>NC_000002.12:224989618-225614618 GCF_000001405.40 Homo sapiens
AAGATTAGTGAGAATCTTCTTCCGTGTCTGTTTCCAGATGGGTAAGCCCCCCGCCAGGTCTGAACTCAATTAAATGGCTAGGAGGGAGTTAATCAGTGCCTTCTCAGCTGAAAAGTGGAAAACACAACCCAGTGAAGTCATTCTTCCTAGGACCCAGTTAGTTACCCTTTATCAAGTTGCATCTCTGCCCCTCCTACTGCTACCTCTACTCAGGGACTTGGGACTTAAGTTTATTGTGATAGTAACCCCTGATCTCTTTTTATCCCCCGACAACTGTGATTTCTAGAGACCTTTTCCTTCGGTTTCTCTGTCTTCATTTTCACTTAATTATAGTGGCCTCCTCTTTGCAGGCATCTTTCCCGTGTGCTGACATTTATTGAGTTGTACAATTAATCACTTTGGAAAAAAGCACACTGTTCTTTTGCTTTAAAAATCAGGTGCTGCTGCCAAGCTTTCCTTTATTTTCATTTTTCTACCTTTGGCATTGATGCAGCTCAAAAGCAGATAATTCTTTCGTTGGTACATTTGGATGCATCGGAAAATTATCTTTCATTGCTCTCTAAGTCAGCTTCCTGCAGAGTGCACGGATAATTTAAATGTTCCATTAATAACTTACCTTTCTCAGGCATCTATGTTTGATTGAACTCTTCTCAGCTCATACTAAACCTTTCTTATTTTTAATAAAGTGTAGTATAGTGCGGCACTTAGGCATCAGGAAGCAGTTTGCCAAAATGTAAATCCCTGTTGAGCTGTTTATTAACTTTGTGACTTTCAGCAAAAATTTTAAGCCTCAGTTTCCTCATCTGTTCAATGAATGAATATTAATGAGCATCTAATATTCACGTAAAGTGCTGGGTCCAGTACCAAACACATGGTAAGAATTCAACAAATTCTAATTATTACTGGAAAAGAGAAAATCTAAGGACTTTTAAACACTGCTTGTTTTCTCCCCACTTCCCCAGTAAGTAGTTTTTGTTGTAGTTGTTGTTGTTGTTGTTGTTTTTAAATCTCCTTACTCTTCTTTTCCCGGAGACACATAGTCTTCCCTGAGTGATGGGGGAATGGGTGTTGCATATGTCTCCTCTGTGCTTTGAAGTTAGCTCCCATGGTAATGTGACACAAGTTCTAAATCCCCTTCCCTGTTGTTTTTCATGAGTAAACAAATTTGAAATAATATAATAATACCTCACTTACCCTAAGGTCACTACTTTTGCAACATCAACTATTCTGATCACAGTCAATTCCTGAAAAGGGACAGAAACAACTTCTCCAGAACCAGAAAAGGATGTCACGTGATTCCCTCTATGAAGCTAATGGGAGTGGCTTAGTGAAGAGGTCTTTATATCCTCATGGTTAACACCGTTACCTTATGCAGGATTCTAAAGAGCTTGCTGAACTAAGCTCACAGTGACTTTTGACCAGAAGCAATATCATTCTGACCTGCCCTGGTCCAGCCAATTTCTACTGGAAGGATGTCCCCGGTGAAGGCAGGTGGGCTGAAAGCTTCTTCAAGGGGTTGTGGTGGGTCCAGCTATAAAGCCAGCCCACCAAAGACTCAGCCATCTGATGGAGCTGAGGCTGCATACATAGGGAAGGAATGAGGGTGAAATAACGCAGCCTAGAAAGTGATTCAGAGCAATGAGCATGAGTTTTGGAATTGAAGAGACCCACCTGTGTTTGAATCCTAGTTTTGTTGTCTTGGAACATTAATTCTCTGAGACTTATTTTCTCCATTGGCTAATAAGAGTAAGAAGAACCCTTCTACATAACTGTTGTAACAAAGGCACATAGTACAAAACACTGGCATAAATAGTAGGTGGTATCATTCTTTCACCATTATCATTATTACAACTATTTGTGTTATTATCATTGTTATTCCAAGTTAGTACCAAAGTGGGTAGATAACAGTCCTGCAAGTCAAGGCTCAAAAACAATAAAGTCATGCGGAAACAGTAACTCAAACAGAAGAGAGAGCCTTGGCACTGGAATGAAGTGGCAAGGACAAGGGAGAGGTGGGACAGAAAGTTTCCTTGACTTCTCTTCACCAGCCCATGAGTCCAGGGTGCATGGCTGAGTCAGGCTAACTTAAAGGTATGGGCCACCCACCAAAGGAAGGGACAGATGACAGACAATCTGAGAAAATGGAAAACATAAAAAAAATCAATATACACAGTATCTGGGACTAATCCCCGTTCGGGGCGGTAAACACTAGAAAGGTGGATATAAATTACAGTGTTCTACCCCAGTACAATGGGTGAAACTGATGCATTAGGGAAATGACTGATGCATCAATCACTGATGTTTGGACTTTATGGTGGGGGTGAATACAGGAGGAGTTGTTACTGGAATATATTCACAACAAGGACGCTAATGCATCAAGAAAAACCAAATTATGTCCAAGTGGCCTTGGGTTCAGGAGAGAGAAATCTGTGACACATTCTAGATAAAACCTCCAACAGCAACTGCTTTTAATTTTTAAAAGTTAAGTGATCAAATTGGGCAAATTATGTTGTCTTCAAGAGTTAGCTATGTGAAAAATATTTTTGGATGACACGGGATAAATGAACTATTAACTGTACTCTCTGTACTTGTTCTATTTTATTTTCTGTGTTCATTTTTCTCCCTTTGAATTGTGGCAGGAATTAACCACCCACGTCTTAAACATTCCAAGTTAAATCTAGTTTACAATAATCACGAATTGCTTTCCAAACATGAAAATGGCAGTCTTTAAAGTCATTTACAATGTTCTTTCCAAATCAATTTTAAAGATAAAAAGATAGCCTGAGCTCAATTTTACATTATTTGCCAGGACTCAGGGGAGTCGCCCAAAGTATCATTTTAGGGTTGGTGCAAAGCACCCAGCTCCAGGGTTTTGAAAGGAAACAGGGACAACCAAAGTTTAAGTCCAGCAGGAATAGGAGAAGTGGCAATATTCAGAAGATTAACTTGATAAGATAATGTTTAGCCTCTCTTTACAACCTCAAATGCAAGATGTGGATTCTTAAAGTTTTTGTTCCTATTATCTCCAGTTTGTGCTACTGACAACTGCAGTTCCCAAGAGGACATGTGCAGCCTTCCTTCTTGTGTGAAGAGGTGGGGAAAGCAGGGAATTGGCTTTGGGCTCTAACACTAATTAGGACTGCAGACAAGTCTTGTCATCTCTTTCTCTGGATCTAAGTTTGCTTGTCCATAAAATTAGAGGGTTAGAATAGATGCCATGAGTTCTTCTAGGTCTAGGATTCTATAGCTTTATCTAACAAAAAGATTCAGATAGAACACCAATGACCAGTGGCTGGACTTTAAGGTAGAGGTGAAGATAGGAGTTGTTGCTGGGATATACCACATTCCCCTATAAATATTTCTTTTGAAGGTTGTAGTAAACATCACCAACAGTGTCACAAAAGAGGTAGGAGCACTGAAAAATGAGGTGTAAGAGGAAAGAACTGAAAATCAGGCAGTGGAAGGAGGTCCTACCAAGCCCAGAACAGTCACCCCAGTTAGCTCTAATATGTAGATGGCATTGCCCTGTGGTGCAGGTTGATGGAAGGAATACTAAGAAGACTCAGATGGTCTTTCTTTGGAAGTTTTTTTTTTTTTTTTGCTGTCCAACAGACCTGAATTTACCATTTCCTGGATTTGTGGCTTTTTGGCAAATGATCTTCTGTTCTTTGTTTCTGCAGTGGAGAAATGGGAATGGTAGTCATGTACTGTATCAGATTCTTATAGGATAAGGAGGAGTAAATGAGATAATCCAAATGGAGCACTTGACACAGCACCTGATATATTGGGAAAACCCAGTGAAAAGAGAAGCTCTACTGGTTATGGGCTCAACTTGGGAGCATCCACAGTCCACAGCAGCTCACGAAGTGAGTCAACTGTGCCTTCCATTGCAGGGTGGCATTAGCAGTCATGGGAGAACAGAGAACCTCCTAAAGTGGGAGAAATCACTGGGCTCCCAGCATTTCAGATGAGAAGAATGCAAGACAGGATGCAGGATATTCATGTTCATCTTTTAGGCAAAGTATTGTTATCCTGTTTTATTTTCAAGCGTAACTGAATTCTGACTGTAGAAGGCATCCCCCTCCCTCCATCCCCAAGCCCACTCTGTCCCCTACCCAATGTGGCCAAGCTGACAGAGGGCAAAGCTGCAGTTCAAATGGAGATTGGCTCCAGGATTGCTGGGTTATGTGGGGGTAGGAGCCAAGCCTCCATGCTGGTAGTGTTTCTACCTTGAAAAACCCTTAAACCTGGTCAGCTGCATGTACTCTTGGGTCTTTAAGAATATGTGTGGTTAGGATAGGATCCTATTACATTTCTGAAGGGAATACAAATTATCTTAGGCAGTCTTGATAAAGGTCTTGTCCCCACCCAATATAGAGATGAAGAGAGGGCATATCCCATGAACATGCTTTGGGTTCTAAAACACAGCCTATCACTACATGTCTATGAATAAAAATGGTGACATATTATATCGCTTTGTAATTCATTTAATATATAAGATTTTTTAAAAGAGTAGCCTATCAACTTATGCTGTGGCCACCTCTATAGAAGCTAATGGTGATATAAAGCTTCAAAATCAAGTTTAATATGACATCAGAGGTAGTATATGTACTGGTTAAGGAAGATTCTAGAAAAAGTCAGCCTGGATTTGAAAGTCAGTTCTGTCTCTTACTAGCTTGGTAATCTTCAGCAAGTTACTTAACTCCTCTCAACCTTCACACTTCCCTCAGAAGACTGCTGTGAGAATTAAGTGAGATAATATGTATAAAAGGTTTAGCATGGTGCCAGGAAGTAGTACTACAAGGTCAACAAGTGGCAGCTACTATTACCCTCTCCAAAAAGTGGGAGACACTGTCCACCAGAAAGTCTCTACTTCTGCTTTCTCTCACAGGCATTGAATATGTGAGATGCAGTACTCACTAAAACATTGTCACAACAAAGATTGCTTCTTTCTAGCAGCTTCTATCTTAGTATGGTCTGACACTTAATCATCATTGCTAACATATGTTGGGAGCTCCTTGGAAAGAGGTCACTGGTACACATCCAGTGTCGACAGACAAGATCTTCCTCTGACTGGTCTGTTTCAGGGTATATAATATGTTATTCTTCTACTCACTTTATGTAGCTCTTTTTCTAGTTCAAAGCAAATTTTTACACACACACACTTACACACACAATGCATAAAATAAATCTGTGTTTGTTATCTATTGTTGAAGAACACGGTATTCCAAAACTTAATGGCTTTAAACAAAAATAAACTTTTGTTATCTCACAGTTTCTGTGCGTCAGGAATTCAGGAGTGGCATAGATGTGTAGTTCTGGCTCAAGTGTTTCCTGAGGTTGCACACAAGATGTTGACTGGGCCCATGGTCATCTGAAGGCTGCAGGTGCCCTCCCACGGTTCACACACACGGCTGGCAAGTCAGGAGGGGAAGGTGACAAACCTGACTTCCTCAGCAGGTGGGTTTCTCCACAGGGTTGCTTGGGTGTCCTCATGACATGGCAGCTGGCTTCTTCTAGAGCCAGAAATCCAAGACGATAAGGAGGAAGCCACACTGAACAATCTAAGTTACTGGAGTTTGAAGTTTATGACCAGTCTAAGTTACACACTATTATTTCTGCAATATCCTGTTGGTCTATAGTTTAGTCCCATTCAGAGCGGGAAGGAACTACACAGGGCATGAGTATCAAGAGGTAGAGGTTGTTGGAGTCCGCCTTGAAGACAGTCTCACTGTAGACACCCACTGCCACACACAAATTATATGTATAAGAAGCATCTTTAGTAAATCATCTAATGTCAACACATATAATTCAACAAGCACTTATTGAACACCTATTATCTATCTCACGCCAATAATACACAGGAGGGCCTCTTGTAGTTGTTTCTGGGTCTTGAAAAATTTGGATATTTTAATGTAACTTTTACTATTCTAGCATTGAAAGGATGTTGCGTAGCATAGGTGTCCACAGGGACTTGCTTCCACTCCCTCCTCACAAGACAGAACCATGGAGAGCCACCCAGTCCAAATGAGCCAAGAATGTAAGTCATCAATTGCTGGAGAGAATGCTTTTAAAAAAGCATGGTTAATTGTGCAAATCTCGGTACATTCCCTTGTTTTCAGGATGTGGAAAGTGATAGCTGCATTTTTAACTTTTTGGTTTTCTTTGAGAAAAAGGTATTATATCAGCTTGAAGAATTTTTAATGTGTATTGCTCACACTCTTGGCCAAGAACTTGTTTTAATGTAAAAATGATACTATGGATATCCAAACTCCAATTTTTGCAAAAGCCCAGGTTTTTTAGGTAAACTTCTACATGGAATTTTTGTTCTTAGCATTTTAGCTAGTTACATGATAGATGTTATTAACTTCCTTGGAACTGACTATGGGGTAATTTGAGTCAACTAGTAAGTTATCCAAAATAAATGGCTAGGCCATTACTTGGCCTAACCATTGCTTATGCAATAAAAGTCTCATTCAAGTCTCCTACCCACTCAAGCAAGTACTTCGTTTCTCTCCTCTTCATCACACTGTGTGATAAAAGGTCACCCTATATCTGCTGTTTCTAATCAGGCACAGTGGGGCCTGGTGATCACTAGGAGTCGGCTGGGGGTGCAAGAGGATAAGCTGCCTGGTATGACACAAAATATGACAACTGAATTAGTAGAAGAAACAAATCCTAAAAGGCCAGGTATCCATCCAAACTTCAAGGGGACTTGTAGACATGAATTCAATCACAATGGGTTAGACCACTTGTGTTCAAGTCCTGGCTCAGCCATTTATCAGCTGTGTAACAATGGAGAAGAGACTTAACTTCTCTGCATTTCATCTGTAAACTAAGGAGAGTAAGTGTAATGACAGTTAGGATGCCCATATAATTGACCATCCAAACTAGAACCCTTTGAAAGTGAGAGGGTGCTATTAATAATTATGCAAACATAGGGACTATTCACAGACAGAATGGAATGCACGGCTACCTTGTTAATGGTTTCTAACCCTTATGGCTACTGCGAAAATCAAATAAGAAAATCCATGTGAAATCACTTAGCCAGGTGTTTGGCATAATAATGTCAATAAGCATCAGCAATATGACCAGGGCTTAATAGTGAAGAGGTCCCATAGTGAAGAAGCACTGAGCAGCTTTCGAACTTGACTCTGCAGGCAGGTTGGCAGATTAAATTTCAGGGTGAAAGGAGATGCAGGCCCCAGACATCAGGGGTGGTATTGAGACAAATATCTAGCATGTATAGGGGTGCAGCAGGCAGACCAGATTAGAGGATTAGAGTCTGGCTGCTGCCTTGCAGAGAAGCTGGAGTGAGGAATAGCAATTGGATCAGAAGCTCCACTAGCCACACTGACTTCTGATTAGAGGCAGGAGAAGGAAAGGACAAGACAGTTCTACCTCAGTATTCATGTAACTTCACAAGATCTTTGTTTGCCCTACATTTGGCATCTCCAAATTCTCACCTCTAACTTCAAAATCTACTGTAACCCCCATATGCTTATTTCCATGTTTCTGTCTTCATAATCTGCTTCCCACCAAATTCAACACTGCCTTTGGGGTTGGGGTTTGTCCCTCCCTCCCTCCCTTCCCTCCCTCCCTTCCTTCCTTCCTTCCTTCCTTCTTCCTTTCTTTCGGAGTCTCACTCTGTTGCTCAGGCTGGAGTGCAATGGCATAATCTTTGCTCACTGCATCCTCTGCCTCCCGGGTTCATGTGATTCTCCTGCCTCAGCCTCCCGAGTAGCTGGACTTACAGGTGCCTGCCACCATGCCCGGCTGATTTTTGTATTTTTAGTAGAGATGGGGTTTCACCATGTTAGCCAGGCTGGTCTCGAACTCTTGACCACAGGTGATCCGCCCACCTCAGCCTCTCAAAGTGCTGGGATTACAGGCGAGAGCCACCGCGCCCGGCTGTCCTATTCTTTTTAACAGCAGCACCATTTTCCCTGAGACACTGGGGTGATCTTTGCTGCCCTCCTCTTCACTGCCATCCGTGTGCAACCTGCAACAAGCTCGGCTCAAATGTACCTGCTGATGGAGGGCGGGAGGAGAGGAGTTAGACAGCAGCCCATGTAGGAGTACATGCAGCACCCAGTGTGTGAGGCAGGAATGGTGAGCACAAAATTGAAGTCCAGGGCTATGTACTAACAGGCTTGAAAGCACCAGGATAGAATTCAGAAAGAGAGCCGCTACCAAACACGCAATATGGTTCAAAGCCACAGAGAAGATTTTAGACCTGAAGGCAGACTCGCAGAGGGAAGACTGGTGGCTCGAAGAGAGCCTTAAAGAGCCCAGGGGGCTACCAGAAGACCAAGCAGGGTGTGGGCGTGTAGGCATGGAGATATAAACAACATTCTGGCAAACAAAGATGTGTCGCTCCAGCTGGCTCTTGTCTGTTTTCCCTCATGTAGGTTCCAAAAGCTGTGATGTTCTGTACCCTCAGAGCTCTCAGTGACTCAGGAACACATGCCCGTATTTCGATTTCTAGTGCTACCCTCCTGGTTATAGTTCTCATTACTTTCAATCTCATGGTGCCCTGGGATTCTAAGAGTGAGATAAATATGAATTGGAAAGTGGCAATCTATTTTGGATTCTCTATTAGAAATATGCCAAATGTAAGTTTTTAATACATTTTCTTAATATTTTGCCTCTGTTGCTGCTTCTCTGTGAGTCAGGATTAGCAGCTGCATAAAAATGAACAAGGAGCAAACGAACATTACCAAAATGATTCAGGAGCATCGGGGTTTTCTTGGCTCAACACCTTGGTATTATTTGTATTCTTCTTGCTCTTTTTAAATATTTGCTTACATCCCCCTTACATTCTCCTTGGTGTCAGATGCAAGGGAAGGTTTCCCTTCTCTGGAAACAATCTCTGTACTCTCATCTCTTCCAGGGTCTTGCTCCATCAATCATTCCTCTCCCCTCTCCTGGTTCCTTCCCTTTAGCAGCATAAAAGCTTCTGCTATATATAAAATAACTCCCCCACAACACACACATATACAACTTTCTTCAACCCTAAGATTTCTTTGGCTAAAGCATTCTTTCACCTTCCCTCACTGGCAAACACCTGGAAAACATAATCTAAGCACCCCCTTTCTTCCCTTCTTCTTTTCCCATTCACTCTTAACCCAGGGGGATTGACAACAAGCATTTACTATACCCAACTGCCTCCATCAAAGAGTCACAAGTCAGCTCTCTGCATGTGATTTTTATATGGGAAAAGGATGGCTGAAATTCTTAGAAGTGTTTTCTCTTATGAAAGTGTTGCTCTTAAAATTTCATTTATAGCCGGGTGTGGTGGCTCACATCTGTAATCCCAGCACTTTGAGAGGCCCAAGCAGGTGGATCACTTGAGGTCAGGAGTTTGAGACCAGCCTGGCCAATATGGTGAAACCTCGGCTCTACTAAAAATACAAAAGTTAGCTGGGTGTGATGGTATACACCTGTAGTCCCAGCTACTCAGGAGGCTGAGGCAGGAGAATCTCTTGAACCTAGGGGGCAGAGGTTGCAGTGAGCTGAGATGGCACCACTGCACTTCAGCCTGGGTGACAGAGTAAGACTTTGTCTAAAAGATATCATTTATAGTATTGTTTTTCTTTGTCTTTCTCTCTCTCTTTCTCTGTCTCTCTCTCTTTTTTTTTTTCAATAAGGGTCTCGCTATGTTGCCCACGCTGCATTCCTGGCTTTAAAGATCCTCCTGACTTGGCCATCATGCCCTACCTCATTCATAGTTTAAACTTTTTGCAAACATCTTCTTCAGAGTTGCTTCAGCACTGTTATTCCAGCGAGTGAAGCTCAACTTAATAAGATATTAATATGCTAGCTTTCTTCCCTCCCTCCCTTCCTGCCTCCCTCCCTTCCTGCCTCCCTCCCTTCCTGCCTCCCTCCCTCTCTCCCCTCTTTCCTTATTTTCTCTATTTAATGAAAATTTACTGACTGCTAGTCTGTGCTAGACAATATCCCAGGCCCTTGGGATAAAACAGTGAATACAGAGACACAAAGAGTCCTATCCTCTGGGAGCTTATATTTTGGTGCAAATCTCAAAAATAATATGATTCCCTCTTGGGAAAATATCCATAAACACTATAATGGTGTTTTTTTTTTTTTTGGTAGATTCTTTAGTCTAAAATGAGTGTTGTCTGGTTGAATGCCCATAATTGCAGATAAGAAAAATTAAGCCCAAAGAAGCGGCGGTTCCAAGGTCTCCAACCTGAGAGTTGCAGTCTGACAGTATGCAACAGTAAATATGTATTTTATTGCATGCCAAGAGCTTGGAAAAGCTCAGCTATGGATTGAAAGCTTTATTATGTGTGGTGCAACAGGATCTCTCTGATCATTCTTCAGACAGCATCCTGCCTGATGTCACAAGGCACTGAAGCAGGAACTGCTGAATTGGCAAATGACCTTCAGTTTGAAAATTACAGTATATCCAAAGGGAAGAGATGTGAATTTCAATTTCATACACTTTCTATGCAAAAATATAGCTGGCCCAGGGAAGATTCATGATGAGTCTTCCGAAGCCACAAAGGCTATGTTCTATCATTTATAAAGCAGCATTGGGATCACTCAAGTCACACACACACACAGACACACACACACACACACAGACACACACACACACACACATGCAATTACTGGTTTTACACATGATGGAAAACTGACTTCAGTCTTATTGCTGCAGTTTATAATGATCTATGTGGCCAGATTCTAAAACTAGAAGGAAAGAACCGCTGGGGATCTCCTAGTATCTATAAACACATATTCTATTTATTACAGTCATTCGTGGAATTGTGCTTTCCACATGCGGAAGAGTGAAAGTTGAGTTCTCTAGCAAAGGAAGAAACAATTGTATTGTTTTGAGCATTTCCTGTTCGTAATTCATTGAAAGCAATTGGTGCCAATCCTGTGAGAAGGCCTGGAGAATTTCAACACGTTCACAATGTCTCCAAGGTGTCTACGCCAACAGTAGGGCGGGAAAAAGGGATTGACAGTAGTGACTCTACGAGCCAGCCATGCTTCTGTGTCTTTCCCTCAGAGAAAGGTTGCCCGAAACAGGTCATAGGCTACTACTAGAAAGAAAATCAGGCCGGGTGGCTCATGCCTGTAATCCCAGCACTTTGGGAGCCTGAGACAGGAGAATCACTTGGAGTCAGGAGTTCGAGACCAGTCTGGCCTGGTGAAACCTCGTCTGTACTAAAAATACAAAAATTAGCTGAGCATGGTGGCTTACGCCTGTAATCCCAGCTACTCGGGAGGCTGAGGCAGGAGGATCGCTTGAACTGAGGACGCAGAGGTTGCAGTGAGCCGAGATCGTGCCACTGCACTGTAGCCTAGGCAAGAGTGAGACTCCATCTCAAAAAGAAAAAAAATTAATCACTAGAAGCTATTGTGTTAATCTGGCTAATGATGTGTTAATTGGAGTTAAACTATGAAGTGGCTTAGTGCTGTTTTGTGTCAACAGTGGGATGCCAAACATTATTATGGGCAGTGATATTTTATCAGTACTTTAAAGTGACTGGTTAGCTACTAATAGTAGAAATAGTAGCAGTAGTCTGGCCACATTCAGGGTATATGCATTTATCAGTAAGTACATAGATGAACTAGCAGGTAGGTGCTCGGGACTTTGGTAAGTCATGAATGAAAAGAGCTACACAACAATATACAACAGACCTTTTTTTTTTTTTTTTTTGAGACGGAGTCTCGCTCTGCCACCCAGGCTGGAGTGCAGTGGCTTGATCTCAGCTCACTGCAAGCTCCGCCTCCCGGGTTTACGCCATTCTCCTGCCTCAGCCTCCCAAGTAGCTGGGACTACAGGTGCCCGCCACCATGCCTGGCTAATTTTTGTGTATTTAGTAGAGATGGGGTTTTACCATGTTAGCCAGGATGGTCTTGATCTCCTGACCTTGTGATCCACCCGCCTCAGCCTCCCAAAGTGCTGGGATTACAGGTATGAGCCACTGTGCCTGGCCAGTATACAACAGACTTTCTATAATAGAGTTTTATTTGCAATACTGTGGAAGGGCAGTGTCTTAGTCCATGCAGGCTGCTATAATAAATACCATAACCTGGGTGGTTTATAAACAACAAAAATTAATTTCACACAGTTCTGGAGGCAGGAAGTCCATGATCGAGGCGTCGGCAGGTGTGGTGTCTGTGAGGGCCTGCCTCCTGGTTCACAGATGGCATCTCCTTGGTTTGTCCTCACATGGTAGGAGGAGCAAATGAGCTCCCTTGAGCCTGTTTCGTAAGGGCACTAATCCCACTCCTGAGGGCTCTGCCCTCATGACCTAACCATCTTCCATAAGGCCCCACCTCCTAATACCACCGTCTAAGGAGTTAGGATTTCAACATGTGAATCTGGGGGGAGATGGTAAGGCGACACACATAAGCAACCCATAGCCAAGAGAGAGGGAGCGTAATTCAGTCAGGGGGATTCCATATGGCTTCTCAGAGTCTAAGCTATTTGACCTGGGCCGTGAAGGATGAATAAATGACACTTGGGAGGAAAAGTGAGTTAGAGTATTTCAAATGTGAAAGGCTATGTGGCTCACGAAGGCATCTGACTTTTGAAGGCCGATACCACTTGTTTACCTGATGCTAAACTCTCCCTATATTAGCACTGCCCCCTGCTGTCCATTGTGAGAAGAGGTCTGAAAGGACAAATGCATCCTTTTTGCCATTTTGCCCTTTAAAAATGAACAGACTGTCATCCTCAATATCACTTATTTGTAGTATCATTTCTTCAAGTTTCCATTACCAAGTGGCATGCTGAATAAAAGCAGGCACAGACCAAGAACAGCAATGACAACACGGCTTTCTCAGTGAGTTTACATAGATGTAAGCCTGATTCCACCTCTTAGGGTCCTTTATTGATAGATAAGTCATACATTTCTTTGGCCTCAGTAGTTGAGATTTAGTCAGCTCTTCAGCTCTCTTTAACTGTTAACTGATGAGAATATTTGGAGACAGAAAATGTCTCAGTGACTCCTCATCATAGTGAGACAATGGCCACGCCATGCCACGAGGAGCTAGTTGCATGGGCAGGCAGGTGTAAACATCCACATATGCAGAAAGAAAAAAGCCAGCAGCTGGCATCTCGTCACCCACAGCTTCCAGAAACAGTCTGGAATGTTGTTGGATGCTCAACACTGCAGAATTGGTATGAACCACATCAGTGTGGTCTGTCTTGCATGATCGGGCAGGTGTAAACATCCACATATGCAGAAAGAAAAAAGCCAGCAGGTGGCATCTCGTCACCCACAGAATGTTGTTGGTCGCTCAACACTGCAGAACTGGTATGAACCACATCAGTGTGGTCTGTCTTGGGGCAGACAGCAAGAACCGAGAAATGACCAGGGTAAATTCTGAGAGTGACAAATTCCATCTCTATTTGAGAATGGGAAGGAATTTGAAGGTTACATTTTTATTTTTATTTTATTCTATTTTAGAGACAGGGTCTCACTTTATCACCAGGCTGGAGTGCAGTGGCATGATCTCAGCTCACTGCAGCTTCGACTTCCTGAGCTCAAGTGATGCTCCCACCTCAGCCTCCCGAGTAGCTGGGACTATGTGTGTACCACCACACCTGGCTAATGTTTGTATTTTTAGTAGAGGCAGGATTTCACCATGTTGCCCAGGCTGGTCTTGAACTCCTGGACTCAAGTATGCATCTGCCTCGGCTTCTCAAAGTGCTGGGATTACAGGTGTAAGCCACCGTGCCTGGCTGGAAGGTTACATTTTTCAGTTTGAGTTTTGGGTAAACATCCCCATGGAGATCCTAAGTTCACTGATGGTGGTGTGGGACCTTTTATGATTCCACTAGAATGCTGATCTTGGGAGTAGAATTCTCCTTAGAACCGTGGCTGATGCAACTCGAATCAGAAGAAAGACCCACAATCTGGAAATCCTGACACTTTCCTGAGTGTGTTGACTTCATGTTTGACTGAATGAACCTTTTGTTCAAAAAAGGCAAATCTAAAACACAGACATACGCTTCACTTCTTTTAGTTTCAAATTAAAAGTTTTATCTAATAGTAGTATTTGTTCAAAATTTTACAAGGTAACATTGTTGATGTTTCATTAGCATCCCTGATCCCTAATGGCCATCCTATCTCTTAAACCACAAGAAATATTGTCTCTTTAAAGTCCATAATGTGCATTTACACTGATAAAATAAGGCCAGTGACTCCCAAGCTGCTTTGGGGAAAGAGGCCATCTTTTCTCTGTGTGACTTGTTCAGTGGCAATTGGAGTTTTACATCTGCTCTACAGGTCCAATCATAATAGAGCTCACTGTTATGTTAAATGTAGTTAGGTCTATCAAAATGTTAATAAACATGATAATGACAAACTAAGGAGATAGTTATCATAAAATGATGATAACATTTCTTGACTGTGTCGTATGTGCTCAGCATTTTCTCGTTTCGTTTTGTCTGTGATGTAAGTATCATGATCATTCCTTGCAGTGGGTTGCAAAGTGGCTCCCCCAAAGATATGCCCATATCCCAATCACTGGAACTCATGAATGTGACCTTATTTGGAAAAAGGCTCTTTGCAGATGAGTTAAGCCTTTCAAGATGAAATCCTCTTGGATTATTTAAGCTGGCCGTAAATCCAATGAAAAGTGTTCTTATGAGATAGCAGAGGAAAAGACACAGAGAGAAAAGGAAGAAAAGGTGGGAAAGACATATGAAGACGAAGGCAGAGACTGGAGTTGTGTGGCCACAGGCCAAGGCATTCTTGGAGCCACCAGAAACTGGAGGAGGCAAGGCAGGATTTGCCCCTAGAACTTTTAGAGGGAGTGTGGCCCTGCTGACTTGATTTTGGACTTCTGGCCTGTAAGAATAAATATCTATTGTTGTCATAAGCCACTTAAGTTATGCTCATTTGTTATGGTGGCCCTAGGAAACTAGTGCATCCTTATTTTGAAGTTGAGAAACTGGAAGCTCAGAGAGGTTAAATAACTTCCCAGAGCCACAGAGCTAGCCTTAAGAAATGGGGGAGCTGTGTTTGAATTGACATCCTTCTGACTCAAGCACCTGTGCTCTAGGCATGAAGCCACATGTCGGCTTAATAATTCAGAGAGCATTTGTTTTCCTAAGACAGAACCAAGGATGTGAAGAGTGTGCTGATGCAATTTCAGAGCAGGCTCTCCCAGCAGCTTCCTGCTTCCAGAATGCATTTTTTGCATTAAAAAAGCCATTAGAGTTTGTCCATCAGCAATTCAGTCCACGTGTGGCTCAGCCTCCCAGCTCAGGGATAAGGTAGTTCTATACTTGGCCCCCAAAGGCCTTGCTTTATTTCTCTAATCATAAGTATGATTGTCTTGACTCATGCTGGGCAATAATACAATGGAGAATGAACATTAAATTAAATCTATAAAGAGCCTAAAATCAATCAACCCCTTCATGAAACTAATTTTAGAAAAGAGGTCATTAGATATATTAGAGGCAATTTGAAAGTTAACTGAGAAATGAGACCTCATGTTCTCTTTGGAAAAAAACCTTTTTGTCATGAGATAGATAGAATTTGTACTTCCATCAGAGTAGTACAGCTGCCACAAAAACCCTACAAATCTCTAGGAGTCAAAATGGTGATTTTATGCTTCAAGTACAGCAGATTACCACTGTTATCCCATATACATGGATAATGGCAAACAACTTTCTATTCTCCATGGGCCATCAAACCACCTCTCAGCAATGTAAGGACATGATTTCAATCATTGGTGAATTCAGAAGAGGAGAAAAGCCATCTTCAAAATATGTACAGTTTTTGTAATTCTAATTGGATTTTATACTAGAGCAGTGTTAACTGAATGTCAGTTATTCATGTCCCACCATCTTGATTTTTGCCAAATCATAGTATTACCTGTTAGTATATACTTAACAAAATCCTTTTAATCAATGACTACCTTTTTTCCATAAAATTTCATTTTAAACTAAAACTGTATTCTTTGACGTAAACAGGACAACAGTATCACTTGTAAAAAACAGAATAACTGAAAGTAATGGTATAATACAAGGACAAAATTAAATAAATGTTGCCATTCAGTTTTAGTTCAATGTTGTTGTCTACCAAAGTTTCTAAGCCCAAGCCCACTCGGTCTTTGTGTGAAGGGGAAGAATTGCAAATATTAGGCAAGCGTTATGGACAAACTAATGTTAAATTGAGACTTTATCCTCAGTGTAATCTGAAGTTTGAAAGATAACTGAAACAAAATCTTCCACACAATATGATCCAATGTTATTTAAAGCTGTGTATGAAACCACCCAAAATAATTTAGAGATTATCCATGTGTCTAATTTAACAAAGTCAAGAGAGAGCTGATGCTCACTGCCAAAGACCACCCTCTAGGGTGTACAAAAACATCTTGGAGGTTTTTATTAGGTGCCTCATGAAATAGAGTGGAAAGAGTGAAGATGGGTATTAATATTTTTTGGAGGGGTGAGTATGGATAGGTGAGGTAATTTTCTAGGCAGAGCAAACACATTATAAATATATTTTAAATATTTGACCAATACGAAAACCATCTTCATTCTTCTCCCCACCTTTACTTTATGGACTGTTTCCATACCTTCCATTTATGGCCATCTTAGTTTGAGTGGCATGGGTTAGTATAAAATCCCCTAGTGGTTTCCTAACTGCAATTCTTGTCTTTTTTAGATTAAGCTTACACATTTACTTATATCACAGCTTTAGCTGAAAAGCTTCAAAATCTCCCTCAAGTTCATCAAATGATCCAAATGAGGAGGAACGTACAAAGGCCCCTTTTAATCAGGCTCTTATCTGCTAGGTAAACCTAATAAGTTCTGCTCCATTTCTTAAATGTCGACATACCTCCCATTTATGTTTTAGCCCCTGCCACTTTTTGCACTTAGAGTTCCTCTCAATGCTTCCAATCAAAATCCTTCATTTTTCAAAGACCAGTTCAAAGAGCACACTTGCTGAGGTCCTGTGATGAAGGTAATGTCTCTGTCTTCTAAGCCGTTCTAGTCCTCCTACTACACCTATCACACACTGTCTAACATGAGTTATTTGAGTACATCTCTTATTTGTATTGATGGTTTCAATCTATGTTTGGAGAAATAAAAGGAGCAAGGAAGGAATAAACATGCAGATTAGAGTTGAGAAACATTGATGGATATCAGAGTTAATCTCTCATGTTGTTTCTGTCCTCTCAAAGTCAATGACCTGTGCATACAAAGGGTAAAGTGAACCTTGAAAAGGGGGAAATAAAATCCCCAGTTTTAAGACAGTACTAGCAGTCCTGAGGACTTGAACTTCAAGCCATTAGATTACACTGAGGTGTGCTGAGCCAACTCACCTAACTGCAGTCAAGAGCTCTCAGGATGTGTGAAGACAGGCTAGAAGGTTTGAGAATGCATAAATGTGTCACAAAATGTATGAAAGGAACGTGAGATAGATTCTGCAATCCATCATCTTGCTTTCTGTTTACTTCTAGTAAATTTCTAGAGTGGACATTAACAGGATGATTTGTCAGCTCTTACGAAAGAAAAAGGTGGTTAGCAGGTACTAGTGCAGATCACTAAGACCAAATTAAGTCATGATAATCTTATTTCCTTTTCCCTGGCCTGAGATGAGAAGATTGTATGAGTTTTATGAAGGTATATAATAAGAACTCTGAGATGTTTTTGTACCTCCCAGAAGGTGGTTTCTAGCAGTAAGCATTACAACTCTCTCTTGACTTTGTTAAATTAGATGCATGCATAAATAAAACCTGTAAATAGTCCATGAGGCCAACATTGTTGTAAATAAACTGAAGTTTAAAGCAGACTTAGTAGGTTGACATAACTAGAACCCATAATATTCCCACATGCAAGTTAAGTCTAAGAAGTTGTACTTTAAGGAGGATTAAAAGAAGATCCTGATTTACATAAAAGTTAAAAGGATATAAAAGAAAGACATGATTTAACAGTGCATTTGTGAAAAAGACTTGGGCATCAATATAAACCAACCTGATGAGGAATCTAATATTAAGTTGTATTAGAAGAAAACATAGTATTTAGAATAAAAAAGGTGGTGATCCTGGTTTTCATGGCAGTGATGAAACTTGAAATATTGTGTTTAATTCTTGGAGACAGATTAGGAAGGATACAGACAAGCAGGACCGATTGCAAGGAGAGCAATGAAGACATTAAAAAACATCCACAAAAAAGTCCGGAAGAATGATGGTTAGCTTTGGAAAGATAAGACTACAACAGGCTTGACAATTGTTTTTGAAAACTTAAAAATGGTCATGTAAAAAAGAATTACGCCTAATTGTGAGCATGATCAGGGATATGCATTCTGTTCTTTAAGAAATGCTGCTATCATCTAATTTTTTTTTTTCAATGGAGTGGGGGCAAATAAAAGTAAAGTGACTTTCCACGCATAGCAGATCCAATATGCTCAAATGTCACCCAAAGGAGTAGAGTTAAAGCCATGGCTGGAAGTTCATGAGCATCAATCCTGACTCAGTATATTGAAGAGTATTTTAGAAGTAAAAGCTGTACCAAACATGGGATTAGTCTTCTTGTCATTCATTCATAAACTTTTTATTTCTTTAGAGATGAGGTCTTGCTATGTTGCCCAGGGTGGACTCAAATTCCTGGGCTCAACTGATCCTCTCTCCTCAACCTCCAGAGTAGCTAGGACTACAGGCATGGGTCACTGTGCCCTGCCGAGAATTCACAAACATTTCTTGAGTGAAGACTCTTTGTTATGCATGGTGCTAGATTGTGAGTAGTGGACACTTTTTCTTCTGAGGCAGTCTTATATCAACACTTTATGCTGACTTTGTAAGAATATTCATGTTTTAAGAAGATACACAAAAACTATTTATTTAGCATTTATGGGTTTCAGTGATCAGCTGGCATTTTCTTTTCCTCAGAATTTAAAATATCTTCTGTAGGCTAACCAAAATATCACTGGGTAACTACCTACATTTCCTTTGAATTGGCAGTTGGGAGCACTGGTATCACTTCCTCTACCAAACTGTACAGAACTACTGTTATGTACCAAAGACCATAAATCACAGAGTTGCTGGGATTGTGAAAAAAATATTGAGACTGGCTGTCTCATCTTACAAATAAGGAAACCAAAGTCCAAGTGGGGCAAGTACTACCTGTAATGACATATCCAAAATGAGAGCACAGGTCCACTGAATCGTCCTTAGTACTCTATCCAATGCTCCACTATCTGCCCATAATATCCCACAGGTTACTATGTGTCGACACAAAGATAGACTAGGATTGACCTGAACAAACAGCCACAGTTATGTTAAACAAGCACCGTTTCCACCTCTCATAAGCTGTGTCTGATTTGCCATAAATCTCAAGCCAAATACGTCCAGTGAGTTGTACATTTATCATGTTAAGATGAAGGCTCTACTGGTGATAGATTTACTAAAAATATTCCAATCTTGTAATCTAAAGGACTTCAGCCTCAGGTGATATGGGGCCAGCAGCCAACATTGGAAAGACCACATCATGAAGTGAGGCTATACCGCCCTCTAGGGAGAGATGCTTGAAAAACCAGGGTCGACGCCTAAGTAAGGGGGTCACAGATTAGGTTTAAGTGGTTAAAATTTTATGTCTTCACAAAAAGTTTCCAACTACAGAAGAGTATTTAATTTTTCGCTAAGATGTAATATTCTACCTACCAAGAAAATCAATCACTGAATCAAAATATTAAAAAATAGGTGATATTAAGTTCTATAACAGTAAAACCTTAAGAAGGGAAGCTCTCTGAACATTAAAATACTCAGCCGAATTTCTAAATTAGTAAGACTTCAAAAAAGAAGACCATAATATCCACTATGTCCACTTATTAGCTTCAATCAAATAAGAGATTACTTTTGCAATTATTCTTCATGCAAAAAGATCTGTTAATCTCCCTGAGTGTCTCCCTACAAATCTCATTTCACCTGGGTGGCTCTTGGCAAGGTTAGCAGAATGTCGTCTGCAGAGAAGAAATGCAGAAATGCAGTTGAAGGGAACAATGACAAAGGCAAGCCCTAAGGCAAAAAAAAAAAAAGAAAGAAAAAAGAAAACAACAACAAAAACATGAAAACTGTATTCAGAGTTTGCTTACAAAGAGAAAACTCTCCAAAGCAATGAACTGAAACTGGCCACTGGAAAGACTTGTTTATAGATGTTCATTTTGACTCAATAGTACGCTGGAGTCCTACTCTTTATTTAATGATATGGTCAAGTCATGCAGGCTGATGTGGATGTGATCAGAGAGACTAACAAGAGTCTTTGTGTTGCCCTCCTGCATAGTTGAGGGATTAGATTTCTTTAAGAGTTGTACTGGTTAACCGTTAACTGAGTAACAAACTGCCCCAAACACTCAGGGGCATAGAAAAAAATGCAGCCATTTTTTCATGTGGCTAAGGAGCCTAAAGGTTGTCTGGGCAGTTCTTCTGGCATTGGCTGGGGCTTTACTCATGCATCTGCAGTCAGCTGCAGGTCCACTAGGCAGTTCTGAGGGTGTGTGGGGCCTTGGCTAGAATAACCAGGTAGATTCAGCTCTTTTCCTTAAATCTCATCTGCCAGCAACCAAGCCAGGCATTTTCCTATGGCAATGGCAGAGGATCAAGAGAGGAAGAAGAGGCAGTCAAGAACCTTTTAAGCCTTGCTGTGTTTAGTTTATTAGTGTCTCATGGGCCAAAGCAAATTTTAACAAGAAGCCTAAACTCAGTGTGGGAGGGCACCCCCAAAGGGCCTGGATAGAGAGAAGTATGAAGAACTGGGGAGGTGAATGCAATTAATTTGCCAGGCCAGGGGACAGAATCTTATATTGTCCCCTAGACAACCTAGAGGAAAATATAAAATTCTGTCTCCTGGCCTGGTAAACTGATACCTTAGAGGCATTTGCTTTGTGTGTATCTTAGATAAAATGCCTCCAAGGTATCAGTCACTGGTACCCTAGCTGACATCAGTTTCTTTTAGAAGAGCAGACTTTGAGAAAGGGAAGGGACACTGGGAAAGGGAACGTAAGATCAGTTCAGGCACTTCATCTTTTGATTCAAATAAGACAGTTCATACAATTTTGGGGGTTAACATTATTACAGAATGAATTAGAGTTGGGAATATAGATTAAAAGTTGAAAAAGAAATACAGAAAAGCAAATCAAAATTTTTTTTCAAAGACAGACATCAACTAATGCAGAATGAGAAACAAGATAAATCCTGCAAAACTTTTCCAAGGAAGCATTCAGCCTCTATCAAATGGGTCAGCTAAGAAGCTAAACGGCACAGCAAGGACATACTGATCCCATCATCTTCATGGTTCTAAATCAAACCAAACGTAGGTAAAAGGCCTGATATCTTCTCAGCTGATGAGTCAAATACTTCGAAGGGAAAATATAGTAAAATATTTCAAGGTTTGGAAGACAGCTTGGCTGTGACACATTCTGACTCACAACAAGTCATGAGTTTTCTGACAAAGCAAAAGTAGTGATGGAAAATATTGATATGATATCTATCATAGCATATGTATATAGTCAAAGTTCTTTCACAGCAAGCAAGTGTTGCCAAATGATCAGTTCAAAGAAGATTTCACGCCAATGAAGATGATTACAAAAAGGAAAAAGAGGCAATGTCGCAGTAGTTGCCAGAAAGGACTTACGGCTTTTCAGGTAGGTAGATAAGTCACAGGTACAAAGAAAAAATGAGATAGAAGCACATATTTGCCACACAAATAAACCTGCTAGAAGTATTCATGCTGGAAGTTTCAGCTTCCTAAAGTGACTCTTTCCATAGCCAGAGAGAAAAGAGGTTGCAAGATCAAGTTACTTTAAAGAAGAAATGAAATTCAAATTAAATTAACTCTTAGAGTGTTGAATATTGACATCAATGCCACCAGCCAATGTGAAGGTAAAGAGAGGCCTGCAGTTATGACTTCAGGACATACATGGCTTTCTTATAAAATGTTTATGTTGGCAGTTTTACTGCAAATAATACCTTCGAAACTGAAATGCATCTATTTAATCCTGATTTTTAAACAGTAAAGACTCTGAACTTTAGCAAAGAAAATCAACCAAGTCAAGTCCAGAGTTGGGTGCAGTTGAATGAAAGGAAGACGTTGGGGCTTGCAGGGACATCTGGCTTCCAGCAGGGAGGCCACGTCAATATGCAAATTGCCACAGGCATTATAAAATGGCACCCAAAATGTTAGGCTCTGCAAGAACGGTCTAGCTGCCCTTAGCTACAGCGTAAGCCGAAGTACCCAGAGTCAAAACGACCTGAGCTGCTCTGTGGGACATGCCCCAACGAGAACATCATCAGGGCAAGCTCAATGCACATACGCAACTGAATTAAAAACGAGCTCACATGTACTGTCGGGAAGAAGAAAAATAAGCCTTCTAAATTCATTCAGCAGAGAGTAGGACTTGAAAATGGCTTTGCCCAATATTATTATTATCAATAATAATTCAGTATTATGCATATCATGTCTCCAGATTTCTCAGAATGAGGCCCCACTCATTCAGAATTTGAAATCCATAAGCAGGGTGAAAATATTTCCTCTGGCTATGCTAAGGGAAACTTGAGGCCCAGACACTTAGACTTGCCATCAGTTCCACTGAGTTGGTAGCTTAACGGCTCTTTGCTCAGAGGTTTTAACCTCTGCTCTGGACCAGACTGAAATGAACAGTAATCGCATATGCTCCTTTCACACGAACCAAAAGCTGAACGTACCCTGAATTACCTCTTTGTTAAATAAGGAGGTTTAAAAAGCATTTGCAGGCATGCATGTCAATTAGGGACAATACATCAATCATCCAGAGCATGCTTCCAAGTTCATTTTATTTCAGTAATAATTTTGTACTAAATTCCATCCGCCTCTACTTTACTTTCAAAATAGGATGAAGACAATTCCCAAATTCTTTAATATACTTGTATAGTGCTTGCTTTTTCAGTTTTATAACCAGCTTTTAAAAAATTGTAGTGCCAATAGAAATTGGCTTCTCCATCAGATAGTCCAAAAGAGATTATTAACATATAGCTCCCTAGAGTTAGCAAGGCATTTACAAGTTGCAAAGCATTTATCTCATTTGATGCACATAACTCATAATAATAATAATGGTTAACAATTATGTTGTATAATAGATACAATCCTAAACATTACTTGCTGTTTAAACAAACTAATCTTTACAAAAACTATAAAATAGGTATGATTTTTATTCCCATTTGTACAAAAAAGAAAATTAAAGCCCAGGAAGGTCCTATTAGTTGTTTAATGCCACAGAGGCTAATATTCATAAGCCTTAGTTCCATATTAAAACATTTAGTTTTAGCTTATGTATTAAATAATTGAGCTTCTATTAGATTACCACTTCGCTATGATGGCAGGGTGTTACTATACTTTTAAAGAAGTCTTTTCCAGAGTGCTTTGTTATTTCCCTGTAATCAGGACCAAATTCCTCTTTTGAACATTAATTTAACTGGGTACTTTTCTTAGTATTCATTTTCCTCATATTTCCTGGAACTTTAGTCTGCAGATTAATCTTGAGTCAGATTAATCAGTGAGTCCTGATTAGTCCTTTGAGTTAGTTCACATCAGGGAGATTGCACAAATCATTTCTTTGTTAAAATCAAACCACATTCCCTTTTACTGCCAGTTAGTATATAAAATTTTCAGTACCCTATAGGAAAGTAATCACTTACCTATTGGATGACAAGCATCATCAAAATCTCCTGACTATAAAGGTCCCTGATCACTCAAAAGTACATCCACTGGTGCTTGTATAGTTAAGTGTGCAGCTGTGAAATGTACGTCAAGGTTCACAGTATCCGAAAGTACTATGTCTCAGAAATGGCTCCACAAGTTTAGTTAAATCCCATTTATTAACTGGTGTTTCTCTTAACTGCTAAGATCATGAGCAGAAAGTTCATGATTCTGAAGTGAATGAAATGATGTAGGTCAGATCACTCCAACCAAAGTGAAGTGGAGAGCTGAGGCATGTTAATCAACCAACCAACCTAGATTCTCGCATTCCCTAGATAATAACCTCTCAGGGCTTCCTGTGCTCAGTGTGGGGCAATGTACTCTATCTGCACTTGACTTTACTTAAGAACAGGCTTGAGTGAAGGCATCCTACATGTGCAGTGCTTACTGCCAGTTTTTGAAACAGGTATTTACAATTCCTTTTGGTTCTCTTCAGTTCAACCACCAGCTCTGCAAGGCTATTGGCAGTGTCATAGAATTGACACAGAAAATCCATCATGGGCTCTGGGGTGTGCGTGTGTGTGTGTGTGAGTGACAGAGAGAGAAGGAGGCAATAGTAAGTGACAAAAAGTAGATAAGTAACTCAAGAAATATAGGGCTTTCCAAGCATTTAAGAGCCTTTCATATTTTTATTCTATCTCTTTCCTGTGTCCTTTAGTAAACTGCTACTTAGACCACAGCCATGATTTAGAAATTCAAAAATGTATTCAAAAAATCCCCAGAAGTCTGAATATATTGTTTTTTTTTTTTTGTTTTTTTTTTTAAGAAATACAGGTTAAAAACTCATCAGAAACAAAATGCCTTTAGCTGAATCAAAAGTCCCCAAATCAATGTGGATTTTTAAAGCCACATTTTGCCTCTGGGAATTTTTGATGATATCATCTGTTTTCTAGAGTTACTGGGTACCATGGTAAACTAAAAGGTTTTTTATATATCCTTTGGAGACAATGAAAAATTTTTGAAATAGGATTTTGGGTGTTTCTGTGTTGAGAGAAAGCTTAGTTGCTGAAAAGTTCTAATGAAGTAGAAGGAAATTTCCTTATAAAAATAGAGAATTTAAAATAAAAGGTGCTATAATATACTAAGATATGATAATATCAGTATAAGAATACCCACTGCTTTGTATTGGATGAGATTAGTCATCTTACATTTATTGTGATTAATTATTGATATAATTAGATTAATCTCTAAAATTTTAGTTTGAAATGTCTACTAATCATGCCTTTTATTTGTGTCTTTTTTTTCCCCATATGTGTTTGATTGGAATAATATGTTTTAAATTCTTTGCTTTTCTCTTCTGCAAGTTTAGAAGCTCAATATTTATTTCTCCGCTTAGTTTTAATATGGCTAAATTTATATATTTTTCTTTTTCTTACTTTTAATCTCCTAATTTCTCTGAACTTTGTTCTGTGTGAATTCAGTACCATTTTTAATACATTAGTTCTCTCATAAACCAGGTCCAGTGTGAAGGTTATTCCTTAATTTCAGGGGATCTAATTTTCATTTGCATGATTTCTAATTGGTCGTTAAAAATATCTCTGTGTTCTTTTTTGTTAATATTTTTATGGACACTAATTCATTCTTTACCTCTTGAAAAATCTAAAATAAACTATGTTATGGGAGGTCCCAAATATTTGAATGTGGTTATAATGTAATTGGTGACTGACCTCTATCATCTGCCTGTTCTCATCTGAAGGCTGAATAAAATTCTTTTCGCTCCTGGGAACAGGAGGATGGGGGTGCAGTTTGGAAGTGACCACTTTATGGTCATTTAAGATTTTGTGAATTTAGTGCATGTTACAAAGTTTGTAATAGCAGTCTGTTTTTTTTTAACTTACTAATATAGCCAATACATGAAAGTATAAACATAAAAAACACTTTTCCTTGTATTCTTTCCACAGAAGCTGGAAGATAGTCAAAATAAATTTCATTACTCTTAGAATAAAGCAACTTTGCAGTTTAGGTGACTGAACTTTTATGAGAGCACTACGTTCTAAGATGGCAGGATTTTACCATGCTTTTAAAGAAGCCTTTTCCAGATTGCTTTATTATTTCCATGTAATCAGGACCAAGTTCATCTTTGGAACGTTGATCTGACTGGGTACTTTCCTTAGCATATGTTTTCCTCATATGTTCTGGGGTTTTAGACTGTAGACTAATCTGGAGTTGGAGTCTGTGCCTCCCCACTCTCCACCAACCAGGCGGGCCCATCACATACTGATAGGAAATACCTGAAACCCAGGCCAGCAGGCAGCTCGGCCATGGCTGAGAGGCTGTGTTTTAGAAACGAGGCTCTTGGGAATGGGGCAGAACTTTTTTCAGGCCTTTTCAAGAGCAGTGGAGCTCCATTGCAATCAATACCCCAGTCTGCTTCTAGACGCGCTATTTCTTTCTTCAGTGCTCCTTATGGCTTTGTGTTGCCGTTTCATTTCTAGTACATGAGATGTGTGTCCTGATTATAGGCATTGTATTTCTTTCTAATTTCTTTTTAAAGATTGTATTTACCTTTACATTTGGTAAGGGTATTAAAGTTAGAGGGGGAATGTCAAAATGTCAACTAAATAAAATAAAATGTTACTACCTTTAAAAAAATCAGCTAAAATAAGACCATTTTAGCTGGAAATTTCATTCAAACTCTCTAAGCTTCAGTTTCCCCCATCACAGAGTTTTTGCTAGGCCTAAATGGGATAGCATGTGCTAAAATTCTTCACAAATTGTTTATGTACTATTTCCTATTTCTGTTAATGTGCTGCTCTATTATGGCCACTTCATCTAGAGTCAGGTAGCTTTAACAGGTCTGGTGAGCAGGTTTGTCACTAGCATTTCATTTGCTTTGTAAATGTCTTACAATGACCTTATTCATATCACATATGTAAAGAGAAATGACAAATAAAACAGTTGGCTTAGATGTCAAAAGTTTCTGTTTTTATCTGACCTTTTATATCATATAGAAAATTTAGATTTTATGTTCAAAACAAGTGTCACTTTTAATAATGTATTGTAATTGGTATTTGTTTAAAAGTTTTTGACAAAAAGGAAATATTATGATGTTCTTATATGAGTAAGAAGGCAAGTATCTTATTAAAAATCTGGAGGTGATATTATCTATGTGCACATTCTTTCTCAAATAGCAATTCCTCTTATATATGTGTATACATATATATGTATATATCTATATGCACATAGATACATATATCTATATGCACATAGATACATATATCTATGTGCACATAGATACATATATCTATGTGCACATAGATACATATATCTATGTGCACATAGATACATATATCTATGTGCACATAGATACATAGATACATATATCTATGTGCACATAGATATATGTGTATATATATAGACATAATTTTTTTTTTGAGACAGGGTCTCACTCTGTCACTCAGGCTGGAGTGCAGTGGTGAAATTTCGGCTCACTGCAACCTCCGCCTCCCGTGTTCAAGCGATTCTCTTGCCTTGGCCTCCCGAGTAGCTGTGACTATAGGTGGGCACCACCATGCCTGGCTAATTTTTGAATTTTTATTTTGTATTTTGTATTTTTAGTAGGTACGGGGTTTCGCCATGTTGGCCAGGCTGGTCTCAAACTCCTGACCTCAGGTGATCCACCCGCTTTGGCCTCCCAAAGTGCTGGGATTACAGGCATGAGCCACTGCGCCCGGCCGCCTCTTATATTTTTAAGTGTTGTAAACTCAAGCCTCTTATATTTTTAAGTGTTGTAAACTCAAGATGAAACTGAATAAAATTAAACCAAAAAAAAAAAAAAACTTTTGAGAGGATTTCCTAATCTGATCTAATTTGATCTATTATTCAGTACTTTTATTTTTAGGAAATAGCAAGAGTGAAGAAGGTCATCTCGTACAGCTTCAGGTCAAAGTTATGTATTACCAGCGTAAGTCCAAAGATCAACTAGGGATGGAATTAACCCACCAATTTTTATTTTTGAAGACAGCTTAGAGGCAGGAGCACATCCCACTGTTCATGTAAAGAATTACACATTATAAGGAGAGAAATAGAAATAAAATTGACACACTAGAGAAAGGCAAAGAGAGAAAGAGACAGACAGAGATTGAGAGAGAGAGAGAGAGAGAGAGAGCAAGAGCAAGCCTGAAAGAGACCAAGAGAGACTGACTGATTGATTGGTTGATTCAGCAGTTTGACCTGGTATGCCATTTGGGTAAAGCATCTAAGATAATTTTTCAACATACATCCTTCTCCAGCTTGCCCATTTTCTTGTAGATTTTTTAACTGAATCCCTTAGTAATTTTTTCTGCTTTGTCAAAAAAAAAATGTGGATAGAACTGTCTAGCCAAAGAAGCCAATAACTGAAGATATGCCTACTGTTCCAAAAAAAAAAAAAAAGCAAAAAGGAAATGCTGGCCTTGCTGAATATGTTTAAGCTGGCTGTCCTTTTAGATCTCCACTAACGTAGTTAGGTTAATCATTGATGAAATCATCTAGAAAATTCAATCAAACAAAACCTTGTGTTGACTGAGTTATCCAAGTAATCCTGGTCTGGGCTATAATTCTATTTATAATTTCATCTGTTCTTCATTATCCCTGCCAACAGAGAAACAGAGGCCACTGTCTGGTTGCCAGCCCCCATTCCCTGCCTCTCCAAATCAGTAACTCTCCTGGAAAAACATGAATTCACAGTAATGGCAGAACGGCCCCCTAGGTGTCCCACAACTCCTGCTTGACTGAATTTTCAATAACAAAAAGGGCATTAAGGAATATTATACCAATGTGACGACTCACTTTGCGAATGCAGTATTCATACATTTTTATAGTACAGTACATCAAGAAACTTTTTTAAAAATAAGCTTTATTATCAACCATGTCTGTAGTCTCCTGTATTCTACTCTGTGTATTGTACCAACTATGGGACTAAATGGTTCCTTTCTATTTCTTAACAGTTTGAAGGGAGAAACGCTAACCCAGGGGTAGGTATGGAATGAGCTGCCATTCCTTGCAGGACTGAAATAGGGGCCGAGTGATATGCGTAACGTGCATCGCATCCTAACTATTGCTCTCTTCCTAGGACAGAACATTCAGTTGATTTCACAGAAGGCAACAAGTTGCAGATAAAGGTGGAGAGGTTCTAGGCCTTTATAAGATACCATGTAAACATATATATATAATATATATGTAATATTATATATATATAATATATATGTAATATTATATATATATAATATATATGTAATATTATATATATATAATATATATGTAATATTATATATATATAATATATATGTAATATTATATATATAATATATATGTAATATTATATATATATAATATATATGTAATATTATATATATATAATATATAAGGTGGAGAGGTTCCTAGGCCTTTCCAAGATTTCATGTAAATATATATATATACACATACACATATGTGTATATGTACATATATACACCTAAGATGTCATGTAAATATATATACAGATATATATGCATATATGTATGTGTATATACATATGTATATCGTTATATATGTGTATATACATATGTATATCATTATATATGTGTATATACATATGTATATCGTTATATATGTGTATATAGTTATATATGTGTATATATGTATATATGTGTATATATAATATGTGTATGTATACATATATAGATTTTTTTTACATGACATCTTGGAAAGGCCTAGAACTATATAGCCCTGTTACCAACTAGCAACAATCTTTTTGAATGGCTGAACATTTTCTAAACCTTTATTTTTGAATTGTTACAAACTCTTCAGCAATTGTGTAAGGCAGAAAACAGCCTCATGGGTTGGGTCGCAGTGGAGACCAATCATCTAGCATTTGGTCCTCAGGTTCTCTGTGCGTAGCCCCCCACATCTTCAGGACCCCCGCTATCCTGTGTGGGATCTTGAATGAGTAAAGGCTGTCACCCTGACCACATGATGTGTTCGTTTCCTGAACAGATATGGAGAAATACCACACTCCCCAACTAAATACATGGTCTGGGTTTCCAAGATCTGAAACAGACTCTCATGGTTAACTAAAAAGTAGACAACTGTGAATTTGAGGATTGGCAACTTCAAAGCTCAAGAGAGTGTGGTTTAATCTTTTTTTTTTTTTTTTCCTGGCTAAGATACAAATCCTCAAGCCAACCCTACTTTGGTGTCCTATGCTCCTGCCTGGTTTTCTTCTTTCTACCCATTTCTGGTGCTCCTGGCATCTACTCCTTCCTGGCTTCCATCTGGTTCCCGCTGCTCAATGCCTACTATTTTCTCTAAAATGCAGTGGTCTGCTCCTCATTTCTCTGATGGCAAATCTTTCATTCTGAAGCAGAGGGTTTATTCCGTCTTCACTGGAAGCTCCTTTGCAAACACTGCCCTTCACTCTGGCTTTGGTATCAGACTGGAATGTGAGGGTGAACAAAAAGATTGGGAGTTTTTAATGTTCGGTTCTCATTATACAAAGCATGGTCTACTGATTTCATGATTCTTAAGTTAAAAATCAGACGCCAAAATTTAAGTAGAAGTAAGGCAAATTCCCATGCTTTCTGTCAAGCTATGTGACCAATTGACAAAGCTGAACCAACAAGCTGAACCCCTTAATACATGGGTGTAAATTGCAAACATATTTGTGATCTATATGTTGTTCCTGAGTGTTAATTCCTGATGAATCTAGCTTGGAGTCAGAGATACATCCCAACATATACCTATTTGTCTTTGTAGACAGAACACTTTCCTCTATGAGTTTTCATAACTTGAAACTGCCAAGAGTTTAATGTTAGTTTTCTTTCCCATCTAGAACACTCACATTAGTAATGGTTCATAAGTGAATAGTCTTGAAATTGATATTAAAGTATATATATATATAAATGTTATATAGATAACATTTTCTAAAGGGCATCGTACCTATTATAACTGTATGTCCTTGACATTTTGTGGAGAATAATACACATATTAATGTTCATCTGCTGTCAATATAGTCTATAGAGCAGAATAGATGAGTCACAGCAAAGACTAGCATAAAATGTGGTGAACACACTGGTGAAGCAGTAGAGGAATAATGAGCTAACCATGAAGCAAAGAGTCTGTTTTCTGCCAAACTTAACCTAGCAACATATATTTGAAGAGCAACTCTTCCCTATATTTTGTGTATTATGATTGTTCTCTAAAAAAATCATACATTATTATTTGTGAGAACAAAAGTGACATTGATTGCTATGACGTATTCTAAAAAATTTCTTCCCTCTGAATAGAGGTAGCTATTTTAAGATTCTAAGGGACAGTTTGTCAATTTAATGGCAATCATGAGATGATGCAATTTTCTAAAAATGCGTTGCAAGCAACTCAACACAAGAAGAATGAAACAACACTTGCCACCAGTTAGAACAATCTTCACCTTCAGAAATCCAATTTCTACACACACTAGAGCATGTCCTCTTAGTAAGAAAAATGGAACTGGTTTAGATTCCCAAGGATGTTGGGTTTCACACACACACACACATGCCCTCTCTTACTTCTTGCATTTGTGTGAAAGAAAATTCATAAATGTGATAGAGTGCATATGTGACATAGGATATTGTTTATATACATTGGTTTTGAGAACATCTGCAAAGATATAACAAATCAGCATTTGGTTTCAGGAGCTACACTTTGGGGGCCAGTTGACAACAATCAAGGGAGTTTGCTAAAGGCAGGAGGAGCTGGAGAGCTTTGCCTCCTGCAGAACAACCAATGTGAGAGGGACCATCGCTGCCCTGTTTAACAGTATGTCACTTACCAGTGTGTTTCCCTTATCCAAAACCACATTTCCATGTGCATTATATAATAAATTGAGCCCATGTCCCAAGGACATTTCAGTAAATAATCGGTTCAATTACATAACAAACAAACAAAAAACAAACAGAACCCAGTATATTGGGTGTCCATCAGAGAACCTGGCAGGTAACAGACGGTTGGTTAAACAGTGGGAAAATAATCAGTTGACAACTCTGTCATTTTCACTGAAGCTTAGCAGTCACCTCTGCCTCCACAGCCCAGTCTATGGTTCTACCCACCCAGGAGGCCCATTTATGATTATGTCCCCCTTCAAAACTGCCCTTAGTGTTTATTTTAACCTAATTTTTATTTGCTAAAAATATGTCATTAAGGAAGTGAGAGAAATGTGGGAAAAAGAGAAATTCAAGGATTTGTCCATGAAAACCCTGTCCCCTCCAAGGCTGGAGCTTTGTTTTATTTTGTGGGGAACCTTGTACATTGAGTACTTGCAGCAGGTTCCTGTAACGATCACACATATTAGTGGTTTTTAGCCCTTTTGGATTTGTACTTTGATATCCTAATGCAGTTGGGACAAAAGCTAGAAGAGTCGCAGGTTTTTGTTGTTGTTGTTCTGTTTGCTCCTTTAATTTCTCCTCTGTCTCTTCTCCAAGACATAACAATTTGAGTGTTGGCATTCTTCAGTATTGTTAAGAAAATGCCTAGAGGTAAATCATCATATCAGTGTAATTAAGCCAGCACAGTTTTTTGGGGAGGCACTTGGCAGTTTAAATTTCACCATATAACTAAGATGGGACCCATACATTAAAGAATTTAAGTTGTTCTGTAAGGTGATAAATATTTTCACTTCAATAAGTTATTTATAATGGACTTCTGGAGAAATTGCTTTTCTATTTAGTAGGTGGCAAAAGAACATAAGTCAAGTTGGATTCTGTATTCAATAACATTATATTCAATTTTCTTAATTATGTGTTTTCCCCATTGTGCCCTAAAATGCACAATATTCTAATATTCATGCATACATACACACACAAACACACAGTAGCTTACAATATAGCAGGTAAGAGTGTGGGCTCTGGAGCTGGAATCCTAGATCTACCGTTTAAAACTGTGTAATCTTGTCTTAGACCTACCATTTAAAATTGTGTAATCTTGTCTTACATCTACCATTTAAAATTGTGTGATCTTGAGCAAGTTACTCAACCACTGTGTGCCAGTTTCCCTTATTGGATCAAACTGAGCTGCCTGTTCCACTTCCGCAGGTGCCCTTTCACCTATTCCCTGAAGGTTTAGTTTTGCCAGCCAAAATCAATACAATCGGGCTCCACAACTGGCTCCAAGTCACAAACCTTACCCGTAGCAACTCTGTGACAGTAAAAACAAATCTTCCTTCTCCATCACTCTCCTAACCACACATTTTCACACACATGTAGAACTTAACTGTTAATCTAAACTTAAAGTCAACAAGAACAAAAACCTTCTAACATAAACACTATCTACTACCACCAGAATTTGTCCCTGGAAAAATTCTGATACTGTGAAATTACTATCTGTCTTTCAGGCAGGGTGTTCAATACAAGTCAAATAGAATGCACTGTATAACTCAGTTTGATTTAAACAAAACAACATATGCACAACAAATGCCTGGGGCCAGGAAACTGTGTGGCCTAAATAGCTCTTTTGTCCCTAGATTTGGGTAAAAGTTGGTATACATGGAATTTTCTTAAATGCAGACATCTGTTTGTGTTTATTGTTGTGAATCTCATTATGAGAACTTTGTATGGGACATTTATGTAGTAAGTAATGAAGCCCATAAATTTGATGATGGAAAGATACTGTTCCTAATTACCAACATAGTTTGGAGGAGATGCTCATGAAACTTTAAAATGCAACTTAAATAAATTAAACAAATTTCCTCCTACAAGACAACTTTTTTTTTTTTGAGACGGAGTTTCGCTCTTGTTGTCCAGGCTGGAGTGCAATGGCACTATCTTGGCTCACCGCAACCTCTGCCTCCCAGGTTCAAGCGATTCTCCTGCCTCAGCCTCCCGAGTAGCTGGAATTACAGGCGCCCACCACCACGCCTGGCTGATTTTTGTGTTTTTAGTGGAGACGGGGTTTCTCCATGTTGGCCAGGCTGGTCTTGAACTCCTGACTTCAGGTGATCTGCCCATCTTGGCCTCCCAAATTGCTGGGATTACAGGTGTGAGCCACTGCGCCCAGCCCAAAACAACTTCTAATAACTCTCTCATTCATTTTTGACACATTTGCAATATGAATGCAAATCTCCCAAGTATACACAAAATTGTCAGATGGGGAAAAAAAGTGGCCAATAAACATATAAAACGATGCTCTACTTTCTTTGCTTATAGGGAAATGCAAATTTGAAAAGTGATTTAATACCAATAATACCACCAAACTGGCAAAAATCAAAAAGTCTGACAAGTTTACTGTCAAGGATGTGGTAGAAAGGAAAATCTTTCATACTGCTTATGAGAGTGGAAAGTGGTATAGTCTCTGCACAACAAGCTGGCAGTATTTCTAAAGTTGAAGCAGGGCTCCCCTAGAAAAGTCCATGCACCTGCACACCAAGAGATGGGGAAAAGGCTGTTCTCAGAAGCATCATTGATAACAGCAAAAACCAAAAACTAAATGATATGAAAACAACCTAAATGCCCATCCACAGTAATAACTGTTTCAAGAAAGTATCATCACTAGATGCTAACATTAATAGCAAAGGTATAAAAAGCAGCGGGGGAATCTCAGAAGATCTCCCACAAGTTAATCACTAGTTACAGAAGGGAACCTAGTAACTTTACAGAGGAGCAATCTGCAGACACTTTCTTAACTAAGTGACCAATAACGGGACAAACTGACATGTCCCTCCTGATCCGATGTACTAAGGACACCCTATTTCTTCTGTGACATTCCCACCAAAAATACGACAGCTTAAATCCAACCATGAGGATGTAAACTGAGGTCCACTCTACAAAGCAACTGACCTGTATTTTTCAACATTTCGAGGTCAAGAAAGACAGATAATCTATTCTTGATTAAAGAAAACTTAAGAGATAGCACATCTAAATGAAATGGAATCCTTGGATTCTGGACCAGAAAAAAACAATAGTGGGTTAATTGTCAAAATCTTAGTAACATTTATGGATTACATAATCTTATCAATACTGATTTCTTGATCTTGGTCATTATATTATAGTTGTGTAAGAGAATTTCTTTTAGGAAATATATTTTGAAGTAAAGGGGCATCATGTCTAAAATTTATTCACAGATGTTTAAAAAGAAATAGTATTCTTTGTATGTGTAGAGAGAGAATGAATAATTTTTAAATTTTAAGTATGGCAAAATGTTAACATTTGGGGGATCTGAAGGAAGGGTATATGATATTCTTTGTACTGTATTTTACAATTGTTTTACAAATATGAATGCTTTTCAAAATAAGAAAAGAAAATCAGGCAAACATTGAGCACATTTTGATTCATGGCCAGGCATGGTGGCTCATGCCTATAATCCCAGCACTTTGGGAGGCCGAGGTGGGCGGATGCCAGGAGTTTGAGACCAGCCTGGCCAACATGGCAAAACCCCATTTCTACTAAAAATACAAAAAAAAAAAAATTTAGCCGGGCATAGTGGCACATGCCTGTAATCCCAGCTACTCAGGAGGCTGAGGCACAAGAATTGCTTTAACCAGGGAGGTGGAGGTTGCATGAGCTGAGATCACGCTACTGTGCTCCACTGTGAGCAACCAATGAAACTCTGTTTCAAAAAGAAAAAAAAGAAAAAGAAAAAAAAATCAAAAAAACATTTTGATTCATGGTTACCACAGGGAAGGGATGAACTTGGGAAAGGGAGAAGCTGACGGAGGTCTGCAAAGGTATTGGTCATGTGTATTTCATAAAATTAATTTTATTTGTATTCTTTAAGGAGTAAATAAACGTTCTAGGAACTCATTTATAGAAAAAGTAGAAAACAAGTATTTGCCACATTAAGCAGGTGCCCAGTGCAATGCAAGCTCTCTGGGCTTTGGTGGAGATCAGGGAAGGATTCTTGAGGAGATATCGAGTGAGAAGAATTCTGAGTAAGAATCGTGAAGGAGTCCTGTAGGCAGGAGAAAGACCAAATTAAAGGGCTGTGGCTTAAAGGAAGATGTTGCATAAGGGGTACTTGAAGGTGGTCCCTGGGCCTTTGACCCAGGCAGTAAGAGGACACTGGAGTTCGAAACTCCTAGATCCAAGGTGTTCCATGCTAGCAATGGGACATTTTAATATGTCTCCATATTTCCCTCAGCAAACTGGATAATTCAGAAAAAATCTAATGCACAATCTAATATGACTCACCACAACTAGAAAAAAATATTTAGAAATGGTAGAAATGTTCAACAGCTAAAAATTCCAATGAGAAATGATAGGTTGTGCATTTTAAAAAATAAAGAAATCATGGGCCTAGAATGCAATTTTCCTCACAATCACATTTCATGAAAGGCAATAATTAAAATGGTTAGTTTTAAAAAGTCCCTGAACCTGTTACATTTTCTCAGAAGCATTGGACCGAAATGCCTGGGCTCTTGTTTCCAAGGCTAGGTAATATTCAAAGCCCTTCAGTTAAAAAAAAAGGAGGATAATGCCATACTGCTCCCCTTTTACTACAATATTTGCAATGCATTACCCTTTCAAAATTGACAAGTTATGGTTAGAACATTTTTTAAAAACCATACATATGCATATACATCTATCCATCCATCTAACCAAGAATCATTTATGAAGCTATTATAAAACTCTCTGTCTGGAAGCAATGAGATAATAACTAAATAATTACAATAAAAATTAATTAAGGTATTCAAGAAGTGTTATGGAAATACAGAAGAGGAAGAGACTAAGTCTGCCTGTGGACTCAGAAGAGGGTAACAGAAGAGGGGCAAATTAGTTGGGTCTTGAAAGGCAAGCAGGAGCCGAACAAGAAGAGAAAAAAGGAAGTGTCCTCTGGGTAGCTGGTGGCACGGGCCTGAGTGGCATCCTTGGGTAATGCCCAGAAGCTTGAGTGGCTGAAGTGTGGCAAAGGTTGGAGGAAAGAGAATACTAGAAAGTGAAGCTAGATGCCAGAAAGGTAGGCTGAAACCAAGTGAGATGTAATCCTCTGAGGGCAATAATCAAGAACATTAGCAGCATTCTGGCAGGGCTATATCATGATCAAAGCTGTGTGTTCACAAGATGCAGGCAGAATGGAGGGTGGATAGTTGCCTGGGGAGAGACAGGAAGACAACTAGTGAGAAGGCTGGAAGGAAACCACAAGGACATTGCAAAACACTGTCTGGGGAAGAAATACTGAGTGACTTACATAAATCACTAAGGTCAGGGAGCTGTCTGAAATATTTAGGAGGTAGCCTTGCCAGTACTTGGAGCATGAACTGATGTGGAGTGGCCAGGGGTGGAAATAATTGAGCATGGTTTTAGTTTGAGATTTCCTGGATCCACTGAGGTATACAACTCAGGAAATAAGAAAAGCAGATTTATGAAGCAAGAAACTGTGTTAGATCTGGATCCTGTTGAGTTTGAAGTAATTGAGGAACTTCAGGACAGAGATATCAATGGGCAGAGCTCAGAGATGTGTGAAAGGGTGAAATCACCTAGGGGGGGTTTTGTGGGGAAGGCAGAGAGAAGGGGGTCTAAGATTAGATCCCTTGTACATCCTAACATTAAAAGCCCATTTTTCCTCAAATTGTTCCATGGATTGAAAATATATTGAATAATACTTGATCCACTCTTCTGTGACCAGATATATAGTGAATCTCTGTTTATTGATGAATCAAAGATGTCTTTTTGAATCAAATGCCTGTGTTAAATGGTTCAGACTATCTTTCAGAGTAGTGATGATTGAGTCCCCATACACAACTTATAGTCAGCTTGTCAGGCCCCGTACATAGAGCACGTGGTTCTTCCCACAGGCTCCTCAGTACACAGTACTAGGGAATATATGGAGAAAGAAGTACAGAGCCTTGTAGGTCTGAGATCCGTCATGGATGAAATGTATTCTCACCTAAACAAAATGATGAGGCCTGGTCAGAGACAAAGCCCTACACAGACCTCGCCTGCACACCCAGACCAGGCCCCACTAGTCACCTTTCGTGACAGTCTAGGGTCTACTGAATCACAGTGAGATCATTCTGAGATGTTCACGCCCAGGCACAGGAGCACAGAGGCAACTGGACAGCACTCTCCTTGGCCCGATGACCACTGTAATAATGAACACGGATGTAGCTTCAAAACTCTGAAGCATGTTATCACTTGATCCTTGAGATGGTTTGGATCTATGTCCCCACCCAATTCTCATATCAAATTGTAACCCCCAGTGTTGGAGGTGGGGCCTCGTGGGAAGTGATTGCATCATGGGATCGGTTTCTCATGGTTTAACACCATCCGCCCTGGTACTGTGGTCATGATAGTGAGTCTCACAGGGATATGGTTGTTTAAAAGTGTGTAGTGCCCCCTCCCTCTCTCTCCTTCTCCTGCTCCTGCCATGTAAGACGCCCCACTTCCCCTTTGCCTTCCTCCATGATTAAAAGCTCCCCAAGGTCTCCCCAGAAGCAGATGCCACCATGCTTCCTGTATAGCCTGTGGAACTGTATGTGAGCCAATTAAACCTCTTTTCTTTACAAAGTACCCAGTCTCAGGTATTTCTTTATAGCAGTGGGAGAACAGACTAACACAATCCTCATAAGAATTTTGTGTCTACTAATTTTACAAGGATAAAAGCTAAGGTCTATTAACTTAATCAAAGCCACATAAGCAGAGGGTTAGATTTAAGAACTGTCTCTGGTATTCTATAAAAGATAGTTCCTTCCGCTTTGTTTTAGGATCAGAAAGCAGTGCCTCGGGAAGAGTTAGTCCTTTTAATCTTTTAATGCACTTTCTGAGCATTTTTATAATAGGCCCCACAAAGATGTCCACACCCTAATCCACAGAACCTATAAATATACTCATTTCCATGGAAAAGGGGACTTTGCAAATATGATTAAGATGGAAGACCTGCAGATGGGAGATTGTCCTGGATTATCTAGGTGGCCCAATCCAATCACCAGTCCTTCAGTGGGAGAGGAAAGCAGAAGCGTGGGTCCGAGGGGCGCAACATGTGAAGAACTTGAGCCATCACCACTGGCTTTGAAGATGAAGGAAGGAGGCCAGGTTTAAGCAATGTGGGGGCCTCTAGAAGCTGGCAATAGACCTCAGTTTGTATCCAGCAAGAAAATGGGGACCTCGGCCCTACAGTCTCAAGGAACTGAATTCTGCCAACAGCCCAAGTAAGCATGAGACAAATTTTCCTCTAGAGCTCCACAAAGGGTCACAGCCTTGCTGATACCTTGATTTTAGCCTGGTGAGACCCTCACCAGACTTCTCACCTACACTACGGTAGGATAATACACAGATGCTGTTTAAGCGCTAAGTTTATATAGTCTGTTATTGCAGCAACAGAAATCTATTAAGATCCTTTGTATCTCTGCAAAGTCACAGCAGCCCAGACCCAGTCAAATTCTGATCATTGAGGGCACTGAGACAGCACATGCAGTAATTCTGATCACTAGACTTTTGGCATAATGTCAGCTTACGAAAACAGCTCAGGCCCAGGGGCACAAGTGGGCCTTTCCCTGTGCTCATGAACTAGAGGAACACATTTTCAACTGGCTGCCAAGCATAGGTCACATTTTTGAAACACCTGGACAGAGTCTCAGCAAACAACAGGTGTCACAGACATCACATATTCAAGAAGTAAACCAGGCGTGTGTGCCCAGGTTAAGCGAATGTGTACTATTTAAACATCTTTAAAGGTAGTGCTCTATTGGGTTTAAGGCTCATTCACTTTTACTGGACAGCCCCATGGAAATATATTCTAGATTTCCATCTTATGATATGAAATTACGTGTATTACAGATGGTGCACTGGGCTGAAGGAGAAAATACCCTGGGTTTGAGTCCTCCCGTGGCATTGCTCTGTGACCCTGACCACATCCATTTAAACCTCCTTGTGACTCAGTTTCCTTCTATTTTATTTTATTTATTTATTTATTTATTTTGAGATGGAATCTTGCCCTGTTGCCCAGGCTGGGGTGCAGTGGCACAATCTCGGCTCACTGCAAACTCTGCCTCCCAGGTTCAAATGATTTTCCTCCCTCAGCTTCCTGAGTAGCTGGAGTTTCAGGTGTGTACCACCACAGTTGGCTAACTTTTGTATTTTTAGTAGAGACAGGGTTTTGTCATGTTGGCCAGGCTGGTCTCAAACTCCTGGCCTCAAGTAATCCACCTGCCTCGGCCTCCCATAGTGCTGGGATTACAGGCATGAGCCACCATGCCCGGCCTCTTTATCTATTTTAGACTAGATTTTCTTTCAGGTCTAAATGTTTATGACTGTACAATCTCAAGAAATGTAGCACAGTTTTTCTTTTTTAATTAACAATATATATTTCATGTGGAGTTGGTATACAGAAATGCCAGCAGAAAGAATTTTTAGGACAGAATATACCTTAAATCACTTCAGACAAATTAAAAATGTAAATATTCAACATTAGCTCAAAAGTGTGTCAAAGCATGTTTTTGTGAAGAGACAAATGCTTCAAATAAATATAGCAAAAGTTGTTACCAGCAGGTGGTAGGAATGTGGGTGATTACTAGTTTTTTCTTCATTATTTTCTATATTTTGAACTATTATTGTAATAAAACTCACAAAAGCTTAGAAAATACAGATGTAAGGCCAGGAGAGGTGGCTCACACCTGTAATCCCAGCACTTTGGGAGGCTGAGGCGGGTGGATCACTTGAGGTCGGGAGTTTGAGACCAGCCTGGTCAACATGGCGAAACCCCATCAATATTAAAAATACAAAAAAATTAACCAGGTGTGGTGGCACACACCTGTAGTCCCAGCTACTTGGGAGGCTGAGGCAGAAGAATCACTGGAGCCCAGGAGGCAGAAGTTGCAGTGAGCCGAGATCACACCACTGCACTCCAGCCTGGGCAACAGAGTGAGACTCTGTCTTTAAAAAAAAAAAAAAAAAAGAAAGAAAAAGAAAATACAGCTGTAAAAGGAAAGGAAACCATTACATGAATGCCAGAACTTTAAAAAACAGAGCAGAGTCATTACAATGCTCTAAAGCCGTGTCATGAAAACTCTCTAACATCCTAACCTCAACGAAAGGAGAATTTTTAAGGGCGAAAATAGCATTCACATAAACTGATAAAATCACACAACTCTGGTGATTTAGTAAGGGTTTTTTAAAAAAACATAAACCGCTCTCCATCATGTGACTGGAAACAGACTGCTTTCAAAACCCTGTGGCTCACACTCCTTGGACTTTAATCAATCATTTTTCTGCACCCTGCTCGGGGTGGCCTCCACCTTGTGACTGCTAACAGCATCAGTGAGAATGGCACTAACATCTCTGGCTAGGCAGTGAGGCCTGCGTGTGCTACCCAGGCGCCCACGAGGACAGGGGCTGGTGTTGGATTGGTGATCACACCTGCTTAGCTGAATCTTATTTAAGAATATAAATGCATGCCAATCAAGATTTTGTTTTGTTTCTTTTTAATCTTTGAATAGCCTTTGTGGGAATCTTGAATTAAATTCTGCTCAGTTTACTTCAATTCAATTTGCTATAATATTTGTGTTGTAAATATTTAACAATAAAAATTTTATACAATGTATTGTATAAAGTTGTAAATATTATACAATTTGTACAATTTGTATAATATTGTACAAATATTATATGCTGGTGCTTTGTCGCCAACATCTGTCCTCTGGAACGTGCCTCAGAATTTCTTTACTGCAAACCAGGCCCTTGGATTTCCTTTTGCATGCCTAATCTATACTCCTGTCATCTCTAAGTATGACATTCTCTTTTCCATTTGGCAAGCATTTAGTAAGCACCTACTATGTGCCAAACATCTTGCTGCCCTGGAAATATGGAGACTATAACCACAGTCTTGGTCTTGAAGGTCTCTCAGAGTATCAGAAGTGTAAGGGCAAAACCACACCTCTTCCTCCTCCTCCAGGACTGGCAACAGAGACAAATATCATTTGGACTGTGGATAGCTCTACCAGAGATCAGACTGGCTGCCAGGGAAGTGGTGAAAGGTTATCTCTAGCACATCAGCCTCCCATTTCCATACTGTATTATCCTAATGGGTCAGGGATCTTCCCAAGATACATCTGTTCAGAAATGGACTTACACTGTGGAGTGAAATAAAGTCCTCACCATGCCGCCTTGTGCATTTAAGGTTGATGACGAACTGTGGAATAAAATGGCCTATACCTTGGTATCAGTTGCTAGGAGGACAATGTGGGCACAGGGCCGAAGGACGAATCTGTAGTCTTGAGACCCTCTGAAATCACACTGGGTCCAGGACAGATCATATTACCTTTCCCAGGTGTGAGCAGGGAGAAGGAGGTGATAGAAGCAGAGACAAAAGCCAGGGACAGACACAGAACTAGAAAACGAGAGGTTCCTGCTGCTTTTTCAAAGGCAAGGGGGATAGGATCTGGTAGCACAGTTCAAACTTCTGCTCATGTATGTTCTGCTCATGTGGGTGCTGACACGGCCTGGCACAGACCTTAAGCCAGAGACTGCAACTACAAACATTCAGCATGGGAACTGGAAAGCATGCTTTCTTAAAGCAGATGGGGCTTACCCTTCTCTTCAGGATAAGAAAGAAGGAAATGGGATTGTATGCTTGCCTCTGAGGCTCGATAAGGTCAGAAGAACCTGACTTGCCCAGCCTTTGCCACCACTGGCTGTCTTTTGCCAGTCTCCATTCCACTAGCCCTGTCCTCAGGATGTGTGAACAGCCATTCCCTTCATTGCATTCTTAAATAACCACGTTTTATGCTACCATCTTCACAGGTGAAATACAAATGTGGTCATAGATCATTGGGATCAAGTCTTCCAGGTGCTAAAATCAGATATCTTAATCAATAATCATCTTATTAAGATGAAAATAAGTTTTATTTTAATTCTCTATGAAAACCCCTTTAAAAGGATAAGATCTCCCCAGATTTTTAGGACTAAAGCATTCTTGAAGGTCTTGGTGTCCAACTCTCTTGTTTTAAAGACAAGAACACTGAAACTCAAAGAAGCTTAAAGACTTGGCCAAGGTTATACTGCCTGGAAACCACTGCTTCCTAATGATAAAAAGATACATTTTTCAAATTGATTGGACAGAAGCCATATAATGGCTTCTGACTTCAAAAATGGAAGTTAATGAATGAACTTTCCCTGTTAGCACTCAGAAAGGTTCTGAAGGCATCTTATCTCTGCATGTTGGTATGCCAACAAACTTTATTACTAGTAGTTTCTCATGTAGGACAAATTTATAGCCCACCATAAAGATATGCTTCAAAGAAAACTTAAAATACATTTTTTTCACTTCAGAATAAAACTTCCTTTGAATGTGTCCAATTTTTAAACAACATAAAAAACAAAAAATAAATGTCTTTAAATATTAGTTCTCCACATTTGCAGTATCTTCAAAAAAGTTGAGTTCTAACATCACTTTCATTTTTGTGAAGATTACTCAGCTACAATCAATTTCCATTTGTCATTCTAAAGAGCTGTGACAAAGGGACATTTAAGAGCTAATCAAACAATGAGTATTTGAGAATAATTTAATTATCATATTTCATTGAACAGTAAATTTTGTTAAGTTTTTTGTTTGCTTGTTTGCCAAGTCAAATGTTCATGTCTGGGTTCTTTTTATAGAATGTTTAATTTGAAAGGCCAAAGAGTCACTGGTCATTTTGACAGCCTCAATTAGTCATTTAAATTGGTAATTACTAAGATAATTATATGAAGAAAAATCTCATTGTGTTAATCCTAAATGGTGTCATCTTTTCAAATAGACCCCTTTTCAGATTTTCAGATCCTGTTGTTAAACTCTGCCATTTTGGTATTTAATTTACATTAAAGAGCTGCCTAGCTTCCCAAATTCTACATGTCTCAGAGGAGGTATGCTGAAATTGAATTAGAAATACAGTATTTTCACATTTAAGTTGCCCAAAATAAAGAAACTTTTAATGATTTGGTACTATTATTTTTTTTTTTGACAGAGTCTCACTCTGTCATCCAGGCTGGAGTGCAGTGGCATGATCTCAGCTCACTGCGACCTCCGCCTCCCAGGTTCAAGCAATTCTCCTGCCTCAGCCTCCCGAGCAGCTGGGACTACAGGTGCATGCCACCACGCCCGGCTAATTTTTGTAATTTTAGTAGAGATGGGGTTTCGCCATATTGGTCAGGCTGGTCTCGAACTCCTGACCTCAGGTGATCCTCCCATCTCGGTCTCCCAAAGTGCTGGGATTACAGGTGTGAGCCACTGTGCCCAGCTGCGACTGTTAATTCTTCTAATCTCTGAGGCAGACATTTTCGCTTCAATCCAACTGCAAAATATTAACGTTTTCAAAGGCAAGTGTTTTTCTGTATTGCCACTAATTCAGTCACATTCATTAAATTTTATTATTTCTACCTCATTAAATGTAGGTCAACATTTTGAGTCCAGCAAACACAAGCATTTATTTCCAGCCTGCTAACACTGCTGTGAAAGATAAGAAGCAAACAAGTCTCACTTCAATGGCGGGGAGAAAAATAAAGAACCATCAACCTTCTTATTTGTAAACAAGAACACCAAAATCAAGACTACAAGAGACAATGTAACAGATGTAATGTTGCAACCCAACCACGCCCCCCAACCTCATGCTTATCTTGCCAGAAATGTATTTCTATAGAAGGAGAGGAATCAAATAATGCCCCTTTCACAGTTGAAGGAGCCTTTGTTTGCAAAGCTTAACTCACTCTGTGCCAGTCCTGTCTTTGGGAAATGTCTGAGCAACAGTGTCCAAAGTTGGTGTCACTCCCAATATCCCAGGTTGCTGAGATGTCATAAATGAAAGACTGAAGCAGAGCAAAAGTAGCCACAGCTCTTCTTTTGTCAAGAAACTCTTTTTTAGAAACTCTTCCTATAACTAGTACTCTGAGGGTTTCTTTTCTCTCACTGCTTTCGCTGATGGATGCAAGCTGCATGTGTAATGAGGTCCTTCCTGCCTGGTGGAGCTGGGAGGCAGTTATAGAGTAGTCAGGAGGAACAGGCTGTGGAGTCAGACTATGTGATTGTGACTCTGGATTCACTATTGAGGAGTCATTTGATCTGAAGAAAGTTCCTGATCTCTAAGCATCTCTTTCCTCATCTATAAAATGAGAATACCAACATTTTGCCATATGGTTGCTATGAGGATTAGAAGAGATTGCACAAGTATAGTACTTGGCACACAGGACATGCCCAATACCTTTCTGCAGGATTGCATTTCCAATGCTTGCCAAGATTTACAAGTAGACTATGAAGAGGATGACACAAGGGCTGTCATTATCAGATGCTAACAACCTGGACATTTAAAAGTTATAATTCCACTATAACCTTTCAGTAATGTACATTCGGCCCACCCTTCTGACTTTCCTTAAGCAACTAATGTGCACTAAGAAGAGGGACTCCACCCCTCTTATTTCCCAATAGCAAATATACTATAAAAGTAGTGAAACAGACAAGTTCTCGCTTTTCAATAGCACTTATATTACAAGGCAAGAGGGTTGGAAGACAAACAAGAAATGAAATCAATAAAAAGATCACTTTAGATAGTAGTAAGAGCTATGAAGACAACTAAGCCTAGTAATGAGATTGAGAGTGTTGAGGGTGGGGAGCCTGGTGGGAGATTCTCTGGTAGGAGGAGTAACATTCACCTCACCCTGAAACACATCTTTAGGGTATGAACTCTCACCCTCCACTTGGTAATCCAGGATGACCTTCCTGAGAAGGTGACATCTGAGAATCTGAGGGATGAGAAGGAGAAGTTGTGAGAACTCTGGGACAAAGAAGTGGGAAATTCAAGAGCCCAATCACCTAATCCCCTAATTTCACAGTTCAGGAAACTGAGTCTTCAAAGAGAGAAGGGACTTCATCAAGGGTCACAGAGCCAGGTTTGAAATTCTGCTCTCCAGACTCACAGGCTCTGACATTTCCAATACCAACTCCCATTCATTAGAATCCCATGTGGCCAAACTGTTACAAGTGCATAATGGAACTCCAACATGGATAGTCAAGGAAAGAGTATCTCAGGATGATGGTGAAGGACAGCCCATCAAAGAGGTCATGAACCACATTATAGCATATGGGGAAGTCAAGATCTTTAACTCTATGGAAGCCCATTCTTACCGCATTCAAGCATGAATTCAAGAGGTATCACTTTTTCTAGGAGTCAATGACTGTGAGAGAGAAAAACATCTTCATGATTTTCTAATTCTAGCAGTTGGATTTTCTGATATCACCATTTTTTTTAAATCCCTAAGGGTTTCACTCAATATCATATCAATATAGATCTTATATGATATGATATATATTATATATATATATATATATATATATATATATATATATATATATATAACACTGAATCAGTGTTAATTGTGTGTTGTATTAGTCAGTGCGGGCTGCCATAATAACCAAAGAATCAGTGTTAATTGTGTGTTGTATTAGTCAGTGCGGGCTGCCATAATAACATAACATAGTCTGGGTGTCTTTAACAACAGACATTTATTTTTCTCAGTTCTGGAGGCTGAAGTCTGAGATCATGGTGCTAACATGGTTGGGTTCCTGGTGAAAGCTCTCTTTCTGGCTCGTAGTTGGCCGCCTTCTTGTTGTGTCCTCACATGACAGAGAGAGGGTGATCTCTCTCTCTCTTCTTCTTCTTTTAAAGCCACTAATCTTATCATAAGAGGTCCACTCTCATGACCGAATCTACCCCTAATTACCTCCCAAAGGCCTCACCTCCTAACCGCATCATATAGGGGGTTAAGGCATCGACATATTAATCTTGGAAGGACACAAACGTTTAGTTCATAACACATCTTTCATTAGTTGAAGTAATTGTATTTAAAAATTCTCTGTAGGAGGAGCAACATTCGCCTCACTCTGAAACACATGTTTAGGGTATGAAGTCTCACCGTACAACCTAGAGTGAGAACTTGTGCTGATTTAGATAGCAATTATTTAAGTCTGTTATGGAATTTTTTCTTAACCTGGAAAATTAAGTTCACACTACAATTAAGGGGCTAGATGGTAGATGGAGGAGAGAATATAACACAAATAAGTAAGAGATTTCCCTAAAGCCATTTAACAATGAACTAAATCCCATTTTCGTTTCTAAGTGGTCTAAACCTCATGTCTGCTTTAAGTAAAACTTTCAAATAGTTGCAGAATAAACCACATTGTATTGGACCCTCATCAATTGACTTTATCTAAAAAGATACTGCAAAAGTGTGGCTAAAGATGTAGGTTATTTTCATGTTTCTCAAATTTTAGTGTCCTAGTGCAAATCACTAGGGGATCTTATTAAAATGCATTATCTGGTGTGAGCCCTTGGATTCTGTATTTCTAGCTAGCTCCCATGTGATCTAATGTTGCTGGTCCTTGGACAACACTCTCAATGACGAGACTCTATCACACCATGCTACTATTTGTAAAAACCCCAGGAAAAAAATATCTTGTCTCTTAAGTTTCAGTATAAGTTAATGCTGAATATGTCTAGAGCAAGTTTTCATTTATCTAATGGACTTCTTAAATCTCATGGCTGATGGTGTTTTCCTCTTTGACTTGGTCACCAAGAAGCATTTTTAACAAAGCTATAGGACTTAATAGTGATGTATTTTATTTACTGGTCCCAATGACTTACATCTGATTACATCTAACTTTCCTAATACTGTTTTTTTTTTTCTGGCTAATATTACTTTTCACTGCCCTTACTATATTTTGTTGTTGTCATCTCACATGCATCTTTGTAAGATACTTAGGATCCCTCCTTCAAATAAGATAGAATGTGAAAAAAGAATCCCAACACAACTCAGTTAAATGGTAATACATACTCCCAGACACACAATGCATTGAGGAATTTCAGGCACATGTGAGAGTGGGGTAAGCAATTGAGAATGGAGAAGCAGACAGTTTTGAAGTAGACTGCAGGAGGATTAACCTCATGCTCTTTCACAATTTTCTTAAGACTTTGCAATACAGGTGGGATGGGGATGGCTGAGTGAGTTCATATTTTAAAGACTTAACTATTGAAATTCCAGTTGCCTTGGGAAGATCTATTATAATTAAGGGTACCTGGAGCAGCCTCTGCTATTGCAACTATCCTCAGGGGAACACTGGAGTGAATTCTCACAGGTACTCTGAAGCACTAGTGGGAAGAACAGTTTTCCTAATCCTTAGGTAGAACTGCATCTTGGATAGATCAAAAGGCAACACCAATCAACGTCAGCTACTCATATCCACCGATTTGAAGATGCTTTTAGAAGCAGCTAAAAAACTGGAAGGTAACCCCTCCAGTTTTCTATTCAAAATGCAGAGGATGTCCCATATCAGTTACTTAACTTAGGGAAACATGTTTAACCCTATGAGTCTCACTGGCCTCCTCTGTATTTTGCAACAATAATAACTTCCTCAAATGATTGCTCTGAGAATTAAATAGAATGCTTGACACTGTGCCAGGCACATCGTACATTCTTAACAAATTATTTACCTTAATGCATTCATTATTGCTTTCTTTTTCTATGCTAGGCCTTAGAGAATCTGGTTGTGGAGAAAAAGCCAAAACCTATACATGTTGACTCATTCTTTCAGCCTTTGATCCTTCTAGAAGTTTTCTAGAACCTACTTGTGGTTACTATTCATTTTCAAAGTTATTTCTCCAATGCCCTTGAGAAATAAAAAACATTGGCAGACACACAAGTAACATTCAAACTTGATCTTGTAAACTAAGTTTGTGTTGACTTCTTCTCCAGGCAAAGAGGTCAAGGGACTTTCCTCATATGAAAACATAACCGTGTGATTTCTGCTAAACCATAAACACCCTTGTCATAAAGGACTCTGTCCAGAACAACAAACAACAAAACAAAGCAAAAAACACAAACAAAATAAAAAGACTGTGCTGTGAATGCTAAACAACCAGGCCCTTATATTGCATATTGCTTTTAAATCTGGATAGCGACAGCAAAACAAGTGCTTCACTTTCATTTGCTATCACTTTCTGCATCTAGCATATGACTTTTGGGAAATTCCAGTATCCCCCACTCAATTAAAAAAAAAAAAATCCCTCCTACTCTCAACTCTTGAATGCCACCAAGTTCAGAGGGGAGAAAATTCTTCCTTCTAGGAATTCCTCACGCTCACGTAAACATGTTTACATATTCATTACTTCTCAATCAAAGCTCTTTGGTTGGTCAAAGGTTCCGCTTCTTACTCAAAGCTCTCTAAAATATCAAAAGTGGTATTATTGGAGGTCTGAAGAGTTAGGAAACATCAAAGAAGGGAAATGGAATTTACTGAAATAAATACTTTCCCCTCTTTACCCCTTACACTTTCTGGGTGGGTAGGAAGGGAGAAAACCTCCTGGTTAAGTATAATCACTTCCGGCAGGATGCTTTCTCTTTAAAATGAGTTAATAACAAAATTAGATACAATTAAAAAGGAGTTGCAAAGGAGTTTTTGTCTAATAATAGAGTAAATATAAAGGCATTAAAAGTGCATGTAACTAAAGTGGTAAGCTCCAGTCTAGGAAATAGATGAACGGCTTTGGGCTAAAACTGACCAAATGATTATTTGATCTCTAGTAAATGCTTCCTTTCCATCATCTGACTCTATGTAGATCTCATCCTTCTGGTTATCTGAAGCCTTCCATTGCACTAACCCACCTAAAACATTCCATAAATAAAACTCCATTTCTCTCAAAGTGACAGATCTGATGGGGTGTTTGCAAAAAGTTTACCTATACTTTTTTTAAAAAGTCTTTTCTTTTGAAATGCTCTCAAATACAATATATATGCAGAAAAGTGCACAAATCCTAAATGTATATCTTAATGAATTATAGAAAGCTATCTAAATGAACTAATTCATGCTAGGGTACAGATACACTTCATTCATTTTAAAAGATGAGCTTCTTATCAAAAAGGAATTTCTAATTAGTGGCATTACAACTTTGAAGCCAACATGGTATGTATATTCAACCAATGTAATAAAACACTCCAGTTCTGATATGAGACAAATGTTTCTAATCATTTTCGGGCTGAAATTCTACCCTAGAGAAGCTTGCTTTATGAAACAATCAGGAATGAGATTTCAGGAAATTATGAGAACTTGACATGATCCTTTGAATTGATCTTCGAATGAGTTGTCTTTCATTTATTTTCTATGGGGAATTTTAGGATAATGAAGGAGCAAATATTTCTCCTTTTGAAATGTATGTTTTTGTTCATTACTGTTCTTGGGAGGGGTGAAGAATAAGGTGGTTCGTGTCTAGGAGTCTGCAAGTACATAAGCCTACTACATACAGTGCTTTGGGTAAAAACTGACATCAAATTTGCTTTGGCATACACCTGTATTGTCCTCAACAACTGCCTTAAAATTTGGCTTTCCCAGTCATTACCCTCACTCAGCATCTCCTTGATCTCTCCTCTCCATATTCAAACACATTTTGAAGGCTTCCTGTCTTCTCTCTCTCTCTCTCTCTCTCTCTCTGTATACACACCCCATTCTCAGGGAAGAAAACTATCTTGTTAACCTGACAACCTTACCTAAACTTATTGGAGAGAGCAGAATTCAAACCCTATGGCAATCTTTTGGCAATGTCCTGGAGGATTTGTGTCCCCAAGACAGGGATTTCAGAAAGGGGAATATACAAATCTAGCAGTAAGATACTTTTTCTCAGCAGGAGTTTCTAGTCTCTTTCAAATACCTTGCAATAGAGGATGGCTTGCTCCAATACACACCCGCGGTTCTATGAGTCTGTACTGAAGTCGGATATCCATAATATTTTCCCCAACATCCTATCATTTTTCTCCCTTGACAACCATGTTTTGAGAACTTGAAGCAACAGATATGAAGAGTCTTAAGGGATTGCATCAATGTACGCTAAGATTAGTCTCTACCACATAGTCCAATGACACGGTTTTAGGTTCAGAAGGGATGCTCTACACCCACAGAATCCCACCGAGTTCAGGTGCCAGCTCAGAGAACTCATCACCTTCCTGTTTCCCTTCAAGAGTTAACTGATGGGATAGTATGCAAAGCACATGCGTTCTTGCTGCCAAAATAGCAGCCAAAACTGCCTGCCTAGATGTGTAAGATCCCATGAAATGTCTTGGCAAAAGCTAGTTTAGGAGTGTTGGCCAAGGTGCTGAAGCGAAGCAAGGGGAGTCAGGACCACCTTTGCCACTGAATCTCCCCTCCCCCACCTCTTTTTAAAGACAGCGAGCTTATTCATTTTGACAAGATACCCTAGGATTTCAAATCTGACATAATTTTGGAGAAAGCAGTGCGTGTGTGTGTGTGTGTGTGTGTGTGTGTGTGTGGTGTAGAAGGGTATCTGGGATACATAATCTTTATAGAAATTCTAGTGCCACAAAAATTCTAGGAGGATCTACATTTAAAAAAACACACAACAGTTTAAGCTGTTTATTCCAATTGAACGCTGTGTGTTTCCATCAGATCCTCAGTGAGATTCAGTCCAATGAGTCAATTGCAAAATAAAGTTTTTGTCAAGGGAATGGCAGAAAATGACAAAACCACAATTCTGAATGATCATTCAAAAGTAAAAAGTACTTTCTACTACTGTGTGGAGATTTTCTTATCTCTACTTTTACTCGAATTGAATCTTTTCTTCTAATGTTCTTTTGAACAGTTTGTCTTTGGTGTCCTGAAAATGTGCACGCTGATAGCAGTACCACATGCTGTCCCTGGCACAGAGTGAGCTAACAGTTGAACCACCTCTGGGTAACTGCGGACTGCAGCTAGTGTAAGTGCAAGAGAAGGCACCCTGGCCACCAATTCGTTTCACACTCCAATCACCCCCGCCCGCTCTACACCCCCTGGGCACCCGATGCCTCTTCCCTCTGCCAGGCAATTTGCTTCCGTTCTGTTCAACTTTCCGACCTCTGGCTTTAGAGAATAGTCCTGGCTGTGGGAACTGGCTCTGGGAAGCTTTTGGCGCCCTCCTCATTGGTGACTGGCAAGAGTAACACTTTCACACTCTTAAAAAGAGCCGTTTAGTTCCTAATGATATTTTCTGGCAAAAAAGAAAATGAAACACACAACCCGGATTCCGGTCCACCAAACGCAGGCCAAGAGCGCGGCTGCTGAGCCCCGGTCTTGCTGTGAGGCTGTTGTTCCCACTCGCTTCCCGTTTCCACTAGAGTTGATTTGTCTCTTGCCACCTCTCCCCGGCAGTGTGGACCTACTGCAACGCAGGAACATCTGGGTTGGTATGGATAGGATCCTAGCATCAGATGCTGGCTGCTGCCCCAGGGACTTCCCGCGGAAATCACCCAGCACTTAGAAGCCGTTTCAATAAGGAAGTAACCAGTAAAGCATTGCTGGTGGGAGAACCCCGCGAAACATCTTAGAAAAATATCAGAAACCGCTGGAGACCTAATGACCCACGTCTCCTCCAGCCTGTGTTCCTCAGCCCTTTCTGGAGGAGTATTAAGTGGTTTGTGGGTTTTTACCCTGCGGTGGGAGGGCTGTTCCAAGTACATCTATTTCTGCGATAGTTAACGTCGGGGGGCCCCAGCTCTAACCAGGGCGAGGACCACGGACTGCATCCCTCTCTCTCAGCGCACTGGTCTGTTTACTGGAGGGTGAGAGGGACGCGCAGACCTCCGGACTCAGGGGTTCTGTTCTGTAGATCCCCCCACCCCACCCGGGGTCTCTGGCACTCGTATCACTTAGCACCAGTGTGACTGGCGGTGCATTCCGGCCCCCTCGCGCCCCATTAAAGCCCCTGCACATCCTCTCCCACGCTGCGCTTCTGCTACCCACGCAGCTGCTCCTCTGAGCGTCCCGCGTGCACAAACGCGCCCCCGGTCCTTACGCGTCGGTGGCGCTGCCTCGCTGAGGTGGCGCCGGGGGAGCCCGCAGAGGCGGCGGGGGAGGGAGTGCGGAGGAGAGGACCCGTGAGCTGCGGGGACCTGGGCCCGCCGAGCTTTTGGGGAAGCTGGGCTCCGTTCCCCCCGGGCGCCTGGGGCGCGCGGGAAGGCGCGGAGGACGCGCCGCACTCACCCGCTGCTGCTGCCGGCTGCTGACTGCCACCGCGGCGGCGGACGCGGCGCTGTGCCGGAGCTCGGCCGCCTGCCCAGGTCTCAACAGGCTCCGGGTGAACCTGCGGGTCCGCTCACCGGCCATCGCCGGTCACGCCAATCGCGCCGCGGGCCCGGGGCGCGCCTCCCGCCGGTCTTCCCCGCGCCAACCTTCTCTATCCACCCGCCGTTCAGGAAGCGGAACTCGGAGCCTTCCCCCCCCTCTTCCTCGCTCAACTCGCAAGAGGCGGGTTTTTCTCTCTTGCACCCCCACTCTTCCCACCCCCTTCCCTCCTCTGAAGCTTCTCGAAGACTTTCCAAACTCTGCGCTCCCCCGGGCGCGCGCGGCCAACTCGGCTGGCGGCCGGGCCCTGCAGCGGCGCATCTGGAGCGGGCGTCGCGGGACGCGTGTGGGGCGGCTCCTGCCCGCGCCGCCCACACGGGCTCAGCTGGCCGGCCGGGGCTGTCCACGCCGCCCGGGGGAACTGCAGGCTGCGGGGGAGGGCGGGGGGCGGCCGCCGAGGGGCTCCGGGCGGGGCCTGTCCAAGGCCGTCGCCTGTCCAAGGCCGTCAGCCTCATTTGGAGGTTGCTGGGAGAGTTGGAGCCCTGGATGCATTTGCCGTTTAGACTTCTATTTTCTGGGTCCGGCTAGTGGGTGGGGGCCAAGCTCGGTTCGCCCTTCCACCCTCGGGAAGGGGTCAGAGGCTTATTAAAGATCTGGTGGCTGGGATCCCAGCAGCATCGCCCAAGCCAGCGTTTGGAAGGCTCCCTTGCCAGAAGTCCATGTTCAGGGCCTTGGAATAAGCTTCCCCATTCATTCACTCCTTCAATGAGTATTTATTAAGCGCCTACTATATGCCAGCTCACACTGTTCTGGAAACTGAGGATACGGAGAGGAACTTAGCAACTACACTTTAAGGCTGTGTAGAGCTGATAGGTTTTTTCGGGGTAGGGGTGGGAGACAGCAAGTAACCAAGCGAACAAATAAACAAATACAGAGAAATCAAGGAGACAGTTTAAGCTACTAACACGAACTCAAAACCAATAAATCAGCGTTCTGGGGGTAAGAGACTTTGGGTGGCATTAGGATGAGTAGGCAAGAACCAACTGGCAGGGTTACTATGTAGGGTGGTCAGGTCGGGGGTGGATTTCACAGTTATGCTGTCTCTGCTCTTCTCTTGCCCATACCCATCTAGCCTGCACTTTGCCTCTAGATAGGTATCTGATGAAAGCCTTCTAAGAAGTCTCTTCCTGGGTCATACCCAGGGTGGTTCTGCAATTCAGTGTTGGACTGGATGGGGGGCAGAGAAGTTCTGGCCCCTGGATACTGGTCTGGAGAGATCTGGGACAGCCTTTCCAAGTGGTCTGGTTTTTTCTTAACAGCTTTTTATGGATCCATGACCCTGCCACTTTCTAAAGCCAATGATAGATAGTTATAACACAAGGTCACATTTGGGTATAAAGAATTCTTAAGCAATTGATAAATGCACTTTAGTCAGCTCTTTGTTAGCCAGGATTCAATTAGCCAGAGATGCTGTTTGGGGATCATTTCAGCACATTCTAGAAATCATAACAGGCGTAAGAGGGTAAGAGGCTCTGGCAGATTTGGGAAGTGCCATTTGAAACATCATCTAGTTCCAAGACAGCCTGCATAACAAATAACTGTACCTGTATTGTATGCTTTCATATTGGTACTCAGTGTGGGAGCAACACCACCTTTCAGGGTAAGCAAAGTAGGTGGTTGCCTCTGTGTTGGTACATGAAGATCTCTGTAGGAACAGCTCCCTCCAACCGTACCCTTTCCCAGGTGTACCCAGACTTGATGTCTCTGAATGCATATTCCCCTGAGAGAACCGATTAAGCACATTTGAATTAACTTGAGCTTCCCAAGAAGAGGTACCTAATCTTTGTCTCTGGTTTCAAAACACTGCCTGGCACACGTAGGCACTCAATAAATATCAGCTTATGGATGACTTTACAAAGGGCTCAGATGGGCTAGTGCAGTCAGAGAGCTGGGTGTGCCTGACACAGAGAAAGTCAGAGAGGAGAAGAGAAAGGTGTGCTGAAAGGGAAGGCTATAGTAATCGATAATACATCAGAATGTGCCCTGCACAAGGCAACTCGCTGATCCAAAACACTGAGTAGCACACACAACCCAATCTCCAACAATATCGAGTAACAGAAAGTCACTTACAATTTGTTAATCGTACAATTAATACACCTAATTGTACTTTTTCCAGCTTCAGGAGGTCACCCAGAGCACTGGTGTGAGAGGGTTTAACGAACAAATGCCTGTTTGCCCAATCCATACCCTGTATGATGTTAATTCCGTGGGTCACACCGAGTAGGAAGGCAGGTTTAAGTGTTGATAGCATACCTCTCACACCCAGGGCATGTCAATAATGATACTTCAGAGACTCTCCTCCGCCCTTATGATCATGTAGGTTTTAGTTAAGCTTCCTTCGGGCACCAAGGAGAGAGAGCTGAGTGTCGACCCTTGCCCCTGCCCTTGTAGCATAAATACACTTATTTTTTGCTACAGAAATGTAACTTCAGGTCTGCTGATTTGGGACCTTGACTCTGCTGGCCACCCATCTCTCAGATCCCTGGAGAAACTCGGCTCAGATGCTTGGTAAACGCAAATCTGTGCACATATCATGAAGTATGTTAAGTTTCTTGGAACAGCTAGTTAATAAGAGAATCTTCAAGGGCTTGTAATATTGTAGAATAGTGGTTAAAATACATGCTCTGAAGTCCAATTACCTTTGTTCAAATCCCAACTCCGTAAGCCTCAGTTTCTTACCTACGCAATCAAGATAGTAGTTGTGTGGCTGGGCTGCTGAGAGAGTTACTTAAATTAGTGTAAATTTCTTCAAAAGTGACTAGCACATGGACTTCAATAACTGTTATTATCCCTACACTTGCAGATAACTCAGGAATTAAACAAGCTTCCATGTCTTTTCATATATTTGATTCTCATATGAACCCTGTTATTATTCCTACACTTGCAGATAACTCAGGAATTAAACAAACTTCCATGTCTTTTCATATATTTGATTCTCATATGAACCTTTGCGAGAAGAAGGATGGATGGGTATTATCTTGGAGCCAAGGCTGGGGATTTAATGAGCATTCTGGAGACAATGTCTTAACCCAAATCAATGACTATGGAATTTCATGAACAAGAATAACAATAACAATGTAATCCTTATAGTATTAACCCACTATTGTGTAACAATATGTAACTATAACATAATGTGCTACAGTTTGGATAATAGTTTCACATATATTATTTCACTTGAATTTTAATATATTATAAAATGGGGTTGTTCAGCCCATCTATCCCATGTCTCGCTGTCTAAAATTGTAGATGGATCATTAAAAGAGCTCCCCAAATGCATGGAACAGACATTTTAGAAACCAGTGGTTGCAAATTTTGCTAAATGTTCTCAAATCAAGATTGTACTAATACATAGAATGCAGAGGCTGCAATCAAGTTTTATCAGTGTTTGAATTTGCCAATTCATTTGAGTTGTCACGAGACAAGCCATTCACTGAGGAAGAAATAACCCCACTCAACAGACACTTATGGAATATCAACTATGGACAGGATCTCACACTATGCTAGGAGGGCACAGAGCTGAGCAAAATGTTTCTGTCTCCAAAAAGCTCAATTTCATACAGAGGAACTGACTTAAAAAACATTACTGGTGCTCATGGGTGAGTGGGTAGGGGGTGAGAGTAAGATTTTGGAGATGGAGCGTCTATGGACCCATGTTAACATTTTATACTTCATATTTTTATGACTTTTTAAATAAGATTGAAAAAATTGGTCTCAATAACATGGAATTTTCTAGCCTTCTCTTTCTCTTCCCCTCTTTACTTACCTCCTTTTCTCTCTTCTTCTTTCTTCCTTTCTCTCTTTGTCCTTTTCTTTCCTTCCCTCACTGCTTCCTCCCTTCCTTCCCTTCTTCCTTCTTTAAAATTTGATACTCTTCTTATTCATACTAAAGCATCACTTACTTTCATAAGATGTAGTAAGCACTGATTACTTGACCTGGTACAATTCAAAGCTTTATAGAATTAAGAAACCACAACTGTCAATAGCCCTCTCCTGTCATCCTTCTACATGACTGTGTCCATGTCTTATCAGCAAGGAAAGACTTCAGAAATTTTTTCATAGCAGTAATAAGTATAAATGTGAAAACTGTACTATATTTTCCAAAATACCTACAGACATAAGAGTGTGTAAATTTAGTTATTAGTCTAGGAGTGTGACTCTTGGACGAATAACTAAATTTGCACACTAAATGACTAAATTAGATCTTGATACCCAGAGATTGTAGGAGGTGGGGCAAATACTCCTTGCATCCATTCCATGGCATTGAGCCACCCTTCCTAAGTGATACCAAGCCCAGTGTACCCTGGGTGTCAGCCTGGGCATCACCATGTCCCAGTGCTTAACTATATCAAGTTTGTCTAGTGTTGCACCATTTACAAAGCACACTCATTATTTCATTTGATTCTCAATCATTCATTCTAAAATGCACATGGGACATGTGATATTGCCCCCACCGTACATAAGGGAAAGCTGGGAGAGAATTTGATAGCATGGAAATTAGGAGGGAAATTTTGCTAATTAATAAAAAAGAAAGATACAGAAATAGGAATACAAATGCCCAAGTTAAAATGGTTTTCTGATATTATAGGAAGCCTTCCTTTATTTTATTTTATTAATTATTATTATTATTTATTATACTTTAAATTCTGGGATACATGTGCAGAACGTGCAGGTTTGTTACATAGGTATACATGTGCCATGTTGGTTTGCTGCACCCATCAACCTGTCTTCCAGGTTTTCTGTGTGATTTTCCTCTCCCTGTGTCCATGTGTTCTCATTGTTCAACTTCCACTTATGAGTGAGAATATGTGGTGTTTGGTTTTCTGTTTCTGTGTTAGTTTGCTGAGAATGATGGTTTCCGGCTTCATCCATGTCCCTGCAAATGACATGAACTCATTCTTTTTTATGGGGGCACAGTATTCCATGGTGTATATGTGCCACATTTTCTTTATCCAGTCTATCACTGATGGGCATTTGGGTTGGTTCTAGTTCTTTGCTATTGTAAATAGTGCTGCAGTAAACATATGTGTGCATGTGTCTTTACAGTAGAATGATTTATAATCCTTTGGGTATATACCCAGCAATGGGATTGCTGGGTCAAATGGAATTTCTTGTTCTAGATCCTTGAGGAATCACCACACTGTCTTCCACAATGGTTGAACTAATTTACACTCCCAACAGTGTAAAAGCATTCCTATTTCTCCACATCCTCTCCAGCATCTGTTGTTTCCTGACATTTTAACGATCGCTATTCTAACTGGAGTGAGATGGTATCTCATTGTGGTTTTGATTTGCATTTCTCTAATGACCAGTGATGAATGAGCTTTTTTTCATATGTTTGTTGGCCACATAAATGTTTTGTTTTGAGAAGTGTCTGTTCATATCCGTCACCGACTTTCTGATGGGGTTGTTTCTTTTTTTCTTGTAAATTTGTTTAAATTCCTTGTAGATTCTGGATATTAGACCTTTGTCAGATGGATAGATTGCAAAAATTTTCTCCCATTCTGTAGGTTGCCTATTCACTCTGATGATAGTTTCTTTTGTTGTGCAGAAACTCTTTAATTAGATCCCATTTGTCAATTTTGAGGAAACCTTCCTTTATTAAGGGAAAAGTATATTTGTCTTATTTTTACAATAGAAATGGAGGTCCACAGAGGCAGGTGACTTGCCTTGATAATGTAGTAGTGTAATTGGGTGGGTAAATTAAAATAATTTTGTTTATTGAAAGTATAATGCTTGTCATATTCAGCAATAAGTAAAGTATCAGAATTGTAAACCAAATTGTTGGAAAAATACTTTGCCACAGCACATCTTGATTCCTAACACTAAGAAAAAAATAAGCAATTGAATGTACATCCAGTGGTGTTTTGGCTGAATACTATTTCATAAGATACATTTTTCCTAACCTTACCAAGAGAATATTAAAGAGCTACAAGAAAAATATGGTTTGAAAGGTATGATATTAATGGGGTCTATTAGTTCTTGAGTTCTTGCTGGAGCTGAAGCCATCTGAAAAAGCTGAGTGCCTCCATGTTGTCTATGGAAAAAGGTATTAAATCTGATATGTATTTCTTACTGTGTTTAGAAGACAGATCACTTCTTGGGAGAAAATTACACTTAAAGTAATATGATTTGAATCTGAAACACTGCCAGGCTGTATATCGTGCCAATACGCATGCAGTGTGGCATTCTATCACTATTAGTCCACCAGAATCCTTGGGGCATAGTGCAAACAGAGGTACATGATTGAAAGAAAAGAATGACTATTTTTAACTGGCAACCAGTCTCTAGGTTCTCTATCCTACTTTGGCTTTTATTTGTAGTCTAGCCTAAGGGAATTAATGTCCCAGGATCTTTTTTTCCTCCATCTGTAAAAGTTACTCAGAGGCAGATTTTGGCTCCATATGAAGAAGGAAAAGATTAGTAAATATTAGATGGGAACATTTTTATTTCTTACGTGCATAATTAAACCCTTGTACTTACTTTATTTTTCCAGACATTTTAATGTTCTCCTCCATTTTTCCAGTGTGGTGATTACTCCTGATATCTACTAGTCTCACAGAAATAGAACTTGATATGTAAAAAAGTTCTATCATAATTATTTCTTTTGTTTCTTAAAGAGAGCAACATAAAAATAAATCTGTTGTCTAATATTTCATTGAGAATTTTGCATCTACACATATGAGTGACATTGGTCTACCTTTTTTATTTTTGGAACTAATGTGACATTTTGCCAGGGAGATTTTTCTGGCTTCCTTAATTAAATTGGAGAGCTTTCTGCCTCTTTCCATGGTCTACAGCAATTTAAATAACATTGGGCTTATTCGTTCTCCAATGGTTGGATACAATCCAGCTGTGGAACCATCTGGTTTTGGTACATTTTTTAATAGGAGATCTATAATCATTTTCAAATCCCTTGTATGGTAATTGGTCTATTCAAGATTTTTCACATCTTTTATTTCTTAATAATTTATATTTTACTAATAATATCATCCCATTTTTCTAGATTTTAGAAATGTTTGCCTTAGAATTGCATGTAACACTGAATGATATGTGTTCCCTTCTGTTATGTATTCTTTAAAATTTTATTATAAATATTTTAAACATGGCTAAAAAGTATTACAAAGAACACAATGAATACTCATAAATCCTCCAGGTATATTAAACTATTTTAAATTGGAGAAATCATGACCTTTCATCTCTACATAGCTCAGCATTTATCTCCAAAAAGTAAGAATATTCTCCTACATAACTGCAATATTATTTAACACATTGAATTCAACAACAATTCCTTCATTTTTTTTGTCATCCAGGTCATATTTGAATTTCTCCAATTGTCCCCCAAATAACTTTTTCTCAGCTGATTTGATCAATCTCAAATTTAATCTTGAAGATGCATTGCTTTGGTTGTCATGTCTCTTAAGACTTTAATTTGAAACCATTCTCCTCCCATTTTTGATAATGACTTTGACTTTTCGAAGAGACCAAGCCAGTTATTCCAAGTTTTGTTATCTTTTGCTAACATTTAATTTTTTGTTGTTGTTGTTTTTTTGAGATAGAGTCTCGCTCTGTTGCCCAGGCTGGAGTGCACTGACGCGAACTCGGCTCACTGCAACCTCCGCCTCCCAGGTTCAAGCGATTCTCCTGCCTCAGCCTCCTGAGTAGCTGAGATTACAGGTGCGCGCCATCATGCCCAGCTAATTTTTGTATTTTTAGTAGAGACACGGTTTTGCCATATTGGCCAGGCTTGTCTCAAACTCCTGACCTCGTGATCTGCCCACCTCAGCCTCCCAAAGTGCTAGGATTACAGGCGTGAGCCACCGTGCCAAGCCTAATTTGTTGCTTTTTATCTGAAGCCTTTTAAAATACATACTTTAAAAAAATTATTTTTTTTAAATTTGCACATAACAATTATACAATGCACTGTGATCAGATCAGGGTGATTAGCATATTCATTGTCTCAAACATTTGCCATTTCTTTGTGTTAAGAATAATCAATATTCTCTTTCTAGCTATTTGAAACTGTATAGTAACATTATTGTTAACTATAGTCATTCTACAGTGTTATGAAACACTAGAACTTATTCCTTTTATCTAGCTGTAATTTTCTATCCTTTAACAAATGACTCCCTTTCTCTCCTTCTCCCTACCCTTCCTAGCCTCTAGCATTTTTTGTTCTAATGAGATCAACTCTTTTAAGCTACCACATATGAGTGAGAACATGAGTGGTTTAATTTTCTGTTCCTGGCTTATTTCAGTTAACATAATATCTTCTAGTTCCATCCATGTTACCTTGAATGACAGGATTTTATTCTTTGTATGGCCGAATAGTATTCTATGGTGTATATATAGCACTTTTTCTTTATCCATTCATCTGTTGTCAGACACCTGGGTTGATTCCGTATCTTGGCTATTGTGAACAGTGTTGCAATAAACATGGGGGTACAAATGCTTTTCATATAATGATTTCCTTTCCTTTGGATAAATGCCTAGTAGTAGGATTGCTGGATCATACGGTAGTTCTATTTGTAGTTTTTGAGGAGCTTTTATACTCTTCTTCACAGGGCTTTATTACTTTACATTCTTAAACAACAATGTATAAGAGTTCACTTTTCTCCACATCCTTGCCAGCATTTGTTATTTTTTTGTCTTTTTGATAATAACCATACTAATTGGAGTGAGATGATACCTCATCGTGGTTTTGATTTGCATTTCCCTGATAATTAGTGGAGTTAAGTATTCTTTCATATATTTTTTGACCATACGTATGTCTTCTTTTGAGAAATGTCTGTTCAGATCATTTGCCCATGTTTTAAGTCAGATTATTTGTTTTTTGTTGTAGAAATGTTTGAATGCCTTGTATATTCTGGATTTAGCCCTCTGTTGGTTTGAGAACATTTTCTCCCAATCTGTAGGTTGTGTTTTCACTCTGTTGATTGTTTCCTTTGCTGTGCAGAAAGTTTTTAGATTTTAAAATCCTTCCTCAATTAGTGGCTAATCGCTTTTCTCATTCTTAATCTCGAATATTTTTACTTCCTCCTTTTTTCCTTAATTGGGTTCTCAAGAGGGATTATCTACTGTAGTAGTCTCCTCAAGGAACTTGTAGTTGTTTTATTAGTTTGACTTTGTACTGTTTATTTTTTTCATTAATAAGCTATTTTCTTAACCAAGAGAGGAATATCAGATGCTATAGAAGAAAATATAGTACTATTTAAATACATAAAATCTTAAATCTTCATTATGGCAATATTAATAAAATGCCAGTATATAAATGACATAATTTAGTACATGTTTGTAATACAAATAAACAAGAAAAGCCAATATCTCTATTATATAAAGATCTCTTACTAACGGACAAGAAAAATATAAAAAATGAGCAAATTAGTAAAAAAGAAAGTCTAATACAAAAAGCCAAATTAAAAGAAAACAGAATAAATCATGCTGCTATAAAGACACATGCACACGTATGTTTATTGTGGCACTATTCCAAATAGCAAAGACTTGGAACCAACCCAAATGTCCATCAATGATAGACTGGATTAAGAAAATGTGGCACATATACACCATGGAATACTATGCAGCCATAAAAAAGGATGAGTTCATGTCCTTTATAGGGACATGGATGAAGCTGGAAACCATCATTCTGAGCAAACTATCGCAAGGACAGAAAGCCAAACACCACATGTTCTCACTCATGGGTGGGAATTGAACAATGAGAACACATGGACACAGGGTACAGAACATCACACACTGGGGCCTGCTGGGGGGTGGGGAGATGGGGGAGGGATAGCATTAGGGGATATACCTAATGTAAAGGATGAGTTAACAGGTGCAGCATACCAACATGGCACATGTATACATATGTAACAAACCTTCATGTTGTGCACATGTACCCTAGAACTTAAAGTGAAAAAAAAAAAACAGAAAATCTCAATCTCAAATTCTGTGCCCATTTTAAATTGTATTGTCAGTCTTTTTCTTACTGGTTTTTTAAATTTAATTTGTATTTTTTGGATACAAGTATTTCATCAAATATATATGCATATATGATTTGTTGTTTTTAATATTGCACGTTGCTCAATAATTAGAAGTCATAGCATTATTTTGCTGTTTTCCTTACATATTCAGAGAACGTTATACCAAATGTATACTTATCAAATGTGATTGTTTATCTTTTAAAAGAGATAGAGGAAGCATTTTTCCTAATAGTCTCAGAAAGAAATACATTAACACTTCCAAAGTTTTAGATGAATGCTACAAAGTTTATAAGGCTTCTGAAGTTTTTCAAAACATTAATTTCATACCCTGATCAAGTGAGCTGAAGACAGTTGGAGAAAACATATTTTGGGTTTGTTTATGTACATGTATAATTGATTTAAAGAAACCATTTTTTTTTCCAGGAAATGTTTCTCTTAAAAAATATCTTTCAGTTGTCACAGCTCCCTTCCAGTCATGTGGTTTTTGTGTATACTTGTATTTGCACTAACCCATTTCCTGTGCATGGACTCTGCTTGCCTTTGCTCTTGCTGTGGTAAAAAGAAGTGAAATAGAAATATCACAGCATTGCCCAGAGCTCAGTTTTTGAAAGGGTGTAAGGCAGAGGAAGGAAAGCAATGCAAACTGTGCAGCATTTCTGAAGCCCAAAGCAAAAATGGCAGATTGACTGGTCTTGGGGATGTCTATTCAAATAAAAGCCAGTGGGTTTTTGTTCTTCCCCCCATGATCATTAGAATTTATTAATACAACTAGATTAGGGTTTTTTGTAGCTTTATCTTTTAGCAGTTTCTCATGTGTAGGCTTGAAAATGTGTTTCTGTTCTGAGCTAATCATGAATATTGTCCCCTTTCTCCTTATTTGTTGATTTGCTAGAGGGACAAAAAGAAGTAAAATAGCTATTTTTATTGAAATCTTAAAAGCAATGAGAGAGTCATTATCATGCAACTAGTCTAAAAATTCATAATAAAGTCAAAGTACTTTTTGTAGTTTTTAAAAAGGTGCTATTAGTGTCATCATGTGCACAAAGCTCCAAGCTGACATTAACAAGAGGCCTTCCTAACACTACCACACAGCCTGTTTGCTGTTACAGAAATGCTTAGACTGGAGCTACTTAAAAGCACCTGAGTATGAGTCCCAAGGCTCAATAAAATATTCGAGACCATCCTGGCCAATATGATGAAACGTCGTCTCTACTAAAAATACAAAAATTAGTCCGGTGGTGGCACACACCTTTAGTTCCAGCTACTCAAGGGGCTGAGGCAGGAGAATCACTTGAACTCAGGGGGAGGAGGCTGAAGTGAGCCGAGATCACGCCATTGTACTCCAGCCTGGGTTACCGAGCAAGACTCGTCTCAGAAAAAAAAAGAAAAAAATACACACAGACACACACACACACACACACACACACGTATATGTATTCCATACAGACATCAGGTTGGCACTACCCTTTTCTGCTTTTGTTTTCTTCTATATGTGTGTGTGTGTGTGTGTGTGTGTATATATATATATATTTTTTTTTTTAAATGGAGTTTCACTCTTGTCACCCAGGCTTGAGTGCAATGGGACAATCTTGGCTCACTGCAACCTCTGCCTTCTGGGTTCAAGCTATTTTCCTCCCTCAGCCTCCCTAGTAGCTGGGATTACAGGCACCTGCTACCACGCCTGCTAATTTTTGTATTTTTCATAGTGATGGGGTTTCATCATATCAGCCAGGCTGGTCTCGAACTCCTGACCTCAGGTGATCCACCTGCCTTAGCCTCCCAAAGTGTTGGGATTATAGGCGTGAGCGACTGTGCCTGGCCTTTGCTTCAATATTTATCCAACCAATTTTGATCAGTTGGATGACATTTACCTGTGAAAGTCAAACCTAGTAGTTAGTGTGTGAATCTACTTAATTGGCTTTAATTCAGTTGTTGGATGTATATTCTCTTGTTGAATTCACATTTTGGGCTGGGGTAGAGTGCCTGATGTATGATGCTAAGTCTGATTTTGAAAACTGCTGGGGCTATGCTTGCCTATGAGTGAATCAAAGCATTTCAGAGATTGTCAAAGCTGGAAGTGGGCCCAGCCCGGTGGCTCATGCCTGTACTCCCAGCACTTTGGGAGGCTGAAGTGGGGGAATCACTGGAGGTCAGGAGTTTGAGATCAGCCTGGCCAATATGGTGAAATCCCATTTATCTCTACTAAAAATACAAAAAAAATTAGCCGGGTATGGTAACAGGCGCCTCTAATCCCAGCTACTTGGGAAGCTGATGCAGGAGAATCACTTGAACCAAGGATGCAGAGGTTGCAGTGAGCCGAGATGGCGCCACTGCACTCCACTCCAGCCTGGCCCACACAGTGAGACTCCGTCTCAAAAAAAAAAAAAAAAAAAAAAAGCCGGAAGTGGCAGAGAAATTAAGCCATTTTGTTGTTGTTGTTGCTTTGCTTTGTTTTTATTGTTCCATTTTATAGGAAAGGAAGTAAAAACTCGAAAGCTAAGTGCTATATCTTAGATCAACTAGTTAGTGACAAAGCTGTTTTGTGGCAAAGGTAGAAATGCTACCAAGATGTACTAGTTTAGGGCTTAACCCAGTATACCATGAAGCCAGAAACATGAAGGGGAGGAAAGTTAAAGGCTAATAGCAGTGTTCTAGAAATACAGCACAGAACTGCTGGAGTCATCATCCTACCTACAAGGTCATGAATGGGACCAGGGAGGGACACCAATATCTGATATTTCCTTTTGTCTCATTTTTTTCCCCTGGCACTTCTCATATTTCAAGATTCAGATCTGAAACCATCTCCCTTAGGAGGTGTTTTCTCCTAGATCCATTCACATGCAAGTATAGCCCAAGCAGTTTTTTACCAGGAGACTCAGCAGTGTACATCTGTTAGATGCTCTCCTACATAATAAGATACTGTCTGTGTATTTTAGTTTTTTGTCCACTTGTCCTCTCTTCCATTAATAATAACTGCTATTAATCATTGAATACCTACCATGTACTAGACATTTTACCAAAATGTCTTTATAAAAGGTGAGTTGAGTTCTTGAAGAACCCTCCAAATTAGCTATGAGTATTTCTATTTTTACAGGTGAGGAAATGAGGTTTATACTAAGTGGTTTGACCAAGGTCATATCTAGTAAGCAGGAGAACCAAGATGAGAAATTGTATTTGTCAGGCTCCAAATCTCAAGTCATTTCTATGTGTTATACTGAATAAATTTAGGGTCTGATGACAGTGATAATGGATACTAGGTTTCCCTCATCATCCATCCCACTGCCCTTCTGACCTAGGGTAGTGAGGTTGGAAAGCTAAAACCCTACATTTCTCAAGCTCTCCTGAATCTAGGATTCTGAGTATGGTGTCAGGTCTGCCAAATAGAAGCACTTGTGTGGATTTGGAAGGCACACTGAAGTGCTAGCCACCCTCCAGCTGGGAAGCAAGGCAGGAAGGGATGTGAATGTTTAGAGGCAGTTTTGAAGTCCAAACTCAAAAATTCAGTGTGCTGTCACCAGCCATCAGGTTTAAGAGGCAGTTGAGGCAGTGACTGTGGTAGCAGCCACAGACACTTCCTGACATCTGAAACACAGTTATTATGAGGTGGACTCAGTAGTCCAGTAGGGGCCCCTGAGCGGGGGTTCATCTTGCCATTCCAATGATTTTATAAAAATACATTCTTGTATTAAATTGCTTGGCTTCAAATACCTAATGCTATACTACTATTTCAGATATCTATCATTACATAAAAAACCACTCCAAAACTCTGTGAAGCAAAACAAAGGTGATTCTGGGTTTGGTTGGAATCAGCTGGGCAGTTCTGACTCCCATGGTTTTCTGGGATCACTCATGTGACTACATTCAGCTAGGAGCTCTTTGAGGCTGGAACACCTAAGCCACTCTCACATGTCTGCAGAGGTGCCTTGGTACATTTCCTTATGGCCTCTCTTTCCACATGGCCTTTTGTCACTCAGTAGTTTGATCTGAGATTCCTTAGATGGTAGCTGGTTTTCAAGAAGGTGAAGCTTCCATGCCTCTGAAGGTCTAGATCTAGAAGTAATTCACTACATTCTTTTGGTCAAAGCAAGTTATGAGGCAAGCGCAGACCAAGACTCCATCTCCTGGTAGGAGGAGTGGTATGTATGTACCATAGTTACCACAAGGGCCAGATGTGAATCTAGGGAAGCAGGACCAGTGATTGGATACCCAAGTTAGACACAAGTTAACCTGCTTCTAAGCAGGATAAATACAAGTGAAAAATAGAAAAATCTGAGATCAACATGAACAAGAGAATGGATTTAGGTAGGAGGGAGTCTGTCCAAAGCTCTCATTCTCCCATTGTAATTCTGCACAGTGCATTTTATCATCTGTTTATGCAGCAAAATTTGTTTAGTATATAGTACTTGAATTAATCCATTCTAGTATAAATAAGTTCTACCTTCAAGGAGATAAATAAAAGAGTATGATACAATCTACAAACACATACAGTGACTCACTAGCTCTGCTAGGCAGTCAGGAAACCAGTCTAGGCAAGGTCACCCTTAAGGACGGGCTTCTTTCACTTAGTGAAATACATTTAAGCTTCTTTTATATCTGTTTAGGCTTGATAGCTCATTTCTTTTTAGAGCCAAATACAAAATATTATTGCATTGTATAGATGTACCACAGCTTAATTTATATATTTACCTACATTCACCAAAGACATCTTAGTTCAAGTTTTGGCAATTAAGAATAAACCTGCTATCATACACATCTGCATGCAGGATTTTGTTCGTATGTAAGTTTTCAATTTATTTGGTAAATAACAATTGAAGATAGTTTGACAATTTCTTACAAAATTGAGTATACTCCTACCATTCATCCAGCAATACATCCAGTAAATATCAAGGAGCATGATTGCTGGATGTATGGTAAAACATGTTTAGTTTTGTAAGAAATTGCCAAACTGTCTTCCAAAGTGGCTGAACCATTTTACATTCCCAACAGCAATAAATGAGAATTCCTTTTACTTCACATTCTTCCAGTATTTGGTGTTGTTCTTGTTAAATATTTTGCCCATTTTAAAATCAGGTTGTTCATTTACTTATGGTTGATCTTTATGAGTTATTCGTGTATTTTGGATAACAGACCTTTATCAGATAGCCTTTTGCAATTTTTTCTCCTAGAATGTAACTTGTCTTTTCATTCTCATTTTCTTGATAGTGTCTTTCATAGAAGAATTTTTTAAAAATTTTAAAAAGTTGCTATGATTTGATTGTGTTCCCCAGAGTCCATGTGTTGGAAAATCAATCCCAAATGAGAGATGGAACTTTCAAGAGGTGATTAATACCGTTGTTGTGGGAGTGGGTTAGTAATCTTGAGAGTGGGTTACCAATAAAATAATGAGTTAGGCCTCTTCTCTCTTGTGCATGCTGTCTTGCCCTTCTACCTTCCTCTACGGGATAATGCAGCAAGAAGGGCTTTGCCAGATGCAGTCCCTTCTACCCTGGACTCCCCAGCCTCCTGAACTGTAAGAAATAAATCTCTGTTCTTTATAAATTACTCAATTTCAGGTATTCTGTTATAGCAGCACATGTTGGAATGAGATAGAAGTTCAACTTATCAATTGTTTCTTTCATGAATTATGTTTTTGGTATTTTATCTAAAAACTTATCATCAAATTCAAAGTCGTCTAGATTTTCTCCGATGTTATCTTCTAGAAGTTTTATAGTTTGCACTTGGCAATTAGGTCTATGACACATTTTGATTTAATTTTTGTGAAAGGTATAACACCTGTGTTTAGAATTTTATTTTTGTTTGCATGTGGATATTCAGCTGTTTCAGCACCATTTCTTTAAAAGGCTATCTTTTTTCCATTGAATTGCCTTTGCCCCTTTGTCAAAAATCAGTTGACTATATTGTGTGGGTCTATTTCTGGGCTGTCTCTTTTGTTCTGTTGAATTATTTGTTTATTTGTTCACCAATGCAATACAGTCTTCATTATTGCATCTTTATAGTAAGTCTTAAAGTTAGGTAGCATCAGTCCTCTGACTTTGTTTCCCTCTTTCAATATTGCATTGGCTATTATGATTATTTCTTTTGCTTTCCCATATAAACTTTAGAATTAGTTTGTCAATATTCATTAAGTAACTTGTTGGGGCTTTCATTAGGGTTGAGATGAATCTATAGATTAAATTGAGAAGAACTGACATCTCGCCAATATTGACTCTTCCTATCCATGAATGTAAAATATGTCTTCACTTATTTAATTATCTGAGTTATTTCATCAGGATTTGGTAGCTTTTCTTGTACAAATTTTATTCATACTTTGCCAGATATAAATCTAAATATCTCATTTTTGTGAGTGCTAATGTAAATGATAGTATGTTTTTAATGTGAAATTCTAATTGTTCCTTGTTGGTATATAGGAAAATGATTGGCTTCTGTAAATTAACCTAATATCCTGTAACCTTGCTATAATTACTTATTGCTTCCAGGAGATTGTTTTTATCAATTCTTTTGGATTTTCTACATAGATGATTATGTCATTTGTGAAAAAAGACATTCTATTTCTTCCTTCCCAATCTGTATACCTTTTATTTACTCTTCTTGTCTTACTGCGTTGGTTAGGACTTACAGTACAAGGTTAAAAAGGAATGGTGAAAGGAGACATCCTTGCCTTGACCCTGATTTTAAAGGGATAGCTTCTAGTTTCTCACTAGTATGCTAGTTGTACTTTTTTGTAGATATTCTAACAAGTCAAGGAAGTTCTCCTCTATTCCTTTTTTGCTGAGAGTTTTTATCATGAATCTGTGTTGGATTTTTTCAAATGCTTTCTCTGCATCTGTTGATATGATCATGTGGATTTTGCTCTTTAACCTGCTGAAGTTATGATTACATTAATTGATCTTCAAATGTTTAACCAGCCTTGGGATGATAAAATCCCTGGAATAAATCCCACTTGGTCATGGTATATAATTCTTTTTTACATTTGGATTAGATTTGCTAATATTTTGTTGAGAAGCTTTACACCTATGTTCATGAGAGATATTGGTCTGCAGTATTCTTTTCTTGTAATGTCTTTGTTTGGTTTTGATATTACGATAATGCTAGCCTCATAGAATGAGTTAGGATGTGTTCTTTGCTTCTATCTTCCAAAAAAAAAAATTGCGTAGAATCAGTACAATTTCTTAAATGTTTGACAGGATTCACCAGTAAGCACAGTTAGGCCTGGCACTTTCAGTTTTGGAAGGTTATTAATTATTGATTGAAATTCTTTAATATAGATATATAATATAAAATATAAGCCTATTCAGACTGCATATTTCTTCTGGTATAAATTTTGGTAGATTATGTCTTTTAAGAAGTTGGTCCATTTCATCTCAATTGTCAAATTTGTGGTCCTAGAGTTAATAGTATTGCTTTATTACTTTTTGATGTCCGTGGGACCTGTAGTGATATCTCCTTTTTCATTTCGATATTGGTAATTTGTATCTTCTCTTTTCTTCTTAGTTAGCCTGGCTAAAGATTTACAGGTTTTGTTATTATCTTATTTGTTTGTTTTTGTTTTTATTTTATTGAGAGGGAGTCTTGCTCTGTCACCCAGGCTGGAGTGCAGTGGTGTGATCTCAGCTCACTGCAACCTCCACCTACTGAGTTCAAGCGATTCTTCTGCCTCAGCCTCCCAAGTAGCTGGGACTACAGGCACCCGCCACCACGTCCGGCTATTGTATTTTTAGTAGAGATGGGGTTTCACCATATTGGCCAGGCTGGTCTCCAACTCCTGACCTTGTGATCTGCCCACCTCGGCTGACTTACTGGTTTTATCAATCTTTTCAAAGAACCAGGTTTGGTTTTGTTGATTTTCTCTGTTAATTTTTTATTTTCAATTCAATTTATTTAATTTATTTAATTAAATTGTTTTTAAAATTTCTTTTCTCCTAGTTTATTTGGACTTCATTTGTTCTTTTTTTTTTTTGCAGTTTTCTAAGGTGGAAATTTAGATTATTAATTTAAAATCTTTTCTAATATATTTGTTAAATATAAATTGCTCTTAAGCATTGGTTTCACTGCATCCCACATATTTTGATGTCATATTTTCATTTCACTTTATGCATTCTTTTTAAAAAATATGGAACATATATTAAAATTAACAGGTACTTGGGGAAAAAGGAATACACAGATAATACCGAAAATTGTAATTCTGTAAAATTTATTCCCTTTTCACGTACAAAAATACTACAAATCAATGGCAAAGATATAAATTTAAAGTTACCATATGTTTTGAAATTTAGAAATATACTTTTAAATATATTAAAAATCATAATGGAAATTAGATAATAGGTTGAGCTGATCTATAATATATATACTTTATATAAAATCACATGACATGTCTAAATCAGCACTTTGAAGGAAATTTATATCCTTATATTCTTATATTAATTAAAAACCCTAACAATTAGCAAGCTACATACCCTTTATAAGAAATTAGAAAATAGTAGCAAAATAAACCCAAAGAAAGTAGAAAGTAGACAATAATAAAAATGACAGCACAAATTAATGAAATAGGATACAAACATACAATGGAGAGACTTAACAAAGGCAAAATGGCTTTTTCAAGAAAAAAATGGTAAACCCCTAGGGAGACTGATCAAGACAATAGAAGAGAAGGCACACATAACCAACAGCAGGGTTATAATAAAATCCTACAGTAGATTATTAGAGGATATAATAAATAGAAAATCATTAATGACCAGCATAAATTTAAAAATTAGGAAACAAACTTGTGGCAAAAGCTAGAAAATTTACATGACATGGGAAAATTCCTGGAAAAATTTAGATTTAAAACTGACTTAATATGCAATAGAATATCACAAGGGTTCTCTAATCACTCAGGTAAATTGACTAAATCCATTATTGAAAAAATATTTCAGGCCCAGTGACTTTTCTGGGCAGTTCTATTTAACACTCAATGAAGAAGTAATTGCAAAATTATACATGAGCTTCTAAAGAATTCAAAAAGGAGCTACAAACTCCAGCTCATTTTATCAGGCTAGCACAACCTTGAGAGCATACACCAAAATGATAATATGAACGAATACAAATTACAGTTCAATCTAACTTGTGAACATAGGTTAAAAATATTTACAAAATATTAGCAAACAGAGCCTGAGTCAAAGATGTCTTTATGTTATGAACACATAGTTGATATAGCAGTTTAGACCCATTTATGCCTAGTGTTCCATTATTGGAACGTTAAGCATTTGGGAGTTATTTATACTCTACTGCTCAAGGTCATTGCCAAGGTCTGATTGCAAAAATTCAAAAAATTGCAAACTCAGGCATAGATGGGTTAAAATGAATAGATTTTTGTGACAGGATAAAGGAGAAAAAAATCATATGACCAACTCAATGATGCTGAAAAAGACATTTGATAAAATTATAGATTTCATGATATAAAATATCTTGCAAACAAAAAAAATGGAAGTTCCTGTATCTAAAAAAGGGAGTCTATATTTGAACAAACTAGTTACCAACAAAACAACTATTAAAAATATAACCTAATGGTGAATCAGGATTATATTGGGAGAAAGAAAGAAATTTTTACACAGTCACTACTAAGTTTCATTCAGTATTTTTCTTGGCATTCTACGTGGCAAAATATGGCAAAAAACAAACCAAACCAAATGTGTCTATAGGTCTTACAAGAGAAGACTAGAAATTGTGATTCACAGAGAATATGGTTGAGTAGTTAGTTACAAGAGTCAAAAGAATGTACTAATTACTAAATTACCAAATACTAAAGTTAATGAGAGATTAGCAAGTTTGCTGTATACTTATATAAAAATCAGTAATAAAATAACAAGTCAATCAATAATAATATGCAGAAATAGAAACAGAAAGAAAAAGTTTAAAAGATGCCATTTTAAATAGCATAAAAAGTGATGAGTAAATCGAAAATTTTAGTGAGTCAGCTAAGGGGAAAAATACAAAACTTTTAATGAGATCTAAATGCATAGAGAAATATACAACACTTATTGATTAGAAATGTCAACATTATAATGATGTCAGTTGTCACCAAATTGATTACCAATTGAAAACCAACTAAAAACTCATAAGTTTTACTTCTCTTGTAGAATTTGGCTTTTTAAAGGAGCTTGTGCAATTGTATCTTTTTTTCCTTGTTGTGGAGCAATTCCAGCCTCATCCCTCAGTAGCATGAGTGGGTTTCTTCTTCAAGGCCGGCAATGAAGGAAAGGCAAAAAAAGAAAAATGCTGTTAGCATCTAGAGCAGGGTAGAAGTTATTATCTCAATAGGTCCTGCTGGACAGCCTAACTAAGATATGATCCGATAGGTCCGTTCATTATCTTCAATATGCTTGATATCTTTTCTTATTTCTGCAGTTCGGTTCATGTCATCTCTCTGGCTTGGAATTTCCTCTATGCTTATGTCATTTCCAGCCATCATTCAAATTGCAGATGAAGCCATCTTTTCCTTTGATGCCTTCACTGACCATTCCAACAAACACTGCTTATTGAATTGGGGTGGGCAGTGCCGCTAGGGCTGATTGGCTGAACAACTCCCTCATTGTGTTAACCTTATATTAAGTCTCGTATCAGCTTGAGTAATTTAAGTCTTTGTAGCAGGAATGTAATTCCTCTTTGTTTCTCCCACAGTATCCTTATGTATCATCTACTCTATGGAGTATTGATAGAATACGTATTGTTATTTTCAGAGTTTGACTATAACAATTTGAAAATATATTACTTTGGGAGCTTACTTTATGTATCTTAAAGGCAGATAAAATAAATTCTTCTATTAATATATATGAAGAAAATGCCATACCATTCTCATTTATTATGATTAAATAAGGTTGTAAGTCCTTTGAACAAAAAACCAGCATCTGGTACTTTTATTGTTAACTTAATATTCACAGTGCTACATGCTGATGCTGTAATCTCTGTCATATAATGCTTTGTTGATAATGTCTTTAATACCTGGTCTCAATATTTCTGACTTTATTCCTCCTGTAATTCTCAAGGAATAAAAATAAAGTGTTTTAAATAATGCATTATTAAGATTTGCATATTCTCAAATGGGGCATATAACATACAATACAGATTTCTCAGTATCATTTATGTAATAATTAAGATATAATATTGATAGATACATAATGTAGTGAACTCAATAAGCAGAAACGATATGAAATATTTATTGAATCCATTCACATAACATATATTTATTATGAGACAGGCAATGTTAGGCACTGGAAATAGAAGGTAAGTAAGATAACCACATACCATACACTCTTCTTCTGGGACTCATTCTAGTTGAGGGGGGAAGACACTGTAGAAGGAGTTACACAGTTGATTATTACTTACAATTTTGGCAAATGTTGTCACAGAGAATTATGAAGTGTTAGGAGAGTGTATCAGAGTGGGACTTAAACTGGTCCGCTATGGAATTGGTAGTGGCTTGTATCTTTTATTTTGTTTCTTGGGAGTCAGAAATCAGAGTTTTCCACTACCTTTGTAGAATATAAACAAGCTGTCATTCAATTGCGAAAATAGACATGGAAAAATTCCACTCCTAATGTTCAGGATTCAGTCATTTAAGAATTATAACTATACCACAGACTTTGAAAATTAAACAAGTAACTTATGGTATGATTTAGACATTTAACAATGTGCTTTAAAAGTAAAAATTAAAAACACTCTAAAATTGATAGTTTTTATATTTAACTGTCAAATACCACAGGTCAGGGATGAATACACAGAATGATAGCTTTGGAGAAACCGTTGCTTCTGACCCATTAGTGCCCAAAATTCAGTTGCAGCAGATATTGCAATTATATGAAGAAATATTTTCAGGCATTTAGAACAACAGATCCCAAACATTCTCCTCTATAATAGATTACTCACTAATATTCTAATTTTGAAACAAGAAAAATTACCAAGTCCAAATTTGTTGTGAATGAGTGATTTGTGTCTTTGTCCAATCATGGGGTTAGTGACCTCTTTTTGGTAAGGTACAAGTCGTTTGATGGGGTCCTGAAGAGTAACGTGCTGTAAGTTGTGGTGAAAGAATGCTTTCATAAAAAGGTTATTTGAAACTTTTGTTTTTATATGTGTATTAATTTCCTGTGGATGTTGTACCACAGACTTAGTGTGGTTTCTAGTTCTAGATAAAGACAAGACCCATTTATTCTCTTTCAGTTTGGAAAGTCAGATGTCCACAGTCAGTTTCACTGGGCTGAAACTGAGGTGTTGGCAGGGCCCTTACCAGTGTCTAGAGCTGCATGTTTTGCTTGTCTTTTTTCATGCCTCTTCATCCATGTTCATGATTGGCAGTGTAGCATCTTCAAATCTTTTTCTGCTCCATCTTCACATCACTTTCTCCTCCTCTCTGTCTGAAATCTCCCTCTGCCTATACTTGAAAGAACACCCGTGATGTCACTTAGGGGCAACCCAAATAGCCCATGATAATAAGGCAGCATCCACAAGTTCCAGGGACGAAGGCAGAGATACCTTTTGAGAGAGTGTATTAGTTCATTCTCACATTGCTATAAAGAACTACCTGAGATTGGGTAGTTTATAAAGAAAAGAGGTTTAATTGACCCATAGATCCACAGGCTGTACAGGAGGCATGGCTGGGGAGGCCTCAGGGAACTTACAATCATGGTGGAAGGCAAAGGGGAAGCAAGCATCATCCTCACATGGTGGAGAAGGAGAGAGAGAGTGAAGTGGGAAGTGCTACACACTTTCAAACAACCAGCTCTCATGAGAACCCACTCACTATCATAAGAATATCACAAGTCCTCTCTTATGATTCAGTTACCTCCTACCAGGTCTCTTCCCCAACATTAGGGATTACTATTCTACATGAGATTTAGGTGGGGACACAGAGTCAAACCATATCAGAGAGGGAGGGCATTTTTCAGCCTGTCACAATATATCCTTTTACTTTCATGCATTATGTGTATAGCTTTGAGAGTAGCCCAAATGCTTAGGTTTTATTTATTTTTCATTAGATAATGTATTTTTAATTTTTTTCCAGAATTTAATTTTGTTTTATTGAACTTCCTAGGAAGAAATTCTTCCGCTTGACTTTACTTGGAAGAAATTTAAAAGCCTGTTCACTTTTTCTCGGCAGATGAATCACAGTGAAAATCACTAATCATGTTGTCATTTATAAAATGGAATTGACATATACAGTTTTCATAGGCTCCTACCATAAAGCTGTGACAAGGCCAAGCTCTGTATTTCTCCTCACCAGGGAAGATTCAGTACTTTTGTGAAGTAGTGCACCTTATTTATCCTTTTGTTTGAGAGTATTAAAATAGTTGCATCAAGAACGAAAAAAAAAAAATGTTGAAGTGTCCATGGCACATCAATGCTATATTACTTTCCAATACTAAATAACTATGTCTTTTTGGGGGACAGCTTTCATTCTATAATTTTGTAAGTATAACTAATGTTTCCAGTAAATGCTGTGAACTAGAATAAAATTATTATCCTGGAATAGCCAATTAGTAGGACAAGTTACACACGGTAGATAATGGTCTGGAACTTATCAAAAAAGCTGAGTAGATCTTTAATGTTTTCCCCAAAAAGATATTTATCAGTTGAGATGTATTTAGTTTAAGACAGGAAATCCAACTCAAATAATGAAGTAGAATTTTTTGTCATTGTTTCAGTAACTAGATGAAGTTCCAGATATAGAGCAGGTTTCAGGTTTGATTTAACTTAATGACTCAAATATGTTAATAGTCTAGTCTCTTTCTCTTTCTGATTCTGTCCTTTGCCTTCCATATATCATCTTCCATGTATCATTTTCCTCTTATGTTCAAATTTAAGGTACCGAGAGGACACTGAAAACAAATTTGACAATAGATGCATACAATCGTCTCTCACAAACTAGTATGAATTTAGCTCTAGCATGCTTATATGGCTTGGCTTGGTGTCCCCACCCAAATCTCATCTCAAATTGTAATCCCCACATGTTGAAGGAGGGACCTGGTGGGAGGTGATTGTATCATGGGGTTAGATTTCTCCCTTGCTCTTCTTCTGATAGTGGGTTATCATGAGATCTGGTTCTTTAATAAGGGTCTGACGCTCTCCCCCCAAATCCTGCAGCTATGTAACATGTGCCTTGCTTCCCCTTCACCTTCCACCATGATTGTAAGTTTCCTGAGGTCTCCCCAGCCATGGGGAATTGTGAGTCAATAAACCTCTTTTGTTTATAAATTACCCAGTCTCAGGTATTATCTTTATAGTAGTGCGAAATGGACTAATACAGAGAATTGGTATGGGGCATGGGGCACTGCTATAAAGATAACCTGAAAATGTGGAAGTGACTTTGGAACTGGGTAACAGGTAGAACTTGAAACAGTTAGGAGGGCTTAGAAGAAGACAGGAAGATGTGGGAAACTTTGAAACTTCCTAGAGACTTGTTGAATGGCTTTGATCCGAATGTTGATAGTGATATGGACAATGAAGTCCAGGTTGAGGTGGTCTCAGATGGAGATGAGGAACTTATTGGGAACTGGAGCAAAGGTCACTCTTGCTATGCTTTAGCAAAAAGACTGGTGGCATTTTGACCCTGTCCTGGAGATCTGTGGAACTATCAACTTGAGAGAGATGATTTTGGGTATCTGGCAGAAGAAATTTCTAAGCAGCAAAGCATTCAAGAGGTCACCTGGCTTATTCTGAAAGCATTCAATTATATGCTTTCACAAAGAGAAGGTTTGAAATTGGAACTTATGTTTAAAAGGGAAACAGAGCATAAATGTTTGGAGAATTTGCAGCCTGACCATGTGGTAGAAAAGAGAAACCCATTTTCCGGGGAGGAATTTCAGCTTGCTGCAGAAATTTGCATAAGTAACAAGGAGCCAAATGTTAATAGCCAAGACAATGGGGAAAATGTCTCCAGGGCATGTCAGAGACCTTCACGACAGACAAGCCCTTCCATCACTGGCCCAGAGGCCTAAGAAGAAAAGATAGCTTCATTGGCCAGGTCCAGGGCCTTCCTGCTCTGTGCAGGTTTTGGGTTTGGGGCTCTGTATCCCAGCAGCTCTAGCTGTGGCTAAAATGGGTCAAGGTACAGCTTATGCCATTGCTTCAGAGTATGCAAGCCCCAAGCCTTAGTGGCTTCCACATGATGCTGGTTCTGCAGCTGTGCAGAAGACAAGAGTTGACCTTTGGAAGCCCCTGCCTAGATTTCAGAGGATGTATGGAAATGCCTGGATGTCCAGGCAGAAGTCTGCTGCAGGGGCAGAGCCCTTATGGAGAACCTCTGTTAGGGCAGTGAGGAAGGGAAATGTGGGATTCAGCCCCCATGCAGAGTTCCGACTGGGTCACTGCACAGTGGAGCTGTGAGAAGAGGGTCACTGTCCTCTAGACCCAAGAATGGTAGATCCAACAACAGCTTGCACTGTACACCTTGAAAAGTCACAGGCATTCAGTGCCAGCCCATGAAAGCAGCTGAAGGAGCTGAACCGTGCAGAGCCACAGGGGTGAAGCTGCACAAAGCCATGGGATCCCATCCCTTGCATCAGCATTCCCTGGATGTGAGACATAGAGTCAAAGGAGATTTTGGAGCTTTAAGATTTAATGACTGCCCAGTCAGGTTTTGGACTTGCTTAGGGCCTGTGGCCCCTTTGTTTTGTCTAATTTCTCCCATTTGGAATGGGAATACTTACCCAAAGCCTGTACCCCCATTGTACAGGTTTTTCAGGCGTATAGGTAGAAGACACCTGTCTTGTGTCAGATGACACTTTGGATTTGGACTTTGAAGTTAATGCTGAAATGAGTTAAGACTTTGGGGGACTGTATAAGTAATCTAGAGATGATTTAAAATATAAGGGAGGATGTGTATAAGTTATGTGCAAATATTATACTTTTTTATAAGTATAAGAATTGAGCATCTGGGGATTTTGGTATTCATGGGGGTTCTGGAATAAATCCCCTGTGGTTACTAAGAGACAACTGTATATTTCCATGCATTGAAAGGGGGACTTAAAAAGATTTATGATTATAGTACTTAATCAAAGACAAAGGGGACTTGTAATGGTCCAAGTGACCTTTCTCACTGATATGGTTTGGCTGTGTCCCCACCCAAATCTCATCTTGAATTGTAACTTCCACAATTCCCACATGCTGTGGGATGAACCTGATGGGAGCTGATGATTGAATTATGGGGCAGGTCTTTCCTGTATCGTTCTTGTGATAGTGAATGAGTCTCACGAGATCTGATGGCTTTAAAAACAAGAGTTTGCCTGCACAAGCTCTCTCTCTGCCTGCTGCCATCCATGTAAGACGTGACTTGCTCCTCCTTGCATTCCACCATTACTGTGAGGCTTCCCCAGCCATGTGGAATTGAAAGTCCAATTAAACCTCTGTCTTTTGTAAATTGCCCAGTCTCAGATATGTCTTCATCTGCAGCATGAAAACGGATTAATACACTCACCCAACCCCAAATCACGATAGCAGCTCTGCTACTTATTAACTGTGTGATTTTGAAAAAGTGACTTCGAAAAAGTGACTTCTTCTGTCTCAACTTCAAGTCCTCTCCCACTTCCAGCTACAAAAGGAAAATCTAAACTTTTAGCATAGTCGTGTGCTTTGAGTGATATTAAATCCATACTACATAACGAAGTACTTTATCTATAAATACTATTTTCTATCCCTGCTGGATATGTTGAGATTCATGGACGTACACACTATTTACGGAATTTAATTATCCAGTTTTCAGATGAACTCTGTATCCCCCATTCACTTCACTCTCCTGGGGGAAGGGTCATGATAAACATAAAGTGCTCACAGTAGATGAAGATGCAAGGTCCAAGGGGGCAGCATAACATGGCCCAACTGGTTTGTTAAAGTGGAAAGACTTGAACCAGCAAAGATGTCAGTGAATATTTATATTATAGATAGAAAAAGTTTTAGAGAAAGAAAAACCGTTTACTCTGAACTTGGAAGAAGCAAAGGAGAGGCATAGAAACTCCCATTTGTCTTCTCTTCTCCACAGCCTCCTTCTCTGCAAGAAACAAAATAAGCCTAGGGAGGGATCATAGTTCAAAGGAAAGAATGGATTTCAATCCTCTGTGTGTGTGTGTGTGTGTGTGTGTGTGTGTGTGTGTGTGTGTGTAGTTGGGGAAGGTTTATATTGTGAATTTTTAGACTGGGGTGGCTTTGGGAACTTTGGATCTTTTGAACTGCTGGCATGTTTGAAGTTTCTAATTTCCACATTTGTCTTTCTTCATTTTGTGTTGTGGGAGGTAGACTTTGCCTGTGTGACAACAGTAGCTCTGAAAAGCTAAAACCACAAAAGCGGGGCCCTGAAAAGACATTAGGAACTGGGTATTTGGGGCTGGCTGTAGGCTTAGGAAACAGAGCTGGAAGGTCCTTCAGATTGCCTTTAGTGTGCTGCTTAACCAGCTCTGCAGTCTAAGACAGGAGACAGGGTTTTGTGTGGACTCTTGGTCCAGAGAAAAAAAAAAGAGCTCCCATTCATTTGACTGGAACTTCCCTTGTAAGGAATTAGGGAATCCCAATGGTTATGTATGCATGATATTCCAAATTAGTATGTTAAAATTCATTTGCTAAGCTTCTTTTATCCTTTCTCCATTAATTAGTAATCAATGATTTATTAGCTTTTTGAGTATAGTGTTTTATAAAACTGTCAAGTCTTAGAAGCAGAGACCAAAGAAAATAACAATTCTGAAAGTAATGGGAAGGCTGCTGAGATTTTCCAACCTAGACTAAATAATGTTGCCTAATTTGTGGAGCATTCTTACTTCCCTATTCGAGGTCTCTAGTGCTATATTCCCATAGTATTATATATGATGCAATTAAATTCTGAGAATTATTAAGGAACAGATTGCTTTGAGAACTGAAAATGCATCCTAATAAGTGATTTGCAGTCCATTTTTGTATTGCTATTCAAGCTTTAATATAGCTCTTTCAAAACCTGAAATTCCACTGGCAAAAGCCATGAGGGATTGTCTTATTTCACACAGGTAAGACAACACTACTTCATCAAACTGAGAAGGAAAGAACACGGGGCTAGGAAGGAGGTTCTCTTTAGGGCTTTGATGCTGTTTAGCTTGGCACATTTCCTTGTCCATATGGTGAGATTAGACAAGCTGTCTCCAAATTAGATAACTTTGGGGCAGAAATGAAAGGTGAATGAGTGAACCTGGACTTGATGGAAGCTGTGCAATGTGTGATCGCATACCTCCTTAGTGGTAGATTGGATTACTGGCTTTAATTATTTAACTGTACACATATACCCTTCTATACTATGATTTTGAAGTCCCTCCCAGCAAAGGGGCAGCATATATTTCCCCATCCCTTGACTTTAGTTCAGCCATGTGACTTGCTTTGCTCATTTGAAAAGTCAGTTGTGATGATGTGCTAGTTATGGACCTAGACATTAGGAGGGCTTTTGTGTCCCCCTTGCCCTTTTCCATTTCTGTCATTGCCATGAGAATCTGCTGGCGCTGGGAGGAGAATGAGTGACAAGGAGCCAAACCACCCCAGAGGAACCCAGCCTAGAGTAGTTGAACCCAGCTGAGCCCCGGACATGTGAGAAACACAAATGCTCATTGTTTTATGCTGTTCAGCTTTTGAGGCTGTTTATTATGCAGCATTATCAGGACTAGAACTAATTTGTTCTGTTTTCCCTGGAGAAATTTCTTTAGCTGTAACATGAGGGTGTAAGAATAGGACTGTTTTTGCAAACCCAGATTGCCTTCAGGGCAGAAAGGAAAAGTAGGTGTGGGAAGGAAGAAAGTGTTCAATGGAATCACATGCCTTTTTAAAGGGTATTGCTGCCACTTGGCCCTAGTCAAATGTGATGGTGCAGGAATGTAAGCCCTGTGTTGCCAAATGTACTCATTTTTTTCAAGAAAAGCTATAAATCTGGATTTTTGAATGTAGAATATTCAAAATTTAAATTTAGAAACTAAAAAAATTTATGGGATACACACACACACACACACATACACACACACACACACACAAATGTATATGTCCTGTAAATTTGTGTATGTCCTGGATAAATATATATCCTTAACGGTCATACTTAACAGTCTCTAGATTAGAGTCTGTAGGTCCCCATCTGCTCTAATGTTCAATACTCATTAACACTCAATGCGTTTGTTGCAAGTCTACTGTGCGCAAACTTATCCCAGGTGAATTTACTTTAGAATGAACTCAGCAATATTTTCACTTTAAAATATCACAAAACATGTTTCTTTTGCCCCTAGTGGAATAGCTTACAAATATGGCCACAACATAGAAGCTAAAAACAACACACAAAATTCCAGGCAAACCCCCGAATCCTCAACTTCCTAAAATCTTCAGCTACTTCAAGTACTTAAAAATGACAAGTCAACCACCTAATTATAGATAGAAACTGACTTTTCTTCTTTTGATGAGAGAGATTTTTTCCAACTTTAAAATCTATTATTGTTTTTCATGATGCAAATTTCCAAGATGATCTGTTACTATATTAAGTGCTATAAGTATGAAATATAGAATGCCTATCAGAGGTGAATAGGAATTTTTAATTCCTTTAAGTGATTTTTCTTAATAGTCATTAACTCGAAAAATGGCCTGGCATCTCTGTTAAAAGAAAGGATACCAGGAAGCTTTCACATTATATCTTCATTAGCTACTGATTATACCAGCAAGAGAAATCTCCGGATTTCCTTGACCATGGATTATAAACTCAGGATAATTACATGGAAGGAATATGAACTTCTCACTGGGTTCTTGATTAGATTAATAATTATCAATGACTTGCAAAATAGAGACCTTGTGTGTGTGTGTGTGTGTGTGTATGTGTGCGCGTGCATCAATTTAATTTAAATAAAATGTACTTGATCCCATCCAACTGTGTATTAGATGTAGGGTAAGGCATTACCCAGAACACAGAGATGGAGACTGACATAGATTAAATAAAGACCAAATGGTGGAGACAGTACCTGGGGAGATGTCATTTTATATTTAGAACAAAGGATTAAGGTACATTATTTATAATTGTTTTATACTTCATTATGCTTGGAGAAGTTATGTCATACTCTCTGTATTTCTTGTCATTAATGGTTTTTAGGATTCCTTAACAACAAAAATGGGGGAGGACATTTAACACTTGTTGGGTGTTAATAATCTGTTAGGTTAATGTATTTAACCTGCACAATGAGCCTATGCAGTAAAAGCTTTTATTCTCATTTTACGCAATGGAAGGCTCCAGAGATCCAGCTGAGCTATTGTTTTTTTCCCCTGGAAGCCATCCTTGGTTACAATCTGAGTAAATTGCCCTGTGAGTACCCTAAAACCCATCACATACTTGCATTCCAGCATTTATAACATTTTGCAGAAACAGTTGCTTACTTTCTGTCTCTCCTTCTGAACCATGAACTCATGGAGGCTGGCGATTGGCAAAGAGTATGATCCAGTAAATATGTGTGAAATGCTCACATTTGGTCAAGGTGCATACAACCTGCAAGTTGCAGAAACTGGAGCGATAATGGTTTATATTTTTCTAAATATAAATCTCCTGCACTTTCTACTGTGCTGTCACTTCAAAAATTTAAAAAGTGGGAAACATGTTCTAAAATTCCTCTTCTCTTACATGTTTTAAACTTGCATGTGCTTCTGATAAATATCCTCATCAGAAACTTCTGGTTAAGGCAGGGTTCCCCAAACTGGCATGGTGATAAGAATCACCTGGGGAGCTGTTAGAAAGTCTGGGTTCTTTGGTCCCATCCAGACTTAGTAAACTAGATTCTAAAGGGGAAGGGTCTCCTCCAGAATTGGCTTGAAAGTTCCCCAGGTGGTTCTTATCATCATATCTATTTAGCCAATTGGCTTAAGGCAATTTGGGAATTGTAGTAGGATGCCTGGTGATGCGAGCTTTACAGGAAAAAAACGAATATTTTGCTACTTCAGTGTCTGGAGATCCAGAAGGCAATTCACCTTAAAGGAGAGTCATTTGGAAGAGGAATGTTTCAGATGCCGTCCTTTGTTATGTAAGGATGAGAAACGTGGGCATCACTGCTTTAGGTCTGAGCAAAGCCAGCCCTCCTAGTTCCATATGGATGTCTGGGGAGGGGTCAGATGAAACTGCATAAGGATCCAGGAGCCTAGAGTGAAGAGATGAGCCCTCAAACTCTCACAGGAGAACCTAAAAGTTAGATAAACTTATCGAGATGATTCCATGCACCCTTCACAAGGTCAAGTGACAGAGAACAACAATGAAGCCTCTGAAATTAAGTTATGATATGGTTAAAAAGAGACATCAGTAGCTGGCCCCATGCACTGAACAGAGGACCAGAATGGGAGTCCTGAAATTCACGGGCAGTGAAGTTCCATTTGTTCCAGGCCTCCAGAGGGGTAGATTTGCTCATTAGCAAAACAGCTCCTCAAAAGAACCCAAAAAAGTTTGATGGAGCTGTCATACAGCTTTCAAAACCTATGTGGCAGCCTAAGCTGTTGGTTCTTTGGAGAGGAGGGTTTACAGCTGAGGGAAACGAGTGCCAATAGCACCACGTTCTAACTTAGCCCCGGATCCAGCAAAGTGGATGTGTGCCTTGGAGAGTGGATGACCACTTTTTCAGGGTGGATGACCACCAAGGGAGGAGCTGAGAGGAAAGGGGAGGTATTAGAATTATTTCCTTACAAGAGAGCCCAAGTCAGCTTTTAGAATGTCTTTGTCTAGACAGAACACACTACTGGTCTGTAGACACAAACTTCTTCAAAAAATCTGCTCTTAGTAGTGGCAGACAACTGCAATTCCCTCTTGGCTTTCTTCTTGGAAGCTAGGATACCACATTGAGGTTTCTAGCAACCAACTGTGTGCTTGGTATAATGTAGACCCCAGGAGGACAGTTAATATTGACTGCTTTGTTCATTGATACATTCCCTTGACCTAGACCATTGCTGGGCACATAGTAGGCTCTCAGTAAATATTTATTCAGTGAATGAATGAATAAATGAATGAATGAATGCTTAAATGAAGGTCCAGAACTAATACATACATAATCTCCCTTTAAGGAGCTCAGCCTACGTGTAAAGACAGACACAGAAAGACAAAAACACAGCAATGTGTGAAGTGCTTTGGGAATGCACCGAAAGGAGCTGTTGATTCTGAGTGGTGGAGGGATCTGTGCTGTGGACGCCAGGGTAGGGTGGATGGGAAGATGTGATGTAGAGGCCAGGGAAGGGAAGTAGATATAGCGGCACAGAAGTTCATGCAGAGTTCAGCACTAGTACAGAGTCCCAAGGGGCTTTCCCTTGAAAGTATTTGCCCAATGGATTATTTTTTTCCATCCTTTAATACTCCGTTTTTTAACCTAAATAATCTAACAAGATTTTATCCCATTTGGATTTTTTTCAGTTAGCATATCTTATTTTCATAAAAACACAAAAGATACTTGACATTTAAAGATATTTAGATTTAAGGAAAATGGGGAAAGAGAGAAAGAGGAAAAAGGAGGGAAAAAGAAAAAAGGAATAAAGAAAAAGAGGGACAAGAAAAAAAGGGAAGAAGGAAGAAAGAAAAAGAAAGGAAGAAAGAAAGAAAAAAGAAAAGAAAGAAAAGGAAAGGAAGGAAGGAAGAAGGAAGGAAGGAAGAAAGGAAGGAAGGAAGGAAGAAGGGAAGGAAGGAAGACCGATCTTTCTTGACTGTCAGTTGTGCTCAGGTTGGAGAAGGAACTCTCTCCTCAACCTGACAGACCAGCTGTGCTCTGGTTCCTGATTTCTTTCCACCTTCAGCTCAGAATCCTCCTCACCCCCAGTGCAACAGCTACTTCAGATGACTCTCAGTTGTCAAGGAAACCATTCTCTTGAGAAGTGTGTTCTACACTCCCTGCCTGAAATGTTTCTGCTCCTTGTCCTATTTTCCTCACTTCACCTGGCTGTTTCCTACTCAGGGGCCAGTTTATATTCCATGGCCTCCAGGAAGACATCTCAACTGCCCAACTCAGGTTTGTGCCCCTTCTTCATGCTCTCAAAGCATTTTGTGCTTCTGCTACCATATACCTGAATATGCTGCATGGAACCCTGTCTAATCTGCAATGGGACAGGTTTTATGTGTCCTGTGCACCACTGTGAATCACATGCATTTTTCACTGGGCCTGTGTATCATAAGTGTTCCATCATTACTCATGGAATGAATGGCTGAATTAGCATTTTCTCCTTTTCCATGTAGTACATGGCTTGATTTGGGTCTTTGGGCAGATGTGTCTGAATCTACAAAGTTCACTGCCAGGCTCTCATCCAGGGACCCACTGTGTATGTGTTTAAGTTTAGATACAAGCATGGAAAACATGGATTGAGAGAGAAAATCTTTGCCTAATTTAATAAAGTAACTGGAAACTCTGTGTGCACTTCAAGAAATGCATTTTTCTTCTTCTTTTGGCCTGTTGAATGTGTTTTTCCTAGGATACAAATGACATTCTTTTTGTCTCTCAGTGGAACAAGAAACAGACTTGATACCACTATACATTAGAGGAAATTCATTGATGATTCAACAATTGAATCACATCTCAGTGACTTGCCTCCTTTCCTCACAAATATGATTTTGAGAAGATGTTACACTCCGACAAAGAAAGAACTGAGGTTTTCTAGGTACCTGCCATATTTTATTTTGGGAATTCAAATATTGGAATGTGGTTTGGATAAGAGACATTTCATAACTACCTTACTGCCTGCAATTTTATGAACTATTTACTAGCCTGTGAAGCAGAAATCACAGCTTGGTGGCTGGTTCCAGCCACTAAAGTGGGCCTAGTTGACACCTAAAGCTCCTGTGTGTGAGAAAGAGATCTGATCATTTTACTCTCAGCTGCTTGTTTCCAGGCAGCAGGTTCAGAAAATGTTGAATCTACTGAGTTCAAAATCAGAAAAATATGCTTTCCCACTCAGCTCAGCCAACATTTAGATGTTGCATCTGGTAGGAATTAAAGATACCAGCAACAGCATTGCCTTTGGAAGCCCAAGAATGCAGAGGCAGGGAATAGTGAGGTTTCTTTGGGATGTGTGAAGTGACTGAAGATTAAATCTTTTAAAAGTCATTTGCCAGTTGCCCTCTTGGGCATTTATCTTGAAGAAATAAAACTTCATTTTCACAAAGAACATGTACATGAATTCTTATAGCAGCTTTATTCATAATAATCCCAAACTGGAAGCAATACAAGTGTCCTTCCCTGGGTGAATGCTTTAATAGGCTGGGGTGCACCTGTACCATGGCACACTGCTCAGTCATTGTGGGGGATAAGCCAGTGTTGCACGTGGGAGCTTGGATGGATCTCATGGAGTTATGCTGGGAACAAAAAGTCAGTCTCAAAGGGCACATGCTCTATGATTCCATTTGTGTGACACTCTTGAAATGACAAAATTGTGGAGATTGAGAACAGCTATACAGATTGAGAAGAGGTTAGTGGCTGCCAGGAATTAAGGATGAGAATGGGTGTTGCTATAGAGCACTAGGGAATTTTGTGGTGATGAAACAATTTTGTGTCTTGTATCTACATAGATGATAAAATTTCATAGAGCTACACGCGCATGCACACACACGCACAAACACGTCAGACCACATGCTATACACTAGTACAAGTAATACTGGTAAACTTGAAATTAGCTCTGTGGATTGTGCCGACATCCATTTCCTGATTTTGACATCCTACTGTAGCTGTACAGGATATTGTAATTTTGGGAGGCTGAGAGAAGGACTTGGGACCTCTCTGTATTTTTTTGTTTTTGACAATTTCCTCTGAATCTATGATTATTTCAGAAGAGAAAGTTATAAAAAATCACTTCCACAAGTTTAATAGTTAAAAGTTCAGTGTAAGTTAAGGAAGTAGAGAAATGAAGCCCAAGGCCTTACTATATATTGTTTTTTCTTTCCTTTCTTTTATTATTATTATTATTATTATTATTATTATTATTATTTTGCTTTGGATTAATTTTAGAAGTCTGAGATGTATTTAGCCTAACTTGTCATATTGTGGGATTTGTATGCATACACAGTTGCATACACCAATGCACATACAGTTAATAGCTGTTCTACTTATGCCCAAATAGAACAAACACAAGATCATGTGGATTGTAAGGGCGTCAGTTGGGCTCGTAGGCTTCACAGCTCTGATGGGGAGGGTGCCGGTGTATCACAGCCACTAGCTCCTCAGGTTGTACTTTCCTGTACCCCTGGTGCTCACCACACTGCTGGCATGTTTCATTTGGCATTTACGCCACATTGGCTTGTGTTGGTGTCTATTCTGCAGGGCATGAGCCTTTTCCCTCACTGGGCTGTAAGACCCCAAGATCAAGGACTATGTCTAGCATATAATAGATACTATGTAAATGAGATAAACGGGCATCATGTCTTCTGGGCATCTTTACCTGTATTGGATACTGTTTCAATTAAGATATTTTCTCATACAAGTGACAGAAAAGTCAATTCAAATTGAATTGAGCAAAAAGGAAAATGTATTGCCTTGTGTAACTGAAACATCCAGGAGCATATTTGGTTTTGGATCATGTTTCTCTCTGTCTTTCAGCTCTCCTTTCTCCATCTTGCTCCTTTTGCAGCTGGGTTCTGACCTTGAAGTCACAAGAAGACCACAGCTTCCTTAACCTCACTCTTTCAACCAGAAGTCCAGTTGAACTGTCTTTTTCTTACAGTTCCTATGGAAGTCCAAGTATTCATTCCTTCTCTGGCTATTCTGGGTCACATTGCCATCCCCGAGCCAATCACTGGGAGGGATTGTACTGAGTAGTGTGGCCCTTGGGGCATAGGCTTTTTTTCTGGTTACCCAGTAGTGGAGTCCACAAAAAACTTGTGAACTAAAAGTTGGGAGGAAATAGTTCTACCAAAGCAGGAGAGGTCTCCCAAGCTCAGCAGAGAAGCAAAAATTCTCCTTTACGAAAATTTAGAGATTCTTTTTCTCTTTTATGATTGACTTACATTGGGGGAAAAGGAATCATGAAACTTTAGAGTGGTCATTGGAGAGCTGGTTATCAGTGGTTTGTTTCATTCATTAACAGAACGCAAATGTAAATAAAATTTATTATCTGACATGCCACAAAATGTTGAGCTAGCCTGTTTGTCCTATGACTGACTTGTTATAGTGCCAATAAAGAAATTTATAGTGTTATTTCATTTTGATGGTTCAGACTGCATTGGTAGAATTTCTAATCTGTGCAGCAGTGTTGGGAGAATTAATTGGTTTGGGTTTCTATTCAACATAGACTTCATTACCTTCATTCTCCTCTGGAGGAATTCTTAATTCAGCCGTGTAATTTCCTTGCTGTAATACATTGATGGTTTGAAGCATGTAAAGTGTGTAATTATGAATGATAATCGTGCTTCTCTGCAAAGCCTCTGTATCTGCACCTCCTTTTTATTTATGGCCCTAGAACCTTTGGTGATGTTGTGGATGCTGTCAGGGCCTCTCGGGTATGACAGGTTGTTGCTCTGTGCTTTTTGGGATAGTCACATCTTGGATGTGGTTCTTTTTCCTGTAAGAATCATGGAAGAAGATTCCTAGCTGAAGTGGGACCTATTGCCCAGTATTATGATTTGTGTATTACAGACAAGTTCCAATTTCCCAAAGGCATTCCTTCTGTTGGTCTCCTACTTTGGGGTTTCCGCCGGCTTAGATGCATACCTCAGTTCTGTTTCTGGAGAAATTTATTATGTCCTGAACTTTAAATCACCCACCTCCCCTGATTTGCATTCATATCTATAGTCTGTTCTTTCATGTTATTCCATAAGCTTGGCTCTCCTCTCCATGACTTATCTATTTAATTATTTGCTCATCATATCCCACTAACATGGCTACTTCTTATACTTCGATTGAACTTTTTCTTTCTTTCTTCCTCCCCTTGCCCTTTTTGTTTTTTTTTTCCATACAGAGTCCTGCTCTGTTGCCCAGGCTGGAGTGCAGTGGCACAATCTCAGCTCACTGCAAATTCCGCCTCCCTAGTTCAAGGGATTCTCCTGCCTCAGCTTCCTGAGTAGCTGGGATTACAGGCACCTGCCACTCTGCCCGGTTAATTTTTGTATTTTTAGTAGAAACAGCGTTTCACCATGTTGGCCACGCTGGTCTCGAACTCCCGACCTCAAGCAATCCACCTGCCTCAGCCTCCCCAAATGTTGGGATTACAGGCGTGAGCCACTGCTCCTGGCCTGATTGAACTCTTTCTGTAGAGCCTCACCACTTTGGATCATGCTGCCTGGATTTCAGCTCTAACTTTCTTTCTTGTTTGCCCCCATTCATTAGTTTTTCTGTACACTCTGAGTAAAATTTTCTGTGCAAACTGAGTAAAATTTTGAAAACATAAACCTAATAATGTTTATAATGTGTCTTCTTCCCCTCGGCCCACTAAAAAACCACCAATGAACTTCCATTGCACTTGGAATAAAGACAGACACTTTAACAAAGCCTACGGCACCCTACAAGCCTGGATCCCATGGACCACTTCAGTCTCAGCCCTGGCTAGATTCCTTTTGTCCCCCTTCCCCCCATCTCACCACCGCAGGGTATCATTTAATGTCTGGGACTTGCCTTGCACAAACTGTTTGCCCTGCCTGGAACTCACTTCCTTCTTGTCTTTACCAGGATGCATCCTACTCCGTTTGCATATCCTGGTCCCAATACTGTTTCCTCAGGAAGACTTCCTTGATTTCTCTGGCTGGCCAGCTCTCCCCACACCCTCACTTCTCTAATTTCTCAGAGCACCATTGACCTCTCCTTCATAACAGCTGCAAAATGCATTTTATATTTTATAATGTGATCATTTGACTAATGTGTATGTCTCCAACTATACCATAGTATCCTCTGGGGCACAGGCCATTTCTACTTTACTTACCCCAGAATTCCCAGCATCTAGCCCAGTGTTGACACCTAATAGACTCCCGGTGTATATTTGTTGAAATATTTGTTAACAAACAAATAGATGACTAAAGTGAATGGATAAGTGAATGAAGTGTTTGCTTCCACCAGAGCCAGCAATCCCTATGAGCAGTCTTTGGCTTGGGCAACTCTTCTTGCAGACACTTTCCTAAAGTTTGACCTTGCATTTCCTGCCACAGGGCATTTTGTCAGTGATGTCCTCCTGTTACCTCAGACTGAACATGAACAAAATTGAATTCTCCAAAGCAGCAGCATCTTTTCTATTTCCACTGATGGTGCCACCAACTTTGTGTTCCTTAGGACAGGAACATTAGAATAGGGATTGCAAGTTCAGGTGTTGATAGGAGCAAAGGAGTCACATAAGCTGGGAGAGGACTGTGGCAAACTGGAGACACATTTGCTCCATCGAGGGACAGACACTCTTCAGCTCCAGTTGACAGATGGGGTGTGGGAATGTCAGCTCAGGGTTGTCAGATCTTCCAATTATAAAAGAGAAGCCAAAAATTTAAAAAGTGATTGCTATATGAAATATCATTTTTTTAAATGTCGGTAAAATTCATTTAAAAAGTATTTTAAAATATTAGGTAGACCAAACAAACTTGCAAATTAGACCAAGAACCAGATGCAGGGCAGAAGCTGCCATGTTTTGACTCTTGCCTAAGAAATGTCTCTGATAATCTCCTTTCCTTAATGCATACAGTCCACAATCCACAAGCCCTATGGAGTCTTCTTTAAAGATGTCTCTTCAATCTGCCCTTTGCTCTTTCTCTGTCCCCAATACCTCCAAGTAACATAATTATATTTCTTGGTACCTGGCCTTCATGTCTACATTATTTCTTTCTCTTAGCTTCTCATATAGATAGGTAAATGACAAATACATATGTATTAACATGTTGATTTCTTTCTACTGTTTCAAGGCAGCATAAATGCTGAGTGTTGAGTAAAAAAGACACAAAGAACTCCCACACTCCAAGTTCAGAGTGACACAGTAAGCCACCAGCAATTGGTTCGGGTCATCTACTTATTTGTAGGGTTTACTAAAAGGGACCAATTTAAAACTGACTCCATTATTGACTTCCTTCTTACACACATAACACTTTTCCAAATTCCAATATAAAAAAATGGAATGAGAATGGACAGGGCTTTCAGTCCTGTTAGGAAGAGTGAGGTTTGTGGTGGTGACTTCCCATGGGGAGAGGGAAGGAGTGATTCTCCTCCTCTAAGGCAAGGGAATAGTACTCCAAGAGATTTGGATGTCTGCAAGATGGGTAATAGCACACATCATTCTTCAATTGAGAATCTGTTTTGGGCTGGTCATTAACATTTGGAGACCCAGGCTGAGAGTTGAAGTGGAAGCCCCATCTGGAACTGACAAAATTCAGGCCCCTTCCGTAGTTCCCACATCCTTCTCTCCCAGCCCACCCCCAGCCCTCTTTGACCATCCTTGAGGTCTGGGTGTAGGCACACTGGATGCTGTCTTCTCTCAGGGGTATGGGCTCAAGATAGAGGTTGGCTGTGTCAGGGACTCCGGGTAGGCATATCTCACAGACTGTTACTCTGATGGGAAGGGGTAGGTTCAAAACAGGGCAAGAGCAGGGTTCTTGAAAGCATGGGATCTAGGATATGGGCCCAGCTGCCGGGTCTATGGGAGGTACTAGTTGCTTAAATAGAAGACTTGATTAGTTACTTAACTAGAAGACTTTATTTTCTTTTGGGTTTTCTGAGCAGAGAAAGAGATAAGTGAGGTGGCAAGGTAGAATTTAGGGGGAAGTGCAATAGAACAAGCTCGTACTTCCCTGTTTGGCATGCCATAAGGGAATACATCAGTTCACTATAAGTTAAGTGGATGCTGAACTGATAGCCGAACCTGTCTTTATTCTGGGACCCCATGCAAGAGGTCACTTGCTGGGCAAGGAAAGCCCACCACCCAGGGGACATTGGTAGATATCTTTTAGTGGGGCTAAGAGGTAATGATGGAAGACCGATCCAGGACTAGAACTATTTTGCAGAGTAGAGGCCCATGCAGGACTCCTTGGAAATCCCATACATGTAACAATGCCGATATCAACATGAAGGACCTTGGCAGAGGAGAGTATCAATTTACTAACAAGAGGATTGTTCCCTGCAGGCAGCAGAGGAAGGCCTGCCTTATACACCACTTCTTCCTCATTGTCCCAACACTGAGGACTAGCAAGAGCCTAGAAGAAGGAAGGGAGAGAAGTGGGTCAAATAAATCCCTTCCTTCCAACTTGCAGCACTCCCTTTCCCAAGAAACTCACTGACCAGGCCCACCCACAAGCTGTTAGAGTACTGATTCTTTATTGCCCCAAATGAGACTTTCAAAATAAGCAAAACTGAGTGGAAAGTTACTGCATCTTACCAAAGTATCATTAAAGTACACAGTGGGAAACGCAGGATGGATCTAGCACAATTAGAGAGCAATTACTGGAAAAAAAATGAAATCATATCATGGACAAATCCCAAGTTGAAACTTTTCAATACTCCAGTTAGAGATACATAGATAGATAATTTTAACACCAAAAGACTGGTTTTCCTAACATGGTAATTTAACATACTATTTCCAAGTAAAAGAAGGAAGAACTCAAAGCTTTCCTTTGCAAAAAAATACAGATTAGGCATTTCATCTGAAATGTAAGGCTTTTCAAAACCAATTTTATTTTTAATAACCTTATTATACATGCCTTTTCTTGCAAACCGATTCAGATACTTTTGAAATGCCAATAAGGACACTGATTACAAATAAAAAAGTTTGAAATACTATAAATAATTTCTATTTTGTTGTTTTGGACTTGAATTTGCATATTGGTTTATCTGATGTTTTGAAAAAGAAAATTAATGTACATTATATATACACACAAATACATTTTTGAAAATAGGTTACAAAAACACAAAGTGAAGTGAAATAAAATAAGTAGTAGAAGAAAACAATTTTATACAAATAGAGGCTATTTCATTTGTCTGGTGGATTGTTCAGGACTATAATACTGACTGGTCTAGAACGTGGTTGGCTGGAAGGTCCCTGGAGAGCCTAACATAAAGTTTAGAACAAAAGGTAACATCTTAAGGGCCTCTGATTGACCCAGCACTGTGCTAGTCACCCCTGAGAAGAAGGCAAAGTTGAATGTTTGATCAGTGGTTTTGAGGAATGTATAGTCTAGTTGGGAGTACAGGGAAGGGTGTGGGGAATGTGTAGAGTGTGCCAGCAGTGCTCTGGAAGCACAGGATAGGACAGAGCTGGGGATGTGCCCTGTGAGCCATTCTGTCCAAAGAGCTGAATTGGGCTGGATGCATGAAGAGGAGAAGGATGCAGAGGTAGGGGCTGGGCACTTGTGTCCTGTGCTGGAAGGTAGACTGAGGAGCGCAAGGAACCAAGGAGGAAAACGCTTACTGAAAACCTTGGGGGTGATGTTTATGCACCAAACTCAGATCGAAGAGCCCTTAAGGAGGGGCTTTCTGGGGAAGAAATGGAGGCAGAGTAGACAGATCAGTTTTCAGAAAGTTGATGGGTAAGTAGAAGGGGGCATCTAAGTGTTATTTCAACATAAACATGTTATTTTGTAGATTATGAATATTCTTATTTGTATCTGGTCAGTTATAAACTCTCATTTACACTTAAATACAGATGAATAAACCAACTAAAAATAACATAAAGCCACTTTTCTGATCAATAAAAATACTTTGTAATATAAATATTTCTAAAAATTCATATGGTTTTAAAGTCTGTGTATTCTTGCATACACAGCAGCTAAATTAGAGCCCCAGTTTTCCCCTGATGATTTAGTCCCTTCATTTTAGTGTCTCAACACCTGAATGATTTATTCTTTACCTATAGAAATGCTTATTATTTTAATAATAGCATTGGGAGGCAAAGTGGAAAACAGCCATTTAAAAATGTGTTCTCAAGATTAGAAAGAAAATAATTATGGTGAAAAAGAAAAATAAGATCTGTACTCTGTCATCAGAAGTTTAAAGTGTCAGCTTCTTTGTTTTAATACTTCACATAAAATAATACACACACAGGGAGAAACAATGAAATAATAAAACAGAGCTAATAGTGACAGCCATAATTTCCCAGCCCATCTGATATGGTCTGGCTATGTCCCCACTCAGATGTCATCTTGAACTATATTTCCCATAATCCCCACGAGTTGTGAGGGGGACCTGGTGGGAGGTAATTAAGTCATGGGGGCAGTTACCCCTATGTTGCTGTTCTGGTGATAGAACATGAGTTCTCACGAGATTTGATGGTGTTATAAGGGGCTTTTCCCCCTTTTGTTTGGCAATTCTTCATGCCATCATGTGAAGAAGGATGTGTTTGCTTCCCCTTCCCCCATGATTGTAAGTTTCCTGAGGCCTCCCCAGCCATGTGGAACTGGGAGTCATTTAAACCTCTTTCTTTAGTAAATTACCCAGTCTCATGCAGTCCTTTATAGCAGTGAGAAAATGGACTAATACACCATCCTTCCCCACATCGCCCCACTAGCCAGAGGCAGGCTCTTTTAACCACTCCTATTTTAGTGCACTTAGTGGGTTATTTACATTACACTAAATTTATTTGCCCTATAAGTTCTTGGTCTCTTGACTCCTCTGTATGAAAGATAAGGTTCACCACTCACTACCCCATCTTTCCTTCTCCCTCTCAACTTCCAATCATTCTTGTTATTTGCAGGCTTTCTATTGGTTATGTGTTAACTTTAAAATAAAATATTTAGCCTAGATATTTTGTTCTATTGGCATTTGGCACCTCACCACATAAAATTAAGATATCTTACCCTTCCTTTCAACTTTGCTCCCATTTCTGTCTCCAAATTCTGTCATTTCTACCAGGGAATATGTGAATGATATTAAAAACATTTCACAACTAGCAGAGTAATCTTATTAATTGGAGGCTGGACCCTTAACTACAGTCCTTTATGCTGCTTAGTTGTTCTCTTGTTTTTACTCCATGCCCTTTGCCCTTTTATTTCTGTCCTGGAAGGTGTCATAGGTGTTATAAACATAGGACAAGCTTATGTAGAGCTCAAGGTGTGGAGGCATACAAGCATAGACAGAGGAACTCAGGAATCCTTGAAACAACGTATGAGCTTAGTATTTTAAATCACTGTATTATTTAAAATATACTTAGTAAGTGTTGAGCTGATATTTAAACTTAGGCAGCCTGGTTACTGAGTCTATGTTCCTCAATTTTTATGAAAAAATTAAGTATATGTGTATATATGTGTAAAATATATATTTATAAAGATATACATACACTTATAAGTATATACTTATATATTTGTATGTTAAGTATATGTACATGTATAATTATATAATACACAAATATATTGAAATATATTAAGTACATAAATCAAGTATAGTAATATATATGTAAATATATGTCATATATATTTTGCTATATATATTTTCCACATACATATGTGTATGTATGTGTGTGTGTATATGTATATGTACACACACACATATACATATACACACATATATATACACACACACATATATATATACACACACACACATATATATATACACACATATATATTTGACCCTTGAACAACATAGGTTTGAACTGCATGGGTCCACTTACACACAGATTTACTTCTGTCTTTGCCAGCCCTCAGACGGCAAGGCCAACCCCTCTTCTTCCTCTTCCTTCTTAGGCTTCTCAACTTTGAAGGTGTTGAGGATGAAGGATACCTTTATGATAATCCACTTCCACTTAATAAACACTAAGTATATTTTCTCCTCCTTGTGATTTTCTCAATAATGTTTTTTCTCTTATTTTATTGTAAGAATATGGTATATAATACATATGACATACCACATATGTGTTAATTGACAGTTTATGTTATTGGTGAAGCTTCTGGTCAACTGTAGGCTATTAGTAGTTATGTTTTTGGAAAGTCAAAAGTTGTACATGAATTTTTGTACTGTAGGGTGTTGGTTCCATATATATATTTATAATTTTGCATTAAAAGAAACAAACTTCAGCTACCTCAGTAGCTACTTGTCTTCCCTGATTTATTTATTTCCCTTAGGCTCAATTGTTTATTTACTTCCCTTGGACTTTTGCTTTCATGTTTGTGGTTCTCCTCCTGTATCTGCTGCCCATCATTGCTTGTCCTTCTCTATTTACAAATGAAGAATTGGTTGATTTTCTCAGTGGCCAGTTTGGGCTGTCTTGCTTTAGTATATGTGTCTAGATCTATGCTCAGTGGGCTGATTTTGAACTTTGTAAGTACAGGTGGGGCTTTCTGACAACCATACCTTGCTTTGTAGGAGACAGAGTGGGAGAGGGACATAGGAGCTGAGGACGCTACTCTGGGGTGCCCAACAGTGCCAGCCCTGTTCCCTGCCCGGCTGACTTTGTTGTGTGGGGGAAGTGGAGGTGGGTGAACAGGCAAAGCTGTTCAGCAGGCAGACTTCAGTGAGTAGCCAGGTTTTAGACCCCTTCCTCACGCCCTCTGCTTTCTGTTAAGTTTTATCTTCATGCCCAGAGCAGAGCGGCAAACACCTCTGCTGCAGGCCCCACTAGCAAGTCTCCTCTCTTCAACCACCAGCCACTTCCATGTACTTTCAGACTTGCAGACTTTGTTAACAGGTACTCCTATCCTCTTTTGTTTATTGTTTTATATTTATTCTTCAAGTACTTTGCTTTCTGTCCCCGACATTAGCGGATGACAAAGGAGACAGGGTTGGCATGATTGCTAAGTGAGCCAAGCTGTAGTATGCACCACCCAAGGATAGTTGGTGACAGTTTGGGTAGTTTTGCTGTCAGCTTTGTCTGAGATCGACAGCACAGTTGTCTTTTTTTGACATCTTCCCACATCCTGGTTTTCCCTTAGCTGACTTTGTCAGTGCTTCCTTGTATGTTGTGGTTTGGAGTTACGCATGTTTCCAGTGTCAATGAAAATGAGCTTGCATTTCTGATTTTCATCCTCTCTGTCTTTCTCTCCCTTTCTCTTTCTGGCAGGAGAGGCATTGTGTGAGTGGTTTCTTAGCTCTTTCATTTTAGAACTTGAACGTTACTGTTATTTTAGTGGTGTCTCAGGTAAGAGGGGATACAAACAATTTTCAGTCTGCTACCTAGAAATCCTACATGGAATTTCTCTTACATTTTGCAAAGAGAAATTTTTTCTCTTAAATACAATTGAAATTTCATTTTACAGGTTTTCTCATTCATAAAGGCCTGCTAAACAGGAAGCAGGTAGTTATGTATTAGGATACTTCCTTGGTTATCTCCTTTCTCTGGGGAAAAAAAATCCCTGATAATTATTAAAAACTTTCGGCTGGGTGCGGTGGCTTACGCCTGTAATCCAAGCACATTGGGAGGCCAAGGCGGGTGGACCACGAGGTCAGGAGATCGAGACCATCCTGGCTAACACGGTGAAACCCCGTCTCTATTAAAAATACAAAAAATTAGTCGGGCGTGGTGGCGGGCGCCTGTAGTCCCAGCTACTCGCCAGGCTGAGGCAGGAGAATGGCGTGAACCCGGGAGGCAGAGCCTGCAGTGAGCCGACATCACAACACTGCACTCCACCCTGGGCGACAGAGCAAGACTCCGTCTCAAAAAAATAAAAATAAAATAAAATAAAATAAAATAAAATAAAATAAAATAAAAATAAATAAAAACTTTCAACTGCAGGTCAGCTTCACTGAAGAAGTGTTAACTGTTTTTCCCTTCAGGTGTCAGAAAAACAACACTGAATTTTTAGTCCCTTTGAAAACTTGAGCTTCCTATGAAGCATTACTCTTTCAATGGCTGAGATTGCTTTGCTTAATCCCTCTGCTACAGCTCTCTGTTATCAGTGAAAACTGTAGATTTTTAAGGTTTCTTTAAGCTGGATTTTCAGTGCCTCTGGAGGTTGATGCCAAGGATGTAAGTTCAGATTGAGTTATCCAAAAAGCTACCTATTCCTTACTCTACAATTTAATTTGTTCCTTCCTTTATTTGCGGAACTAACATCATGTCAGGAATAGTTGAGGATTGGTAAACCAGCAAGATACGGTCCAAGTCCATAGTCATTGATCTTATATGTTGACTAGGTGTTTTACACATTTTAGTTAATACTCACTGTAACTCTGACAGGTATGTACAGATATTATTGTTTCCAACTTACAGTTCAGACAGATGAGACTCAGATATAATAACCCATTCTACGTCCCGTAGCCAACACCATAGCCTGGATTTGAATCCAAGTTATTTGAGATCTTTGTTTAACTTTTAATATAGCCCACCAACGCTTCTATACTTGGTCCATAATTATTGCTGATAATTAGGCTGAGACTATGTCGCACATTTCTCTGAAAAGTCTATTTTTCTCGTTCTCCATTATTATATTAACGAGGAAGCTACTATTCAATCATTTTAGAGAGAACTAATATAGGCTGTCTATACTAGTCTCCATTTTCAGAAAGGATAGTAACAATGGTAATATATGTTTAGAAGAAGATTGGCTTATATAAATTCAACCAGTCAATGATTATTTTTGAATACCTAACTTTACCAAATATTTTGGTGGAAGTTTTATATACAATAGTGAAAGAAACAAGGTATGTGTGTTGGTTTGTTCTCATGATACTAATAAAGACATATCGAGGCTGGATAATTTATAAGGGAAAAAAGATTTAATGGACTCATGGTTCTACATGGCTGGGAAAGCTTCAAAATCACGGCAGAAGGCAAAGGAAGAAGAGCAAGACACGTCTTACAAGGAGGCAGACAAGAGAGCATGTGCACGGGAACACCCCTTTATAAAACCATCAGATTTCGTAAGACTTATTCACCATCATAAGAACAGCACTGGAAAGACCCACCCCCATGATTCAAGTATCTCCCACCACATTCCTCCCACATGTGGGATTTACGGGAGCTACAATTTAAGATGAGATTTTGGTGGGGACACAGCCAAACCATATCAGTATGTTTCTATCCGTTTGTAGCTTATATACTTGGGGGGAGATTGCATTACACAAATAAATGCCTAATTATTTATATGAGCACATTCAGATAAGTGCTATAGTGGATACGCATAGAAGGCTGTGATAGCCAAGAGATATTTTTCTGAATGTGAAGGGGCATTTGGAAGAAAGAAGGTTTACCCAGGTAGATACTGTGGTTGGAGTGTTCACTCTTATACCAAGAAAAGGGCCAGTATGAGTTGGTGGAACAAGCTCATGGATAGTTGTGGTAGATTGTTTTTGGTTTGTATCAGTGCAATGATTTGCTGATGCAAATAATTTGGAAAATTCATTTGATTATAAGTTCTATGAGGCAGGAGCTTCATCTCTATTGGTAACTACTCTGTCCCCAGTACCTAGAACACTGTGTGGCACATTAGAGCTGCACAATAAATATTTGCTGAGAGAATGTTCGCAATTTAACCCATGATTATTGGGATCCTTTTGCTGGTCACAGTGCCAGCTCTCCATTCAATAATTTATAAATGACGAAGTTGTATTAGACATCCTGTTCCTGGTTACTTGCTTCTTTGTCCTGATATTATTCTCCTGTGCTTCTCTTACTTTGTTCTGTATTGCAGGAGGCTGACTTGTAAAATTACATTTTCCAAGCTTCTTAGCCAACTAACTTCTGGTTAGATTTGGCAGATGGGGAATTCGGGTAGAAAACTGGAGATCAGGAGAGAGCAACCAACATGTATCTCCCCTTTATTTCTACTCAGCGTGGCTTCTGTGGGCTGTTGTTGATATACCTTGGTTGTTCTAACCCCACCAGCCAGCTGCTGGATTCAACATTATCCTCTTTCCCTGTCCCTGTGGACTTAAGGGCAAAGCAGCTATCTGCAGCTGCCATATTCTGGGTTTTCTTACCCTCTTCTGTTTTCCTGTTCAGCCCTTTATACACCTACAGAAATGGTTTCACATATGAAATTTTTTCTACTGAACTGCTAATATAAATATGCTACTTTCCCTATTGAAGCCTGGCTCCTTCCTGCTAAGACTTCTTCCAGTTTCCAAATCCAGTAACTCCAAACCTGATTTCTCATTTGTAATGCCTCGAAGACAGCAATTATGAGATTGCCAATGGTCAATAGGGTTATGTCATCTCAAAACAGTGAATTTTTCATATTTTTGTCTCTCACTATTAGGACAATGATAAAAACAGTCTATTATTGTTAGAACAATAATAAAATACGTAGATCTTACATAAACGTAATCTTTGAATGTTTGAGGTCTGATTACTCAATTATGAAACCTCCTTCAACAAAAGGAGGCTTTGGTATAAAGTTATTTTATAAACTATGCATTAAATGTTTGGAACTGATACTGATGCATCATTAGAAAAATTAGTCAAGATTTGGTTATAACCTTTTCTACTACAGAGAAACAAAAGACATGAGGATTTCATTGTCCAAGAGTATGTTTGGAAACTAGGTTTTAAGATATTGAAATTTACCCTTGTCTTTCAAGTCTAGTGAAATATAGAATATACATGCATTTTTAACTACTGCTAGAATAGTAGATTTATGTATGCTGTGAAGAGAACCAAAATGAACAATTTATCTGAATTTCATTTTAAACTCAGTGGAAGCAATTCTTCCACCTTCATCTCCCTCTCCTCTGGGATCACTTACGGCTGATTACCAGATGACAGATGATTACCACTAAATGGCTAGATGCATGTGGTATTACGTGGTAAAACCCTTACATGGCTGAACCATCATTGTCATCAAACTGGACGATTGATGAAACCATGACTCAAAGCTAGAAGTCTACTACAACTCCTTTGGTAAACATATTTTTAAGAATATTGCTCTTTGCTCACCTCTGTTCATAAATGCAAGTATCACTTTGCACTTGTACATGTTTTCATAGAATCAACAAGTAATTAAAAAAGCATTATTTGTCCAGTATTGCTATTCATAGTGGCATTTCTCAGGCAGTGAAATTTAACACTACAGTTGCATGTAAAGGAAATAGCCATACAAGCTTCTCTTCCTTTCAACTGTTACCGACAACTTCGTGTAAAAGACCACTGACAGTAGAACCTAAAAAGTGCAGTTGTGGGTCACAGATTTTTGTTCTTCCTGTGTCAGCCTCATTTTTTTTTTGTTGAAGAGACAGTGAGGATGGTTTGCATTAGCTAACCTGGAAAAAGACTGGACCATACACACCAGAATCTGTATGTACACCTCAATGAGGATGACAGTGGACATCAGGATTGTCTTGTGGTTTCTTGAGGAGACTCATGCAAGATTCTTGTGGAATCATTCTTGGTCGGGAGGGTTAGGACTCATTGTGAATCATCCTCCTATGTTGAGATAATGACTGCGCAGATTATAGAGATATTCAAAGTCTTTGAAGACTCTGTATTATAAAAATAATCTCAATACATATGCTTGATTTTAAATTGTGTCATTGACCTTTTGTTACAGGAATGTTCAAACCTTCACAAAAGTAGAGAGGATGGAATAATGAGTTGCCACCATTGCAATAATTAAGAGCATTTTGCCAATCTTATTTCATCTTTCCTAACTTTTTTTTTTTTTTCAGTTTTGGTGTTATGTAAGGCAAGTTTCAAGTGTCATATCATATAATGAGTAAATCACTATGTTTCATTTACAGAGATCTCCTTAAAAAGTACCTAAGTTTTCTATCACTATCACACCTAACAAAGTAGTATTTTAATATCTGCTAGTACATTATCCATCTCAAATTTCTCCAAATGTCTCAAAAATATTATTTAATAGTTGTATATTTGAATTAAGGTCTAATCAAGGTCTTCATACTACATTTACCTGAGAGGTCTCTTAAGTGTCTTTTAGTTTATAAGAAGAATTCTCCCTTCTCTCTTATTTATTGAGGATATTTATTTGTTGAAGAAACCATATTATTTGTCCCAGATTATGAATTTGGCTGATTGCATTTTCCTGGTGCTATTTATCCTGTTTTAACTGTTAGTTATATCTAGAAGCTTGATTAGATTCGGGAGAAATTTTGGGGAGGAAAAATACTTTCTGGGTTGTTCTGTGTACTTTCTGTTGCATCATGTCAAGGGAAGCAATAGGCACATTTGGAGAGTATGTTAATACTCTTAGTAGGATTAGTGTTGGCAAATGGCTCCACTTATGAAGATTTCCTTCAAACTTCTCCCTAAAAATTATATCAGTAATTGTCTAGATCTATTATTTAACTAAGGATTAAAAAATGGTGGATTTTCTAAATCTATCATTTTTTCAGCATTTATCAGGTGAATTTTTTTTTTTTGAGATGGAGTCTCACTCTGTTGTCCAGGCTGGAGTGCAGTGGCACGATCTCAACTTACTGCAAGCTCTGCCTCCCGGGTTCACACCATTCTCCTGCCTCAGCCTCCCGAGTAGCTGGGACTACAGGTGCCCGCCACCACGCCTGGCTAATTTTTTGTATTTTTAGTGGAGACGGGGTTTCACCATGTTAGCCAGGATGGTCTCAATCTCCTGACCTCATGATCTGCCCGCCTTGGTCTCCCACCACACCTGGCCTATCAGGTGATATTCTTATATACTGGAAAACTTTTCTTTGTTAACTGCTTGGTTGTTGAAATGGAATTCAATAATGAGGTCAGAGTAAACACTTGCCCCTTTCTCCTTTCTCACCAATCATCAGAATGAAATCGCATGCTGGCAGCCTGCAAAGATGACCAATGAAGATTTTATTTCTCCTTAATTGTCTGTGTATCACTATTAATTCATGGATTTTTAGTTATTTGATATGTTCCACTTTATTGCAATCATTTTTCTCCTACATCCACAAACTGTCCCATCTTTAGTCAGAGGAAGCCCCTTCAAGTTGGCTTTTATCTCCTTTTGAAATAACACCAATAGTTTTCAAAGGTGTGCATATGTTTTCTGTTCCAATTAATTGTACCAAGCTCATCTTATACATTTCCTATTCCATACGTGCGATCAACTGCTAGTTCAAAGAACCCCGATTCCTTTTCCAGAAATGGCATCTAGAGAATAAATCTGGGGCAAAAGGAGTGCTCATTGTCACTGGGTTGTCATTGCTTCCAGATTTTTTAGCCGACAGAGAGAGGAAACACATATATTTTAGAAGAACAAAAATAAGCCTTAAGTGCACATTGATAGTTCCAATACCACCTGTGAACAAGAAGAGTTCACTCAACACCTTTAATTTTACACCAGTATCTTTTTTCTTCTTTGCTAATAGCCCTAGTGCCTACCAACATCAGTGTAATTGTACTAGATTCAGTGTATAAACCACCATACCTGTGCACATTTGACTTTATTTTTGTGTGGAGCAGCCTCAGGAACTGCTTTAACTTTTCCCATGGTCCAGCATGAGTCAGGATCATGTTGCCTTCACTGCCCCAAGACCAAGGGTATCATTGGACAGGATGGTTGCTTGACTCTCATTTCACTTGTAGTTTATATCCTGGCCACGTTTTCTCTCTTGCTGGGCTTGTTTCTCCATCCTCCTGTCCCAGGGCTTCCCTGTTGCAGCTGAGGCACCCTGCAGGATTTGCAAATCCCTGTGTAAGTGAGGGAGTATTAGCTTCCCCTGAATTACTTTGGCCAATGAGACATAAAGAACAAATGCTTATCCCTTCCTCTCACACTATCCAAAGATTCAGTAGTTTCATGATACTTTCTTAAAGATGCTCTGTAAAACCAAAAATTCAGTGTATCCTAAAGCTTGGACCAGCTTTGCAATACATTTTCACATAGTGTTGGCTCTCCCTCCTGTCTGTCTTTACTTCCTTCCTCCCTCATTCTCAAGTCCCTAGAATTGCACTCCCCAATAAAATGTTTACAGAAATTTTTTGCCTTAGAATTTGTTTCCTAGGGAACCCAGCCTAAACAATTTATCAATTACTTAATCCCGCAAAATATGTACAATAATTTCAAAATAACCATACCCAAATCACTCCTAACAAAAGCTATTGAAATATCTGTTGGCAATTACTTCTGTCGCAGAATATATCCCACAAGGGTGAATAGTCAAAATATGTCCATCAGCTTAATTTGAAACGATTCTTCTTTTTATTTTTAAAAAATGTTGCTTTATTTTTAAAAATTTACAAGTAATAATTGTACATATTCATGGGACACATAGTGATGTTTTGAGACATATAATGTGTGGTGATCAGATCAGAGTAATTAGCTTACCCATCATCTCAAACGTTTGACATTTCTTTGTGTTGGGAACATTCAATATCCTCTTTTCAGCTATTTGAAACTATATATTATTGTTAACTACAGTCATCCTACAGTGGTATAGAACACTAGAACTTATTGAGCCTATCTTACCAGAATTCTGTATCCTTTAGCAAATCTCTCCCTATCCCTCCCTTCCCCCTATACTTCCCAGCCTCTAGTATCTTCTGTTCTACTTTTCCAAAGGAAGAAAATCATTATATCAGAGAGATATCTGCACCTCCATGGTAATTGCAGCACTATTAACAATAGCCAAGATACGGAATCAAACTAGGTGTCCAACAGATGAATGAATACAAAAACTGTGGTATATATACACCATGGAATACTACTCAGCCACAAAAAAGAATGAAATCTTGTCATTTGAGACAACATGAATGGAACTGGAGGACATTATGTTAAGTGAAATAAGCCAAGTACAGAAAGTTAAATATCACATGTTCTCATTCATATGTGGAAGATAAAATAGTTGATCTCATAGAAGTGAAAGGTAGAACAGAGGATACTGGAAGCTGGGAATGGTAGGAGGAAAAGGAAGGATAGGAAGAGAATTGAAACAATTCTTCTTTGTGTACTCATGCTACCATTTTGATATTAAGATAGTTTGATTTGATTTGTCATACATTTAAATTTTTAAAAAAATTATGAAACATGTTTACATTGTTACCCTGTCAAATTATGAAAGGAGATGTATTCAGAGGAGCATGCATGTTTCCACCCCTTTCTCGACCCTCCTTTTTTTTTTTGCTTAGACAGAGTCTCATTCTGTCGCCCAGGCTAGAGTGCAGTGGTGCCATGCACTATGTCAGCTCACTGCAGCCTCTGCCCCCTGAGTTCAAGTGATTCTTGTGCTTCAGCCTTGGGAGTAGCTGGGATTACAGGCATGTGCCACCACACCCAGCTAATTTTTGTATTTTTGGTAGAGACGGAGTTTCACAATGTTGGCCAGGCTGGTCTCTAACTCCTGTTCTCAAGTGATCCACCCACCTCAGCCTCCCAAAGTGTTGGGATTACAGGCGTGAGCCACTGCACACGGCTTTCCTTCCCTTTAGTAGTGGCTTTTTCTTTGTTTTGTTTTGGCTTATTCTTTCATATTTTTCCAGTCTTTTGCTATCAGAAATAGTACTTCTATGGACACAATCTAAGTTTTTATATACACTGATTTCTTGGCAAAACATAATGGTGGAGATAAACATACAGTGAGTGGTTACCTGAATTTTTTACTCATCCACTCAGTTACATGCTATAGTTTACTGAGGACAAATTTGCACATAAAATTCCTTGCAAAAACATTGTTGAGTGAAAAAAGCAAATTGGATAAGTATCTATCTATTATCTATCTATCAATCTATCTATCTAATCTATCTATCTATCTATCTATCTATCTATCTATCTATCTATCTATCTATCCTGTTTATCTATCTAGAGATGTCACAACAGGGTGGCATCTCAGGACAGGAAAAAAGGGACTAGAATAGAGAATAATGATTGAAAAGGAATTGAAAATATATATGTATCTTTTTGTGTAATAAAATAGTATAATAAAGAGCCTGGGGCCACAGTCAGAAACCCCATTTTCTAATCATCAGAATGATTTGAGTAGGGTGTATTCATGTCTGAGAAATGCAATTGAGGAACCTGTTGATCTGTTAAGTGGCTTTTCAAAATCGGGGTATATTTATGATGCAATATTTACTTATAAAAAAACACAGTAAAATTATACCTCTACCATTATTGCTATGTATTAATGTCTCCTGTACTCAGATAAAGAGTAAAAGAGAACTCTGAAGTGTAGAAGAGTTGTGGTAGGAGTGGTAGAATTGTGAAAGATTTTTTTTTTTTTTTGAGGTGGAGTCTCACACTCTCGCCGGTGCTGGAGTGCAGTGGCGCGGTTGCGCCTCACTGCAACCTCCGCCTCCTGGGTTCAAGCAATTCTGTCTTAGCCTCCTGAGTAGCTGGGATTACAGGCGCCCGTCACCATGCCCAACTTTTTTTTTTTTTAGTATTTTTAGTAGAGACGGGGTTTCACCATGTTGGCCAGGCTGGTCTCAAACTCCTGACCTTGTGATTCAGCTGCATCGGCCTCCCAAAGTGCTGGGATTACAGGCGTGGGCCACCGCACCCGGCAGTGAGTGATTTTTAATGCCCTTTCTTTTTTTTCAGTTAATGCAACAGTTGAACAAGAACATTTGTAAATAAATGCAGATGCCCAATCTCTTGCTCCCTTGGAAGTCACCCAAACTGAAAAGAGAATAAGAAATATAAGTACATACTTCATTTGTCAACGAAACTAGGATATTGATAAATATGCTCACAGTATATGAGTAAATAAGTAAAATAGAAGCATTATAAAAATCAGACTAATTATCAACAGAAAATGAAAAAATTATGTAATGAAGGGTTGGAGAACTGAAGATAATTAAGTTTATTTGTCTTCTCAAATGAAAAAAGCTCTATAATTGTGGTCAGTGTGTATCGTAGAAGGTGACAGTAAGAGAAAATGTTTTACAGAATGGATGGAGTGTGTGACAAGACTTAGTTGGATATTTAAAGAAATAAATAAAACAAAGAAGACAATTTCTAAACTGAAAAAAATTGATAATACTAAGAACTTATTATGTGACAAGGACTATTTTAAGAATTTACTTGATTTAACTCAATTAATCCTCATGTAATCTTATGAGGTATGCAGTATTGCTACCTCCATTTGCTATGTATAAATAGCTTGTTCTATTTTACTGCAGAATAGTATTCAATTGTTTATATGTATCACAGTTTGTTAATCCATTCACCAGCTGTTTCCAATTTGGGGCTATCATGAATAAAACTGCTATAAATATTTACATATGCAGTTCTACAGATCTACATTGATTTAAAAATCCTCGTTGAGGTTTCAAGATCCCAAAAAGGAAAGGAATTCTGGAGAGAAAGTAAAAGGACTTTTAATTAGAAGTCTAGATTTATTTTTAAGTCCTATTAAGATAATTTTTCTGTAGAAATAGATTCAATGCATAGAGCAACAGAAAAGAGCCCTAAAGAGAACTACAGATGTGTAGGAAATTGTTATATAAAGAGAAAGCATAGAAACCAGTGGAGGGAGTGCATGAAATATAAGTATTTGGTTTGATGCAAGCAGTCATTTTTGTTGCAACAGTAAAAAGAAAAATATTATAAATAAACCCACTGTAAACTTCTCCAAAGAGGCTTTTCTGTGAATACGAGTTTTTACTTTCCTTAGGTAAAATTTTAGGAGCATTGAATTTTATGGTAGCTATATGTTTAACTTTATAAGAAATTGACAAACCATTTTTGAAAGTGGCTGTACCATCTGCATTTGCAGCAGTTATGTAGGAGAGCTGGCGCTCTCTTTCCTCACCAGGACTTGTTATTGATGGTTTTTCTTTTTTCTTTCTTGCCACTCCAGTAAGCATGTAGTGATATTTCGTCGTGGTTATAATTTGCATTTCCCTGATGATCAATGATGTTGACTCTGTTTTCATGGTCACATTTATTTACCATCTGTGTGTTTTCTTTAGTGAAGTAATTTGAATTTTTGTCCATTTTAAAAATTGGGTTGTTTTTATTACATTTTGGGACTACTTCATGTAGTCTTATATATAAGACATATATATAGACTACATATTTGTCTTTTCTTGTTTTATGGCTTGTCTTTTTATTCTCTAAACTGTCTTTCTCAGAGCAGAGGTTAAGTATGCTAAAGTCCAATTTATCAATGTTTTCTTTATGAGTCATGGTTTTTGGTATCATATTGAAGCAATCTTTGCCTAATCCATGATTAAAAATATTTTCCACATTTGTATGTTTTAAGTTTTACATTTTGATCTATGATCCGTTTTGAGTTACTTTTCTATAATGCATGAGATGTAAGTCCCTGTTCATTTTCTGCATATGGATATCCAATTGTACCCACACTACTTGTTGGAAAGACTATGCTTCTTTCATTAAATTCTTCCATTAAATTTCCTCTTTGTCAAAATAAATTGGCTCTATATGCGTAGACTCTATTTCTGGATTCCTTCTTCTGCTCCAAGGATCTCTGCGCCTAGCCTTTTATCATCACACTGTCTGACAGGATGAGTCTTCTGATGTTCTTTAAAAAAATGTTTTAGCCATTCTAGTTTTTTTTTTTTTTTTTTTGCCATTTCATAAAAAATTTAGAATCAGGCTGGATGCGGTGGTTCACGCCTGTAATCCCAGCACCTTGGGAGGCTGAGGCAGGCAGATCACAAGGTCAAGAGACCGAGACCATCCTGGCCAACATGGTGAAACCCCGTCTCTAGTGAAAATAACAAAAATTAGCCGGGCGTGGTGGCACGCGCCTGTAATCCCAGCTACTTGGGAGGCTGAGGCAGGAGAATTGCTTGAACCTGGGAGGCAGAGGTTGCAGTGAACCGACACTGTGCCACCTCACTCCATCTAAAAAAAAAAAAAAGCACAAGAAAAAGAATTAGAATCAGGCTTCTGAATTTACAAAAAAAGATTTACAATTTTGATTGGGTTTACATTGAATCTATAATTAATTTGGGGAAAACTGACAATGGTATTGAGTCTCTATTACTTGACTTTTTTTCTTTCCTCCATCATTTGTGGTTGTCAGCATAGAGATCCTGCATAATTTTTGTTAAGTTCACTTTGTGTTTTTGGTGTCATTGCAAATGTAACTTTAAAAAAGTTTCAATTCTCAGTTCTTCACTGTTACTATATAGAAATACAGTAGATGTCTGTATGTCTCAAACCTCTCTAGAGTCAATTATTAGTTTAAGCAACTATTTCTGTAGGCGATCTCTCTTTTTCTCTCCTTACCTTCCTCCCTCTTTCTTTCCTTCCTTTCTTGCCTCATTTTTGGTGCGATAACTTTCAATATGATGTTTAATAGGAGTGGTGAATATGAACTTCCATACTTCATTCCTAATCTTAGAGGAAACATGGCAGTCTTTTACCATTACAAATGATGTTATCTGTAAATGTTTTGCAGATATATTTATCAGATTAAGGCCGTTCACTTCTATACGTACTTAGCTGAGACTTTTGAACATGAATGGATGTTGAATTTTATTAATGTGTATTGACAATACATATTATATTAAATGCTTTTAGAATATTGAGGACACTTGTATTTATTTTCATGAAGCATAGTAGTCTGTGGTTTTCTTTTCTTGTAATTTCTTAATCTGGTTTTGGAATTGAGGTAATCCTGGATTAACAAAATTAGTTAGGAAATGTTCCCTCTTCCTCTGTAATCTGGAAGATTCCATGTAAAAGAAGTATTATTTCTTACTTAAGTGAGTGTGCTGGATCTAGTTATGTTAATTTTGTATTTGACTTGCTTAGGTTTTCCCAAGATTCTTAAAACTGGGACTACTGTCTTTCATTAATTTTGGAACATTATTGGTCATTATACATTAAAATGCTTTTTCTACTCAATTCTCTATCTCTTTGACTTTTGGAACTCCAATAATGCATACATTAGACTGTGCACCATTGTTCCATAGCTCTTTGATCCTGTTATTTTCTTGACTTTTTGTATGTGTGTTTCTTGTCTTCAAGTTCACTGATTCTTTCCTGTGCTGTATCCAGTCTACTGATAAGCCCAACTAAGCAATTTTTATCTCTAATGTCTTATCTTTCATTTTAGCATTTTCATTTGTCATTTTCTTACAGTTTCTCTTGTAAGTTCCCCCATTTGTTCATACATGTACACCATCTTTTTTTTTCACTAAACTCCTTAGCATTTTTTACTGTAGTTTTTAAAATTATTAGTATGATATATACAAAATCTCGCTCTCTGGTTGTCTTTATATCTTTATTGTTTGACAATGGCTGTGTGTGTATGTGTCATATTTTTGGAGAATGCCAAACATTCTGTGTAAAAGAACCCTACAGACAGAAGTAAATAATAGTTACTCCTGGAAATGAGCATGTTTGTCAGTTTTGTCTATTGTTTAGCTGTGCCTGGGTTTTCTTGTCACTATAGCTACTTTGAGTATGCACATATTTCAAATTCCTCTTGTAATGGACTGCAGCTACCTTGTGCTTAGTATGAACACTGGAGTATCGGAGTATGTTTCCATGTCCTTTTAGCAGATCATACACAGCTGTACTATAGAGAGGGTCCCTCTCTGTACTCCTGCCTTCTCCCACCAGTACACTGTTCTTGTTTATTACTTGGTACAAGACTCATGTTAGGACAGAGCGATTGTCTTATTTCTCCTGCTGAATTAGACTCCGTGTTATTTGAGCCACAGGAAATAGATATTTTTGCATTTCTGACTTTTCCTACCATGGGAACAAAACTTTATTTATAACAGTAGAGTCTTGGTATGAGCATATTTTCTCCTTTTCTCCATTGGCTTCTCCCTTTTTCTGCCTTGCTCTGTCTGAGGAAGGATAGTTCCTCAGTTCCTGTGTCCTATCTGTCTCTCCCCAGAAGGGCTTGGACATTTCAGCATTCAGTTCATCCAGTTGCCTTGAGATGTCAGCTCTCAGATAGGCTTCCAGAAAGGTTTAGGATCTGTGGATTATGCAGCTTTTTCTTGCTGCTAGTGTGGGAGGGACCATTTCTTGGAATTTTCTGTATTCTGTGAACCCAGGCAGGATTTTAACCAAAAATTGGTACATATTTGGTGATGGAAGAGGAGGAAGGGGATGAATCAGCTAAAATACTCCTCTGCTAAGTAAATGACTAAGGATGATGCTTACAATTGATGACTCACCAGACTGCAATGAAGGTAAATAATATAATAATGTTAGAAGATTTGTAAGTGGTTGCCTCTGAGAAGGAAAGTGGTGGTCGTAAACTACTGAGGAGTAAACCAGTATGGAAGAGAAGCAAGTAACTTCTTTTACGTTTCAAGCTTTTGGCGTTACTTTTTGCATGCCTTATAGGTGTTATTTTGACCAGAATTACTTTTTTAAAATTTATTAAATTTTTTTTTACAGTTGAGGAAACATCTTTTTTCTTTTTAAACTGGGAGGAATTTTGTTGCTTTAGAGAAAAAGAAAAAAATCATAGTCAAATGTAGAACATCCAAGTGATACAAAAACATTCAAAAAGAAAGGAAAAAAACACAAAAAAGAAAAAAAACCCCACAAATATCCATTACTTAGAATCAATTATGGTCAACATCTTGTAATAATCTTTCTAGAAATTCTCCACACAATTACAATTGGATGAATAAATAGATTGAGAAGTTATATATATTATGTTATAGTTTTCCGTTAAAAAATGGTATGTATTTTCTTAATCCAGTCTATCATTGTTGGACATTTGGGTTGGTTTACTATGCAGCCATAAAAAAGGATAAGTTCATGTCCTTTGTAGGGACATGGATGAAGCTGGAAACCATCATTCTGAGCAAACTATCACAAGGACAGAAAACCAAACACTGCATGTTCTCACTCATAGGTGGGAATTGAACAATGAGATCACCTGGACACAGGGCAGGGAACATCACACACCGGGGCCTGACGTGGGGTGGGGGTAGTGGGGAGGGATAGCATTAGGAGAAATACCTAATGTAAATGATGAGTTAATGGGTGCAGCACACCAACATGGCACATGTATACATATGTAACAAACCTGCACGTTGTGCACATGTACCCTAGAATTTAAAGTATAATACAAAAAGGTATGTATTAAAAACCAATGAATATACTAATTTACTTATTAACCCATAGTTTATTATTATTTTATTTATTTTATTTTTTTTTGAGACAGAGTTTTGCTTTGGTTGCCCAAGCTGGAGTGCAATGGCACGATCTCGGCTCACTGCAACCTCCGCCTCCCGGGTTCAAGCGATTCTCCTGCTCAGCTTCCCGAGTAGCTAGGAGTACAGGCATGCACCACCATGCCCAGTTAATTTTGTAGTTTTAATAGAGACTGGGTTTCTCCATGTTGGTCAGGCTGGTCTCGAACTCCTGACCTTAGGTGATCTGCCCACCTCGGCCTCCCAAAGTGCTGGGATTACAGATGTGAGCCACCGCGCCCTGCCCATAGTTTATTATTATACAGAAATTAAAAATGCAACCCAGAGGGGTTCGAATTTTTCCCTTAAACACCACAACTAATTTATGACAGAGTCAGGACTAGTATTCAGATTTTTTGACAGTAACGTCTGTGTTTTTTCCAACTCAGTAGGTTGTTTATTATTTGGGTTTTTGACACTACTGGCTTTTTGCAAGCTATTATAATGAATTCTCACTAGTTTTGCAAGATATATTTTCTTGAGTCATATCTGGCTTTGCCACCTAATTAACCTTTAACTATATTTGATAATTTTAAGTAAGAGAAAAATGTTCTTACTGCAGACAAGGATCCAAAAAAGAAGGATTTTAAAGGTCAGACTATTGTTGTGAATCCAGAATCTGTGCATAAATAGATTTTTTAAGTAATGGAGCGAACAGTGATCCCAAACAAGCTAGATTCAAATTCATATTTATTCAAACATTTTTACAGTGACTTTGATAAGTAAAAGTGTCTATACATTTACCAATTAGTGGCTATCAACTGGGGGAAAGCATTTCAAAGAAACTTTAAAATCTTAAATATTTTTTAAAAGTCTGTAGAAGGGCTTCTTTAAGCATTCTGACCATGAATAGTTCTAATCATCTAAGTTATAATTAATATATGTATTTCCCAAGAGAATAAAATTGAAAAAGGCTTTCCTCTTTTTAATTTTTCTTCTTAAATTTTCATAGCAATATACTGACAGATAGTAATAGAACTTCCACTTCACCTTCAATTTGAAAGGCTTAACTATATTAGATATCGATATGGACAAAAGTGTTGATTATTCATTTATTGTTCATTATTATCTCAAAGTGTTCTTCTTGTATGCTGTCATTCATTTAAAAATTGAGGAAAGAACAATTGCAATGCTGTGTTAAGATATTTTGAGGAAGAAATGCCCTCAGATATTTTTATTGTACATCTTGATGGTTTTGGTCTATTGAAACCATCTTCCATTATTTCAAACAAAATTATAACATCATCTATAATTGGAAGTGTTCTTACTCTCACTCCACATTTTACATCTTGATTAGGAGTTTAAAGAACAGGGCCTGATTATGATGGTAACATCCAGCCATCTGCAAGTCAAAGGAAAATCCATTCTAAATTGTAAGTAGTGTGGGAAAGCCCAAAGAAGATCTAGGTTTTTTCCATGCTGGATCTCAATGCTCTTTTTGCACTCCAAATAATTTCTTATAAATTTTTATGACCTCTGGATTCTTTTCATTTGCAGATGCCTTATTGGGTGATTCAGCACAAGTATGATGATACTTTCTTTTGGAAGTTTTGGAGATTTAATCATTTCAGATGTAGACGGTCAGTTCTAGGTAGGGTGACCAACTGGTCCCAGTTGGCTCAAGAGTGTCTTGATTTTAAACCTGGAAGTCTTGCATCATGGAAACCCACTAAGTCCCTGGTGAACTGGGATGTTTGGTCACCCTACTTTGAGGTGGCAGGAGCTCATTTTTATACGGAATGTCTAGCATGCTTAGTAAAATTAGAATAGAATTTTGTTAAGGCTGTGTTTCTGATGACTCATTTTACAAATATACAGTTGACCCTGGAATAATACTGTGTGGGTTCAATTATATGTGAATTTTCTTCTGCCTTTATCACCCTTGAGACAACAAGACCAACCCCTCCTCTTCCTATTCAGCCTCCTCAACATGAAGATGATGAGGATGAAGACGTTTGTGATGATCTTTCACTTGATGAATAGTAAATGTGATGTATTTTCTCTTCCTTATGATTTTCCTTATAATATTTTCTGTAGCTTACTTTATTGTAAGAAAACAGTATATAATACATACAACATATAAAATATGTGTTAGTCTACTGTTTATGTTATTGGTATGGCTTCTGGTCAACAGTAGGCTATTGATAGTTAAGCTTTTAGGGAGTCAAAAGTTATATAGGATGCTTTTTGACTGTGTCAGAGATTGGCACTCTTAGCCTCCATGGCATTGGAACATGGGTTAACTGTACTTAGCAACTATGTGAATGAATGGATCTTTCCCCAAAATATCACCTTTCCCCTGCCCACTGGCCAAAGATTATGGATACTTCCTTTGTTACACAATGGTTCATTCCTTGCTGATATATAAACATTTCAAAACATTTCACTTCAGGCTGCTTATCTTTATTCACTAGAATGAATGACGTCTAGGTGTTTCCTTAGGAATAATTGGTAGGAAATATTGGGTTCTATGAAAATATAGCACTGAAATCCAAATTTATCTCTATTTCTATTTCATGAATTAGTTGCATTCAAGCAAACAACTGCTTAGAAGATTGAAATTTCGCATTTTGATTAAAATGTCTTACTTTTTAAACAATTTAATAAAACTTCAATGTTATCAGCTTTTTCTGTAGAACCACAGTACTATTTTAAATTCTTATTCATAATTACCAGGATACATTAAAGTAAAATTTATATTCTTGGTAAAATATCAGACTATTGTATGATTAAATTATAGGTGTTGGCTGGGTGTGGGGGCTCACGCCTATAATCCTGGCATTTTGGGAGGCTGAGTGGGGTGGATTGCTTGAGCTCTGGAGTTTGAGACCAGCTTGGGAAACATGGTGAAACCCTGTCTCTATAAAAAATACAAAAAGTACCTGGGTGGGGTGGCTCACGCCTGTAATTTCAGCTATTTGGGAGGCTGAGCCCAGGGAAGTCAGGCTCCTGTGAGTCATGATCACGCTACTGCACTCTATCCTGGGTGACACAGTGAGACTTTGTCTTGGAAAAAAAAAATTACAAGTGTTTGTGTCTACTGTCTTCACTGCTTATTTTAGTTTAACCACTACTTTCTAATTTATTTAATGATATATCACATAATTATAGTTTGTTCTCAAATTAAGATTTTCTTTTAAGTGCTAGCATAACTTATTGACACATATATAAAGATCTGAGCACAAATACAAAGTAGAAGGATAGAAAGTCTTACAATGGCATGTTAATGATTGTTGATACTATTCATGGCATTGAACTCTCAGGAACAGGATTGGTACCACAGGTTTCTGCAAATTCCTGTACTTCTTAGTCTCCTTTTCCCTTCCTACTTTTATTTCTATTTTTTATTAGTAGGTAGTGTGAATCTCTGTCCCAGTTGAAATGCATATTCATTTTCTTGTTAGTACATAGGAAACAGTGACTGCTGTTATAGAGAAGTATTATTTTGATTTTGCATGCTTTCTGTTCTGTCATAATCACCTATTCCCAGAGTTGCTTTGAAATTATGGATAATTCAAGTGAGCTTACTAATCAGATTTCTAGTTTCTGGCTCACTTCCTTGACTTTCCTCATAAGCATATTCCATACCCTCATCCCTCTGTTCAAGTCTCCAGGCACTTGTCTCCCTCATCTCCGGCACGTCCTTGCCTAGTCCCAGCCAAGGACACTGCTTCCTGCGTTACAGAGAAAGCAGACCCTTTCAGGCATACGTTGCTCAGGCATACATTGCCTTGAACATCAGCCTCTCCCTCCACAAATTAATTCCTATTTACATTGTTTCTTCCTTATCATTTCAGATTTTAAAAATGCCACCTCACCAGTCCCATCTCTTGAATCTCTCTGAGCAGGACTTTGTGGTTTATTTCTGCACCTATAGGGCCCATCCTTATACTCAGGGCATGTTAGGTAGTCAGTAATTTAATGGAATGAATGAGTGAACACTAGGCAGTGTTAGGGAATACTAGACATGAACAATCAATAGTAAAATGAAGATTAAAATTTATTTTGATTTCTAATCAGATATATTAAAGTAGTTCTTAAACAGAGTGTTGCAGGTACTTATCAAATGAGCAAATTGTATTTGATATTGAAATCATAATTCCACAAACAACTATCTGTCCCCAGGTACCCTCTGATCTCAAGTAAATGGGATTTCTATGCCTTCAAATCAATTACAGAGAGATTTAGGGCATTGTTTTATCTTTTATAGGACTAAGATTAATTTATGAAAATGTGGTTTAGAGATACTTTCAAATGTGATTGATGATTTTGATTTCCACTGGTATTGCTATGAAATCACATGGAATTAAACTGGTCACATTAAATGACCTAACATTTGCGTATGCATAATAATGTTTTAAAGATTGAAACGTGTTTCCTGCGTTGAGAAAGGGAATTCTTAAGATGTATTTAAAATGTATTCAACTGATGCTAGTGAACTAGAAAATTTTCTGCATTACATTGTTTTTCAAGATGAAAATAGCTTCACTAAATTATATTATAAAATAATGTGTTTATAAAAAATCATATGCATTCATAAATGAATTGGATAATTCAGAAAAGTGAATATGACTACCCATAAATGATCACTATTACTGTTTCTATATATAGTCTACACACATTTTTGAATATGTTTTACAAAAGTGGATTCATACTATTTTGTAAATTTCATTTTTTTAAAACAATATGCTATGAGCAACTTTCCATGCTAATAAGGGTAATTCCACATCCTCACTTTTAATGGCTCCAAAGCATTCAACTGGTGAAAGCACAAAAAAAAATTCAACCAATTTCTTATGGTTGGACCATAAAATTTTAAAGATTATGCCACTAATATAAAAATGCCGTGTAAAATATCAAAATGCATTTATTTTTCTACACATTTGATAATTTCATTAGGATAAATACCTGAAAGTAGAAATGCACATTCAAAGGACATATGCATATTTAAGGATCTATATCTATGTGTGTGTGTGTGTGTGTGTGTGTGTGTGTGTGTGTGTGCGCATGTAGCCCAAGTATGGTGATTTCATCCAGCTGATTGGTCAAGTCAAAGAATGACATGTCATGTATTTTTGGCCAATGAACATAAGGGAAGTTGGCTGGGGCATCTTAGAATTGTTTTATAGCTATGAAAACTATTTATGAACTGGAACTTTTCTTTGGCCTCTAGTCTCCAGTGTTGATGTCTGAAACTATGATAGATTTAGGTTCATGAGGAAGCCAGCCAGTAAGAAAAGACATACTCTCCAAGAATGGCACAGTGATAAAGATGGCAAGATCCTGATGATGGCAATAAGCCAGTGAATCCACCAATCCTTGACTCACCTTGCCTCCATAGTTTTGTTATTTATTTAATGAAAACCCTTTAGCATAAGGCAGAATTCTCAAAGTGAGAATATGAGAGGTTCTTGAGACCCTTTTAGAAAGTCAATGAATTCAAAACTATTTTCAAATTATTCTATGAAAATATTTGCCCTTTTCTCTCTCATTCTTCAGCTTACACAGTGGAATTTTTCAGAGGCTAGGTGATGTGTAATTTGGCAACAGATTGAATACAGAAGCAGATATGAGAATCCAGCTGTCTTCTATAAACCAGACATTAAAAGATTAGTAAATATGTAAAATGATTCTCATTAAAGTTTTGGAAAAATTTTCTAAGAATGGATTATTTATGTTAACATGTGATGGGTTTATTTTGTTATTTTTAAATGAATTAGTCGGTATATTCTTAAAAATATATCATTTTTATTTCTGGTATAGTAAATACTAATAGAAAAAATCCAAATAAACAAAAGCTTTTGGAAACCTCAAACATTTTTAAGAATTTGTGGGGGCCTGGCGTGGTGGCTCACGCCTATAATCCCAGCACGTCAGGAAGCCGAGGCGGGCGGATCACGAGGTCAGGAGATCGAGACTATCCTGGCTTTCACGGTGAAACCTCGTCTCTACTAAAAATACAAAAAATTAGCCGGGCGTGGTGGCGGGCGCCTGTAGTCCCAGCTACTCGGTAGGCTGAGTCAGGAGAATGGCGTGAACCTGGGAGGCAGAGCTTGCACTGAGCTGAGATCACGCCACTGCACTCCAGCCTGGGTGACAGAGCGAGACTCCGTCTCAAAAAAAAAAAAAAAAAAAAAAGAAAAAAAGAAAAAAAAAAGAATTTGTGGGATTGTCTTGGTTTGTTTAGGGTGCCATAACAAAATACCATAAGCTAGGTTGCTATAAACAACAGAATTCATCTCACAGTTCTGGAGTCTAAGAAGTCCAAGGTCAAGGCTTTGTCAGGTTTGGAACCACTTTCTGGTTCATAGATGGCACCTTCCTGCTGTGTCCTCACATGGTGGAAGGGGCAAGGTCGTTCTTTGGGTTCTCTTTTAAAAGGTCATTAATTCCATTCATTAGGGCTTTGCCCTCGTGACCTAATCAATTCTCAGAGGCCTCATCTCCAAATACACATTGGAGATTAGGTTTCAACATATGAATTTTAGGGGGACATAAACATTCAGACTACAGCAGGGATCCTGAGACCAAAGTTTTTGAGAACCACTGGCCTAAACCAATGTCATTTCATTGTCTTTTGGCAGTGAATAAGACAACATTGTTGTTTTTTACAATAAACAATGTTATTATTTGACAATAAATAAGAATTGTTTTTGAAGGAGGTAATGGTGGTAAGTCCAAACTAACACTGTTGCCAGAATGATTTTAGAATTTGAATTTATCCTTAAAGGATATTAACTAGCTCAGAAATGTTTCCATGTTGTAAAATGACTAAGCATATTTTTCTCTGTCTTTTCTTCTTCATTTTTTTCCCATTAATTTTGTATGAGATACAGAGATCCCTTTCATCTACAAATGTTTATTTTTTCCTTTCAAATTTTCTCTTTTTTCTTTCAACTTACTGCCTGTCATCTTTTATTGACTCTTGAGTCTTTCTCTACATTTTCTCTTCTCTTTTCTCATATCATTGTTTTCCTCTGCTCTTTCATCTTGGTTCTAGGAAAATTGCTTGTCTGGTCTCTACAATATTGATTACATTTAAAACAGCATCAATTTTGCTTCAATTTAGTTTGCCATTCCTATAGTTTGTTTTTAGTATTCTTGAAATATTTCTTTATCCTTTCCATCTATCTAATTGTGCTTTCCTATCCCTTGTTTTCTTTTCTATCCCTTGGATATTTTTTCTTGTAAGGACAATTTCTTGTGGTATTCTGTGGAGGAGATCAACTTTTAATGGATTGTTCAGTGCCTTTGTTCCTTTTTTTTTTTTTTTTACAGCATTTTCCCCCAGATCCCTATTTTCATAACATGCCCTATTTTCATTTTACTATCATTAAACAAGGAAAAGTCCATACAGACTTGTGTCTGAGAGATCAAGGAGGTTACACATAGTTGGCTCCTTTTCTCCTGATAGTGTGATTTTTATCTGCTTCTCAGTTTATAGCTGGAATTGGGGGGAGGCTGGTGCACTGACCTTTACTGCTAATGAAACCACAGTAATATTTACTTCTGCCCTGAATAGTGGTCTTCTTTTATCTCCATAGTGTAGTCCTCTGGAACTCTGGGTCAGATGTGAAGCATCCTCTATTCTAGAACATTCTAGAAACATTCCCTTTGGTCAGTGACACCCCCACACCCAAGCATTTCACCTTTAGGGGTGACTGCAACACTGTTATTTTTCTTTTGCTTTCTGCCCCAAACTTTGGAGGAAAACTTAGTACTTTGTTGACAATAGAGTTTGTGAGTGTAGCATGCCTTATTATTTCCTTGAAGTTTTCATGCAGAAATCACCTTTAACACTGAAGTACCCTCCTTGATGGTATCACATTACCAAGACGTTTTTACTTTCTTGGAGAAATATTTATCCTTGAATAATATTAATATTGAAATTGTTTAGGCTTAGTTACTTCCATGACGCCCATCTGTTTTCTTTAAATGTATAAAATTACAAAAAAAAATCTCCTAAGTGAATAGGCAAGAAAGTAGCAACTGTTACTGCTAATAAGGCCAGCACTGGAAAGTTATAGCACAAATTTCTTTGTCCTGCCCAAGTCTCTTTCTAGGTGTATTTATTGATTTACATGTATTATTTTTAGATCTTCGCATGATTCAATCTGAATAATTGATGTTCAAATAATTTTAATTCAATAAAATAGCTAATTTAAAACATGTTTTAAACACAAACATTAAAGATTAAGAACAATATCACTTTTTTTGGACAAAATAATGATTTGACTTCAGTGCAAAAACTAATTTCATTGCTGACTACTGTTTGTTTTTTTCCTAAGAAAATTTCTCCTTGCTATATTAATATGCAATAAGATTAGTTCAGAGAAAAGTGTTAGTGTGGAGGATCTTTTGAAAGATGTCTTTAATGGCACCATCGACTTCTGGATAAAAAAGAGAGTGAATTTCGAGTAATTGGTAGGCTCTACTACGCTAGTATTAGAGTGTCCTTGGGGCATTTTTTTTTCTCACCTTGTTTTCTTTCTAAAAAGGTACAAAATATCCAGTAAATTGAAGAGTACCTTTTATTCTTTTACTTGCTGGATATTTTACCCACTGTGTGGATTGTTACATGGTAAGAAATGTAGAAGATGCAAAAAAAATAATGTAAAGCTTGTTCAGTTTGGAAGTTTGATTAGTTATTATCTAGCATTTCTCGTGCACATTCGTGGTCATTCTACTGGTGGTGTTATATTGCATGTGCGGAATCTCTGCAAACTGTATCAGCTTCAACAACTCCCTGATGAACTCTCAATGAAAAGAGTCAGACTCCATGACCCACAGACCCCCAAGACATATTCCAGGACTCAAGTTTTAAATGTGAAAAGTGTGTTTGCAGCAAAAATTCAGTGCTAACTTGTTAAATATTGAGAAAAGACTTTTACATCAAACCTTTATTAAAGTGGTATCCCAGTTAGAAGTGAATGTGTGGCTGGGCGTGGTGTCTCATGCCTGTAATCTCAGCACTTTGGGAGGCCGAGGCGGGTGGATCACGAGGTCAGGAGATCGAGACCATCCTGGCTAACACGGTGAAACCCCATCTCCACTAAAAATACAAAAAATTAGCTGGGTGTGGTGGCTGGCGCCTGTAGTCCCAGCTACTTGGGAGGCTGAGGCAGGAGAACAGCGTGAACCTGGGAGGCAGAGTTTGCAGTGAGCCGAGATCATGCCACTGCACTCCAGCCTGGGTGATAAAGCGAGACTCCATCTCAAAAAAAAATAAATAAATAAATAAAAAGAAAAAAGAAAAAAAAAAGAAGTGAATGTGTAGCACTATAGGGAATTTAGAATAATACCATCCATTACCTCAAGCATTTATCATTTCTTTGTGTTAAGAACACTCCAGTTCCACTCCCTTAGTTATTTTTAAATAGTCAATAAATTATAGTTGACTACAGTCGCCCCATTGTGCTATCAAATAGCAAATCTTATTCATTCTATCTAACTATATTTTTATACCCATTAACCATCCCCACTTTCCCCCTGTTCCTGGGTACCCTTCCCAGCCGCTGGTAACCATCATTCTAATCTGTATCTACATGAGTTCAGTTGTTTTAATTTTTAGCTCCCACATATCAGTGAGAACATACAAAACTTGTCTGTGTGCCTGGCTTATTTTACTTAACTTAATGTCCTTGAGTTCCATCCATGTTGTTGCAAATGAGAGAATTTTATTCTTTTGTATGGTTGAATATTCTATTATGCATATGTACCACATTTTCTGTATCCATTCATCTGTTGATGGACAATTAGGCTACTGTAGATCATTAACCTTTGAAAAATAATATTTAAATAAACACCAATGAGGCTTATAAATCAACTTAATTTTAGTTTTTTACTTTTGAACTAACTCAAGCTATTTTTTTGAAATTTAAATTTACTAACGCTTTCTTTAACTAGAATATCCTGAAGTTTTCCTGAAATTGGGGATTATCTTTCTTTTTAATGTAAAAATGATGTCTCGCTCTGATATAAACATAAGAAATTCAGTTTCTTTTCAACTATTGTTGGAAAATTTCAGAGGTTGCTTTCACATCATGTTTGTGGCCTGTCATGCTGAAGGTTGTATTCCCAGGTGCTCTTGTTCTCCCTGGTAGCATCTGGCCATCTCATTGCTATATCTTCCTGGTGATCTAGTCTTCTCTGGACTCCTTTCCCTGTCCCCGTATGGTCATAACTACTTCTCTTTAAACCCTAAGGTTACATTAATGTAAGAACACTGTGAAACTAGTGGAAGATTAGCCTTTACTGACTACCAGAGGGTGATAAGGGGCAAGGCATTATACTATTGAATGGGAAAATCAGTAAAATTAGATATCAGACACCATTGTTTCTGAAATCCACTGCTGAACTTCATCACAGAAAGACCATTAATTTATTTTGTCTCCACCCACTTGGCCAAGGGCCTCCTTCTGGTCGCTGGGGCAGGCCCTCATTCAGAGCTGCCTTCCTTTTCTGTTTCATCTACTTGCCTCTTTCAGTGCCTGGGACTCCCGACCCTCCAGCCCACTCACAGGAAGACGCCAAATCATTTTTACAAATGATTTTAAATAAACAGCGTGAGTACAAAAGGTTACTCTTCCCCTTTTCTTTAAACTTCATCCTACAGAGCAGTTTAGCCATCTCTGTTCTCACTTCTGCATTCCAGGTTCGGCTGCAGGCCCTGCTTTCGATAGCCACAGTGCCTGTTCCCTGGGAAATCCTCTCTCTCCTCTGAATGCAGAAATGGTAGCTGTCAGCATGGACACGTGCACGCATGCACACATGCACATTCTCCTTTTGGATTCATGTCACTCGTTACATTTTGTGGACTATAGGCTTTCAGTATGCTACATGCTTTCATATTATTTAACCATCCTCTTATAAGTGTTATGCATGGAAAACAGATTAATAAAGAAAAATTGTTAACAGTTTGGAAAGTCTGAGCATCTTTCCCCCTAATAAACCTCTTACATGTGACAGCCCAGAACTAATTTTGCTCAGTCTGATGCCAAGCCTGTGCCCTGCTGCTACACTAAACTGTATCTCATGATTTTTTTCTGTAGAATGGTGAAAAGATAGAGTAACACCCAGTAAAATACAATGTCACAGGCATTGAATGTTCTTAACAAAATAAAATAATTGTGACTTCGTTTTCAAAATGTTTGTATGAAATTATAGAAATACATGGTTGGAATTTCTACCCATGTACAGGAACATTTTTGTTTCAAAGGCTGTTGAAATCTGATATCTGTCACATCTGTGATCCAGAAGTCCCTAAGGCCTGAGATTATCCAACAGTGGTGCAAATGAAATAGATGTTTCATTGTTTACGAAATGCTCAGTATAAGTGCTGGCAGTGAATGCCAGATTTGAGGAGACTGTATACCATGGTGCCTCTCCCAAACTGCCAAAAATACGACAACTGTTAATTCTCAGTATCCCTGAGAAGCAAGCAATTTATAGTATAGAAGTCAAACCCATAAAGGAAATGTTCAGAATCTATGGGTGGATAAGACTCAAGTCTGTTAGGTGAGCCAAACTTAATTTTTGACTCCTGCTAAGATTGGGAGAATTCTGCTTGTGAAATCCCTCTGGAATCCTACACTATACCCTGTGTTACAATCACGATGGCCTCATGGAACACTATGTCATCATCTGCAGAAATATACAAATGCTGGATCTTAAATTATTTACTATAATGTGTTTAGAATATTAACTATAATTGCTTCATGTCTACTGAGCTTGAATATAAATTTCAGTTTTTTGGATAATAAATTTTGTACTCACCTAAGATTGTATATGCCCAAAATATATAATGCACCATGAGAAGAGTAAATTAACAACTTTTCTATCTAATTTTTAATAGATTTCCAGATAATCTTGTTACAGCTTAAATTTTTCTATTTGGTCAACTACACAAGGAGAAACTAGGGAGAAAAAGTCCTGTGGAATAGTGGAAAATTCATTAAAATTCTCTGAATAATTTACTCATGGATGCAACTTTACATAGCATAATGGTGAAATCAGCACTTACCGATGTAATCCCATGATAATTCAATTAACATTTTTTGACTCAGTTAAAAATTTTCCTAATTAACATCTGCTATAAAATGTAAAACACAAAAATTAATAGTTGCCTAGAGTTCTGAAGTATGCACTTAGTTGCACACACATTCCAACTGGCATTTGTGTGTGTGTGTGTGTGTGTGTGTGTGTGTGTGTGTGTATGTGTGTGGATTAGAATGGGTTGGTATACTGAATCACAAAGCAATAACAAGAATTGCTTTCTCATCTGGTCTGGCATATGAGAAAACCACAAAACAATGCATGCACTGACCCTGCAGGTGTGCGGGCTGCACCATAACAAAGAAATATTATTCCCTGGACTCTTTCTAGTGGTATCATCATTTGTGCTGAGACACAAAGAAGTAAACAAATGCCAAATGCTGGCTTTGCTTCTGTGCTTCTCTCACTGGGGAGCTTGAATTGGGTCAGAGAGGAGTCAAATGGGAGGGGGTTTGTAGGCCAATTTTAGCTGTCAGCTGATATACTGAAAAGAAGAAAAAGAGAAAATAAGTAGAAACAGTGGTTCAATGTTATGATAAACATATGGCTAGAAATTTCTGTTAATTTCTTTTAAAATTTTTTTTCTACGTGAATTGAATTGCTGTAATAATAATGACTGGGAAGCCAAGGGTGTGATTTTTCTTTTTATTATAAGGAAGCTTTGTTTTGTGTTCTGCTGCCTATGAGCAGTTCATATTTCATATGTAGTTGACAACCCCATGGGCTTTATTGCCTCATTTGAAAAGTTATAAAACAGCAGCCTCACTTCCCTCAAGATTCTCTCTTCTAGAGTGGTGAACCCAATGGAATGTCAATTGAAATGGTTAAATTTAATCATTTAATTTAATTCTATATTAGGCCATCTGGTTAGCCAAATTTAATATTTCATTGCTGAGGAGCTAACAAAATATGAAGGCCATCGTGATATAGCTTGATTACAGTTTTGCAAATACCTTGAATGGTGCCATTTATTTTATAGATGTTTATGTTTAGCTTCTGTATTCTATTCTGTTTAAAGAATCCTGGAGATTATAAGCTGCAAACACTCTTGTAGTATATAAATTATATTTTTGGGTATCACTCTTCAGTGGCTAGAAATAAGGTCATATTTTCGATAATATTCAAATCATGAAAACTGGAGGCCACACATGATCTCGAGAAATCTTCACCCTTCACAATACCAACAAGATATTTCTATGAGTTTCTTAGGGGCTGTCTCACATGTGTGTAGTTCCGTCCCTGTTATTCCATCATATTTCCTTGTTACGTTGTAGGTCATCCACAGTTCCTCCCAACCTCAGCATAATCAACCCAGTGGTTGAAAGCGTAGCCAGGGAGTAACCCTTGAATTGTCTTGTCCCCTCACTCCTGGTTCAATCCACCACTAATCCTTATTGACTCCTGTACTCCTATCTCTATTATTTCAACCATTTCGGCATGCTTTAGTCAACTCCCAGCAGCTGGTGTCTGCCTCTCCAAGCCTAAAAGCTTCATTCCATAGAAAGCCACTCTGCCCGGACTTGAAGTAGCTACAAATCCTGAGAAATGAATTCCCCCGGGCCTCCAACCAATATCCTCAACCAAGGAGACTTGGGACTCGTGTATAAATGCTTCCAATCCCTGATACCTCCAGTAGAATAATTCTGAAATGTGTGTTTTCCAGAGTTTCCCATGAGAGTCAGCTCTGGCTACCTACTATAGTATTTGGCTTGATAACACACCATTAGTGACTGACTTCCTTTCCTTGTCTTACTTCCCCACTCATCTAACAGTGTGTCTGTGCCTCCCAAATAAAATACTTACACTTGATCTTTGTCTTAGAGTATACTTTTGGGACAACACAAACTAGAAAAACCTCACATTCAAGAAAGATCCCTAGTTCGTTTTCCCATTCGATCTTTTTTGCTATCCCTTTGGTCATTGCTCTAACAAGAACAAGAATCTCCAACATATTAATATCTGCTTAAACGTCTTTGCCTCTCTGAAGCTTTCCCAAAAGTTGTTGTCTTCAGAGCTGGTTGTGTAGGTCTATAACAACGTTCACCCATTCCATTTCTTCATGTTTCTCAAAGTGCCTTCCTATGAGTGCCTAAAAGTTGATGAAAAGAGAGCGCTCAAAGAGCAAAGAAGAGGATTCTTTTGTTCAGGTCAGGCATGGCTCGGGCCAAGTTTATCCTTGGAGTATTAATCTGAATGCTCTAGTTAGTCAATGATATCAGCTACAGATAATGAAATTTGCCTCCTCCCTTCCAACATGTATAGGATTATTTTATTTCTAATTGCAGAGGCCAGTCTTTAATTAATTCCAAATATTCTCCAGGAGTACGTAAACAAAAATGCTTCTACTCTTTCAACATTTAGTTCTGAAACCCACCTTTTATTGCTTGCTCCTACAAGAATCTAATGCCACTGCTGATCTGACAGGAGGCAGAGCTCAGGCAGTAATGTTCACTGGCCTGCAGCTTACCCCCTTCTGTACCATGCCAGTCCATGGCCAGGGATTTAGGGACCCCTGATATACAGAGTGACGAGCACCCCAGTGAATGTGTGCCTGCTGTGACGAGTGAACATGCAAGTGTGAAGACCTTGCACAAGCAGTTGAGAAAGAAAAAGCAAACTACTGAAATGTGGAGGATTTGCACACTCCTTCCATTTCTTCTAATCACCATTGTTCTCTCTGGTATGAACTTGGTCAAGCAGTGGCATGAGTTCCATAAAACTGCATAGTGACCTCTCTGGCAAATCTATTAAAATTGTCCAGATCAAGCCCAAAAATGATAATTACCTAATTAACTTATTTTTGTTAAGAAAGAGAAGCCAAAAAGTCAAGTGACACCATTTAAGGTTTCATTTCTCCTTGCAAAACCAAGCACAAGTCACATGATTGCCTGGAAGCTGATACAACTGCCTTCAAAGTTAACAACAAATATCAAATATGCTTAGAGAGAAAATGGCCCTGTTGGGCAGTGTGCAGTGGAATGGTGACAACAGTCACCTGTGCATACCAGCAGGTATTTCCCTTTTGTGGTGCACCAAATCATCAGTTGGAAGAGAATGCTTTTACCCTTGGCAAATGCAGACTACATATATGAGCAAGAAGGGCTCTGTGAAATTTTTTTTCCCCAAAACAATTGTTTAGTGAGTCCTGATATTCTGTAAGAAGTGCACTGGCATCAGTTTCAACTAGCTGTGAGTGCCAAGCCACACACTTTATTTGGAGAGCACCCTTGGCAGTCAGTAATATATGACTTCATCTTGAGTTAGGGTTGAGGAAAGTGGACAACTGCGGACAGGATCGACATGTAGTCACAGTGCACTGTGTGATAAAAGCATATTTTGTCCTAGTGAAATTCACTACATATTAAGGAGAGGGAGCATGATAGAAATTTATAGCATTGGATGAAGCATAATTATTTTTCATGGCACTAATATTACAAGTAAAATCCATTTCTGTGATTTCAAGTGGGAAATCTCCATTCTGAATTTGTAATCTTGAACAGCATGAATACTGTGTAGGATGCATGCAGGGAATACATATCACTTTTTAAAATAGCAAGTCTAAGTAGCTGAAATCATAACACAAATGGCTTTGACTCTTTTCTAATGCTGGGTGATTTTGTTTTCACTTGTTAGAGAAAGACTCAATGGCACATAGGTATAAGTAAACTGCCTGCAAACAGATCTACAGAAAATAGCAATATTTTACAGAATCAAGTTAAACCCAGAAATGGACTCATAATCCAATCACTGCTATTCACAAATTGAAACATTCATCCTCCCACTTTGGGGTCATGTTCTGCTCACAGGACAGACTGTATGGTGAGGAGCTGTTCAGAGTAAAGTCTTAGTCTATCATAGTACCTATGATAAAGTGTTTCTGTGAAGATTAAATAAGCTTATACATGTGAAGTGCTTAGAAATTTCCCCACATCAATGATGTTAGCTGTTTTTAATATTGTTACTCTACTTAGGCTGAGCATGGTGGCTCACGCCTGTAATCCCAGCACTTTGGGAGGCCGAGGTGGGTGGATCACGAGGTCAGGAGATTGAGACCATCCTGGCTAACATGGTGAGACCCCGTCTCCACTAAAAAATACAAAAAATTAGCCGGGCTTGGTAGCGGGCGCCTGTAGTACCAGCTACTTGGGAGGCTGAGGCAGGAGAATGGTGTGAACCCGGGAGGCAGAGCTTGCAGTGAGCCAAGATCACACCACTGCACTACAGCCTGGGCGACATATATATATATATATATTTATGTATATATAAATATATGTATATAAAAATATATATATATTTGTATATATAAATATATGTATATAAAAATATATATATTTATGTATATATAAATATATGTATATAAAAATATATATACATATATATATAGCTGTATATATGTATATTTACTGTACCTATTCAGACAGGGAAGAGAACATAGTTTTCAGTGAAAAATTCCTTCTTCATTTTAGAGGCTTAATTCAATTCAAATACTCAAAGCTATTTTAGAGCCACCAAACTTTTGTGTTTTGCAGGTTTCTTTTTTTTTTTTTTTTTCTGAGGCAGAGTCTTGCCCTGTCACCCAGGCTGGAGTGCAGTGGCGCAATCTCAGCTTACTGCAACCTCTGCCTCCTGAGTTCAAATGGTTCTCATGTCTCAGCCTCCTGATTAGCCAGGATTACGGGTGCATGCCACCATGCTGAGCTAATTTTTGTATTTTTTAGTAGAGATGGGGTTTCACCATATTGGCCAGCCTAGTCTGAAGCTCCTGGCCTCATGTGATCTGCAACTGCCTCGGCCTCCCAAAATGCGTAGTGAACCACTATGCCTGGGTGAACCACTAAACTTTTGTTTGCAGGTTCTGATTACCTAATTAAGAGGGAAGGTTTTCTAATGGGATAGAAGAAATAAAGTGTAAAAAAAGAAAGAGAGAAACAACAAATTGACCTATGACTCATGCTATATATTTTGAGATATGTTTATAAACACTTAGAAGTCTGCAGATCAGGCAGGTGTATGGCTAATTTGGCCCATGCCCCTTCCCTTGATCGTAGAACCTGGCTAGTTTCTCTTGATTGGTTTTCTAATGTCTGGAACTGCAGAGCCTCTATCTCCTATTCTCTATTCAGTACAATCCAACTTAGAGAAACCACTCGTGTTTTTGATCACCTGTTAAGATTATTCTCAGCAGGAAATATTTCTCCTGAGTGAATAACAATAGAAAGAGGAGAGAATGATTATTTTTGCCTCCCCTGGTGAGTATTTTAAGACACATGGAAAGTATTTAAGTTTTTTTAATATTAAAAAGCTTGCCAGATCCCCCTCTCTGTGAAAGATGATTCCCTATTCAGAGAGGAGAAGAGGAATGGTGTGTGTGTGAAGGAGCAGCCTGATCAGATTTAAGGAAATAATAATTTGTGATATGAAATGTACTTTCTAGGTCACTTTCCAGAAATCATTGTTACTGGTAGGAGATTATTACAGAATCCAAGGAACACAAAACTCAAAATTTCCCCCTTACCTAAAAAAGAGTGAAAGAAAGGATTGCTGTAAACTGGCATTATGAGAGCTAGGGAATAATAAGAAACTGATGGTTTCCTCCCTACCCTATGGGATGCCTAAGCTTTGGACAGGGGTTATTTCCATTTGATTGCCTGGTTTTGCTTTTGCTTTTTTTTTTTTTTTTTTCCAAGTAGACTCAGCAGTTCTTTTCCCAAATCTCTATAGATAGAATATTTTTATTTTTAATAAGTCCAGTTCACAGGATAAAAAAGGGAGGGAATAGAAAATCACCAACACAGTACACTAATTGCCTGTTTTTTACTCTGTATAATTTAAGTGTGGGAGAAAGAAACATAAATCCAGAAGAATTGGGGCAGAGCATAATCATGGTGGAAATAGATCTAAAATGTAAAGAAAATAAATGACACTAGAAGCAGCAGCATAGTAGCCAGGAAAGTGCATGACCCAGACCATCTTCTGGGGGGCACAGTTGAGGGAGAGCTCCAGGTGTGCTGTGAAATCTGCAATATTCATGCTGAAGCCACAATCCCTGGGGCTGTTTGCCTGCTAATGACTAAGCATAATGCCAGCAATAATACGGCCCTGTTCCTGCCAAACACAAGGCACTCTAATGGGTGACTTTGGTTCCAAGACTCTCCATTAGCATGACTCAAACTTTTGGAGAATAACACAGCAGTCTGAGACTCTTCCCACCAACCCTCCTTCCTTTCCCCTTCCTCTGCCTGCCTACCCTGGTCTTCAATTTCATCCTTTCTGGGCATTCTTTCAATAAATTTCTGTGCATTTCATCCTGTCTTGGCATCTGCTTCTGCATCTGAACGGATGCCTATGCATATACTTATTTATTATATAGGCATAATGATATATTACATCAGTTTGAGAAAGAGAAAAAACCATCAGTCCATTCCTCTCCTCTTGTTTTCCATGTTTATATAATGACAATATTTCACTAATTGTTAATTGTTGTCTAAAAATAGTGTTAATTTTATTTACCATTTTATTCTAATTTATTTTACCATTGATTATATAATTTCCTTAAGTTTAGTTATAGTCAGTATAACATTGCAACTGATATGCCATAAGTTGTTTATATTTTTATGGTCATTTATGGATCACCTTCTTATTTCAAATAGTACTGGAAGAAATTTCTCTCTCTCTGTCTCTCACACACACACACACATGCACACACACGGACACACTTCCCATTCCCCTCTTTTTTTTTTTTTTGAAGGTCCTGAGATACTAATGTCCCGAATGACTCCACTGTGTGTAGGAAGAAACCAACTAGTATGGCCCAAGTATTACTACAGGGAATGTTGCTGGAGTAATGGGATAAGAATTGTCTTTCCAAGGCTTAATTTTTTCATCTGTAAAATAGGTATAATAAGGGTATCTCATAGGATTTTGGTGAGGATTTTTAAGGCTTTGCATACAAATGGCCATATTACTTAGTCATTGAATGATATTATTATTATTTGTATTACTATTATTATAATTCTCCTTAAGAGGGGGATTTTAAAGTCTCAGTTGAATTTTTAGTCTCCAAACTCTCCAAGAACTCCTCCTTTGTCACTAAAGGAGTCTTTGTTTTATCATACCTCAAAGATGACTCTCTTCCTTTTTCCCCACTTGTCATGGAGCCATATTGCACCTAACTTCTAGCTCACAACTCCCTCTTTCATTTATAGGGTTCTTGCATGCTTTACATTTTAAGAGAATAAAAGGGTAATTTTGGAGACTGCTCAAACTATTATGTCAAACATTTTCTTCTAAATTTTTATTCTAAGTGATTTGTTTTCTAAGTTCTGGAAACCAAGACTTAAAATACATGTAGAAATTAAAGCTGAATTGAAAATTAAAGATATCACATGGGCCTTGCAACTCAGAGAATAAACTTAACTCAGTGTTAAACACGTGCTCCCACAGCCCTAGATAGGACTACCTGGAAGCCTTTCTTCTCTAGGAGCCTAACACCTCATCTTTGTGGGGCTCCTTCCAACTGAGATTTGCTTTTCTTCTTCAATGCTTATTTTTATCCTGTTCCAGAAGATCTAAAGTCTCACCCTCCAGCCTACTAGCAAAAACATAAAGTCTCTTAAAAGAATACATATAACACTGTATTATAAAATATTACATAATATAATTTGTATTAGTCTGTCCTGCCACTACTATAAAGAAATGCCTGAGACTGGGTAATTTATAAGAAAAGAGATTTAACTGGCACAATGTTCCACAGGTTGTACAGGAAGCACGGCCGCATCTGCTTCTGGGGAGGCCTCAGGGAGCTTTTACTCATGGTGGAGCAGGTGTCTTACACGGCAGGAAAAGGACCCAGAGAGAGAGAGAGGTGATACACACTTTGAAACAACCAGATCTCGCGAGGACTCACTCACTCTACAGTACCAAGAGAGGATGGTGCTAAATCATTCATGAGAACTCCGCCCTCAGGATCCAGTCACCTCCCACCAGGCCCCGCCTCCAACAGTGGGGATTATGATTTGACCTGAGATTTTGTGGGGACACAGATCCAAACCGTACCAACATTATATATATTTCTCTGAAAGAACCCATTCTCCCTCAATTAAAAAAGCTTTGTGTATTATTAAACATACATTTAACATTCCACGGTTTCTTCACCAATGTCTGGTCAGTGTGTAGGTTCTTGAGTTTTGACTGAAAGGATTCACCAGGGAGAGTTGCCAGAACACAGAAAACTCTGCCCCAGAGCCTCATCCATGCTTCTATGTACAGCTCAACAAAACACATTTTTTAAAAGCATTTTGTCCTTTTTACATTACTTTTAGCTATTTTAAACATATAGGTATAGTCTCAGAGCTTCCAGTCAAATATGGATCGTCAAGCGGAAGCGGAGGACAGCCTTCCCTTAGAGAGCGATTTTCATCTGTGCTCCATCCCCATCGTGGTTTTATCTGTGTGGAAATGCGCTTCTTTGAAGTGCCGTTAACTAAGCGGGGATGGAGGAATTGGCTAGGAGCCAGGTTATAACCTTCTTACTTGGAATATTCGTCTATATCCTACGTAATGAAGTGCATTAACGTTTATACATTTTATTGCAGTTATTTAGTCAATTTTTTTATTGTAAACCAACATGGATGCTTTGTCTCAGGCATATTCTAATTAGATTATTTTAAATAAAATTATAAAGACGGCAGGATTCAGAAACGAAGTATTTATAATAAATTTGTTATTGCCAATACTAAATATTTTCTCATTTGTAGTTCCCCAGTCTGTCAGCAGGTTGCAGCAGAGGGCTGGCTTTAGTTTTAAATTAGCATGTTAAAGAGCATTAAAATATTTCTCCCTCCCTCCCTCCCCTTCCTTCCTCCTTTCCTCCTTTCCTCCCTCCCTCCCTCCCTCCCTCCCTCCCTCCCTCCCTCCCTCCCTCCCTTCCTTCCTTCCTTCCTTCCTTCCTTCCTCTCTCCCTCCCTCCCTCCTGCCCTCCCTCGCTTCTTTCCTTCTTTTTCCTCCCCTTCCATCCTTCTTCTTTCCTTCCTTCTGTCCTTTGTATCTTCCTTCTTTCTTCCTCCTTCTCTTCCTTGTTTCCTTTATTCCTTTATTCTTTCTCTCTCTTTTCTCATCCCTCCCTTCCTCCCATCTTTCCTCCTTTCTCTTTCTTCATTTCCTCCCGTCCTCCCTTTCTTTTCCTTCTTTCTTTTCCTCAGTTTTTTTCCTCTCTCTCTTTCTTGCCTCTATCCTTTCCTTCCTCCCTTCCTTCCTTCCTTCTATTTTCCTTCCTTTCTCGTTACTTTTTCTTACAATATGAACATGATACTCAATTACATTCTGTAAATGGAGGAGCTGACTCAATAGTAAAGTGTTTATGTATGTGTATATTTAAAATGATGTCTACCTTTTAGGATTTTTTTAAAATAGTACTGTAGTTAAAGATGGAGACCTTATATAGAAGAATAGAGTATCAATAACAATAAGAGTAGATAAACTTATAATTTGACTAACAAAGATAACAATAGCAAAGCCCAGATTTGGTGTGATGTATACAAACTCTTAGGATCACACTCCACTCATATAGCATATGCAAATGGCCTTGTTTTTGCAACTGCATTTGGAAATGTGGAAGAGGGAAAAAGGCATTTCAATCATAGCTCTCATTAGTTATTCACTGTATCCAGGCCGCTCAATTGTGCTTCTGTCTTTAATGTAATAGTAAGCAATAATCTCACAGCTGTGCTTTGTAGAGTGAACTATATAAGCATCTATATTGAGATTTCATACACACATAACATAAAAGCAAGAGAAAAGCATCAAGAATACCGCTTGGCCCATTGCAAAACCATACAAAAGAAATAATAACTCTCCCTCAGAACGGTTTTGTAGAGTGACCAGCTGTAAGATAGACTTGTATTCTATAATGAAATCACCATTCAAAAAGTGATTACTTCAAGGTATGACACTACTTTCCCTTTGAAACATTGATATCTTTAATTATACAACATCAGTATCAGCCACTGGGATGAGATAAAACAGATTCCTAAGCCAAAATTTGTCTCCCTTTCAATGTTCTCATTCACTTCATCTCCTTCTAAGCGCTTACCCGAAGGCTCCCAAAGGACATTGCTCATATATGAGACACGGTGGGTGCTTTTTTCTCCAGCATTTGAGGTTGAGTGTTCATTGTTAACTGGGAAGTGTTTTAGGCTTATTGTTTAATTCACAAAAATGTCAGTTTTGGCAGTGTTCAGTAATAAAAATTTCTTAGTAATAGTTTGGATATATAACATTGCCGTGCGTTCCACATTCATTTGACAAATATTTACTGAACTACTATCAATGTTCTTGGCATGCATTAAACAGACTAGGCCTTGCTCACTGTGGAGCTTAGCATGGGCAGGAGGGAAGAAAGACTTCAGCTGATAATTATATCGATCTTTAAAATAGTTACAATTATGTTAAGTGCTATGAAAGCAAAGGACACTGTGTTATGAGAAAGCACAAGAAAAACACTTGACCTGGCCTGGGGGTGGGGAAATAAATTAGAGTCGCTTTCCTTTGTGACAGATAGGGAAATTCATTAGTCTCAGGCAGTGGTTTAGAGTGAGGTTTGATTATTGCCTTTAATTTGTAATTAAATAGGAGAAACTATAACTGAGCATGAAGCAAAATCTGATGTAATGTAGCACATTAATTTATTGTATGGGATGATCATTGTGGTGAGTGGTACAAGATAGAGCAGCTTCATTTAAAAAGTCATATTTTGAATTGTATGAAACACGTTTGTCTTTAATTATGGCAAGCCCGAAAAAGTGTGGTCACTACTGTTCATGTGAGCAAAGACTCCATATCTTAAATATTGTGGCTGTTAACCTATAGGTTAGGACTTTGTCTCTTTTTGGACCACATAGTTTGTAAAAGCACACAAAAATCACAAATCACATTTTGATAAAAAAAAAAACTATACTTTCAAAGAGTCCATCTTGCATATCTTTTCCCTCCACCTGTATAAATAAAATTTTATAGTTTTCTTTTTTTAAGTGTGTCAAAACCCATAGCTGATATCAGTTTTAAGTAGAGATTCTGTGGTGCTTTTTTAGTACTCTCAGTTACATACTCTTAATTCATAAGTAGAGTGAATTAATACACTAACTTGAATGGAAGCTGACTAAATGCTGATAAAGTAATGATAATTAGGAGAATGCATAGCAATAGGTAGTTTCAATATCTTTGTTAATAGAAAAAAGGAGAAGAAATAGCATGAAATTAGCAGACAGTGAGTTAAGGTATTGTAAACATAAAACGAATCTGTAGGAAACGATAAATTATAAAAATTAACTGCGCACAGTGGAAGCAGAGAAACAAATGAAAATAAAATTAAAACAGAAATTTACTCATATTAAAGTCGAACAGCAAGAGATCGTCTTTATTTGGCAGTATTTTGAAAATGATATTTTGAGAAGTAGAGGAATAAAATAAGAATAATAGGTCTATATAGAAATGTGTAAAAATAATTTATACTAGAAAAGAGCAAAGTTTCAAAACAAAATAATCAAAACTGCATAAAAAGTACAAATGCTGAAGGTAAAGGATATGGTATGTTCAATGAGAAAATCAACAAAAAAAAATACAAAGAAAAGATAATCTAAAATGAGGAAAAACCTAACTGACAATGTCAACCATTGTCACTTAGATTACTGATGACTTAGATTTATTCCAAAAGTATATAAACACTCTTTTTTTTTTTTTTTTTTTTTTTTTTTTTTTGATGGAGTCCTGCTCTGTTGCTCAGGCTGGAGTGCAGTGGCATGATTTCAGCTCGCTGCAACCTCTGGCTCCTGGGCTTAAGCGATTCTCCTGCCTCAGCCTCCCAAGTAGCTGGGATTACAGGCACACACCACCATGCCCAGCTAAATTTTTTGTACTTTTAGTAGAGACGGGGTTTCGCCATATTGGCCAGGCTGGTCTCGAACTCCTGACCTCAGGTGATCTGCCTGCCTCAGCCTTCCAAAGTTCTGGGATTATAGTCGTGAGCCAACACACCCAGCCTCTTTTTTTTTTTTTTTTTTTAATTTTACTCTAAGTTCCAGCATACATGTGCAGGAAGTGTAGGTTTGTTACATAGGTATACGTGTGCCATGGTGGTTTGCTGCACTTATTGACCTGTCCTCTAAGTTCCCTCGTCTTGTCCCCCATCCCACAACAGGTCCTGGTGTGTGATGTTCGCCCCCCGCCGTGTCCATGTATTCTCATTGTTCAACTCCTAGTTATGAGTGAGAACATGTGGTGTTTGATTTTCTGTTCCTGTGTTAGTTTACTGAGGATGATGGCTTCTAGCTTCATGCCCATCTCTGCAAAGGACATGATCTCATTCCTTTTAATGGCTGCATAGTATTCCATGGTGTATATATACCGTATTTTCTTTATCCAGTGTATCGTTGATGGGCATTTGGGTTGGCTCCATGACTTTGCTGTTATAAATAGGTCTGCAATAAACATACGTGTGCATGTGTCCTTATAGTAGAATGATTTATATTCCTTTGTGTATATACCCAGTAATGGGGTTTGTGGGTCAAATGGTATTTCAGGTTCTAGACCATTGAGGAATTGCCATACTCTTTTCCACAATGGTTGAACTAATTTATATTCCCACCAACAATATAAAAGCGTTCCTATTTCTCCACAACCTCACCAGCATCTATTGTTTCTTGACCTTTTAATAATCGCTATTCTGACTGGCATGAGATGGTATCTCATCGTGGTTTTGATTTACATTTCTCTAATGATCAGTGATGTTGAGCTTTTTTCATATGTTTGTTGGTCGTGTAAATGTCTTCTTTTGAGAAGTGTCCGTTCATATTCTTTGCCAACTTTTTGATGGGGTTGTTTGTTTTTTCTTGTAAATTTGTTTAAGTTCCTTGTAGATTCTGGATATTAGACCTTTGTCAGATGGGTAGTAGATTGCAAAAATTTTCTCCCATACTGTAGGTTGTAGGTTGCCTGTTCACTCTGATGATAATTTCTTTTGCTGTGCTGAAGCTCTTTAGTTTAATTAGATCCCATTTGTCAATTTTGGCTTTTGTTGCAATTGTTTTTGGCATTTTTATCCTGAAGTCTTTGCCCATGCCTATGTCCTGAATGATATTGCCTAGGTTTTCTTCTAGGGTTTTTATGGTTTTGTGTTTTATGTTTAAGTCTTTAATCCATCTTGAGTTAATTTTTGTATAAGGTGTAAGGAAGGGGTCCAGTGTTCCAGTTTCAGTTTTCTGCATATGTCTAGCCAGTTTTCCCAGCATCATTTATGGAATAGGAGATCTTTTCCCTATTGCTTGTTTTTGTCAAAGATCAGATGGCTATAGATGAGTGGTGTTATTTCTGAGGTCTTGGTTCTGTTCCATGGGTCTATATATTTGTTTTGGTACCAGTACCATGGTGTTTTGATTACTGTAGTCTTGTAGTATAGTTTGAAGTCAGGTAGTGTGATGCCTCCCTCAGTAAAACACTCCTCAGCAAATGTGAAATAATTGAAATCATAACAAACAGTCTCTCAGACCACAGTGCAATCAAATTAGAATTCAGGATTAAGAAACTCACTCAAAACCACACAATTACATGAAAATTGAACAACCCGTTCCTGAATGACTCCTGGGTAAATAATGAAATTAAGGCAGAAATCAAGAAGTTTTTTTGAAACCAATGAGAACAAGGAGACAGCGTACCAGAATCTCTGGGACACAGCTAAAACAGTGTTAAGAGGAAAATTTATAGCACTAAATTCCTACATCAGAAAGCTAGAAAGATACCAAATTGACACCCGAACATCACAATTAAAAGAGCTAGAAAGGCAAGGGAAACTAATCCAAAAGCTAGCAGAAGACAAGAAATAACTAAGATCAGAGCAGAACTGAAGGAGATGGAGACACAAAAAAACCCTCCAAAAAATCAATGAATCCAGGAATTGTTTCTTTGAAAAAATTAACAAAATAGACCGCTAGCTAGACTAATAAAGAAAAAAAGAGAAAAAAACCAAATAGACACAATAAAAATGATGAAGGGGATATCACCACTAACCCCACAGAAATACAAACTATCATCAGAGAATACTATAAACACTTCTAGGCAAATAAACTAGAAAATCTAGAAGAATTGGATAAAGTCCTGGACATATATACCTTCCCAAGACTAAACCAGGAAGAAGTCAAATCCTTGAATAGACCAATAACAAGTTCTGAAATTGAGGCAGTAATTAATAGCCTACCAACCAAAAAAAGCTCAGGACCAGACGGATTCACAGCCGAATTCTACCAGAGGTACAAAGAGGAGCTGGTACCATTCCTTGTGAAACTATTCCAAACAATTGAAAAGAAGGAACTCCTCCCTAACTCATTTTATGAAGCCAGCATCATCCTGATACCAAAACCAGGAAGAGACACAACAAAAAAAGGAAACTTCAGGCCAATATCCCTGATGAATATCGATTAGCAAATCCTCAATAAAATACTGGCAAACGGAATCTAGCAGCACATCCCAAAACTTATCCACCATGATCAAGTCGGTTTCATCCCTGGGATGCAAGGCTGGTTCAATATATGCAAATCAATAAACATAATCCATCATATAAACAGAACCAAAGACAAAAACCACATGATTATCTCAATAGATGCAGAAAAGGCCTTTGATAAAATTCAACATCCCTTCATGTTAAAAACTCAATAAACTAGGTATTGATGGAACATATCTCAAAATAATAAGAGCTATTTATGACAAACCCACAGCCAATATCATATTGAATGGGCAAAAGCTGGAAGCATTCCCTTTGGAAACTGGTACAAGACAAGGATGCGTTCTCTCACCACTCCTATTCAACATAGTATTGGAAGTTCTGGCCAGGGCAATCAGGCAAGAGAAAGAAATAAAGGGTATTCAAATAGGAATAGAGGAAGTCAAATTGTCTCTGTTTGCAGATGACATGATTTTATGTTAGAAAACCCCATCATCTCAGCCCAAATACTCCTTAAACTGATAAGCAACTTCAACAAAGTCTTAGGATACAAAATCAATGTGCAAAAATCACAAGCATTCCTTTACACCAACAGTAGACAAGCAGGGAGCCAAATCATGAATCAACTCCCATTTACAATTGCTATGAAGAGAATAAAATACCTAGGAATACAGCTAACAAGAGATGTGAAGGACCTCTTCAAGGAGAACTAGTAACCACTGCTAAAGGAAATAAGAGAGGACACAAACAAATGGAAAAACATTCCATCCTCACGGATAGGAATAATTAATATTGTGAAAATGGCCATACTGCCCAAAGTAATTTGTAGATTCAATGCTATTTCCACCAAACTACCATTGACATTCTTCACAGAATTAGAAAAAAAAAAACTACTTTAAATTTCATACGGAATCAAAGAAGACCCTGTATAGCCAAGACAGTCCTAAGCAAAAAGTGCCAAGCTGGAGGCATCATGCTACCTGACTATAAATACTCTTTAGAATTTTAAGAATGAGGTTAATCAAGTAATAAAAATAGTATTAGAGTCATTGCCGGTTTAGGGACTAGAGTGTTTTTAGATAGCTAGTCACTTCAGGATGTGTGTGTATGATCCACTTGAATTTTAGAAAGGTAGAACAAGTTTTTCCAGTGAAATCCACCCACATCCCACCCCAACATTCTCCTACCTATGACCCCTGTGAGGTAGGAGAATTATGTGAACTTTGTTAGCAGACACAACCTGACAACTGTCACTTCATCTCTTATCTGTTTAATTCCCAAATAGGGTGCAATGAAGCTTATTTATTCCAATGCCAAGCTTCAAAACCTAAAATTCTAAAATGTATGTTCTAGATAAGGGAAAAGAAACTTTCCATTACTTTGTTATGCATAGCCTTATTTTACCAAAGGTTATAATTAGGTCCAAGGGTCTTTCTGAAAGACTGTTTGTTTAACAGAGATGTGCTAACTCAATTATCTGGGAATAAAAGGAACAAAAGAAAGGCATTATGCAAATGTCAGCAAATAAAGGAGATATAAAGTTTCTTGGGTTTTAAAACCAATTAAAAATTAATATCAAGGCTCTCCTTGCATGCCATTAATATTGTAGCCTCCAAAATGTAGGGACAATTGGAAAATGTATGAGATATTATAAGGAATAAAAAAAGGTTAGAACATACCATGAGGTTTAGGCCATAATCTCTATGAAGATATGGTTACAACTGATCAGGCTGATGGTGCAAATTAGCCGTGAGTGTCCATTGCACTTAAAAAAACAAGCTGCCTTACTGAATAGATAGAAATAAAAATAGATTGAATATCTATGGATTGTCTCTCCTTCCTTTAAACCTAGTGATATAACTTTTCCAATGTGTTAAAAAGTTTACTTCACTTGATGATGTGAAAATAGGTGGAGTAACCTCTGTGATGTTAGACACTTAGAGTCATAGATGGAAATTTAAAGAGATAATGTGCTTAAATGGAGACTGCACTTTACCCTTCACAGAGTTTAGTATTGTCACATCAAAATGTTTGTTGAAATTCATTTGTCATCAGTCATTAATATCCCCACAAGCAGATTGGATTCTATGCTTAGGTACATTAGGTATATATGTCTATGTATGTATCTTTATCTATACATCTTATACACACATACATGCACACACACACATGCACATACACATACATATTCATGTATATAGCATTATATTAGTATATAATATATCTTATACATGAGTAACTGTATTAATATTTTAAAAATAATATGTTTTCCAACTTGTAAAATCAACACATGGGATGTATATATATATATATAATTTATATTACATATGATATACATAATGGAAATGTACACTATATAATATTTTACAGTTATATAAGATAGTCACAAATTCTGGATGACAGAGCTAGGTTGGGTACTAAATCTTTATTTTGGAAATTTTACTTGAAAATAATCCTGTTGGTCTCGGGGCTCTGTTTCACCTTCTATCTCCGGTTGGTATTAACGGGCTCAGCAATGCTATTTCACCCTTATCACTCCTAGTTGTAGAGGTGGTCCTTGAGCTCATGTCAATGATGGGTTGAGCACCTCAGTTTTCAACTTGTTAATGCTTTCTTTTGCTCACACGTTTATGCTTTTATTTCCCATATTTTCATCACGATTTGCCATTTACTATTTTTTACCTTGTAGGGTAGCTAACCTAGAGGTTTTTGTTTTCCTAGTGAATGATCTTCACTGACTGTTTTCTTCTCTTCACCCCACTGGTAAAGGAGAGCTTCCCTCCTGGGGGTTCTGGGCATTCATTGCTGGCCAGAGGGCACCCAGCACTGGACAGATGAGATTGGCAGCAGGTTATTAGCAACACACACCTAAAGCCACAGGGAGAAGGATACCAGAGGCCATGGGAGGAAACTTTGTAAGGCCAAGAGGATTAGGTACCCCTGTTGCCTGCCCCATTCCCATGAGGGGATGTGATTTGCTTGTAGGCTGGCAGGGAAGTGAGACCTTTTAGGTTGAGGCCCAGGTAGAGTGGAGCTTGTCTGGGGGACAGGGGAACTAGCTGTCTGGAGTCTGTCCTGCAGGTGAGGAACATATCTAGTGGAGCTTGTCTGGGGGACAGGGGGACTAGCTGTCTGGAGTCTGTCTTGCAGGTGAGGAACGTATCTGGCGAGAGCAGGGGAACCCTCGGTTAGGCCCTTAGGGCCTGGTGAGGCTCAAAGATGTCAAAGAATCACTGAAAGTTTTAGGGTTTACAATATACTAACCTAGTTATTCTATTTAAACATTGAATTTCATAGTTTATGGCTCTAATTTGTCTCATAAAACCTGGCACACACTGCTTTGCCTTACAGTCATTTGCTGGCAATTTAGCTAATGTTAACCTAGCCTCTCAGTTAGATTGTAAAACTAGAAGACAGTTTCTTTTTAATGACGTCTCCACATTTAAAAAATTTATATTTCACCTACATTTAATATATGTGTATGTATATTATTTTAGTTTCCTAGGGCTCATGTAAGAAATTATCATAAGTGGGTGACTTAAATGTATTTTCTGAGGGTTCTGGATGCCTAAAATTTGAAATCAAGGTGTCAGTGGGGCCAAGCTCTCTCATAAGACCTTGGAAGAAAAATGCTTCTTTACCTCTTTTAGCTTCTGGTGGTTGCTGGCAATTCTTGGCATTTCAGGCCTTCTGGTAGACTAACTCTAATTCCTGGCTCTGTCTTCACGTGGCTGTCTTTCTTCTCATGTGTCTCTGCATCTTTCTCCTAATAAGGACACCAGTCGTTGGATTTAGGGCCCACTTTAATCCAATGTGACCTCATTTTGACTTGATTATTTCCAAATAAGATCTTATTTCCAAATAAGTTCTCATGCACAGGTATCAGGGGTTAAGACTTCACGACATCTTTTTGTGGGACAGGATTCCACCTACAATGCATATGATTAGAAAAGATATGTCTGTTGTGTCTGCCTAAATACACTCCAGAAAAACTCTTGTAAATGATTTGTCCAAAATTAAGCAAAAAGTCTCAGGTAGGAGTAGAAAAAGAGCTCAGACCCTAGGATGCCCAGTCAAGGACTTCTTGCTAATGGCTGGAAATGAATAATCAGTGTGTCTTGGCACATAATTCGCTTCTCAAACATAGTAAAGTCTACTCAATGCCTATGAAGCTCTTCATGAGGTTAAAGGACTATCTCAATGTCATCGAATTCTTTAGATAAAGTTGCTTAATGAATATTATCTATAAGAGCAAAGAAGAGAGACAGAAATATCTGTGTTGGCTTTAGTTTGTGGTTTTTGCCTCTAGCAAAAGAAAATATAACATAGGAGGCTAGAACAAATGGTCATTTCTCTTTTGTGACTGAACAAGTCACAGAATGGGATTTGAATATTTCTTGGCATATTCTACTCTCTTTCTGCCTGTTTGTAGTTAATCACAATTGGCAGAACCAGCAGACCTCCTGTGGATGAAATTTTTATGTTGTTTCCTTATGCCAGTGATTTCATATTTTTTCCAAGGTCAAAGAAACAACCCACGTTAATGACTCACCTTCTTCATTATAGAGAGAGTCTATAACTACAAGATGCTTGTAGCAATGTGGGAAGAGCTACTCTGACAGGCTGCTGTACCAAACAAAGTTAAATGCAAAAAGAAGGGCTAAGGAGCAATTTACTACAGCCTCAACAGTTGTAGGAAGTATCACATTTACCAACACACTGTTCTTAAAATTTTTCTCCTCCTCAATGATTGCTTATTTGAGATATAACAGAAATATTGAACCAAGAGAATACACACTGCATCTCTCAGTTGACCCAATTTTGCTACTGAGAAAGAATTCCAGATATATCTATTATATAGTTATTAGCATTGTCAAGGATTAGTATGAAACCCAGTATCACAAATTAAAAATAGTTGCTAAATGTTTTTGGCTCTTGCTGCATTTCTTCAAACTGAAGAAGGATATTCCAGACCACTCAATGCTCATTGATAAATATACAGAATTGTTTGGGGCTCAGCACTTGTATTAATCCATTCTCATGCTGCTGATAAAGACACACCTGAGACTGGGTAATTCATAAAGGAAAAAGATTTAATTGACTCACAGTTCAGCATGGGTGGGTAAGCCTCAGGAAACTTACAATCATGGTGGAAGGGGAAGCAAACACATCCTTCTTCATAGGGCAGCAGGAAGGATAAGTGCCAAGCAGAAGGGGAAAAGCCCTTATAAAACCATCAGATCTCATGAGAACTCACTCATTATCATGAGAACAGCATAAGGGTAATCACCCCCAGGATTAAATTACCTCCCATAAGGTTTCTCCCACAACACGTGGGGATGATGGGAACTACACTTTAAGATAAGATTTGGGTGGGAACACAGCCAAACCATATCAGCACTACTATTTAGTAACTTAGCCAATAATAGTGTTGGGTGTGTTTGGCCCCATGAACGTGGGGCTGTGGTAGAATATTGGAAAAGCAGATCAAGGAGAGTTTCCTTATATGAATGGCCTCCTGCTTATCCTATTGGCTTTGGTCAATTTGGCACATATAATATATGCTACAGAAATTTTGACTTGCTGATCTCTCCTGTTTTTTTCACTGGTGTCATTACCCAGAAGGGAATCCCATATATCAGGAATCCCATACTGGGAAGAGGCAGAGACTTGTACTTTTGGCATCCCGAGTAAAGGTACAGAAAAATCTGGGCAGCCTGACTTTTTTACTATAGTATAGTATAGTAATGGAAATTATAGTAATACTGTATAAGTTTCATTGCCTTGGTTCTGAAGATACTCTCATGGAGTTGAATCTCTTTTTAGCAGCTTGCTAGCTCTGTGACCCTGGGCAAGTCTCTTCAGCACTCCATGTCTAGTTATCGTAAATGGAAATAATAAAGGTTGCCAGATTTAGCAAATAAAAAACAGAACACTCAGTTAAATTTGCATTTCAGATAAACAATGGTCTTCTAAGAAATAAAAGTATATACCATGCAATATTTGGGATATATTATACTAAAAAATTCACAGTTTATCTGAATTCAAATTTAACAAGGCATCCTGTATGTAATCTGGCAACCCTAAGATAATAGGTGTATCTACATTCTAAAGTTCTTAATAGGTTAAATGTGTTGAAATGAGAAAAACATTTAACATGATGCCTATCACTTAATATGTACCAGTTATTATTATTTCTAATTGCAACACCATTTAATATTAGACATTGTGTTGGCATTTTAAGATCATATATTAAACTTAACAATAATTCTCCTGGTTTAGGGTTAACAGCGCCAATTTACAATAGGTAAACATGGATTAGAAAGTTTGAAATTTGTACAGCTAGCCTCTGTCTGAGTTCAGGAGCTACAGTCATTATAGTATATCACATTGGCTTGCTTTAGATTTTAGCCAAAAAGACTGAACTTCACAAAAGTGTGTGGAGTCTTACAGCTAATTGGAATATACAGAGTGAACAGGCAACCTACAAAATGGGAGAAAATTTTTGCAACCTACTCATCTGACAAAGGGCTAATATCCAGAATCTACAATGAACTCAAACAAATTTACAAGAAAAAAACAAACAACCCTATCAAAAAGTGGTCGAAAGATATGAACAGACACTTCTCAAAAGAAGACATTTATGCAGCCAAAAAACACATGAAAAAATGCTCATCATCACTGGCCATCAGAGAAATGCAAATCAAAACCACAGTGAGATACCATCTCACACCAGTTAGAATGGCAATCATTAAAAAGTCAGGAAACAACAGGTGCTGGAGAGGATGTGGAGAAATAGGAACACTTTTACACTGTTGGTGGGACTGGAAACTAGTTCAACCATTGTGGAAGACAGTGTGGTGATTCCTCAGGGATCTAGAACTAGAAATACCATTTGACCCAGCCATCCCATTACTGGGTATATACCCAAAGGATCATAAATCATGCTGCTATAAAGACACATGCACACGTATGTTTATTGCGGCACTATTCACAATAGCAAAGACTTGGAATCAACCCAAATGTCCAACAACGATAGACTGGATTAAGAAAATGTGGGACATATACACCATGGAATACTATGCAGCCATAAAAATGATGAGTTCATGTCCTTTGTAGGGACATGGATGAAACTGGAAACCATCATTCTCAGCAAACTATCGCAAGGACAAAAAACCAAACACCGCATGTTCTCACTCATAGGTGGGAATTGAACAATGAGAACACATGGACACAGGAAGGGGAACATCACAATCTGGGGCCTGTTGTGGGGTGGTGGGAGAGGGGAGAGATAGCATTAGGAGATATACCTAATGTTAAATGACGAGTTAATGGGTGCAGCACACCAACATGGCACATGTATACATATGTAACAAACCTGCACATTGTGCACATGTACCCTAAAACTTTAAGTATAATAATAATTTAAAAATTAAAAAAAATAGTAAACTATTTTGTGTAGTAAAACTCTAAAGCCTTTCTGCTCCTTACCGTTTCTCTGAATGATTATACACAGCAGCAGGACTTAAGAGAGAGTTCTTCAAAGAAAATGCAACCAACACTTCAAAAAACACCTACAGTGGTCTCTGTCCCTCCTATGAATTCAACAGATGAAGAAAAGAAGATCAGTGATATATAGTATACTTGCAGCATTTAAAGTTTGCATCATTCAGTGCCCCCTTTGTTAGCAGAGAAATATTCATTGGATATTTTGTGAACCAAAATAGATGGTTACATAATTTCAGATTTGGATGCATATTTGGGAAATGTTTATAAGCTGTACAGGGAGCCAGTGGAGCTTGGGCAAAAGGGCTGCCAGGGATTCCTGATAAGAGTCTTCTGCTCATGTTCCCTGTAGAGTGGTGGTGGGGGGCATTGGCAAAGGAGCTGCTAGAAACAGGGCTTGGTACTGACTGGACACTGAAGCTATTTGGTTGCTTTAATAAAAGGGATTTCAAATTTAATTCACTTACTGTGAGATAACTAAGTGCTCACATCTGGAAATAGTTCTACTGCAGTCAGCAAAAAGATGCCATTACCAGTAACCTTTCCTATAGGGGGCTTGAATCATTTGGAGGCAAATCCATTTTCATTCCTGAGATGATGAATATGAAGACTAATGTCAGGGTGAAGGCAGGTTTCGTGCATGCTGCCTGAATCCTACTTCTCCTGAGGATAAGGGTGTGGCCATATATTGGATTTGGAAATAAAGAGGGCATTGTTGGATGGTTACCAAAGCTTGTCAGGGCTGACCACCATATTCCTCAAGGAGACGGAGGGTGTGTGTCACATCTGACGGTGTGCACATCATCACATTGGTGCATTATGCTGATTTATGCACAGGTGTCACTTTAATTCAACAGATAAATTTTCACATTTGTTTGTATAATGACACTCAGTACTGGAGTCCCAACTCTCTCTCTCATCATTCATTAATTGGGTGACTTTTCTTTAGCTTCTTTTTCCAGCCGGATTTTAAGCTTTTTTTTTGTATAAGTACTGATTCATACATTTTATGGAGGCTCACAACACCTGCTGTAGTATAAGGCACAAAGTGATTTCCCAGTAAGTTCAGATTCATTAATAGGAATAGGCATCCCTGATTCAATCATGTATAGATCTTTCTTTGCCTGAAATCTCACAGAAGGTTATTTCTGATGTGACTGTCTGAGTACTTCCATGGATTGAGTATGGCTGGTAGAAGGTAAACCAATCTATAAAATATGACAACGGACTTTGGCGAACATTTTCTTTCTGTTTGTAATGTAATGTTAATATTGCCACCCCTTCTCTCTCCTAATCCCATTCACATCTCGTATTTATGGGGTAAGGAGCAATAGTACAACAGGGATACATATATACTAGTTGCCTACATATTTAGAAATAATAAATCAAGCTACAACATAGTTAAATATATTATGGTTTATTCTTATACTTTGACAGATATTTACAGAAAGAAATTGTGGCAGACTTGTACTGCTACTACTTGAGACTGTCACTGTGATAGTTACTACTGTTACTACTTGAGACCATCATTATGAGACTTAACAAAGGGATGAGCGTAGAAATAACAAAAAAAAAAAGCAACTGTTGTGAGGAAAGGGCCAAGGGAAGAAGAAGAGAGAAGAAGAAAGAGAAAAAGGAGAGAAGAAGAAGAGAAGAAGAAAAGGGCTCCCTGCTTCTAGTGAGCAAAGGCAACCCCTGAGCTTTTACAGCTCTTCCTATTTATTGGGTAACAAGAACAAGGAGAAGGAGGTAATGATTGGTCAGCTGCCTAATTGATCACATTATTGTTAACAGGCTTCAGATGTTCCTAATCAGAAGAAACACTTGTGTCTGGGTCGTGACTGCCCTCAGAACTCCTTCTGGATGGCACATGCAGTTTGTCAGTTTGCCAACATTCTGCATTTATGAGACACTGTTTGCTGTTACTCATATAGTCTTCAGTGGTATACTGAGTTGATCACAACCCTCATTCTTTCGGCCTTCAACAAGAAATTATTTTTAATGTAAAGATATCTTTATGACTAAAAGTTAACAAAACATTAAAGATGATTCATTTTAATTATTATTATATATGTTTGGGTGTTCTATTGATGGGTTGATTTTTCAGTTTGTCTCTTGTAGAAGCAGAAGCTGAGACAGATCTAGAAGGCAAGAGGTTTGTTGTAGAATAGTATTTATAAAACATAATGGAGAATGGAGTAGAACTGAACAGCTAAAACCTTCAGAAAGCAATGCAAATCTAATATATGTGAAAAGAGAAAAGAGGAAGCAGAATTGGGTAGGAGAGCCTCAAGGATGGTGAAGTAGTTCTGACAAAGTCTCAGCTCACACAAAAGAAAACCCTGGAACAATGACCTTGCCGAGACCACCTCAGTCGGGGAGACCCTAACCCAGTGGCGCTAGAGGAATTAAAGACACACACACAGAAATATAGAGGTGTGAAGTGGGAAATCAGGGGTCTCACAGCCTTCAGAGCTGAGATCCCCAAACAGAGATTTGCCCACATATTTATTAACAGCAAACCAGTCATTAGCATTGTTTCTATAGATATTAAATTAACTAAAAGTATCCCTTATGGGAAATGAAGGGATGGGCCAAATTAAAGGAATAGGTTGGGCTAGTTAACTGCAGCAGGAGCATGTCCTTAAGGCACAGATCGTTCATGCTATTGTCTGTGGCTTAAGAATGCATTTAAGCGGTTTTCCACCCTGGGCGGGCCAGGTGTTCCTTGCCCTCATTCCCATAAACCTACAACCTTCCAGCGTGGGCGTTAGGGCCATTATGAACATGTTACAGTGCTGCAGAGATTTTGTTTATGGCCAGTTTTGGGGCCAGTTTATGGCCAGATTTTGGGGGGCCTGCTCCCAACATGGCTTTCTATTGGATGGTCCTGCATTTGACTGAAATGGTCCCAGGATACAGGCTATGCTCAGTCATTGTCTGGTTACTACTTGGGAATAACTTGAAACTAAGGTTAACTTTGAAGGCTCTGAAAATGGTGTTTGTCAGCTAACTCCATTCCTGTAGCGGAATGTTATAGTTTATTCAAGGGGTATCCTAGCTATGTCCCTCCATGGTTGCCAGTGTAGGCCTTATCTGCACAGATCCAATTTTCCTTTCAGAAATGGAATGGAAGCAGCTCTCCAGAATTCCAGTGGGAAGAACATTTTATAGGAAATTAGTGGGATGAACTAGAACTCCTTTCCCCCAACTACAGTTGATCTTAAGTCTCCAAGTGGTACTCATTTTGTCTCTCCTCACTATACATTCCCTTTGTCCTCAGCCACCATCGTTGCACATCTTGATGGTTTACCTGAGAATTCCGAGACCCTGGAACCATATGTTTCTAAGGCTGGTGCTGCTGCTCTTGTCCTTATAGCCACAGCTGGGCAATTGAGTATTTGCAGGCAAGCAGGTGGAACCCCTCTATTCCACATTTATTTCTTCCTGCCCTACTGTGTAACAGCAGCTTTGTCTCCTTCTGCTGATCAGGGTCAATTGCTCTCCCAAGATGATGACTCTTCTTCTTGCCTACTAGCCCTGGGACACAATGAAAAAGAAGTGATGCATGGCTACAGTAGCTTGTTGTTCAGTGTGCTCTTGCTGTGTCCCGTGATAAGAGTGCCCCCTGCTCCTTTGGGGACCAGGACCTTTCCATATAGTCCAAAGTTGTGGATATAGGAAAAAATGTTTCCCAGTTTGGGAATAAAAGTAAATGAGGTCATTCCTGCATTTTTCCTTGTTTCCGGACTCATCTAATCATGATATTGGGGACATAGCACGTATATGAAGAAAATAGTGTAAATAAACTGGTCAAAAAATTTAAATAGATACCTTATTAAAGACTATGTACAAATGACAAATAAGGATATAGAAAGATGTTTCTCATCAAGTGTCATTAAAACAATATAAATTAAAACTGCAATAATATTGGAAGGCAGAGCAAGATAGTAGAATAGGACTCTTCAGTGATTGTTCCCTGCAGAAACATCAATTTCAACAACTATCCACATGCAAAAATATTTTTGCAAGAATGAAAGAAAGTAGGTCAGAGATTACAGTACCTGGTTATAGCACAATAATTTGAAAAGACATTGATTGAGGAGAGTAGGAATGACAGTTTTACATTACCTCTATCACTCTTTTGCTAACCCTAGGCAGCACAGCATGGAGAGAGATACAGTAGTATTAGAAGAAAGGAGAAAAGTGAGGATGGGAGTTTAATTTGGACCATAGTGCTGGGATCACTGCAGTAAAACCCAGCACTGAGCAGACACATATGGACCCTGAATCTTGCCTGGTACATGTAGACTGAACCTCCAGACCAGCCCCAGCACTAGGTGGAAAACTATAGGCCCTATGAGGTAGACTTGATCTCCAGTCCACATTCCACCAGCTAACTACAATGACCTTTGGCTCTGGAATGTCCTTAGTGGCAGACGGTCTTCAATTAGCTTGGCCTTTGGGCACACCCCAGCTCCATGTCAGCCTCAATTGCTACAAGAGTCTAGCCTGGCACTGTATCAGCCACAGCAGTCCTGAACTTAGAGATTATGCCAGATGGCCAGAATCTCTGAACAGGTTAACTGTTGAAGGGTGTTCCCAGACAAAGCCAATATGCAAAGACTGGAATAAGTGCCAACAACTTCAAGTGTGCAGACATGAAAGTATGTCCATAGGAATCAAAAATAATCAGGGAAACATGACATCACCAAATGGAAAAAAGAAAGTGCCAGTGATTGACTCTAATTAAATGCAGATGTATGAACAGCCTGGCAAATAATTCAAAATTACTATTTTAAGGTGGCTCATCAAACTTCAATAAAATATAGAGAAACAATTAAACACAAGAAAAAATAATAAATGGCTAGGATGAGAAATTTAGGATTGAAGTAATAATAAGAAAACCCAGAAATTCAAGGGCTGATAAATACAATTAATGAAATGAAAAATGCAGTAGAGAACATCAACAGAAGAATTAATCAAAAAGAAAAAAGAATCTGTAAACTCAAAGAAAAATACCTTGAAAATATACAGTCAGAGGAGAGAAAAAAAAAAGCAAAGAACGAAGAAAGCTTACAGGATTTATGGAACAGCATCAAAAGAGGAAATATCTGAGTCAAAGGAGTTTGAGAAGGATAATAGCAAAATAAAAGGGTAGAAAACTTATTGAAAGAAATAAGAGCAGAACATTTTCCAAACCTGAAGAAATATATAAATATCCAGGTACGGGAAGGTTAACTATCACTTAGTCCAAATCACATTCAATCCAAATAAGACTACCGCAAGAAATATTATAATCAAACTGTCAAAAATCAAAGACAAAGAGAGGACCCTGAAAGCAGAAAGAAAAAAGAAGCAAATAAAATATAAGGGAGTTCCAGTACACCTGGCGTATTTCTCAGCAGAAATCTTATAGTCAGGAGAGAATGGGATGTTATAGTCAAAGTGCTGAAGGGGAAAAAACTGCCAACCAAGAACATGTTACCCCAAAAAGCTGTCCTTAGGAAAGGAGAGATAAGAACTTTTTCAGATACTATTCCAGTATCTGGAATATTCCAGATACTATTCCAGTATCCAGTATTTATTCCAGTAAATAATGCTGCAATAAACCTGTGTGTGCATGTGTCTTTATAGTAGAATGGCTTATTTTCCCTTGGGTATGTACCCAGTAATGGAATTGCTAGGTAAAGTGGTATTTCTGGTTCTAGATCCTTGAGGAATCACCGCACTGTCTTCCATGATGGTTGAACTAATTTATAGTCCCACCAACAATGTAAAAGCATTCTTATTTCGCCATAGCCTCACCAGCATCTAATGTTTCTTGACTTTTTAATAATTGCCATTCTGACTGGCATGAGATAGTATCTCATTGTGGCTTTGATTTGCATTTCTCTAATGATCAGTGATGATGAGTTTTTTTCATATGTTTGTTGCCTGCATAAATGTCTTCATTTGAGAAGTGTCTGTTCATATCCTTTGCCCACTTTTTGATGGGGTTGTTTGTTTGTTTCCTGTAAATTTGTTTAAGTTCCTTGTAGATTCTGGATATTAGACCTTGTCAGGTGGATAAAGAAAATGTGGTACATATACACCATGGAATACTATGCAGTCATAAAAAAAAGAATGAGATCATGTCCTTTGCAGGGACATAGAGGAAGCTGGAAGCCATCATCCTCAGCAAACTAACACAGGAACAGAAAACCAAACACCGCATATTCTCACTCATAAGTGGTAGTTGAACAATGAGAACTCATGGACACAGACAGGGTGGGGAACAACACACACCGGGGCCTTTCGGGGAGTGGGGGCCAAGGAGAGGGAGAGCATTAGGATGGATACCTCATGCTTGCAGGGCTTAAATCCTAGATGACAGGTTGATAGGTACAGCAAACCACCATGCACGTATATACCTATGTAACAAACCTGCACATTCTGCACATGTATCCTGGAACTTAAAGTAAAATTTAAAAAAAGAAAGAAAAAAGAAAACCAAACACTACATATTTTCATTTATAAGTTGAAGCTGAACAATGAGAACATACAGACACGTGGAGGGGAACTACACACACTGGGGCCTGTCGGTGGGGTTGTGTGTGTTGGGGGGTGGGCAGGAGAAGGGAGCACATCAGGACAAATAGCTAATGCATGCTGGACTTAATACCTAGGTGATGGGTTGATAGGTGCAGCAAACCACCATGGCACACATTTACCTATGTAACAAACCTGCACATCCTGCACATATAACCCAGAATTTAAAATAAAATAAAACAAAACAAAACAAAACAAAACAAAAACAAAAACAAACAAAAAAACTTTCTCAGATACACAAAGCTAAGTGATTTTATTATCATTGTGACAGTTTTACAAGAAATGCTATAGGGAGTTCTTCAAGCTGAAAGAAGAGAACACTAATGAGTAACACAAAAACATCTGAAAGTATATAACTCCACGGTAAAAGTAAGTACACAATCAAATTCAGAATACTTAATGCTTTTCCTGTACAGAAAAAAAAGTGCAGCTCATCGCCAGCAATCATTTAATCTTACATAAAACACACTCTTTGAGGCTGAAGCAAATCTGACTGATTTTCAGTGTGAAAATATAATATAAAAACTGTTCTTGGAGTTATTTCTAAACAGAACTAACATCAGAATGTCTGAATCATCAGAATCGTCTCAGAAAATTGTTTCAGAAAAATCGGATTCATCAGATGAATCTTTGGCCAACAACTGTTCAAGAAGGATGTTAACATCACATGTAGGATGCTACATTTTCTAGGATTTGATATTTTTAGCAATTGAGAATTACTATATTTTGTAAATGGAAATACCAGTACTAAAAACAGAATGCTATAAATAAAATGATGTCTTTTGTTTTCAAAGTCAATATACTAGAGCAATGAAAAAATAATAATAAAAGCTAGATATATCATGGCAAAGTTATATCAGGGTAAACGCTGAAGCTGCAAGTGCTGCTGGTGAATATTCTTCAGGCAAATGGGAAAAACGTTGATACTGTAATGGTGGCATACAAATCACTTATGTCAGTTGAAGATTAAAAGGCAAAATTATTAAAATAGTAATAACTACAATGATGTATTAAGAGATATGAAATATAAACTATGTAAATTGTAACATCAAAAATTCAAAATGTTGGGGGAGTGAAATAAACTTTTGTAATCTTTATGGTAACCACAAAGCAAAAACCTATAGTAGACACACTAAAAATAAAAATCTGAGAATTAAAACATACCACTAGAGAAAAATCACTTAATTACAAAGGAAGTTAGCAAGAGAGAAAGAAAGGAAAAAGAGATCTACAAAACAACTAGAAAACAAGCAACGCTATTGCCATAGTAAATCTTTACTTATCGATAATTACTTTCAGAGTAAGTGGATTAAATTCTCTGATCAAAAGACACAGAATGGTTGAATGAATAGATCAACAATGCCCAACTATATTCTGCCTAAAAGAGACCCATTTCACCTGTAAGAACACACATAGACTAAAAGTAAAGGGATGAAAAAAGATTTTTCATGAAATAGAAACCAGTAGAAAGCAGGAGTAGCTATATTTATATTAAAGAAAATAGACTTTAAGTCAAAAACTGTAAAAAGGGCAGACAAGGTCATTATATAGTGATAAAGGGGTCAACCTAGCTAGAGGATATGACAATTTTAAATATATATGCACTCGACACTGGAACACCTAAATATGTAAAGCAGATATTAATTGACCTGAAGGGAGATATTGTTTGCAATACAATAATAGTAGGGGACTTCAATACCCCACTTTTAGTAATGGACAGATCATGCAGACAGAAAATCAATGAAGAAACATCAGACTTAAACTATACTGTAGACAAAATGGACTTAACTGACATTTATAGAACATTTCATCCAACAGCTGCAGAATACACATTCTTCTTAAGTGGATATGGGACATTCTCTAGGCCAGATCATATGTTAGCTCACAAACAGGTCTTATCAAATTTAAGAAGATTGAGATCATGTCAAATATCTTTTCTGACTACAAGGTGTAAAACTAGAAATCAATAACAGGAGAAGCTTTGGAAAATTTACAAATATATGGAAGTTAAGTAACATGCTCTAGAACAACCCAATGGGTCAATGAATAAGTTAAAAGTGAAATTAAAAAATATACTGGGAGAAATAAACATGAAAACACAACATACTGAAACTTATGGAATGCAACAAAAGCAGTTCTAAGAGGGAAGTTTATAGCAATAAATGTCTATACTAAAGAAGAAGAACAATTCAACAAAAAAGTATGTTGCACCTCAAGCAACTAGATGAACAAGAACAAACTGAAGCCCAAAATTGGTAGAAGAAAGGAAATAATAAAGATTAGAGCAGAAATAAATAAAATAGAGACTAGAAAAATGATAGAAAATATCAACAAAATTAAGAACTTATTTTTTGAAAAGACAAAATGAACAAACCTTTACCTAAACTAAGAAAAACATTCAAATAAATAAAATCATAAATGACAACCAAGCCATTACAACAGATACCACATAAATCCAAAAGATTATGAGACTATTATAAACCAACAAATTTAATAAGCTAGAAGAAATGGATAACTTCCTTGACACATACAACTTACTAAGTTGAATTACAAAGACTAGAATATCTTATCTGAACAGAAAAATAACAAATAAAGCAATTGAATTAGTAATAAATGTTTTCCCATCAAAAAGAAAAGCCCAGAACCAGATGGCTTTACAGCTGAATTCTACCAAACTTTTAAAGAAGTACTAACACAAATTCTTCTCAAACTCTTCCAAAAAACTAAAGAGGAATGAATACTTCCTAACTCATTTTGTGAGGCCAAAACTGGATACAACGAAACCCAAAATCTACAGGCCAAGATCCCTGATGAACCTAGGTGCAAATATCCTCAACAAAATAATAGAAAACTAAACTTAACAGCACTTTAAGAAGATCATTCATCACGATCAACTGGGATTCATCCCAGGGATGGAAGGATGGCTCAATATATGCAAGTCAATAATGGGGTATATCACATTAACAGAATGAAGGACAAAAACCACATGTTTATTTCAATAGATGTAGAAAAGAATTTGACAACAGCAAACATTATTTCACACTGAAAACTCTCAACAAATTAGGCATATAAAAGATATATCTTAACATAATAAGGGCCATGTAGGACAAACCCACAGATCATATCAGAAAAAAAGGAAAGCGTTTTCTCTAAGATCCAGAAAAAGACAAGGATGTTCATTCTTGCCACTTCAATACAACATATTACTGGAAGTCCTAGCCAGAGCAATTAGGCCAGAGAAAGAAATAAAGGTATTCAAATTGGAAAGAAGGTAGTCAAATTATCCTGGTTTGCATCTGACATGATCTTATATAGAAAACCCCAACATCTCTACCAAAAAAAACCTATTCAAAGTAATAAGTAAATTCAGTAGAACTGTAGGATACGAAAATCAGTAGCATTTCTATACATAGCAAACTATCTGAAGGAGGAATCACGAAAACAGTTTGTTTATGATAGCTACAAAAAAGATACATACGTGAGAGTAAATTTAATTAAACAAGTGCCAGGCACGGTGGCTCATGCCTGTAATCCCAGCACTTTGAGACGCTAAGGTGGGTGGATCACCTGAGGTCAGGAGTTCGAGACCAGCCTGGCCAACATGGCAAAACCCCATCTTTACTAAAAATACAAAAATTAGCCAGGCGTGGTGGCATGTGCCAGTAGTCCTAGCTACTCAGGAGGCTGAGACAGGAGAATCGCTTGAACCCGGGAGTTGGAAGTTGCAGTGAGCCGAAATCATGCCACTGCAGTCCAGGCTGGGTGACAGAGCAAAACTCCATCTCAAAAAAAAAAAAAAAAAAAGGATAAAAAAGATCTCTACACTAAAAATCTGTGAAACAGTGATTAAAAAAAAGTTGAAGAAGACTTAAATAAGTAAATAAGTGTAAAGCTATCCCACATTCATGGTTTGGAAGAATTAACATTGTTAAAATGTCCATCCCACCCAGAGTGATTTGTGAATTCAATACAATCCCTATCAAAATACTAATAACTTTCTTCACAGAAGTAGAACAAATAGTCTTAAAACTTCAGAGTCCACAAAAGACTCTGAAAAGTCAAAGCAATCTTAGGCAAAAAGAACAAAGCTAGAGGCATCACACGACCTGACTTTATAATATACCATAAAGTGACAGTAACCAAAATGGCATGGTACTGGCATAAATACAGACACATAGACCAATAGAACAGAGAGCCAAAAATAAATTCATGCATTTACAGCCAACTGTTTTTCAACAATGGTGCCAATAACACAAAGTGGGGACAGGACAGTCTCTTCAATAACTGGTATTGGGAAAAAACTGGACATCCACATGCAGAAGAATGAAATTAAACCCTTATATCATACCATAAACAAAATCAACATGAAATGGAACCAAGACTTAAATGTAAGAGCAGTGACTAAAAAGTCACTGCTAAATCTAAGGACATCTAGATTATCTCCTATGTTATCTTCTAGAAGTTTTGTAGTTTCGTGTTTTACAGTTAGATCTATAATCCATTTTAAGTTAATTTTTGTGAAGGATATATGGTTTGTGTCTAGATTCTGTTTTTGTTAGTTTGTTTTTGCATATAGCTATCCAGTAGTTTCAGCACTATCTGTTAAAATGACTATCTTTTCTGTATTTTATTGCCTTTGCTCCTTTGTCAAAACATTTTTTCTTGAATCCATCACTCTGCTGAAACTGCTCTTTCAAGGTCATGGGCCATCTGACCCATGTTGAAAACTCCAAAGGAAATTATAAGTGCCCATTTTATTTGACCTGTCAAAAGCATTGGACATACAGTTGAACACTCTGTCATCCTTGAAAACTTTACTTAAATTCCACACCAACAGACACTTCTGGCTTACTTTCTATCACACTGACAGCTCCTTTATAGTCTCATTTGCTGATCTCTTCTCTTTCCAGAACTCTTAATTTTAGAGTGTCCTATGGCTCAGTCCTTGGTCTTCACTCTAATTTATGGATAGTGATTCCTTTGATGTTCTTATCTAGTCTCACCTGTTTTTTGACAACTTCTAAATTTATATTTGCAGATGAGCTCACCACTGAACGCTGGTATAAATTATACCCTTCAATTCAACTTTTCCCTATGCTATTTAATGAACATCTTCAACTTAACTGGTCACAAAGTCAACTTCAAAACTTCCCTTAAAACTTGCTATTACCAATTAATAACAACTTCATCTATCTAGCTGCTCAGGTCAAAATTTTGTGTTTATCTCTGACTCCTCTTTTTATCCCATTCCACAGTTCCAATTCGCCAGAATATCTTTTTGGCTCAAACTTCAAAATATATTTAGGAAACAAAAACACTTCTTATAGGCCCTACTGCTACAGTCTTTGTCTAAGACTTCACCTCTCACTGGATTATTGCAAAACCCTCATATTCCTGCACTGCTTTCATTCCTGTTCCTCTGTAGTCTAAGATCAGCTTCAGTGGACTGCCAAAAATGGCCAAATATTCTTTCTCTTCTATCAAGACGTGAAGCCTATGAACATGCTTTGGCCAATGAGACATAAACTATTAATGATAAGATACGAGTAGAGGTGTGAAAAGTATGTGTGCATTTGGACTTGTCCTGTTTCTGTTCTTGAAAACCTTTGGAATCCCAATAAGATGAAGAATTCCAGTCTAGCCTAATGGATGATGGAACACACACGGTCCAGTAGCCTCCGTCTTCCAGTCCGACAACCATCTAAACTCCAAAAGTAAGACCACATACCTAACCAGCCGCTGACCACAGACACATGAACGGACCTAAGGAGACTTAACGGAGGAACAATTTAGCTCAGTCTAGCTCTGCCCAAGTTGCTGACCCTCAGAATATTGACCTAAATAAATGTTTATTGGTTTAAGCCACTAAATTTAGGTGGTTTGAAATGCAGTAAATGCTACCTGAAACATTAACAAAGCAGACAATGTAAATTGTTGAAAATTTTGTTTTAAGTTAGATCCTATCATTCCTCTGCTCAAAACCCTGTAAAGCCAGTGTCCTTATAGTAGCCTATAAAATTGTACATGTTGTGGGGCCCTCTTCCCCCTCTGACCCCATCGCCTTTTAGTCTTCCCCTTGCTCAGATCCTCTAGCCATACTGGTGTCCTCTTGTTCTCAAACTCAGCAGACACATTCCACTTTAAGGCCTTTACCCTGGCTCTTCTCTCTGCTTAGAGCATTCTACTAGCAGCTGTCCTTTTGGCTAAATCCCTTCCTTCATCAAGCCTTTGCTCACCTTCTAACCATTTCATTAAAAGTTCTCTCTCACTCGGAACTTCAATCTACTTACTATGATTCATTTTTTTTCATTCAAAGAAGTGATGTACAACATGCTTTACTTAGTCACAATGTTTATTGTCTAACTCCTCTGCACTAGAATGTACAATACTTATGTCTAAGGATTTTTGTCTGTTATGTTTAATGCTGAATTTCCACCACATACAACAATTCCTGGCATAGATTAGGTTCGAAATAAATATTGTTCAGTGAATGAGTTATGGAGGACATATGAAGTGAGAAAACGAGTGTAATCTACCTTTCAAGGAGGTTTGGTTTAGCAATTTTTAGTTCAGAGAATTTAAACTTTTTAATCCTTGCTAGTTTGTGTGTGTGTGTGTGTGTGTGTGTGTTTGTCTGTCTGTCTGTGTCTATGTGTATTAACATGTAGAATTATAGGACAAAGCCTGTCAGTATTGGAAGGTGCAGGAAGTGCTCTTTTCTCTCCTAATTACTAAAAAGATTCTATCTGAATAAAAACAGAAGTGTACATCAGTACTTTGAAACTGTTAAAAAATGAATGGGTATTTCAAAAGGTCAGAATTTGCTGATTGTCTTTTAAATACTCTCTTGTCTCTAAAATATGGCATATTTATATGGTGTTATCCTTTGCATTGTGTGACCTCTGTGTTGGTCAAAGACAGGTATAGTATCCTATAATTCAATGTTTCATAAGTCAGAGTGAAATGGTCTCTTTACAAAACGAAGTTTGAAAGTAAAATTATGCTTTGCCACTAGTCTTAATTCTTAGTAAACACACCTTTAATCTTTGTGATAACTTGAGTGTATTATCTTTCATGGACTTTGCAAAGGTCACAGAAGACAATTTCCTTTTTAAATAGATCCTTGCAAGCATCTCATATTTGATTTGTTTGAAGATGAGCCTTTTATACTTTCCTCTCCCTTTTCCTTCATTACTAAGGTAAAAAAGCTATATGCTGTATATGCTGTATACCCTAGACTCTGCTGCTTGATGCGTTTAATTTTTTTCTTCATCATGATATTTATATTCTGAAGCTCTTTAAAATGTTTACCCATACTCATTAGCATGTTGATCTCTGTGCAGACTGTCACGTTACAAAAATTATTGACTGAGACTAGGTAGAAAAATATGAACAGTATTTAGTTTAACAATAAGATTCATGACAGCAACATTTTACCCACTTGTTCATTCATTCATTCATTCATCCATCCATTTATCAAATAGAAAATTATAGAGCACTTACTAGAAACCAGGCTCCCTGCTAGGTATATAGACATTAGAAATAAATATCAGACATAGGCCTTTTCCTTGAAAAGGTTAGTTTCGTAGTGGAAACAAACATATGTGCTGTAAAAGAGGTCCCTATGCAAGTGCTTGTCTATATTTTCCAATACAGAACAATTGATGTGAGCAAGTATTTCATTTTTTCAATGAATTGTTTCAATATTCTATAGACAAAACATCAGAGACCTCATTTGTTTTTCTGCTGTTTGACTTAAAAGTAGCTTGGGGCATCTTCGATTGGAAGGCCTGGAAACATAAATCACCCACGGTCCAATTTTTGCTTTCTGTCTCTGCAGGGAGAAACAGCATGAACTGCAGTGGAAAGAGAACTCGACTCCACTGCTTGCATGTGTAGGCAAAATATAAATTCATATACAAAAGCCCACCATGAACTTTCTTCCATGTGTTTATAATAATCTGAACTCCTTTTGAGATCATTATGTTGCTCTGACTTAAAAACTTTTTTTGAAAACTCCTCTATTCATTTTATTTGATTTTGCCTTTATGTGTGATGAGGGATTTATTTGGTATCTTTAGTGTCAGGTGTCATAGACACAATATTGGAGGCTATAGGTTTGATTTTCAGTTTCTTTAAGCTTGAAAATCCGGCTGAGTATTGATCATTAATGAGACAGGGCTCAGGTGGTATTATTGTCAGTCTTCCAAGTTGAATAGAGGGACCCCCAAGGATTCAGGTACATATTAGAAATATCTTTAGAATGGTACACGGTTTGTAGAAGAAAGTACATTGAATTCCTTAAAGTTGGCATTTGTCTTCATGGATAAAAGCTTAGGGAACCAGATTAGATCTCTGCACTTTAGAAAGAGAAGACTATGTTAGCAAGCAATGTTATAAGAAGGCTTTACATTATGTTTATCCTGTATAAGTTATTGAAACCTATGTATCAATTTGAAGGTTGAATTGCAGAATATATGTCAGAAATTATGGAAATATAGAAGTAGAAACTAAGTGTGATGAAAAGACTCTCAAAAAGCAAAATACAAGGACATGTTCATATGTAAATACAAGGTATAAATGAAATATAAAGAAGAATATAAAAGTTTTAGACAAGGTAATGAGATAGTGTATATGTCAGGTTGAGGAAAAATAGGAGGTGGTTTTACCTTACGGTTTAAGACTATAAAGATTACACATGCATGTATGAATGCATAAAGATTATATACAGAGAGAAATCATTAGGCAAATTTGGTAATATTTTCTAGATTAAAAATATAAAAATGAAATAAATATGCTAGTAGAGCACTTAATCCAGAAAGAGAAAGTAGATTGACCTCATGAACAGCTTATTAAAAATTATAGGGTTAATGTCTGACTTCATGGGAAGTGTTAATTTCCTTGATACAAGTGAGATAGTGATAAACAAGTTATTGGGATGTGTTTCAAAGAGGAGTACATAGAATAATTCAATAGACTATTCTGGCTACAAGCTATCACTATTTCTGCCTTGCATTAATTAGCCTTTTTTTTTTTTTTTTGGACTCACACCAATGACCAGAGAACCCACTCATCTGGTTGATGAATTGGAAAAGTTGAACTTTGTAAGTGAGACTTGATCCCTCTTGGAAATGCATTTCCTTATCAAACTTTCAATGAAAGAAAAAGTACAAAGTCCAGTGGATTATCTGATATAAATCATCAATAATTAATATTTCTAGAGCATTTTGTATTTTACAAAGCTTTCTCACATTTATATACCTTGCTTCTCTGGCTTCTTTTTCTTCAAGTTTATATTTAGAGATGATATTCAAAACATTTAAATATAATTAGTTATCCATTAGAATAAATGTTGGCCCTAATGCCTATATAGCTATACAGAATTAGCCCTGATTTTTTTTCTATAATTATTTTATAAGTAGTTGTTAATATCTTGCCATATTACTATTTATTTTGAAGTCCTATTTTCAAGGAAAACTCTTGTTTTAATCAGGATAATTTTAGTTGCAAGTGACAGAAATGAAACTCAAACTGGGTTAAGCAAAAAACAAACAAAAAAAAACAAAAACAAAAACAAAAAAACCACAAAAGCAAAACAAACAAAAAAATGAAAACAATTCCTGGACAGAAATGAACTATCATTGCCATTAGAAAGGGACTCACAAAGCAAAACATGCTTTAGAAAGGTAGAAAAGTGGCCGCGCATGGTGGCTAACGCTTGTAATCCCAGCGCTTTGGGAGGCCGAGGTGGGAGGATCACAAGGTCAGGAGATTGAGACCATCCTAGCTAACACAGTGAAACCCCGTCTCTACTGAAAATACAAAAATTAGCCGGGCGTGGTGGCGGGCGCCTGTAGTCCCAGCTATCTGGGAGGCTGAGGCAGGAGAATGGCGTGAACCCGAGAGGCGGAGCTTGCAGTGAGCCGAGATTGCGCCGCTGCACTCCATCCAGCCTGGACGACAGAGCAAGACTCCTTCTCAGAAAAAAAAAAAAAAAAAGAAAGGTAGAAAGGTTACATGATGATTAGAGTCATGATGTTTTTTCTATGGTCAAATTCGTCTGCATTCTTTGTGAAAAATAGTGATTTTTAATGTGGGCACAACTACCAGCTTGCCAAGTGACTTTAATTCACTTGTACAATGATTTATTAAGAGGAAAAATGCTATCTTTCAATAATATAATATTCTATATAGTCTTTCATTTATTAAAACTAGATTGTAAGACACATAAAATGTTTTTAAAATATATTTTGTTCCCTTTTGATTATGTATAAATTATCTTTATTCCACCTATAGTAACCTTTCCATTAAAAAACTTTACATCTTCTTGACGGACACCTTGCTTTGTCCCACACTTTCTCGCTGTTTTCCTATTAATTTCCTTCTTATAAGACTCTTATTTAAAGGTAATCTGAACATGCTATTTATTATTGATCTTGCTGAATTTATACAAATCCAATGTACCCTCATTTTGTACAAAGGTGCATAGTATGTGCAGCTTTGAGAATCTGAATACATTCAAATATTTTCTGTGTTCAATTGTAACCTCCCAATCCCCCACCCCCAAAGAGTACGTATAATAACAATCAGGTGGATATGTCACGATTCAATGTGTGTTCTCTCTTCAGTAGTTCATCTATTAGCCAATGACACAGCAGAAATAGTCCCTTTATCTTTTTCTTTTTCTTTTTTTTTTTTGAGACGGAGTCTCGCTCAGTCGCCCAGGCTGGAGTGCAGTGGCGCGATCTCAGCTCACTGCAAGCTCCGCCTCCCGGGTTCACGCCATTCTCCTGCCTCAGCCTCCCAAGTAGCTGGGACTACAGGCACCCGCCACCACGCCTGGCTAATTTTTTTGTATTTTTTTTAGTAGAGACGAGGTTTCACCGTGTTAGCCAGGATTGTCTCGATTTCCTGACCTCGTGATCCGCTCGTTTCGGCCTCCCAAAGTGCTGGGATTACAGGCGTGAGCCACCGCGCCTGGACAATAGTCCCTTTTTCTTCAGGCAGGTGTACCAGTAATGTATGTGTCATGACAGAATTTTGTGTAAAACATTTTCTGTAGGTTGTTTGCATGGGTCATTATGCATTTCATCAGTTTTGCTCCTTTTCCTACTTGAAATTCTCTTTCTTATCTTCTCCCCTTGGCATATTTCATAAGTTTTACCTTCTCTGCAACCTTTCCCCAGTAACCTCAAGCATTTTATCTGCTGTGAATTCCATAAAACTTTGTAAGTGGCCATTGTTATATTACTCATTACAACATATTAAAGTTGGTTTTATTCTTTGTCTTTCCTAGGGTCCTAGGTTGTGAGAGTACAACATGTCTTTTATGTCATACATACACCCTTAGTGCAGGCTGAGTACTGGGGTCTGGACACTCCTGGTCACCAAAATCTGTCTCTTGTACTACTTCAGATACCCTAAAATCTAAGAGAGAAATATTTCTCTTAGAACAGTTGTGAAAATCTGGAGACTCCATGAGGACATAAACTAGGTCTACCTTGTTCAGCATTGACTGCTCAGCCCTCATACACTGCCTATCAAGAATTTGTCCCTCAATGAATATTTGTCAAAGGAATTTAAATAAATTAATAAACAGAAATAAATTTGTTAAGTGAGTAGAACCAGATCAGTGCCAAGACTTCACTCCTTTAGACTCTAATTACTCTTTTCTTAAATACTCTTCAGGCGATACCAATGTATATAATATACAATTTTACCGTCCTAAAAGTCCTCTGTGCTTCACCTATTTATCCCAGCCTCCTTGTACTCCTGGCAAAACCTGATCATCTTGCTGTCTCTACAGTTTTGTGTTTTCCGGAATGTCATAGAGTTGGAATCATATAATATGTAGCCTTTTCATATCGAATTATTTCATTTAGCAGTATGCCTTTAAGTTTTCTCCATGTCTATTTATGGCTTGATACCTCCTTTTATTAATTGATGAATAATAGTGTGATATAGATGTACCATAGTTTTTTCACTCAGCAACTGAAAGGCATCTTGGTTACTTCCACTTTGAGGAGATTATTAATAAAGCTGCTATAAATATTTGTGTGCAGGTTTTTCTGTGAACATAGGTTTGTATATCAACTGGATAAAGACCTAGGAATTTAATTGCTGGTTCATATATTAAAACTATATTTACCTTCGTAAAACACTGAAAAACTGTCAAAGTGGCTGTACTATTTTGCATTCCCACTAGCAACATAGAAGAGTTCCTGTTGCTCCACAATCTCGCCAGCATTTTATATTTCCAGTTTCTTTTTAATTTTAGCCATCCCAATATGCATGCATGTTACGTAGTTTTTAGATTTGCTATTCTCTGATGACATCTGATTTTGAGCATGTTTTCATGTGGTTATTTTCTATCTGCATATTTTCTGTGAGGTGTCTGTTCCGTATGTCTGTCCACTATCTAATTGTGTTGTTCGTTTCCTTATTATTGAGTTTATCTACTTTATGTATTTTGGATGCAAGTTGTTTATCATTTAATGGATTTTGCAAATATTTTTGCCAGTCTGTGACTTGGACACTTCATTCTGTTAACAAGGCCTTTCACAGAGCAGAAGTTTTTTATTTGAATAAAGTCTAATTTATCAATTTTTCTCTTCATTGAATTATATTTTTGATATTGTATTTAAAAACTCATGACCAAACTTAAGGTCACAGAGATTTTCCCTTTTGTTTTTTTTTCTATAAGTTTCATAATATTGCACTTTATATTTAGGTTTATGATCCATTTTGAGTTAATTTTGGTGAAAGATGGAAGATCTGTTATGGATTTATTTTTTGTATGGACATTGAATTATTTCAGCACTATTTATTGAAAACACTATGTTTTCTCCATTGAATTTATTTTGCCTCCTGAAAGATTAGCTGACTATATTTGTGAGTTTGTTCCTGGACTGTGTATTTTGTTCCATTGATATATGTATTCATTCTCTCACTAATACCAGGCTTTCATGATTTTTGTAGCTTTATAGTAAAAAAGATAGTGTCCTTCATCTAAGGTTTTTTTTTTTTTTCAGTACTGTTTTGGCTATTCTAGACCTTCCCATTTTTATATAAACTTTAGGCTCATTTTGTTTGTATACATGAAATTGTCTACTGGGATTTTGATTAAAATTGCATTAAATCTATGCATCAATTTCAGAAGATTTGACATCTTACTAATATTGAGTCATCCAATACACGAACACAAACAGGCTCTCCATTTATTTAGCTTTCCTTTGATTTCTTTAGTCAGGTTTAGAGTTTAAAATAAATTCTATATTTTTTGGTTAAATTTATACTTAGATATTTCATTTTTTGGTGCCATTGTAAATGGTATTATGTTTTATTATAATTTTTTTTTAGACAGGATCTCGCTCTCTCACCCAGGCTGAAATGCAGTGATATGATCTCCACTCACTGCAGCCTCAACTGCCCTGGCTCAAGTGATCCTCCCACCTCAGCCTCCTGAGTAGCTGGGACCACAGGTATGCATCAACAAGCTCGGCTAGGTTTTTTAAAATTATTATTTGTAGAGATGGGGTCTCACTATGTTGCCCAGGCTGGTCTCAAACTCCTGGGCTCAAGTGATCCCCCTGCCTTGGCCTCCCAGTGTTGGGATTACAGGTGTGAGCCACTGTGCCTGGCCTGGTATTATGTTTCAAATTTCAGATTCCAATTGTTTATTGTTGGCATATAGGAAAGTAATTTTTATATATTAATCTTGTATCCTACGACTTTGTTATAACTTATTAACCAAAGTTTTAAATTGATAAATTGAGTATACTTTATTTGTCAAATGGCTTTCCAGTGCATTCTATCCAGCTATCATTATGAATTATTTAAATGTAAGTGCTGTGGATTATATATCTGCATTCCCCCATCTATTACAGCCATCACAAATCTCCCATTAAACAATCAGAAAAATGGCAGTTTTATGAACCTCAATTTTAATCCTCATTATACCAATTACTCACCCAACTTCAGTATCCTCATGTGTGAAAAGATAATAATGTCTATTCCAAAGTGCTGTTTTAAGGATCAAATAACAGACTATATATGAACGCGATGGTTAATTTTATTTGTCAACTTGACTGGCCTAAGGGACGCCCAGAGGCCCAGAAAGCTGGTGAAACATTACTTCTGAGTGTATCTCTGACAGTCTTTCTGGAAATTGGCATGTGAATGAGTCAACTGAGTAAAGAAGATCTGCCAATATCCATGTGAGCTGTTATCATCCAATCCTTCTTAACCCAAATAGCACAAAAAGAAGGAGAAAGGCAAATTTGCTCTTTCTGTTTGAGCTGGGAAATTTATCTTCTCCTGCCTTTGGACATTGGTGCTCCTGGCTCACAGGCTTTTGAACTTGGGCCAGAACTTACACCATAGGCTGCCTTCATTCTCAGGCCTTTAGACTAGACAAAATTACACCATTGGATTTCCTGGTTCTCCAGCTTGCAGATAACATGTTGTAGAACATTCTCAGCCTCCATAGTACTGAGCCAAGTACCATAGTAAATCTCAAGTAGATCCACGTATAGCCTCTTGGTTCTGTTTCTCTAGAGAATCCTGACTAATACAATACACAAAAGTGCTTAAAGACCTGTAAAGAGTTATATAAGTTTATTTAATATAATACTAGCAGTGTAATAATAGTAATAATACTAATGCAAATACTATCAGTTGAGACCATAAACGACACTGAAATCCTGATGGTACAGAAAATACATTATATCATTCTTCTTTGCCATAATCTCTGTAAGTAATTTCCTTTCTCTCTTCACATCAGTAGGCTATACATATTAAAATAATTAATAAAAACAATAAGACTGAAAGTTATTGAATGCTCATGCCATGTAATTTTAGTTATGTCAGTCTTTACTGGAAAACCTTAAATGCTTGAACATTTCATCCTTGAAACAGAAGGCTGTAATTGAGTAAGTCCTTGGCCTATGTATTAGCGTATTTCCATGCTGCTGATAAAGACACACCCAAGGCTGGGCAATTTACAAAAGAGAGAGTTTTAATGAATTTATATTTCCACATGGCTGGAGAGGCCTCACAATCATGGTGGAAGGCAAGGAGGAGCAAGTCACATCTTACGTGAATAGTGGCAGGCAAAGAGAGAGCTTGTGCAGGAAACTCTCATTTTTAAAAGCATCAGATCTTGTGAAACTTATTCACTATCACGAGAACAGCATGGGGAAGACCCACTCCCATGATTCAATTATCTCCCATGGATCTCTCCCACAACCTATGGGAATCATGGGAGCTACAAGATGAGATTTGGGTGGGGACACAGAGCCAAACCATATCATTATACAAACAATGAACTTTCCCCTGACATTTAGAAACATGCTAAATATTGTGTAAACATTTCTAATTCTATTTTCATTTTCATAATTAACAACAGAAAAAATAGATTAACAGAAAAAGTATACTCCATGTATCATTATAAGATTAATATACCTTGGAAATCTTGCAAATCTAGATGACCTTTCTTTAAATCCACATTATGAGAAAATTATATGCTTTAAAATATTTGTAAGACCAGTTGTGAACATTCTTGTAGTCAGTAAATTAATCATCATATCTAATTACAAATATCAAATAAAATATTGATCATAAACTTGAAGTTTTGGCTCATCTCTGTAATTGGATGCTCTCTAGGCTGTCCTGTGCTGAAATGCTGAGTATGCATTTAGATTAGGACATGACCATTTATTGTGACAACCAATACTTTACTTGTAATATACATTTTGCCTTATAAAAAACCTTACAAAATTGTGCTCATTTATTATGATATAGTTGGTGATTTGTTAACATCTGTTTTTAGCTTATTTATTTCTTTAATAGGGTTTTAAAATATTGCCTATCAATGTAGTCAGTATTTTTCTTTTAAATACAAATAAATAAAATCATGCTGTCTAAATAAATTTTATTATTTTTTAATAAATAAAATAATTTCTATACTATACTCCATTGTCTTTTTTCTTCAATTTTTTTTTCTTTTAGTTTTGATATGACGCTTGGAAAATGCTTTCATGCATTTCACTTTTGGCTATTTTTCACACAGATTCTTGAATGTTTTCTCTAATTGACAGCTCAAAAATAAAGGTGGCAGATATTAATTAATAAGTCAAAGTTGCCAAGAGAGGCTTTGAAGCCAAAGTTTTGGTTTCCAGGCTTCTATTGATTTATTCTATTTGAAACAAACAAATAAAAAATCCTCTACAAATATCTGGATTCTAATAGAACTCTTTTTTATTTTTCTTTCTTTCTTTTTTTTTTTTTTTTTTTTTGAGATAGAGTCTTGCTCTGTCGCCCAAGCTGGAGTGCAGTGGTTCCATCTCAGCTCACTGCAGCCTCCGCCTCCCAGGTTCAAGCAATTCTCCTGCCTCAGCCTCCCGAGTAGCTGGGACTACAGGTGTCCGCCACCATGCCCGGCTAATTTTTGTATTTTTAGTAGTGACAGGGTTTCACCATGTTGGCTAGGCTGGTCTCGAACTCTTGACCTTGTGATCCACCCGCCTTGGCCTCCCAAAGTGCTGGGATTACAGGCGTGAGCCACCGCATCCGGCTTCTAATGGAACTCTTTAAGGTCCTGCTTGATGGATCTCCTTCAAAATATTATTTAGTTTGGCTTTCAAGTTAATTTGTATCCACTTTATGTTTTCCAACTTATGTGTTCGGGGTATTCAAAGTATGACAATGCTTGGGAAAGGGAAATGTGTTAGGAATGAGGAGATTTACAGGCCTGTCTGAGTTCTACCTTTATCTCTCGTGTTACCGAACAAGCATCTCTAGGACTCAGTTTGCTCCTCTGTGAAATGGAAGCATTAGTCTAGATAATCCATAGCTTCCCCCTTGCTCGGCCCTGGCAACATCAAAAACCCTAAACTGATCTGAGTTTGGCTGATAATTTATGTTGACAACCTGATTAAAAAAAAATTCTTCAGAACTCTTTCTGAAGAGCAAATTGTGACACAAGCAAATTGTGACATTCATAACTATTTCATATCTGTTTCAATAAAGTAATTATTTTAATTAACATTTTTCTATAACTCATTAGATAAATGTATTTGGGGACCTGATAGATAATGTTAGCTAAATTTAAAAATTTCCCTTAAAATGTAAATCAGTTCATGATTTTCCTCTGCTCAAAACTATTTTCCCCCCACCCCTCCACACACACACACAAAATAAGTAAAAATTCACCTATTGGCCTGAAAGTCTTCCTGATTTGGCATTTGATTACCTCATCCCTAGTTACTGTTTTCTTGCTCACTTTACTGGTGCTGGACTTTTACAATTTTATTTTATTTTTTCAGAGACAGAATCTCCGTCACCCAGGCTAGAGTGTAGTGGTACAATTTCAGCTCGCTGAAGCATTGAATTCTTGAACTCAAGTGATCTTGCTGCATCACCTTCCCAAGTATCTAGGACTACTGGCATAAGCCACTAAGCCCGGTTAATTTATATATATATATATATATACATACATCATATATATGGAGATGAGGTTTTGCTATGTTGGCCCAGGCTTGTCATGAACTCCTAGGCTCAAGTGATCCTCCCACCTGGGCCTCCCAAAGTGTTGAGATTATCAGCATGAACCACTGCACCCAGCCCTGCGGAAGGTTTTATATCCAGCTGGTCACCTAGCTTTAACTCTGATTCTAGGAACTGGTGACAGCTGAATTTCTGCTTAATCTGCTTTGGTGTGTCAAGCCTCTTTTAAGGTTGTTTTGCTGTTGTTCTTTTAACTTTTAAAGAGGGCAAATATAACTGTCCAAAATAAAATCTCACAAAATCTGTTTCTTCATTTGCTTCCTAGTTAGCCTATTTCCTCTTTCTTTAATCTCTCCCTTCCATGTCTGCAAAGCTGTCAAACCAATGACTTGGCCATCTCTTACCAGTCTCTGTTTATCTTAAGCCTTGTCTTTCTGATGTTCTTACCCATTAAATAGGTTAAACTCCATTAAGTCATAAGTGGATTGTGAATTTTCAGAGAATGAAAAATATAAAATGGAAAGTATAAAATATTTAGTTAAATCTGCATAGGAAATATTTCTTAAATGATTCTAAAATGACCTCAGTCTATAAATTACCATTTAATATGTTAATTATACATTGTATGAAAGGAAAGCAAAGATCTAATCCTGCATTGATGTGCAACAGATCACCTTACATGTGGCAACATTTGAGGGACTGAAAATGTTTCTTGCCCTCTTGCCTAGGTCCACAGTTCCTTTCAATCTCTTCTGCATGATACCTTGAATATATCATTTGTTAGTTATTAGCACGTAAAAGGTAAGGCTTCTGGTCAAACCTTCAAATATATCATAGGGGACAAATGCTATAGGCATATCACTATTAAGCATTAGCAACTTAGCAGAAATTAGATAACATGAGAAGACCATGAGAAAGTGAGAAGGATGATGGCTAACTTCGATGGTAGTCAGGAGCTGGGGAAGGTGTGGACATGCAAGCAATGGCAAAGGTGGAACCCCCAAGGTGAGCTGCAGTAGAAAGAGAGGACGCAGGTCCCCCTGAGGAAGTGCAGGGATTAGTGAGCTGCTGTCTGATTGGGCTATCAGTTTTATATGGAAATTTATCTCTCTTCTATTTCTTCTTTTCTTTGATTTAACAAAAATGTTAGGCTGTAGACACACATTCCCACATGCCTCTTCAATCCCTAAGTCACAGGATCATTTTGCTAGGGACAGGTTTGGTAGGGCAGACATATGGAGGAACTGTTTTGAGTAACAGGACTCTACAACATTTAAGTGCTGTATAGTCACACGTTTGAATAGTTAGACTGCTCAAGCGACAACTTCTAAAAAGTTGCTTTTCACTCAGATACACCCTTTCCTTAGGAAACTCTTCAAGAATCCAGCTTATCCAAACCAGGTTCTGGTGCCTTAGCTACATCATGTAATTTATATAGAATGAGAACTGCATTAGTCAGCAGCTGTTAAACTTTCACCACCAAATAAGTAGGCAAAATCTTATTTTAATAGGTCTGTAAAATCACACTATAGTGAACTCTCCCACTCCTATCTTCAAATATTTTCTAATTTTCAAAACATCATTACCCAACAGGCTAGTTTACCTTTAGGAGATTTGTATTCTTTTTGGTTAAGAAACATAAAATTTTCTTCTTTTTCAAAATGCATCACATTGTATCTCATTTAATTTTTTAAGTTTGGACTGATGTATGAGTTTCAAAGTAACATTAACCTATGTCCAGTTTATCTCTCAATCTTTCTGGTTAGTAATGAGGGATAATGGTAAAAATATAGTTACAGTGAACTTTGGCATAGGTGAGACCCCCACATTTCATATGTACCTATCATTCAAGTCTGCTTTTGTTGTGTTTCCAAAAATAAGGCTGTTAAATGAGCCCTTAATTTTGTTTATAAGCTAATATTAATTGTTCTGGAAAATGTGGATTAAACACTTAAATAAAAGCGCATTGGCTAAATTAAACATGAAGGAGTTGCAACATGTTGTGCTTGTATAACATGCACATGTTTAAAGTGACTGAAATTTGGATTATTTTCTCAACTAATTTTGAAATTTAAGATTTTTCTACATCAACCCAAGATTTGTGGTATGCATGTGCTTGAAATCCATTGAAATAGCTACTTAGTCAAACTGGCCTTCCCAACCGGATGAGTATTTCTTTGCTTCATTTCTTCTAAAGATCTGTGAGGGGTTTCCAAAGTGTCCCTCTTGTAGCAGATGGAATACTCTCAGGAGTCCATCCCTATAGCAACCACAGCTACACCGGGCAATCAGTGCTCTACTGATTTCCAAATAGCATGTGAGGCCACTGAAGGCTGCAAAACCTTCCTTCCACTGACTGGGTTCCCTGCTGATGCTATTTGGAAAATACCTAATCTGTATCTCAGAGAAGCATCCTATCTGTATTGTGTATAATTTAAGAAAATACTCAACCTGAAAATAGAATTATTTTAGGAAAAATAATTTTCTAGATGTTTTCTCCTCAAAGTCATATATTCTAAGTACTTCCCTTATGTTACACAAGGTTGCCTGCCATAGATAAAGCTACACTGTAAACCTCATAGGTGAGGAAGACTCAAGTCAGGTGATTAGAACTTTGCTAAAACCCTGGGCCATGACAGCATTCTTGTGAGGATTTAGCAGCTGTCATATGGAAATCTGTATGAATTAAGTTCAATATTGAGGATAAGGTTTGTGCTCAGGGGCAATCCTGGGAAATTTCTTTTTGGGTTGGCATGCCCCTGACTGGACACTTTGTAATACTTTCTTGGTGACAATACTTTCTTGACAACATTGTTGGCAATTGTTCTGGAAATAACATCAGTAGTCTTGATAGCTGCAAACAAATTGGGATAAAGCCATAGTTTTGACTGTGCATTACAAAGATGGTGACTATTCAAATGTAATCAGTTTAATGATGTTTTAGAGAATGTTCTTGTTTTGGGGACAGTGACAAGTGCCGATATGAAGTTTGCAGTCTAAAGGGTATACAGGTGGGAACAATTTCAATACATAAAAGCATTGGACTTATATGAGCACAAAAGGTGCGTTGTCTCTGACTGAAGACTCTTGATGCGGCATCATGGGATGGTTTCATTTTCACTAACATCCATGATTGTCCAGGTTTCACCACCCTTTCCCGCTTCCTTCTCCCAAATCTCTTTAAGCTAGCTTGGGTTAGAAGGATGATCGAATAGAATCTGTTCAAGGCAAGATATGTTTTTAGCATGCATTCATCTATTATGACCAATACCATTTGATGAGAAGTTGATGAGCAGAAGAAACCTGAGGCCAGGTGAAGGCATTTAAAACCCCTTCTTCTCTCACTATAGAATTAAGCTTTTTCCCACCCCAATTATAGTAGATTAATTATCATTATTATTATTTGAGATGGACTTTTGCTCTTGTCGCCCAGGCTGGAGTGCAATGGTACAATCTCAGCTCACCACCACCTCTGCATCCCAGGTTCAAGCGATTCTCTTACCTCAGCCTCCTGAGTAGCTGGGATTACAGGTGTGTGCCACCATGCCTGGCTAATTTTTTGTATATTTAGTAGAGATGGGGTTTCTCCATGTTGGTCAGGCTGGTCTCCAACTCCTGACCTCAGGTGATCTGCCCACCTTGGCCTCCCAAAGTGCTGAGATTATAGGCGTGAGCCGCCGCGCCTGGCCAGATTAATTATTTAGAGGCTTTTGAGAATAATTCCTTTCAAAACACGAATTTCCATGCCTTAGCTTAAGGTTACATCTAGGTTATGTACTGAAGTGAAAAGGAGTCTATCATTCAGATATTCTTCACGTAATCCCAAACATACACGTTTTTCTTGGAACTCATATACCCAGGTGGCAGACAGGATCGTCATTTTCCCCACATTGTTTGTGTCAGATAAACACAGCTTTTGTGTCATGTACACACTGCCATATGATCGCATATGGTTTCACTGAGAATTCCATATTTATAGGGTGGAACTACACCATAACATGAAATCCGCAGGGCTAGAAACGAGCACTGGGCCCATCTTGGATTTCCTCCAAGGAGGTTTTGAGTTCTTGGAGGCGGGCACAAAGGTATTCATGATAATATGGTCTTGTTTGTAGCATGGACCAAGAATGTGGACCTTGAGGATAACGTTACAAGGAAGCTCTGCATTTTAGGGAAATGATTCCTTGCCAGAGAATTGTATCCGCTCCCCACACTCACATTTGTTATGCTGCCAGCTGTTCTCTGTTATCATCTCTTGCAGCCTGCAGGTGGGGTCCACTCAGGAGTGGCTCTCCAGGGTGAGAGGGAAACAGAGACAGGCTGCCGCTGAACCAGATTCTGCCCTTGCTGCTGCTGCTGCTGCTGTGCAGAATTTTGACTTTTGCCTGCTTTGTCCCTGGGCTCTCAGCAGTTTGGCTGACTGGCTACTTACCGTTGCTTGACACTGCAACCTTCTGCCCCTGCCTTCCTGTTTTTCTTTAAGTCTTGACAGTCTGCAGATTGCGGAAGGTCCCTGGATGCCTCTGGCCTGCTTCTTTCTCAGGACCCGTGGCTTCTGTCTTTCTCTAATTTATGAGACTTCCTATTCAGCTACTATCGGGAACCTGTATCGATTCATGTGCTTTTCCCGCAAGCTATATCCTCAGTGCCTGTTCATGCAGCACTGTCTTCCCGTTTCCACCCATAACCTAGAACAGTTACACTTTGAGTGACAGAAACAACAATGAAAACCAAGCCTTGTAGCAATTTTGCATTGCCACGAGTTGGAGTTCAATTATCATGCAGTTACTGTATCATTAGGGCTTGTTTTCCTTGATGAGAACTTTGTGAGATGGTGACTAAACTCATTATTTAGAATAACTATCATCGAAACATTAGTCATTGGAGAAATCTGGGTGAATCAGAAGAGAAAAGCTAGTAGCATAGGCATTCCAATTAAGTTCTTTAGAGAGTCATCTAGAATAAATAGGGCTTTTTCTTTTCCCCTGACAAGAGTTGTGAAATTGTGTTTGTAATCTAATGAATCTGTTCTCAGTTTTGGAGAGAATATGATTTTCAAGGTTTGGGCTGTAGAAACACAAAAGTTGGGGTTGGTTGGGCATATGTATATGGTTTTATATACATGATTATATACTATTAAGTTAGGAGTATATTGTTACATTTTCTTTATTCTTGCTTAAACAGTATTTCAGATTGGAAACTCTTTTTGTCAGATTTGGGGAATGATCTCTGAAAATTATCTGCTATGTACCTAAAAAAGTAGAAGCAACCAATATCCCTTTAAAAAATACTTAAACACTTGTCTCCTATGGCATATTTAGGTTTTTCTTTTTATTGTACTACTGTACACTCCTGTCTCCTTTCTGAATCTCTAAGGACTGCAATTTGAGATCTAGAGGCCTATAACATTGTGAAGAAAAAAATAGACTCACCTAACTCTTTCCCCTCAGTGATACTCTCCCTGTTTGGAAGGTTGGGGTCTAGTTTAAAATCTTTCTAATTATCTTGAATGTTCCAGAGTTTATGTGTCTCTGATATTCTGAAATTTTCTAGTGCGATGTTGATGCTCTCTTAGGGAGGTCTAAAATGTCAACCTCCAAGGGTCTTTGTACAGCACTTCTATGCGCCATGGTGATTTCAAACACAAACATGGATTGGATCTGCTGGAATGTATGAACCAAATGTCAAAGCAGCTTTCCGGAGAATGGATCTGGTGAAGAATTGTCTCTAGCTATGAGCCCCACTTACAACTTGTAAGCTTATAGGTTGCTCATGAGTAAATTCAAGCAGCAGCATACTCAAGGGAGTTCTATATTCCCTTCACAAACCAAAAGACTGTGCCTCTTTCTTAGTGGTGGATTTTGCAAGGTACAGCAACTTATTCTTCACCTTGTGGGGATGTCTGGGCATGTGTCAGACCAATGGACCCCTGGAAAATTCACCAAGTAGGCGGCATCTGAATTTTCACATCATTTCATTTTCTGCCTCTTGGCTGTAGGAGGAAGACTGCCAGTACATATTTTAGGCAGTAAAGCAAATAATTATCCAAGGGAATTCATCTTCCTTTTCATTCAAGAGGCTCCATATAGGGTCTGGGAATTTGGTGAAAGGCATGACTCTTTATTATGACGATTTAAGTCAAAAACCATGAGCTTTAGATTCCTTTGCTTATGCATAACCTATAACTCTCTAGTAGACTTCACATCAACTTCAGTCTTAGTGACTTTGTGAAATATTAACCATTGCCAAAAAAGCTCTGTGGGTTCAAGTATTTTCAGTGGTTTTCTGGCTTCGCAACTCCCGGCAATACTGATGCCTACCTGATCTTTGGTGATATTCATTTCTCTGCTAGCTCTGCCACAATGCACATTTGATATTCTGAAACTTAAGCACTAAATTATAGAGTTAACTCTTCTTAGCACACCTAAGACTTATAAAGGCAAAATATACTACTTTATTTTTCTCCCTCTGGGATTTCATCATCCCCGTTGAATTCCAGGAGGTCCTTTTTAATGGTGGCATTTCCCACTCTAATCTCTGGCGTGCATGGAACAGCCACTATAGAAACTTTCAGGATGCTAGTGACCTCTCTACCAATGCATTTATTGAAGGCTTTGTGAGGAGAGTGCCCTCTGAATCCTCTTGGGACACATAAAAGATAGGGAAGCACTAAGACATGAGAAATCCGCCCCAGCCTTTTTATTTCCCTAATCGCTCAGATTGCTTGATATGTAGCATACCAAGGAAGTTCTAGCATCTCACTTTTATTTAGTGCACTGTTGAATCAGATTTCAGTCAACCAACCATGCAAACTTTTAAAGCTACTCACAATACTTTGAACTAACACTCTATATCCATAATCTCTGTTCAATGTTCACATACAATAAATTCAGCTAAGTCTAGCAAAAAAAAAAAAAAAAACAAAAGAGTCACTTCTCCTAGGTCTGATACCTTCAGAATCCATTTTCATGCATATTCTCTAAGTATCTATCAATATAAATTGGAAAAATCATGACATTGAATTGCTATGTATGGTATATCGTTTTAGGTCAGATTTTTGTGGTGGGCCTCTTGGCATCTTCCAGAATTTAAGAATACTCATGAGTCTGGAAACAATAAGAGGTGGTATGGGTTCAGCATAAACCTTCAAAGCAATCACTAGGCATGGTAATTATATGGTCTTCAAGCAAGTGGAGGCTGATAATTTCACATAGAGGAGGGAAGAAGAAGCTGCTTTTGTTGGTAAGAGAAGCCCAGAAAAATCTAGGGTGAGGCTAAGGTTACTAGATTCATTGAAGTATGCTCATTCCAATTATTACATCCCACTCTTTTTCCGCCAATCCCTTAACTTTACATTAAGAACCATACAAAGGCTATGAATTCAGTTTGCATTGTAACTCAACCACCTACAGGGTCAAATTTTAGTTTTCCCAAACCTCATGATGTAGATTCAAAAAAGCATGTGTTAGAGAAGTCAAAGAACCACTGTGGTCCTCTACTCTGTGACTTGAACTGGGAATTAAAACCTTGAACTTGTCATTTTCTTTCTCCAAATTCTCCAGTGTACTTATAAGAAGTGACATCCATTGCAACAGCTACTTTGACTTCTAAAGCCTTGCCTTATGCAGGCATTTGACTTCAGGCAACTAAAGGTTATGATACAAGCAGCTCTTTTACCACTTATTGTGAGGGACTGCCCATGTCTCACTGGAGCAGACACCATATCTTGGTGCTCCATTCGTATTTCCTAGGCATTCTCTTCTATATGCTGTAGGCTGTTTATTGTTATCATTTCTGGCTCTCTGCTGAATAACTTTTCTATTTTTCTTCCTGACGCAGGAGCATGCTCAACCTGAGTGCTCGGCAAGGCAAATGGAATGGAGGATCCACACTCCTGGAAGCAGCTTTCAACCAACAATGATGGACAGTTAGTGGCTAGAAACTCTCGCTTTATCCCTTAGTTGGGCTTACCCTGTATGATCATATACCCTGTCGACAGCACCACTGTTGTCCAGCACTGTTGAGTTCCAGTTGCTCAGCATAGTGTTGATCAAGAATTTAAGGTGCCTTCCCTCTCCTGGCTCTCTCATTTTCCCACTTTATTAATAGCATTTCCAGGGATCACCTCTCAGTTTAGCTACTTGCATTCAAATTCTTGTCTCAGGATCTGCTTCTGGGTGAAACCAAGACATCTAAGTTCCACTGGCAATGAAGTAATTAATGCCTTAAATCTGATTAGATCTATAAACTAATTCCAGATTCTCATCTTTAAGGTTGGTCTCTGTGATGATTAATATTGAGTGTCAACTTGATTGAATTGAAGGATGCAAAGTATTGTTCTTGGGTGTCTGTAGGGTGTTGCCAAAGGAGGTTAGCATTTGAGTCAGTGGACTGGGAAAGGCAGACCCACCCTCAATCTGCGTGGGCACAATCTAATCAGCTGCTAGTGTGGCCAGAATAAAAGCAGGCAGAAGAACATGAAAAGACTAGACTAGTTTAGCCTCCCATCCTAGATCTTTCTCACGCACTGGATGCTTCTTTCCCTTGAACATCGGACTCCAAGTTCTTCAACTTTGGGAATTGGTCTGGCTTCCTTGCTCCTCAGCCTGCAGATGGCCTATTATGAGACCTCACCATGTGATGGTGTGAGTCAATATTCCTTAATAAACCCCCCTTTATATATACATCTATCCTATTAGTTCTGTCCCTCTAGAGAACCCTGACTAATTCAGTCTCCCTTAACCAATTCCAAGATCAAAACCAGTGAGGATTTGGTCAGGGAAACAGATATTACTCTGTGTATATCATGGGTCAGAAATAAAGGGGCACATGCAACACCTGTAAAACCTGAGAATGTAAAGATCACAGATGCCACCACTGATAGTCAGGAACTGCTAGTGAAGTGCTATGGAAAACATTACATAAGAGCACGAAAAAAGATAGCTGCTCTAAAGGCTTTCAGCAAAGCATGTGCTTTTCAAGAGCTTTTTAGAAGCTGCTGTGACTTCCATGACTGCCCGTGCTTTCTACTATCAATACCTCAAGAGAACAAAGAACTTTCCTCTCTTCCGCTTTCAGAATTTTGCATGACTGTGTCATTGACAAATTCTAAATAGGGAAAAGAATTCCGAGAAATGCAGTTCTCGGATTCTCCTCCTCATCCCAGGCAAATTCTTGGAAGGGGATGGTAGTGATGTTGAGATATTACGAGTCCATCTGGAATAATGAGCAAAATCTGGAATGTGAAAGGCTTTGCATGAGATTTTAACCATTTTTGTTTTAATTCCAAGAAGAAGGGGAAGATGTTGATAGTTTCTAAGAAGGGGTGTGATATGATTCTATTTGCATTTTCTAATCCTTGTCTAAAGCTTAGAGCTTGGGATGTCAAGAAAATCAGTTAGGAAAACACATAGAGTTTGTCCAAGAAAAAGATGATGGCTGTACTCCACTAGGGTGGAGTACGGAGGATTTCAAGAAGTGACAGAGTTAAGAGTTACCAGGACATAAGAGTAACTGGACGTGTTGGTGCACTGGGTTTGGGGATGGTACAATTATGAAGGTTACTGATTTGTTGTCAGTCATTAAGGTGGGAAATACTGGAAGACAGCCAGTTTGGGGCAGGGTAGCTGGTTTAGGGGTAGGTTGTGACTTTGGATTTTCTGAATTAGAGGTGACTTTGAAGTACTTTTTGAGGATCCTGAGCAGTCAACACACTTGGTCACACTATTTGTTCTAGGAGGGCTCCTGTGGGTATCCAGTGCCTCTTGACAGTTGCACATTGCTCACAGCCACTAAGGATGGTAATAATTCCCAGCAACCAGTTCCAAGTTCAGTGTTAACTTCTCAGGGTCATGAAGACTCATTTTTTTGCAATAATTTCTAAGAGCAGTGGCTCCAAGGGCTTCTTTTTAAATGTTAGATAGTCAGAAAGTCTTGTCAGTAGTTTTACATATTCCCAATTACTTCTCCCTTCACAGGAGAGATTGCACAATCATTGACTGTTAGGTTGGTGTTACTCTTTCAGCCACCCTTGGGGGGCAACTATGATGGTGCCTTGCTGAGATGTCTCCAGGAAGCTGTTCATGCAAAGAAAAGCCACCTCACAACACTCAAGTTGAACTGAAGTGAACCGAAGGAAACAGTCATATAGGAAGCCATTTAATATTATATTGCACTGCTTTTTCTTCTGTTCTTTGATATTATACCCTGAGGAGGGCTGATGCAGGTGAGCTGTCATTTTCCCATCCTCCTGCCCAGGAACTGCAAAGATAATTTTTATTTCTTCCCTGGCTTCATTAAGCTTGGGTAACTAAGGAGCTTTGCAAATCCATATATCATGGATTTGTCATGGGCCCTTGGATATAGGCATAATCTTTTCTAACCATGGGGTATTATAAATGACCCAAAGTTTCTTATAGACTATGTGTATACTCCTAAGACAACCCTTAAATTATATAAAATTTTATGTCATTTGCAATCCTTCTGTAAGGAAGATTTGCCTCTTTCCTCCCATTTATTAATTTAGTCAATTATTTAATAGTCATGGACTTAGTTATGTTTATTTTATACTTTGGATTATAGCCCAGTGCTACATTATTGTGTTGCATGAATTATTCCAATTTTTCCCTTTGGAAGTTTATTCAGGCTGGCTCCTGTGTTCCTATGAAATCCTTCTGTTTTTTGAGTACTTCCTCAGTCTCTGGTACTACAAGATGTTCAAGGTTCATCTTCTACTTTCTTCACCCTATCCTAGAATCAGCCATCTATGTAAGGAACTCTTGGTTCCTTTGATTGGAGAGTGGTATTTATAAACCAAGATCTGAGCACTGGTGTCATTTTCCCTCCTCCTGAAGCACTTCCTTTAGCATGTCTTGCAGTACAGTTCTGCTGGTGATCAATTCTATCAGCTGTTGTATATCTAGTGGTTCTTACCTTTTCTTCTCACAGTTTTCTTACATGCATGAGCTGATCAATATTGTGTTGAAGACTAAAGGAAACCCTCTGCAGGACTCCAGAACTCTTTCTCTGCACAGCTCTCTGCTTTCCACGGAGGTGTCTCCACTCGAGTAATCTGCCTCACAAATTCTAGCTTTCCTGACCTTATTCAATTCTCGAGTCCATTTGCTCAAAATGGAGAACTTAAGGCTTTGATTTGGTTTCGCTTCCTTGTGCTTCACTGTACAAGCACTCTGGTATATAATCTGGGGCAATCACAGGGAATAGGCTGTCCTTGTTTGCTTCCCCTCTGTCTCCTAGGGATCACCAATAGAAGCTGCTTGTTGCTCGCTATCTGAAAATGATTTATTTTGTCTGCCTTGCTGTTTGTTTAAGGTGGGTCCCTGTTACTCCATCTTTGCCGGAAGTAAACTCTCCTCTGCTTTTTATTTATATTCTTTTTAATGAAGATATGGACTATCAGAATAAATATTAGCAATAATTATTGAAAGAAAAGATTTAATTAAACATTTTAAGAAACATATTTTATTTAAACTAATGTAAAAGTTCAAAACATTAAAAAAGTCTTACCTTTTTGGAAATTAAACATTCAAACAAAATGGTCCCTTTTGGTAAATAAATAATAAAAATGATGTTACTGCATCTCAAAACAGAACATTGAGCTAAACTCCAAGGAAAATTAATGATCTTCATTATTAAACAAGAAAAAAATTAACAACAGTAAACTAAAATTTCAACTTATTAAGAGGAAAGAAAACTAACAGAATCATTAAAAAAACCCAGAAATTATAGAATTTGAAAATACAAAAAATTGAATATATAAATAAGTAAAAATGCTTGTTTTTGAAATAAAAACTTTTAAAAAGCAAATTTTAAAGTCTAGTGAGAAAAATTAAAAAAATCAAAATGAAATATAATTAGAATTCAGAAGGATTTAAATACAAGTTTGAAGTTTTTAAATATGAGAAAATATAATGTCACTGTTAATAATTTGAAAAGATGAGGTATCATTAATTATAAATGAAATAAATACAATTTTCTTCCTAGAAAATGTGAACAAATTCTTTGTCCCATCCCAAAATAGCTTACTATGTTGGCAAATTAAAAATTAAAATTTAAAAGATAATACATATACCTAGAGCATTTAAAAGAAATCTTTAGATATCTTTATTTTTTACACCAAAACTTTACTGAAGCTTGTTTGTAATGGTCTGAATGTTTATGTTTGCCAAAATCCATATGTTGAAATCCTAACCAATGTGATAGTACTAGGAGGTTGGACTCTTGGGAAGTGATTATGTCGTGAAGGTGGAGTCTTCACAAAAGGGATTAGTGCCTTATAAAAGGGACCTCAAAAGCTCTCTTACTCTCTTTCCACCATAGGAGAGTATAAGAGAAGTTGGCAACCCAAAAGAGGTTTATGAGGTCACCAGATCCAGACCATGCTGGCACCCTGATCTCAGATTTCCAGCTTCTAGAACTCCAAGACAGAAATTTCTATTGATTATAAGCCACGTAGTCTATGGTACTTTGTTATAGCAGCTGGAACTAAAACACTATCAGAAAGATGGAAATAGAGAGCAAGAGTGACAACTCACATGGTGGAGAGGGGGCAGAGAGTTTGGCGGGCAGGAAATAAAGAAGAGAAAGAAAAAGTTAATAAGTCATTAATCCAAGAATTAAAGAAAAACTTCCCAAATCCATATATTTATTTCAATTTCATTTAAAATGAGAATGCAATTTTTATATTAATGGGATTTTGATAGGTAAACCTACAGTACATCTGAGTAATAGTTATGTAAAAATAACCAAGATAGGCCAGGCGCAGTGGCTCACACCTGTAATCCCAGCACTTTGGAAGGCCAAGGTCAGTGGATCACTGGAGGTCAGGAGTTCGAGACCGTTATGACCAATATGGTGAAATTCCGTCTCTACTAAAAAAAAAAAAAATTAGCCACTGTGGTGGTGGTGCATACCTGTAATCTTAGCTACTCAAGAGGCTGAGGCAGGAGAATTGTTTGAACCCAGGAGGTGGAGATTGCAGTGAGCCAAGATGGTGCCAGCCTGGGTGACAGACCTAGACTCCCTAGGCTCCATCTAAACAAACAACCAAACCAAGATAATGTTGATAAAGAAGAAAAATAAGTATCTTATTTTCCATGAGAGAGAAAACCCAAAATAAGACAAGTTAAACATCTTGCCCAGTTATTTGTCTTGTCACAGGTAGAGTCAAGATACAAACCAAGACTTTTAAAGCAAAACTCCTATAAATCTGCTGCTCTCCCTTAGTGTGATGTGTACAAATGCAGCAGATGCTGTGAGGGCTCCCAAATCACCCTTCAGGACTGAGCCCCTAGCTGAGGGGCATGCTGGACTGAGTAAGCTGCTTCACAAAGGTTGTACCCTTTTCCCAGGGGCAGCCCACATCCATGACCAGTTAACGTAAGGGTGCGGAGCGCCGGCCCTTGCCTCAATCTTAGACAACTCTGAAAGGTCATCCTAGCCAGAGTACCCCCTGTAGGATCACCTGAAGTCCTTTTGCAGATGCATTGCCTTCAACTTCATCTGCCCAACTCTTCTTTCCTTATTCCGTTATAGGTGTTTTCCTACAGGTACTCCCCAGTAAACTTCCTGCATGCAAATCTGTCTCAGAGCTCATGTCCTGGGAACTCAGACACATGTCTGATGCCCAGAGTAGCCCTAGGAAGCAGATTCAGAAACAGGAATTTGGAGCTGTATCACTCCTGGCCAGCTGGCAATGCGATCACTTCACTGGTCGGTGGAGTACTGATTGCCTCTGACAAGCTGTAACAGAACAATTGTTAAAGTGGTCCCTGGGGATGAACTGGAATGCCATGCTGGGGAAGGTAATGCAATGACTACTGCAATAGTTCATAGGTTAGAGAGGTTTGAGGAAGGAGCAATTATAAAGACAATAGAATCAGAGTCCTATTGATGCATTAGACAAAGACCATAAAAAGCTGATGGTGATTAATCAACAATTTAAGGTAAAATGTGAAAATCAGAAGGCCTATTTGGCAGCATATAAAAAGAGTCCCAGGCTTTGCAGCTGGAGGGCAGAAAAAGCTGAGGATCAGGCCAGGATATAATTATAAGTGTAGCAGAGCTCCAGAGGAGGTTGAATTCTCATTCATAGCAAATGTGCAATTACCAAGGTCAGGGTCATGGTTGGCAAGGTCTGGAACCTGAGAATTGGAATGGGGACATGTGAATTAATGATACCAGAACCTTGAAACCTTAAGATAGCCCTATATCCACTGGGTCTGCAGAAATGGCTGATTGCTGTCAATTAAACTCCCTGGGACCTGCTTGAAGATATAGAGGATGCTGCCTTGCAAGTCAGGATCTGTCTCCACCTCTCCTTCTGGATGCCAGACTAATCACTGTTGTTGTCACAAGATAACCTGGCCAGTATACTCTAGTGTATTTTGCTAAAGGAGGAGAAGGGCTATTTCCTGAAAGAGTTGCTGCAGGGCCTAGTCAAATATAAAAGCAGGAGCCAGGAACTTATGTTCAGAGTTAGACCTTTCAGAGTTGTCTAAGATTGAGGCAAGGGCCGGCGCTCCGCACCCTTACGTTAACTGGTCATGGATGTGGGCTGCCCCTGGGAAAAGGGTACAACCTTTGTGAAGCAGCTTACTCAGTCCAGCATGCCCCTCAGCTAGGGGCTCAGTCCTGAAGGGTGATTTGGGAGCCCTCACAGCATCTGCTGCATTTGTACACATCACACTAAGGGAGAGCAGCAGATTTATAGGAGTTTTGCTTTAAAAGTCTTGGTTTGTATCTTGACTCTACCTGTGACAAGACAAATAACTGGGCAAGATGTTTAACTTGTCTTATTTTGGGTTTTCTCTCTCATGGAAAATAAGATACTTATTTTTCTTCTTTATCAACATTATCTTGGTTTGGTTGTTTGTTTAGATGGAGCCTAGGGAGTCTAGGTCTGTCACCCAGGCTGGCACCATCTTGGCTCACTGCAAACTCCACCTCCTGGATCCTGAGGGGTGCTAGATCATGGTGGTGAGTGGAAGAGGCAGAAAGTCAAGTTGGATAAGGAAGTGTTTATTATTATTGGAGCATTCTTTTTGATACAGAATTTTACACCCTGGCAAGGACCCTGGGAAACAATGCAAACTTGCTTCTATGTTGGCTCTTGCAAGTTGGAGAAAATGAAGGCTTGCACTATGTGAAGGAGAAATACTAGAACTGCTATGCAAGCAATGGAGGAGGAAATGCAAGGTTCAGAGAATGGGCATGCTAAAGTGCGTATACTACTCAAGGGCAAAAAAATCAACTTCATTCTGTGGGAGGACCTAGGGAACCCTCCATTTACCAAATAAAAATGCACTGTTCAGAGTAACACCACTATTAGCAAGAATCTCAGTGATAACTGTCTCCTGTAAGTAGGGAAGGTAGTAGGAGATGCTTAACAGAACTAGATTCCCTGATAAAAACAGGGCAAGGCAGTCCCCAAAATAGAGGCAAGCAATGACACTTAACCCTCAGAAGTGAAGTATGCACGATTATTATAATGAACACTAAGATCAAAGTGGCTGCCAGGCTGGCTTGTCCTGCAGAGAACTGTGGAGATGGTTAACAGAACATGGCTTTGCCTAAGACAAAATAGATGGGTGGACAAGAGTCTTACTTAATACATGGAGTGAAAAGAAATGGAGGATGGATAATAAGGAAATTGAGAACAACAGAAAGTCAAAACTGATTTGGCTACTGCCTCTACTGAAGGTCCAATAGATAGACAGTGGCAATGTGTAACAGCCTCCCCAATATGGCATCATCCCTCAAAGAGACAAGTCAACCACTTGTTGACAAACTGGTTATATTGGACTGCTTTTGCTTGGGAATAAACAGTTTTTTTTGACTGGAAATCATACATATTCCTGGTATGAATGTGTCTTTCCTGCTTTTACCGGCACCATTATTTGAGGGCTTACACTGGCAGGACGCACTGGCAGTCTTTGACACAGAATACTGCATAAAGTCATTTCGGGCTGAAGGACCCAAGTCTACAGCAAATGAGGTGCAACTGTAATGCATCACCATGGTCCTATCACGTAACACATTATCCAGAAACTGTTGACCTGATAGAGCAATGGTCTATCTAAAATTCAATTTTTAATAATACCATATTGCATAAAGTGGGACATGATGTATTATACTGCCTTTCTAAAGATGCGATAATTATAACTGTTTTTTACATAAAAAGCTTACTCTATTTGCTCATGTTACAAACAGTAGAGAGTATCTCTCTTAAGCACAAAGTGAATTTATTGGTCAGTATATAGGAACCCACAGGAATGAAGGAAAAGCAGAATAATGATTGGAAATAACAGGAACTAGCAATTGTAAATTTGACAGATCTCAACATAGAAACCATTTGATAGCATAGCTCTACTACCTTCACTGGAGAAATTAATTCCCCCTATTTCTTCAGTTTTTAATTCATTATGTTCAAATTTCAAAGTGCATTGGCAGAGATGTCAATTACTATTGCTTACATCACGTTTCTGCATTATGGCCTTTAGTAGAAGGAAGAGGTATGATCTGCCATAGTACCTGGGGTTCTCCATGGTTTTCTTCATGGGAGGGCATCTTAGTTTACCATGTAAACAAGACAATACACAGTGGGGAGAGATGTAACTTCCAGAAGATCATACTGCTATTTGTTAAGGGAGAAATGGATGCTAGATAACTAGAAACACATCAGTTGCCCTCTTAGATACATTTAACTACTCTTTAAATTAACCTCTCAATTACTTCTGGTTAATATATGCACTGCTGGATATACTGAGGAGCCCGTCCTGCTTGCTTCCTCATGCATCATTTTCTTCCTCTCCCATTAGCTACATGGAGGATGGGCAAAGGCACTTCCTGTGATTGCCTCTGGTGTTCAACCTTACACTGCCATCTGGAGCAATGCTGCATTCTTCTGGGAATGCCTCACAGTTGTCTGTGGTGCTAATGAATGCCAAGGCCTTTGAGAGCCAGAGTGCACTTCATTATACAATGACTTCATTAAGCCAAAATTATGAAACAGTCAGTGTTAGTCTGTTTTGTACTGCTATCACAGAACACCACAGCCTGAGTAGTTTATAAAAAATAGAAATTTATTTCTCACAGTTCTGGAGGCTAGGAAGTTCAAGAGCAAGATTGGACTGTTGGTCCAAGATCAAGGCTGGCAGTTTTGGTGTCTGGTGAGGGCCTGGTGTCCTCTTCCAAGATGGTGGCCTGAATGCTGGATCCTCTGCAGGGGAGAAGTGCTATTCCTCATACGGCAGAAGAGAAGAAGAGCCAAGAGAGAAAACTCATTCTTGAAAGCCCTTTCATTAAGTCATTAAACCCATCCATGAGGGTGGAGCCTGAAAAGTCTAATCACCTCTTAAAGGCCCCACCTCCCAATACCATTATTTTGGCAATTAAATTTCAACTTCTTTTTTCTTTCTTTCTTTTTTTTTTTGAGGAGTCTCTCTCTGTCACTCAGGCTGGAGTGCAGTGGCATGATCTCGGCTGACTGCAACCTCCGCCTCCCAGGTTAAAACAATTCTCCAGCCTCAGCCTCCCCAGTAGCTGAGATTACAGGTGTGCGCCACTGTGTCTAATTTTTGTATTTTTTGTAGAGATGGGGTTTCACCATGTTGGCCAGGCTAATCTTGAACTCCGGACCTCAAATATTCTGCCTGCCTTGGCCTCCCAAAGTGCTAGGATTACAGGCATGGGCCACCACGCCCTGCCTCAACGTGAGTTTTCAGGGGGACAAACATTCAAACCATTGCGTAGTCCATGCCATTTTTTTTTTTTTGCCTTCTTTCCCTTTGAACTTCTTTCTATCATTTGTTTATCTTCTTTCCATTGGAACTAGGAGAAAAGTTTGAACCTGGACACTGAAGAGATGGTGTCTGTGAATCACTGAATGAAAATAACTCATTTGGGTTTTACCTGCAGCCCTGTTAGAGCAAAGATACAGCTTCACAGGGTTTAATAAGAGCTAGAATGGGATGTTCTTTAAGCATTGTTAGTGTCCTAATTCCCCACTCTTGTAACTCCTCTGGCCACCCTCATCCCCTTTTCCCTTCTCATTCCGTTTCTTCACAGCAGTCCTTCATCAGTTCCTTCTCCCTAATGCTTCTGTTTCTCTGCCTTTCCCCAAGTCCAAAGTAAATAAATCAAGTGCTCCTTTTTTGCATTACGAAAAATTCTTTCTCATACAAGAAAATTTAATATGGTTCTCTTAAAGCTTGTTCACTGCTGATTGTGATTTAATTCACAGACATAATATCTGCGCTTTAAGTTTTAGGTAAGGCCAAGTCTACTTTATGGAATAACCTGAAAAGCAACAGTAAGAAAATAGCATATAGCTGGCAGGAAATTATTCAAGATGTTCATGCCTTCCTCTTCAAACCGGTTTCAAGGGAATAGTGAAATAGAGTTCCCTGATAGAAAATGCATTTTATTGAAGGACAATAAAATCATGCTAAACTTAATGAGAATGTTTTAAAATTATTCCTATTTTCTCTTTCAGGTGATGCTTGAAACACATTTATTCTATTCCCCTGATACTATGACAGGAAAGAAATTGTATTATTACTTCTACTACCTAGGGAAAAATAGCTGATTAGCTAGTTTTGACTTTAAGACTATTCTCAAATCATTCTCCTAGAACATTTCTTTGCCTTGTTTTCAATGACAGAGAAATAAGGCCATTGCATGCTTTCCATTATCATTAATGACTCTTCTAATGATTTGATGCCTGGTGCCTTTAATTTTTATTTTAGAAAACACATCTAGTACTAAGACTAAGTTTCTTTGTCATTCACTGTAAATTTCCCTTGAGGCATGTGTTTTTTTTTAAAGAGGCATAAATAAATAATCAATAAATAAAAGTTCATAGTACAGTTAAAGTGGACCGAAGTCAAATTGACTTTTATGCATCCAGCAGAGGAATACAATAAGTGAATATAGAGAGTATTTACTGTATAATGCCATATCAATAATTAAAAACCTATTTAAGAATAAAAATATAAAATGGCTGAGTGACTATCAAAGTTTATATGAAAAGGTAATTGAGAGAGCTAATACTGTATGCAACTGATTTTTGCATTTATGAGTATTTTATAAGCATGACAATTGGCATTTTGATTTCTAGTATACCTATTACTTTAATGTTAGGATACAGAAAGCTGATAATTTAAAAGCATAGTAAATGTACAAGATCATTTTGTTTTTAATAACCTTTTGACGGTAGGACATGGACTTTGACAGTTTTTCTAGTGGTTTTATGGTTATGAGTCAAACCAATCACTGTTTCATGCTAAGTTTATCTACTTTGTGATTAAATTAGCAGATTTGTGAGATAAGTAGCCACGGCCATGAGTGTAGTCCGTAATTATGCAATAAAATTAAACAAGCTGGTGAATGAAACAATCAACTCCATAGCCCTAATGGTATGGATGCAGTTTATGCAGACTATTGGGGGAGGTTGGGATCTTTCTCAGAGGGAGAATTTTAGGCTGTGTTTTATGACACTTGTTACTTCTTCATTGGATTTTGGGTTCTCATGAGTTTCTGCTCATGTTTCTGGTGAGCTTGCTAAGGCATAGGAAAAAGGTCACTACAAGAATATCCTATGTCTTAACATTTCCTCATCCAGTTTTTTTCAAAACTGCAATTAAATCACGTCATTTCATTGCTAGATAAAATGGCTTCCTAATTCACTTTATGAAAAAATCTAAACTCCTTGCTGAATGAGAAGGATGGTCTGCAAATAAGATTGTTAAACATTTCTCTCATCAAATGGTGGCATTGTTTTCCTTATGCAGTCATGTTGTGTAAGGAAATGACAGGAATATGTTCTGAGAAATCCATTGCTGGGTGATTTTATTTTTGTGTGAACATGATAGAGGAGACTTACACAAACCTAGATGGTATAGCCTACTACATACCTAGACTATATGGTATAATCTATTGCTCCTAGGCTACAAAGCTGTACAGCATGTTACTATGCCGAATATTGAGGCAATTGTAACACAATGCTAAGTATTTATATACCTAAACATACCTTAACATAGAAAAGGTGCAGTAAAAATATGATATAAACAATAAAAAATGGTGCATTTGTATAGAACATGTAGAATTAATGGAGCTTGCAGGACTGTAAGTTGCTCTGGATGAGTTAGTAAGTGAGGGATGAAGGAATGTGAAGGTCTAGGACATTACCATACCTATTATAATCTTATGGGACCACTGTCATATATGTGGTCCATTGTTGAATGAAATGTTTTTATGAATTACATGACTATACTTGAATCTGGACTACCCCTGTGGCTTGTTTTTATCTATGAAATGTGACAGAAATGTCATTGTGCCTATTCCAGGCTCAGGCCTTAAGGGGCCTTGTGTCATGTAAAGCCAGCCACTAAACAAGTCCAATAACCTTACTGCCAAAAAAGCCTATGCGGAGAGAGAGAGGCCTAGGTGGCTGAGGGACTCTAGAGGGAGAGGGGGAAGAGCCCAGCCAGCCCCTGTGCTCCTGCATCCATCACCTCTCCTTAGGCACCAGCCAAGTGGGTGAAGCCATTTGGACTTTCCAGGCCCAGTTGAAATACCTGTCAACAGTTCCCCAGGGCAACAGTGGAGCAGACTGGAGCCATCCCCACTAAACTCTGCCAAAGTTTCAGTATTGTGAGCAAATACATGATTGTTGTTGATTTAAGGGAGGGGGAGATTATGGATTTCAGAAATCTAGAAAGTGGATCTACCTACAGTAAGGGAGGAAATCATTAATGAATGAATAAGAAGAATGGGGATATTTATTATAAGAAGGTATGTCATTCTCTTGAGTGCCAAGGTAGAAAACCTCAAGGAAGTCATTGCAAGACCATAATTAAATATAATTAAAGAAAGACTTATGTATGGAGCATTATATCTCTACAGCAGCTTCATTCAATAGAGATACAATATTAGCCACACATATAATTTAAAAATTTCTAGTAGTCATATTGATTAAAAAGCAAAAAGTAACAGATGGAATTATTTTTGTAATATATTTAACTTAACCAAATATATCCAAAATGTTATTTCAATATTATATTAATATGAAAATTATTAATGAGATATTTTTACATTCTTTTTTGTGCAAAGTTTTCAAAATTCAGTGTATATTTTATGTTTTATACATATAGCACATCTCTAGTCAAACTAGTCACATTGCAAGTTGCTGTGAGATAGAGAAAAAAACTGTGAGGATGAGAATTGAGAATGTGGAATCCCAGCACTTTGGGAGGCTGAGGCAGGGGGATTGATTGAGGCTAGGAGTTTAAGACCAGCCTGGGCAACATAGCGTAGCAAGTCTCTCTCTCTCTCTCTCTCTCTCTAATATATATATAAATATATACAATATATAAATATATATATAAAATATATAAATATATAACATATATATAATATATATTATATATATAAAATATATATATAATATATATTATATATATAAAATATATATAATATATATTATATATAAAATTTATATATATAATATAATATATAAATATATATTATATATATAAATATATAATATATATAATATATGATATATAAAATATATAATATAATATTTATATGAAAACACATATAAAAACTAAAAACATAAAAACATGTATATATATCATAAAAGGAGAATTGAGAACATGTAGCAGAGACCGTTAGCACTTATCATACATCCTATCTATACCTGCATTTGTCCATTCCTCCATCTCAGACTCCCTTGAAGTTAGAGATGATGTGACTAATTTGTAGCTAATATATGTGGAAGGAAGTTATGTAAACATCTTCCATACCTAGTCCTTAAAGACATCCCATGCAGTTTTCTAGCTCTCTGTTTTCCTGCCATGGTGATTTGGAAGCTGTGTGGTCCAGATGGCATTGCTACAAGATGGACACTGGCCACTTAACCAAACCCTGGCTGTGATGTGAGCAGTCAGGGATCTTTTGTCTTGGTAATTCACTGGGATTCCAGGGCTTGTCTCTTGCAGCCGCTAGCATTGTCTATCCAATATGTGAAGAGAGTACTACTTAGGCATTGGAAAAGGCACATTAAGAACATTAGTAGTGACATTAACTGAATTACCAAAAAAAAAAAAAAAGAGTCTTGTTTTGCTGTAAAAGTAGAAACTGAGGGAAAAGAAAGAAAAAGAAATGATGACATTCTTATCCAGTAAAAGCTCAGCCTTACGAATGGAAGAGAAATGGGATCTAATTGAAGAAGTAGGTTGAACTTTATAAAGCTCAGCTAAGATCTGCTTGAAAGGAGATGGAAATATAAGAAGAGGAAACAGAAATGGTGATCTGGAGGATATACAGACATATCCATCTGCTGCAGAAAAAATACAGTAGAAAGGAGTGTTTCTGCTACTGTTCAATAAGTCTTAATTTATACAAGTCCTGGAAAAAGCCAAATTCTGAGTATAGGTGAAATTTTGGAGGAGTAGCATGTGACCGAGGACATATTGGCTGTGAACTTTGGAGAGTTTCCTGTTATGAACTCAAGATACCCGTGTTAAGATGCCACACACTCTAGGTCAAAAGAGAAATGAAATTTAAACACAGGATTGACACCAAGGAAAAGGAAGGAAAGTCCAAGAAAACTTGAGAACTTTAGGTGCAATGACTGCAAATTTTTGCAGTTTGCAAGAAAACAAGATTGTTTTAGAGACAGAGGCAAATAGATTTTTCCTCCCGAATGTAAGAAACAGCATCATAATTTACCTCCCGGCACCACACATACATACAGCTGTGAAAGTGCTAGAATTAGGATGCTATCCTTAATCCTTCCATTTTTAATGGTAGCAAGGAAAAAAACAAAACAAAACAAAACAAAACAAAACAAAACAAAACTAGTTTGAGAGTTGGCCACAGAACTCCACTCAAGGAAAAGTGAGGCTTTTTTGTAAAACCACCTTCACTGGCATGTTTAGTTTTGAAATTGAAGCTATCTAGTGATAACCTGGATATATTTAGGTGGACAAAGAGAAAGCAAATAGGGCTTTTGGGGAGGATAAGACAATATGGATGGTTGGGAAAAAGATAAGTAAGAGACAATACATAGAAGACAGGAGATATGGGGAGAAATACCTGACAATGAAAAATTCCTGGTATCTGCAGGATATTCAAAGGAGAGGTTATTCCGTTTTGAAATGGGTAGCTTTGTTGCACTTTAAAAATACTGCATAAATCTGTTATACACCCTCTTCACATCCTCCTTAGCCTCCAACAGTTAGTTGTACAGATGCCAAGTGGGTTGGTGTTTTGGAGAAAGCAAGAAAATGGGGCTCTGTTTCCTTGAAGGTAAGGGCAAAGTTAAGGACTAAGAAAAACTATAGGAGTTGACATATGAGGGAGAGGAGTTCAGAGTTAAGGGGGAATAGAACACGAGAGGCAGTTCTGACAGCTTCAGGCTCCTAGGATTTGCAGACATCTTGGGAGGAGCACTGGACTTCTACAGGTTGGCATAAAGATGATGTCAATTTTATGTAAATGTCAGGGGAAAAGTGATTCTTACTGATATCTAGATTGCCTGATCAATTCTCATTGATTTTGTAGTCTAAAATTTTCTGGATGTTATCACTTCTTTCCATTTAATCTGGTAGTGCCTTCATCCAAGCTTCCATTTTTTCTTGCTGAGACTTCTGCCATAACTTCCTAAATGGCCTTGCAGATTCCTGTACAGTTAGCCCTTTGTATCTGTGGGTTCCATATCTGTGGCTTCGACCAACTGTGAATAGAAATTATGAAAAAAATAATAACAATATGACAATAAAAATAATATACATTTTAAAAATAGAGTATAACAACTATTTACATTGTATTAGGTATTATAAATAATCTAGAGATGATTTAAAGTACTATATATGGGAAGATGTGCATAGATTAAATGCAAATACTATGTCGCTTTATGTAAGGACCTTGAGCATTTGAAGACTTTGGTATCCTTGCAGGGTCCTGGAACCAATCCCCAATGGATATGGAGAAATGACTGTATTTCTCACTTCAAATTCCTCTAAGAACAGCAGCCAGAAGATTCTTGTTGGGGAAGTAGTGAGGACATCTGTGTTAAAAATGGTTTAATGTCTTCTAACCACGCTTATCATAAGGACCAAAATCTGGAACATACTCTGTTAATACCTAAAGACTTATTTAGGGAGGTGGACAGACACAGACACAGTGAATCTCTGTGATATAATTGGGGTGCTAGAACTTTGCTTTTGTATGGGGAAATATTGCATGAGGGAATTGAGTGGACTAAAAGCCAACATCATGGCTGCTTTGGGTTCTTGGCATTTGTTTCTATTTTCTACTGTTGTATGTTTGTGTGTGTCTTGGTTGTGTGTGACAATCTTCAACGATTAGCTTTTTGGAACTTTAAAGCCATGAAAGCCATGAGAGCTTTCCCACTGGGTGATGCTCCATCTTTGGAGATGCTGCAGAAGCTAAAGCCCTCCCAGTAAAGGGCAGTTGGTGTATGAGGCCTGAAGAAGTAATTGACACAAACACCCTTGAGTGAGGTTCCTCTGGGTGGAATTGGGACAGGGAGCTAGTTTTGACCTTTCATCTTGCTTAGAAGGGTGGCCTCTTCTTATTTTTGCCTGTCCAGTCATGTTCCAATTCAGAAGCTTTCTCTATCTAGTTCTAGAGGGTCTGAGAGTCTCAATACATATCCTGAGCCTGAACAAGCATAGAACTCCACGCGTTATAAGCTGAGATTGGCCCAGAAGTGAGCACAGGAAGCAAGCCAGACTGATCAAGTTGCTGACTTGCTATAAAGACACTGAAAAAGTGAAAGAGACTGAGAGAGAGATTGACTTTTGTATTGTTAAAGGCCTTGCACCAGGCTTCACTGAAGTTAGATTCACTATTGAATTTCTTCTATCTCTCTCTCTCTCTTTCTCTCTCTCTAGCCATCCATCTATCTATTCTTTTATCTATCTGTCTATCTAGAATTGTTCATGGTAGAGTGTTTGGTGCTGCTGGCCTCACATCATTTTAGTTATACTGCTAAGCAGTCTGGACTGTATAAGTGATCTGGTAATTGAGTTTATACAATATATCTGGGCTCAGTGATAAACTAGAAGAGAGTAGTAATTATGTAATGTTCTGATCCATCACAAGTCATAAGCTTTAGTCACTGCCTTCTGACAGGACTCAGTGGATACATAGGCACAGGGATCTGGAGAAGTGATGATATGAGGGTGAAACAGAATTTGTTGCTATTTCACTAATCCTGCTTATATCAGTAGGGGAGAGGGGCTGTGATTTGCCTAATGACACTTGTGTGGTGAGGCAATGCTTAATAAGAGAAAAAAAAAGATTATAATATTTTCACCATAAATGACATTTGAGGCACCTTCAATTTTTTTAAATTCCACCAGAGACATTGATAAGCATTTTTCATCAAGTCTTGTTTATTAGTGAGTACAGTCATTGTGCTATAGAAAAGAATAGATAAACTAGAAATAGATTAAAAAAATAAGCTCAGCTGATTTTTGACAAAGATGAAAAACCAATTTAATGAAAGAAAGATAGCCTTTTCAACAATTATTACTAGAGTAGTTAGACATCCATAGACCAAAATATTAATCTTTACCTAAACCTCACACCTTCTGCAAAAAAACAAAATGGATCACAGACTTAAATGTAAAACATTAAACTATAAAACTTTTAGAAAAAAATTGGATAAAATCTTGGAATCTAGGAATAGTCAAAGGTCTTTGGATCTTAGGCTTGCCACCAAAAGCATGATTTATAAATTAAAAAAGTGATAATTTGTGCTTCACTATAATTGAAAACTTTTGTCCTGTGAAACGCTCTGTTTAAAAGAGGAAAAGACAGTCTAAAGACTGAAAGAAAATGTTTGCAAACCACATATCTGAAAAAAGACTAATAAGGATGAAAAGACAAGCTAAAAACTGGAAGAAAATGTTTGCAAACCACATATCTGAAAAAAACTAATAACTAGATTACACAAAAAAACTCTTACAACTCAACAGTAAAGAGAAATCATCCAATTAGAAAACGGGCAAAAGACATTAACGGACATCACACTAAAGATGATGTACAGATAGGAAATAAGCACATAAAAGGATTTTTCGCAGCCTTAGCCATTTGGGAAATGCAAATTAAAACTATAGTGGAATATCACCATACACCCATCAGAATGGCTAAAATAAAAAATAGCGGCAACATCAAACAGGAGTGAGGATGTTGTGAAACTGGGCCACTTATACATTGCTGGTGGAAGTGCAAAATTTTAGAACAACTCTAAAAAGTAGTTTTGGAGTTTCTTAAAAGCTAAACATGCAGCTTTCTGACCTTTTAGGTTTTGGAGTCTTCTGCCACTACTTCTAAATTCACATGGAGATACTAATAAAAAGGCTTCATTTGAAAGGTTTTACATATTGGACATAAATGACGTATATGAACTTGCGAGCTATTCTGTGCAGAAATCATTTTGTGTGTTTCTCGGAAATACTATAATTTTACATAATCACCACCATCATTACGAACTCTATGTACCTGCTTCTCTTGAGGCTGCCGATGTGATTCTTTGGTGAGAAACAGTAGAAGGGGGTAGAAACCACTTTTTACAACATGAGTCTGCTGCCCACACCTTGGCACTTGGAAGAGAAGGAATTGAGAGAATTAAACTGTGTTACTTCTCTCTCCATTGGACATTCATTGCCACTATCAGCCATAGAGGTGTTTTTTTCCTCTGGAGCCGGGCCAGCAGCCTTCTGCTTTCTAGCAGCCTTTGCTTGCACAGCCACCAGGGCATTTTTGCCAGTTCACATTCTTACCGTGAAACCCAGCTTCCTATTTCTAGGGATGAAATCGGCAAGGCAAAAGATAAGTTTCAGTTAATCCAGTCTTATAGAGTCAGTAGCTCCAAAGCAATGATCTACCAAAGTCAAGTTTACTTATTGCCCATGTTTTCACTTGAAAGTACCATTGTCGCCTGCTCTCCTGAGAAAAGGGTTGCAATTGGTAAGACTATTGCCAGGGTTATGAGAAGATCATGGCTGGTGGTTGTTGCTCTAACTTCCTGGATCTGATCAACAAAAAAAGAGGATAACAAGGAATGAATGCAATGTACACATCCTCCCTTTGATTAGGAAATACTGCAGTGAAAGCTATCTAGCGTTGGTATCCACAGAGTGGTATCCAGACCTCAGGACATGTCAGTCAAGCCCTGGGATACAATATATTTACATTTCTGCTTCCCGAATTTATATTTTCCTAAATTTACCTTTTCCCTTTGCAAATCCTATATTTATCCCCCAAATCAATGATTTGCAGCCCTGGCTGTATGTTAGAATCTCTTATGGTGACATTTAAACACTATCTGTGCTTGGAGCCCGAGGACCTAGATTTAATCGGAAAGAGACCCAGACTTCCACATTTTATAAAAGCTTTCCGGGTAATACTGATGTGCAGATGAAGGTGAAAACCCTGCTCAGCCTCATGAACACCCCCTACTCTGGAAAGCTAGACGTTCAGGTGCTAACATTTAAAAGGCTAATCAGGGAGCTGGTAATTTACCAAGTTTTGGGGAAGCTGCCGTGGAGCATCCATATTTTTCTTGGAGTCCTATATTTGTAGTAAATACCACATCCTCAAGATGTCCCATTTTCTAGTGGAATGACACCCTCCCACATCCTTTAATTTAATTTTTATTGTAATTTGTGTTTTCAAGATCCTTTGATCCCTCTGTTTTGCTTCCTTATCACATGACCAAACAGTGACATATACCATTGAAGAGCTTATTTCTGAGTAAGGAAGACCATAAGATTTGCCCAGTTTTTGGCAAAATACCAGTGGCAAAGGTACTCTTTAAGAAATCATTTTATGGAAAACTTAAAGTTTGATTCCCTAAGGGTTGCTAGTGAGGATAGTCCTCTGTCCTTTTGATAAATAAACTGCTTAGATTTATTGATGCCATATGAAGTATTTTTTTCTCTCAATTCACAGAGCTTGAGAAGTGGCATCCCTCAACTCTGCCCAAGGTTTTCAGAGGAACAAAATCTCACAAGGTGGTTCTTTATGCTTATGGGCTGTTGATAATGACATACTTCTCTTTGCCTTTTTGGCCAGAAGAACTGTTAATTGCCTCATTTTTAGATTGTTATTTGGATCTATTAATACGCTGATCAGCAAAGACATTTTCAAAACAGAATTCATAAAGCAAGGTGTGTGCCCTTCTTTTAGAAGGAAGTACTACAGCTTTTCTGGATCAAATGTCCTTGTCATCGGAATAAAAGAACATCTTTTCTGTTCACTTGAACAAATTGAATTGAATTAGATCTACCCCCTCTTGATCTTGGCATTTTTCAAAGTCATGAATAAAGCACTTTGCTGGGGCAGAATGAGATTTCTGCTTTCCAAACGTGACTTGTGAAGGGCTAGAAGACAACATGCCAGGATTAACATCATATTTAAGAAGTCTACTTATTATTGTTCGCATTTCCTGTGTCATGGATTTAGCAGTTGGGTGAAAGGAAGTAAAACTGAATTTATAGAATTTAAGAAAACATTCTTAGTGGTAGTTTAGCATAGTCAAAACTCAAAACTTCTTAAAATATATTTTATTTGCTGAACATCAGTATATTTTAAACAGAAATATAGGTATTAAAATACAAACTTCATGTAAAAACCGAGTACAATAACTAGTATTACTATTTGAATTTATAAAATTACCTTACTTCAAGTATAAGAAATTTAACCAAATTATTGGGTTTCATTCTGATTACAACCTTAGGGGGCAATTTGTTATTTTGTAGAGGTACATAATACTTAGGAGGTTTGTTTTAGTTATAAATATAGTACAGGGTTATTACTGGAAGTAATAACCATATACGATGGAACAAAGTTATCTTGCTATGAGTCTTGAAATGAGTTTGAAAGACAAATTTTTCTTCTGTAATGGTTCCAAATGTTATCTGTGCAATGAAAAGCCTTGTCTTTACAAGTAGAGTTATAAAGAAGGAGGAATTATTTTGCTTACTCATAAGAATATGCTAAATATCATCAAATTCAAATTTGATTAAATTTGAATCAAATGGCTAAAGCATTGTTAATGAAAAGATGAAATGAGAGAAAAAGTATCTGAAAGAAGTCAGTAACCCAAAATCACAGAGCAAGCTTATGGAAGTAGCACACGTTTCTCTCGTTCATCTCTAATTCCCAGTTCACAGTTTTAGGGTCTCCCTCTCTCTAAGGCTGCCAGGAGCAACTCTCTGTCTTTTGCAGTGTTTCTTCAAGTAAATTACTGTCGCCTGTTTAAGAGTTCCCACATAGTTAAGAATGCTTAACTGGAATCAAGCTTGCATAATTCATGATTACAGAGTGATAAAAACCAAGCTTTTGTTTGGGGGATGATTGTATAATTCAATAAAAAGTTCACATTGTCTTATTAGTGTCTTATCATAAACAGAGGTTTCTTTCCCCCCATTCTGTATAACTTCCCTCTCTCTGCATTCTTTTTTTCGGTGGGAAGGGTACTTAGGAATTAGGGGTTGTTGAGTGTGATTGATCTATGGAGTCTTTGGACAAATCCAAGTGGTCCAAGATTAGAGAATATTTAAGAACACCTACGCCAGAATGTAGTAAGTTAATCTACCCATAAAAAGTACTAATGCAATTACTCCTCATTATGAAAATGCAGAATTTTATGATGGTTAAATACTAGTTTTCCAGAAGGTTTTAGTTTTACTTCTACTTACATAATTGCATGCCAGAAATTTGACATGAAGGTGCAAATCTGTATTACAGCTTTCCCATTTTGTGATAGTTGGAGCAATATAGTTAGTTAAACCCCCCACTTTGCTCTGCAGCCTGATTCCACCATGTTGATATATAAGATTTCACTTTTCATATAGGAAAGGGCATCATTGAATTTCTTGGAATAAAACAGTGGCAGAAAAGAAAAGTCAGACATTGCATACTTGTTGTAAAACAAACAATTTAATGTGTTTAATGAATTTGCACAAAGGAAGTAGTATTCAGATATTTTTAGGGTAAAAACATTTTTTCTATTTCATATATAAAAGGAAACACCCAATATTTTATCTGAAAAACTACTTTGAATTATAAAATATTGCTATGAAAAGAAACTAACCTATATTTAGTGTATACTTAACCTCAGACTATTTTAAACTCAAAAGTAGATCCATTAAATCAGTAAATAACAATTATGTGTTATTGTCTCAGGATTATGTGTAAATATATGCTTATACCCCTTATTTTATTCTTTAATAAGTAAAACAGACATTTTGCACTATTTCATGCTAAACATACCCAGTAAATAATTTTCTGAAATGAATAGAAGATACATAATGGTAAATGCAAATTTAGTGTCTTCCTGCCTGAAGTATGGTGACCTCCCGTTTACTCAGCTCCAATTCCCTGGTTTTATTGTATTCATATTTTTTAAATATAGGGCTATATTGAAAGGAAAAATAGAAGATATCTATTAAAAGTGAATATATTTACACATTCTATATATTTGGGTTTTAAATTGTGTATGAAATAAAATAAATGTCTTTTTAAATTATAAAATCATATAAAATATATAAAATCATATAATACATTAAAAACTCAATCTGGTAGCTCTGTGAATTTTTAGGCTGCCAGTAGAAAAAGTGGGATGAAAGCAACTGAAGATTTGCTGCTTCCAGATCCAGAATTGTAACCTTGGACAGAACACCAAGGGAATCAGCTTAAATTACTCTGACAGAACAGGACAAAAGAAAAAAGCCTTTTGGTTTTTGTGGATAACATTTTGCATATGCCGTTTTGTTAGGAAATGAGATATTCTACATAAATATCCTAGATGACTAAGCCTAAAATAAATATCTAACCATAGTCTATTAAAAATAACTTTAAGAAAGAGTATATTTGTTCCCCTATCTTTTTTCAATAGTGAAAATATTCTAACCTGATTACCTTTGATTTGAGAGCTCAGTGGTATTAACTTGATGATCTCTGAGGACTTCCAGTACTGTCGCCAGTAAGCCATACCACCTGGTCTTGGCATATTCCAAAATTACATTAATTCTCCTCATAGTATGATTTCCCCTTTAATCAATATCAGATTTCTTTGAAACAATGTGATGAGGAGTAAACTTTTTAAAACTCTAAAATCATGATACTTATACAAATATAAAATGAACCCTTGTTAATTATTTTACAGTCTATTAATTAATGAGGGAACCAGTAAGACATTTCAACCTGCTGGAAAAAGAACAAGAATAGACATACACAGAGATGTTCAGGAATGCTGAAATAAATTTATGCATATTTGTAAAATTAGTTAATATCCGCAGGGCAATAGTCAGTTGTTTTCCACCTTACAAGAATACTTGCATTATGATTAGTTTTCATTAATTTACAAAGTTGTAAAATGGTTTAAAGATAAACAATGGTTGAGTGAACCCAAAGGAGTGGACTGGCCAGGACTCACTAATCTTTTCACCCATTTCAAAGTCTTTCACAATTTTTTTTGACAGATGAAATAAAAACATTTATTACTAACTATTCCTTGCACTGTTCTGAGAACTTTACATATACTCATTTTGTGTTTCCAAAACTATTGTATTAATAATAATAATCACTAGTACTAATAAGAGGAAGCACTGTTGCGATCCCCCCTTTCCTGATGTGTTCTCACAGGTAGCAGGTGGTGGGATTGGACCCTGGGTCATTTGGCTGCATCTCTGGTCTTTATGCTATACTGTAACTACTATTGTACTTTAACTTTTCACAGGCACATTTGATTGTAGCTGATTATAAAGATAGCTAACAAAATCCTTTATTTTGCTATTTGCAACACACAAAATGAAATGATTTCCACATTACCATGGAAAATCACCTGTATAAAACTCTTAAGCCAATAGTCTTAGTTACAAACAATTCACTCTGCTGGCTTTGGAACCATGCTTCATTGGGCAGCTCCAAGCATTCTTCTGAATTAGCAGGCATGAATTTGTGTTAACTGCAGTTTTTAATCACCATTTCATCACTGCCTTCAAGTAGGAGGAAATCTAACTTTTGGATAGATGGTACCGATACTAAATGTGGATTTCACAAAATGTTACTACATTGAAGTAAGTACTGTAGGTTACTATAAAGTTTGTTTCATGGAGTTCAAATTTGATGGTATATATTAAAATTTTAGATATATTTTTAATGGAGAATAACAATAATTGAGATGAAATAATGTACAAATCTTTATATAAATTCAGTATTTCCAGATCATCTTTATGAAAATAATATTACATAAAATTATCTCTAAACCAATGGTTTTCAAAGTGTAGTCTTTGAAACTCTGTAAGGAGATGCGTAAAGCCAAACTATTGTTTTCATAATAACAGTAAGATATTATTTGCCTTTTTCATTGGGTTTACATTTGTAATTGGTGCAAAATCAGTGGTGGGTAAAACTCTGGAAACTTAGTAAAAGCGATGTAGTACTAGTAAGATAGGAGAAAAATGCAGTTTCATTTAAGAATGTCCTTAATGAAGTAAAATAAGTATAAATTTTATTAACTCTTGACTCTTAATTATACATCTTTTTAATGATCTCTGTGACAAAATGAAGAGTAGGCATGAAGCATTGCTGCCGCATACCGAAATTATGATGAAACACCATTTTTACTTAAACAATGACTAACAGACAAATTATTCATATTCAGAGTTGAGTATTCAGCAAATATTTTCTCTGAAATGAAAAAGAAGGAGCTATCTTTTTAAGAAAAACAATTGAGTACATTTTGCTAGTGGTGTAATTCAGGCTTTCATATCAATTAGAATTTTGCACTTTCTTGATGAGTCTTTTACTGATATTATCAAATGTGCTTCTAAAAATAATATTTTATAATGGATGTGCCAAAATTTAGAAGTTCTGCTTAGCTCAGTGGGCCAATATTTTCCAAGTAACTAATGTTTGATTTTACAAAATTCATGGGTAAAATTTCCATTTGTATGCAATATAGACTAGTGGATATTCATGTGGATATTAGTGTGTGGAATATGAACATTTATTTATATGGATTTAGATTCTACATTAGCGCCAATCTTTAAAAACCTAGTAGTTGTTGAGTGTTGGTAGAATTGTGAAGAAAAATCACAAATATTTTTAAAGGCTATGGAAAGCACTCTTTTCTTTCCAGTAACATATCCCAATTAATTGAGTGCAGAATCAGATATGGGAATCCAGCTGTCCTGTATTAAGCCAGAAATTAAAGAGATTTGCAAAAATGTAAGATGATGCCACTCTTCTCACTGAATTTTTGTCTTAGAAAATATAGGAATTTTTAAAGTAAAATTATTATCCTTATATGATATAAATTTATTACTAGTATTTTTAGATACATTAATAACTTTTTAAATTTTTAATATCTATTATAGAAATATTAGTACATCTAATCCACATAAAAAAGACCCTGGGGTACTCAATAATTTTTGGTACTATAAGGAGATCTAGAAACCAAATACTTTGAAACACACTGCCCTTTACTTTGAGTGATTATTTATTGTTTTTCTCTTCATTAATTAAATAAAAGAGATGATGTTCTTCACTCATGGAACTTCTGTTTTAAGGGAAGAGACTCAGGGAGAGGGGTAGGCTTAGTAGGGTTAGGGGAAATGAAGTCTGTTTGGGGATACATTAAGTTTAAGATGCTTATTAAATATCTGATGAGAGGCATGATTTGATATATAGGTTTGAAATTTAAAGCACTATTATTTTTACTTCCGATTTGGTTTTTATTGTAAACAAAAGAACTAAATTCTTAAATTAGGCATTTGTGCTTAAAGTTCTTAATGCTTAAAGTAAATGTTTAAACATGAGTTGCAATTCCTCTTTTCCATTATAATACCCGTATTTTTGGTAATCATAGCATATCATACTTCTATTTAGAATGAATATTTAGTGTTTTAAATGCATAATAATGATAAAATTTATCATTTTTTAACTTTTCCCTTCATCATAACATACTCCTGCCAAATTTATAGATACATATATTTAAATTTCTTTTATGGAAATTAAATTATATATAATTATACATATATGTACACACACACACATATACACATCTAATTTCAGTAGTGTTGGAAAAACAGACAAATGTGGGAAAAACACACATATTTGTCTGTTTTTCTCATACTACTGAAACTGCTTTCTTAAAGGTCATCAATGTTATCTTAATCCCCTAACTTATATTCTTCTTGAAAACTTTTTTATTTTTTTTTGAGATGGAGTGTCTCACTGTCGCCCAGGCTGGTGTGCAGTGGCATGATGTCAGCTCACTGCAACCTCCACCTCCCAGGTTCAAGCGATTCTCCTGCCTCGGCCTCTCGAGTAGCTGGGATTACAGGCACCTGCCACCACGCCTGGCTAATTTTTGTATTTTTAGTAGAGACGGGGTTTCACTATGTTGGCCAGGCTGGTCTCAAACTCCTGACCTTGTGATCTACCCGCCTCGCCCTCCCAAATTGCTGGGATTACAGGCCTTAGCCACTGGTGCCAGCCGAAAACTTTTTCATTGCATTTTTAATACCCTTCTGTCTCACAACTAGAAACCCTCTTTCTTGTTCTCTGTTAACACTGGATTGTTTTCTTCAGCCTCCTATAAATATATCTTAAATATAGGTGTTACTCAAATTCTTGCTTTTGACCTTCCATTAGTAAATTCCTTTATAAATTTTTACTTGTGGGTTGCACTTCCCTACTGTCTCCATTACCAACTTTACTTCCCTGTACAGCTGTCTTATATAAATTCGCATTAACCATTGCACGCCAAACACTTCTCCCAATCCACCTCCCAAGTGTTCTACAGTTGTTACCATCAGTTAACAATTCAGTGACTAACAAACGTCATCTCATATTTTAACATTTGAACAAATAGTGGTCCACAATCATATCATTGCTCTAATAATGTAATGAAGTAGGCATACCACTATAATTGTCCAGTTTTAGTGAAGAAATAGAATGAAAGGGAGCAAACAACTTTCATAAGACAGAAATTTTAGTAAATGCCAAGGATAGGAATTACTTCAGTTTTCCTGATTCGGTATCTGTGGGCTTTTAAAATTCATTCTGCTGCCAAATTCTGACAATCTTATTTCCATATGACTTACAATCACAGCAACACAAAGGCATTCTGATACAGTTGTGGTGAATGAAGTGTGTGATAACATTAACAATATTTACGTTGCTTACAAAGCATGATCGTTAAAATTGGGTAACTAACCAATTTTGAAGCAATTATAAAAGAGAATTTCAAAATATGTTTTGTGCAAGGGGAGCATCCTTGCAATAAATTCTCCCCTAAAGTGATCATGTGCAAGCATAGCAATGCACTTGGAATGGTAGGTTCTCTTAATGCTCATGACCAAACAGCTCCCCATAAGCATGTAGATTTAGAACATAGACACATGAGAAAGTTATTTAAACTAAAACTTGATTCAGGGGAAATTAGGAAAGTATTTATATACTTACACTTAAGCAGGGCTTTAATATTTTTGATACGTAACCTCTTCAGTTTCACACAATGACATCAATAAGTAGTCACCCTGTTATCAAGGAGAAAAGGGTGACTTACAAAGGTTAAAGGATGAGTTTAACTTCATGCAACTGGTTGCAGGAGAACCAGGCTGGACTCAGAGTTTCCCGATTAGTAGTAGTTCTGAAAGTGATAACTACTGTACTGTCTAATGTCATGTAGAGAAATTTCAGCAAGACATTGAATTAGCCAGGATGAGACCTTCATCACAGTACAATAATCAAACACACTTACCTTTTAAGCTGTGGTTTTCATGTACGCGTTTTAGAAATCAGGGCTAGTAGTAGTATTTCCAACATATCCCTACACAGTAGTAACTCCTGACCTAAGGGCTTTTAATTTTCAAAGAGTATTCCCCTATTGGTAAATCCCCACCAATGTTATTTGTGAATAGTTACAAAAGGCTCAAATACATTGGAAAGAGAGCAGGAACTCCTTTTTATTCATGTGATGATTCTTGTCCTGATTTATGGCCATTGGAACTGATTTCTAGTGTTCTTAGCACAGCAGGTCAAGAATCACATGCACTTCTCATTTTTAGAATTAAGAGTATCTTTCCATTTTGGATGTGTACCAAGTCCTTCACGTAGAAGTATATCATGCAGAATCCCCCTGCTATACCTTGCCAAACTGATTTTTAAGTCATGAATATAGTGCAGCATTTACATTAACAACTTTACAATAACAACATTTCTTGTGCAAAAATTTATGTTGGGCTAGGAAAAAAATAGTATTTGTTTTGGCCTTTTTGTTGTTGAAGACATGCTGCTGTGTAACCACTTAAGTATTTCCTGTATTAGTTTTCTTATCTACCTACTGCTTACAGTTCTAAGACTCAAGCTATAACATCCCCAAATGTTTGCTAATGTTCTAATAGCACTTCATTAGAAACTTGCACAAATAAATGCCCTTTTAATTATTTAAAAACCTCTAGAAAATGAAATTATATACTTTCATAATAGCACTATATCGTAGTCTACTGTCTTCTCACTCAGGGGAAATATATACGTGTGTGTGTGTATGTGTATGTATGTGTGTGTGTTTACATATGTATATACTTATAATGAAAAACTATAATGTGGAGTAATTTAAAATATAAATCAAGAATATGAAGAGTGTAACTTTATTATGGCCTCACAAATAATGGTGAGAAAATTTAGGTGCTTTGGATGAGATGGAAGTGTGTTAGTCCTACTTTTAATCAATATTTATATTGTAGATGAAAGTTGAACACATTAAGTTCTACTTCAAAGGAAGTGAATTAGGTCTCATAGAAAATTGTACATGGAGTTAAAATTCAGCTTGTTGAGATTCTGCTTTGTTTATGCAATGTAGTGCTAGTTCGTGATAATGTACATAAGTTGCATGACAGTTCATCCATTTTTGTGGATTTCATGATAGTTCAGTCTACCTTTTATTTCATGAAATTTTGTCATATCTGTACATATAGTTATGGGGCCAGAAGAATATTATATTTTAATTCAAAAATTTAGGAATTCTGTGAATATAATGTATACAAGTTTAAAGAAATTAGACATAGAAAATACTAACTAGTGCTGATCTGTATTTTATCTTCTCTGAAGGTGCTAGATTAGGACCAAGGGTAAGTCTTTTATTAACCCTGGCATCTTGTAAAAGCATTTTTCTTCCCATTTAGCTTCTGCTTATATTTTAGCCATTTTCCCAGTTACTCCCAATAAATGGAGGTGCATTGGATGAAATTACTTGAATACTGTCAAACTCACTGTATTCCTATATTATATTGGTAATTACAAATAATTATGGCTAACAATACCATGAGTAAAATGTTTCAGGATATTGAAATTAATGAATAATTAAATTTTATTAAACTCATTCTAATTATTGTTTTATTAAGTATTTTCATTTTTCACTATGTTATCAAGTACTTTTTTATTATGGTGTTTTGTTTTTCAAATAATATAAACTCCTAGTTAAGTCTAAAATGTGTTATGGTTGAGATTACCAAAGAGAAGAGCACATAAGGATTATGTACTAGCCATGCTGGTGGGAAGTCTAATCTCAGTCAAAACTGTGTATATTATTTTAGGGAAGAACACTCTATTTATTTGTCTTGCTCTCTCTGTGCACAAACTAGACACAGTTATTAACCCCTAATGCCATGGGCAGTCTTGAAAGCTATATGTTTGGGTTGCTGGATAATCTATGTCAGCAAAAATACAAAATATATCAGACATTATTAGAAATCGAACTATATTCCTTAGTGCCTGAGGATGGGTACCAATAGTTTCTACTCTCTCTAAGGGAAGTTAATCCATCTTGCTAATCTACAATATCTGAAACCAAACCACTATATCAGGAAGCATGATGGCAGTAGTCATTAAGGGGAATGTCTCAAGTGAGCTTTAATTGTTCCTTCTGACAATTATCAAACTCTTATCCAAATGATTTTCTCTACCCTCTTCCTATTCAATAAGTTACAAACAGCTAACAATCACGTTTACAAAATTTCCATTAATTCACTGTGAGTGCTAAAAACTGACTCCTTGAACTTGTAATTGCTTCCACAACGAAATTTCACCTCCTGCCACCAACCTCCAATCATCATAACTGTACAGACTATTGGCTTTCTACCAGTTTAGAGTTATTTGATTTCTTTTCCAAAATGTAATATGCTTATTTGTAAATGTTAAACAGTTCAGAGATCTGCCATGTGGATCTAGTAGTATTTTACATTTTTACTGGAGGATCAGGCAAATAGAAATAGGGAATGATAATGACCATAGAAAAACATATCACTTACTTTCCAGTCCCAGACTTGGCACACACATATGCGTGTGCACACATATACAGATACAAATACACAAACCAATAATCTTGAGGAAAAGAAATAAAGAGTCTAGGAAGCTAAGGTTGATAGGTGGCAAAGATGACAGACTTCACTACCACAGGGACAAAGCAAAACCCCATGTCAACTCTTTTAAAACTCTAAATAAATTATTTTATCTTATAATAAGAGGAATGGAGGGAGTTTCTAGGGTTGGTTAATTCAGCAATTTAATGATTTTACCTGAAATTGCGTTATGTTTGTGTTTCTGCTCTTCCATCCTTAGTACAGAGATGCAACCCTCAGGCCTATGATTATAGCAGCCCAATTTTATATTCCCATGATAGTATGTGGAGACCAAAAAGGGGCTGTTATTCATGTTGCTTAATTAAATCCCTAAATTAAACATTAACAGGGGTAATGGGATTCTTGAGAAAATGAACAGGTCACATGACCCCCAAAATTTTCTCATGCCCCTTTACTACTCCTTCCTCCTTCCTTGACCATCTACAGACATCATTGATCTGATTTCTGTCACAATAGTTTGTAGTTTCTAAAGCTTTTATAAATGTAATCACATGGTTTGTGTGCTTTTCTACTTGGCTTTTTTTCCAAATGTTTTTGGAGATTCATCCATGTTGTTATGTATAACAATAATTCATTCCTTTTTATTCCTGAGTAGTTTCCTATTGTGATGATATGCCATATTTGTTTATCTTTTCACAAGTTGACATTTGAGTTGTTTCCTAATTTTTGTTAATACAAAGAAAGCTGACATAAATGTTTGTGTACAAAGTTTTGTGTGGACATATGCTTTCATTTCTCTTAGATAAATATGCTGGAGTGGAATGAATGGATCGTATCCTCAACATTTTTATCAAATTACCAAAGCGTTTGTATTGTTTTCTGTTTTCATCACCAGCATCTGAGAGTTTCACTTACTTCACATCTTTACCAATAGTGGCAGGATCATTTTTTTTTTTAACTTTTAGCCATTTTCCTGGGTGTTTAGTAATACACAATGGTGTTAATTTGTACTTTCCTAATGACTAGTGATGTTGATCATGTTTTATGTTTATTTATCATCTGTATCCTATCTTTTGTGATGTGTGTTCAAATTTTTCCCCATTTTTAAAAACTGGGTTGTTTGACTTTTTATTATTGAGTTGTATGTATTCTACTTATGGTCTTCATATAAATTCTGAGTTAAATGTATGTTTTACAGATATTTTTCCCTGTCTGTGACCATTCTGTTGTCATAAAAGTATGCGTTTTGAAAAAGAGAAATTCTCCATTTTGTTGAAGTCCAATGTATTAAAATTTTTAGCTTCCAGAATTATGAGAAAATAAACTTCTGCTGTTTAAGCTACTTAGTGTCTGGTACTTCGTTATGACATGCCTAGCAAACTAATACAATATCCAATTGTTCCAGCACTGTTTGTTGAAAGGACTACCTTTGCCCCACTGAGTTGGCTTTGCTCCTTTGGGCAAAGTCGGTTGACCTTATATCCATAGGCCTGTGTCTCATCCTGTTCTATTGATGTCCTATCCTGTTCTATTGATGTATTTTGATTCTAGTTTTGATGCAGGGCAGGCGAGCCACAAAGTGAGACTGTGAGGGTTCTTGGCTTTTCCCAGGAAAGAATTCATGGGCAATTCTAATTTAAGAGCATAGTTTATCTCTTCTTTATGTAGGTCTTTAATTTCTCTCAGCAATATTTTGTCTTTTTCATTAAAGAAGTCTTGCACATCTTTTGTGAGAATTTTCCCAAATAGTATTATATTTAATTGCAATTTCTGTTATAGTAATAAGGTTGTTTCTTCTATATAGATCTTATATACAACTTTGATAAATTCATAAATTAGCTTTAGGGCTTTTAATAGATTTTATGGTATCAACTACCTAGACAATCTCCTCATCTTTAAATAAAGATAGTTTTACTACTTTCAAATCTGTAGGCCTTTTATTTCTTTCACCTGCCATAATGCAGTAGCTAAGACCTCCTGCTTGTTGAATACATAGTGACAGAACATCTTAGAGGGAAAGCATTTAGCCTTTCAGTATTAGACATGATACTTGCTATAGTTTTTATTTTTGTGTTTTGTTTTTTTGTAGCTATACTTTATCAAATTGAGAAGATCTTAGTTTGTTATATGTCTTGAGAGAAGTTCAAATTTGTAAAAATTGTTTACTGCACGTATTTAAATAGCCATATTTTTTATTCTTTTTTATTCTATTAATATGCTGAATTGTACTCAAAAGGTAAGCAAATCTTGTATATCTGGGAGAAAACCTGCTAGGTCAAAAAGTGTATAATCCTTTTAAAATACATTTTTGGATTTAATTCGCTAAACCTTTGTTAGAGATTTTTGCATTAGTGTGCATGACAGATTTTTATCTGTAGTTTGCTTTTCTTTCCAAGTCTTCCTTATTTTGTTTTGTTTAGGTATCATTATAATGCTGGCCTCATCGAGTACATTGAGAAGTGTTTCCTCCTCTTTGATTTTCTGCACGATTTTGTGTAAAATTAGTGTTGTTCCCATTTAAATGTTTGGTATAATTCAGTAAAAACATAGAGGCCTAAATGTTTCTTTGTGGGAAGCACTTTAACTATAATACAATTACAATTTCTTTAGTAGCTACAGGGCTACTCAGGGTATCTAATTCTTCTTAGGTGAGATTTGCGAGTTTGTGTCTTGCAGTGAATCTGGTCATTTCATTCAAATGGACATATTATTCTTTTAATATGTGCAGAAGCTATAATGATAACACCTCTCTCACTCCTGAGATTGTTAACTTGTATGTTATCTTTTTTTGCTGTTTAGTTAGGCTAGAAATTTATTAATTTTATTGATCTCAAGAAAATGCTTTTGCTTTCAGTGATTTTTCTCTATTTTCTGTTTTCTAATTTATTGGTGTCCATTCCAATCTTTATTATTTCAGATATTCTCTTTACTCTGAGTTTAATTTGTTCCTCTTTATAAAATTTTGTTAAGTGAAAACTAAGTTCATCATTTGAGATCTTTCTTTTCTTATATAGATATGTGGGGTTGTAAACTTCCTTCTAAATCTACTATAATAGCATCCCATAAACTTCGATATGTTGTTTTATTTTTAGTTAATTCAAAATAATTTCTGATTTCCAGTTTGATTTCTTTTTGACCCTTTAGTTTTTAAGAAGTATGTTACTTAATTCCTACACGTTTGGGATTATCTATATATATTTATAATATTGATTTGGATGTTACATCTGTTGTGGTCATAAAAAATACTTTGCGTGATTTGAATGCTATTAAACTTTTGAGATTTGCTTTATGGATCAAGATATGACCTATATTGGCAGCTGTATCAGGTGCTCTTAAAAATAATCTGTATCTGGATATGGTTTTATGGAGAGTTCCATAAATGTCAATTAGGTCAAATTATTAATAGTGTTACTCAATTCTTCTACATCCTTATGTCTACTTGTTCTGTTGCTTATTGATAGAGGAATATTGTGATCTCTGAACAAAATTTTGAATGTGACTATTTCTCTTTGAATTTCTATCAGACTTTTCTTTATGAATTTTATAACAGTTTTATTAACATTATTATGTTCATATGTATATTATTATAGTCACATAAAATTTCATATACATAAAATTTATTTTTAAGTGTATAATTCAGTCATGTTAATATACATTTAATATTTATATATTAAATATATATTAAATACTTCACTCACTACAAAAAGAAAACCTATACCAATTAGCAATCACTACTAATTCCTCCTTTCCTGCAGGTCCTAATTTACTGTCTCTCTCTGGGATTTGCCCATTCTGGACATGTGATCTGAAGATAATCAAACACTATGTCATTATTTCAAAGGTGGAAGGATAAATTCAGCACTTTCAGTCTATCTTGGCTAGAAATGAAAGTATAAAAGTTGGATTGGCAATTTAATATATTTAATAAAACCAGAAGCTTCTAGATTTATAAAACCCATGCTATAATCTGTCTAAGCACATACAACACAATCACACAACATGTTTGGTTGCAAAAATTACAACTTTAAAAATATTTTCAAACTTCCTATAAATTTGACCACAGAACGTCATATTTACCATGAACAATGAATGAAATTCTTTATGTATTGGGCAAAAAAACTATTGAATTAAAAAGTAAAAAATTGGTTTATGAAAACTCAACCTTAAACAAACTACAATAGTACATTGAAAGCACACAGTTCCATTGTCCATTTGTTTTCAAATGTACTTAAAAGAACACATTAAGCTTGCTCTTAGTTTTTGTTTATCAGCCAGATGTTTTGGCATCATGTAGCCAAAGCTGTAGGCTGACTAAAATTATGGGGGAAGATTTACTGTTCCATACTGGTGAATATAAGGACTCTTTTGCTTTAAAATCATCTGTCAAAGGAAATTGTGGAAAAGAATGAACTGGCAAAAATATTTGCCAAAATTACATCAGAAAAAATGTTGGTACTTTGTGGAAGAGAATATATAAATAAGTACATCAATGAGAAAAATATTTAACTTCATTATTGAAAATGCAAATTAAGACTACCAATAAAATATTTTTATATTTTTGTTAGTTTATATTTAATCTATTATCCATATCTTTTATTTTGTTTTCATTCTATTTCTCTGTTGTAAATGTTTACGCAACTTTTATTTAGTTATTTTAAGTAATAAGAACCAATACTTTTTCCCTGTGAAAATTATGTACAGAATTTAAAACTAAGTTCAGAATTTGTCATTTTGAAATACAGATATGAAGTCTAATTTGACATTTACTATATGTAATAAAAAAGAAAATAAGAATAAAAAGCATAAAGAACAAGAACATCCTCTTGAAATCTGGACTAAAAATATTCTATAGGTGTCTTAATTGTGTTTATAGATAATTATGCAATATATTAATGAAAAAAGCTGTCTTTTTTCTAAATCATTTTCTAGTCAATGTTTCATTTCAAATGCACAAAATAAAAGTACAGATCTAAATTCTCCCAAAAATATTTTAATTACTTTATCCTCTAAACAAAATATTTTAAAAATAATTTACAATGGTATCTTTCTGTGGTTTTAACCTGAATTTCCCTAATGACTATGATATTAAACATGTTTTCTTATGCTCATTTGCAATCCATGTATCTTCTTTGTTGAAGTGTCTGTGCACATCTTTTGCTCATATTTATTACTAATTTGTTTGTCTTGATGAGTTGTAAGAATTCTTTATGTATTTTGTACACAATTTCTTATCAGCTATGCATTTTGTAAATATGTTCTTTCACTCTATCACTGTCTTTTCATTTTCTTAATGATCTCTTTTGAAGGGCAGAAGTTTTTAATTGTTGATGAATTCCAAGCTATCTTTGTTTTTCTTATATATTTCACAATTTTTGTGTCCTATCTAAAATGCCTTCGCTTAATCTGATGGCATAAAGTTTTCTCCTAGAAGTTTTTCAATTTTAGCTTTTATGTTTAGAGCTACGATCCATATTAAGTCAATTAATATATGATGTGAGATAAGAATTTTTTAATTTAAGCCTTTATTTTTGATGCAGAGGGTACATGTGCATGTTTGTTACCTGGGTATATTGTACCCAATAGGGAGTTTTTCAACCCATGCCACCCTCCTTCCTTCTCCCTTTAATGGTGCATAGTGTCTATTGTTCCCATGTTTATGTCCATGTGGGCTCAATGTTTAGCTCCCACTTATAAGTGATAACATGTGGTATTTTGTTTTCTGTTCCTGTTTTAATCTGCTTTGTGCCAGCCAATGGTGGGTTGGATAAAGAAAATGTGGTATATATATATACCATGGAATACTACACAGCAATAAAAAAGGATTTTAAAAAATATTGTTCCAGTACCATATGATGACAAGACTATCTCTTCCTCATTGAATTCCCTTGGTATCTTTGCCAAAGATCAATTGAACATACTTTTGTAGGTCTGTTTCTCAACTTTCTGTTCTGTTTCACTGATCTATATGTTCTTTCTGATGCCCAAACCACACAGTAATGATTTCTGTAATCTCAAAATCAGAAATATGAGTCCTCCAACTTTTTCTTCTTTTTCAAAATTGTTTCAGCAATTTCTTTCTTTCTTTCTTTCTTTCTTTCTTTCTTTCTTTCTTTCTTTCTTTCTTTCTTTCTTTCTTTTCTTTCTTTTCTTCCTTCTTTCTTTCTTTTGACAGAGTCTCACTCTGTCACCCAGGCTGGAGTGCAGTGGCGCTATCTTGGCTCACTGCAACCTCCACTTCCCTGGTTCAAGCAATTCCCCTGCCTCAGCCTCCTGAGTAGCTGGGATTACAGGCATGCACCACCATGTCTGGCTAAATTTTTTGTATTTTTAGTAGAGATGGGATTTGACCATATTGGCCAGACTGGTCTCGAACTCCTGACCTCAGGCAATCCACCTGCCTCAGCCTCCCAAAGTGCTGGGATTACAGGCATAAGCCACTGCGCCCAGCCAACTTTCCAACTTCTATTAAACTTTTCAACTTCTATTTTAAAAAGCCTGAAATTTTGATTGAGATTACACATCTACTAGAATGGCTAAAATTTTAAAATAATGCAAATACCAAGTCCTGATGAGGATGTGAGAATAACTGGAACGCTAATGAATTGCAGATGAGAACCCAAAATGACACAGCCACATTGTAAAACAATTCGGCAATTTCTCATAATATTATATGTACACTTACCAAATGATGCAGCAATCTTACTCGTAGGTAATTGATATGGTTTGGCTGTGTCCTCACCTAAATCTCATCCTGAATTCCCACATGTTGTGGGAGAGACCCAGTGGGAGGTAATTGAATCATGGGGGCAGGTTTTTTCCTGTGCTGTTCTCGTGATAGTAAATAAGTCTCATGAGATCTGATGGTTTTAAAAAGAGAAGTTCCTCTGCACAAGTTCTCTCTTTTTGCCTACCAACATCCATGCAAGATATGACTTTATCCTCCTTGCCTTTCATGATGATTGTGAGGCTTCCCCAGCCACATGGAACTGTGAGTCCTGTTAAACCTCTTTCAATTGTAAATTGCCCAGTCTTGGGTATGTCTTTATCAGCAGCATGAAAATGGGCTAATACAGTAATTATAATTAAAGACTTGTACGCAAATGTTTATGGAAATTAATCACCCAAAACTAGAAAGAATCCAAATGTCCCTCAGCTGGTGAATAGGTAAATAATTGGTGTACCCAATTTGGGGAATAGTACTTACCAATACAAAGGAATCAACTATGATGCATGCAACAGCATCAATGAATCTCAAAAGCCTATGCTAATGGAAAGAAGCTAGACACAGAGGATTACATATTGAAGGGCTTCATTTATACGACAGTCTAGAAAGGGCAAAACTATAGAGAACACAAATACAAAGCCAAATGGCTGGCGTGGGGAGAGAGAATTGATTGCAAAGGGGCAGAAGGGAACTTTCTTAGTTGATGAAAATGATTTATATACTGATCGTTGTGGTGGTTACACAATTATATATATTAGCCAAAGCTTTCCAAATTACATACTTCAAAAGGGTGAATTTTATTGCATGAGAGTTATACCTCCATAAGCCTGACACAATAAAACAAAACACAACTATTTTTTTGAAAGACCAATCAGTTAGCATTATCTGCACAGTTACTCTAGATTTTGTTAGGCTGATAGTGACATAAATTGTCTAAGTTGCAGCTTCCTCTTTAACATAGGAGTGAAGAAGGGGCTGGTATGGGAAGCATAATGAGAAAACACCAACTCTTCTTTCCTTTTTTCTACCAGTAGATACATATTCTTATATTTAAATACTTCTACATGTTTTATGTTATGTATAAGGAGATTTAACTAGTATCTTGTTTCTATATTAGGAATTTTAATAAATCATTAAGCATATATTTACTACATATTTTCTATGAACCCCAGTTAATTTGTTTTAAAGAATATTCTATACAAGTTTTGAAATGGACTTTCAAAGTTCTCTTAAAGTATCCACTGTAGTTTTTTTGGCTTACATTTAATTTTAAAGTTGTTATATAATTTATTCTCAATGAAAAATGTTTTATATTTAGTTAGTAAGCCTTTTGAACACATTCACAAGTATATAAAAAATATGACCTTTGCAAAACAAACGATTGTCCTCAAAAGCTTTTGCCCAAATGGTATACTGCAGCCATAACAGCTGCCATTTAAACATCTTACAGAAAAAGGTCAAGCACTTACTGTAATTTATGTGGATGATGAGGGAAAGGAAACATAAAGTGCTTTTCTCTTCCTGAGTTGCCAACTTTTCCTTTTATAAAAGACTGAACAGAAATGATTTTTGTTCCATTTGTGTTTACGTTACAATTTACTATTATCTTTTTCTTTCTTTTTTTTAAGTCATAGTCTATAATCATTCACCAAGTAGTTCTCTGTGGATGCAAAATCCAGATGGCCTGGCAGATGGAGCCTTGGAAGATTGGTTGAAATGTCCCAGACACATCCATCACTTAAACACTCCATAGGAAATTTGAATAAAACTAAAGATCTGAAATTCTATGGGCTGTAGAGGGTAGTCAGCTGTAAAGTTCATGTGCAAACACATGGTTGATTATGACTTCTTAAAGAACCCTTATTATATTGTGCTATTTCTGCATTACTTAATCATTTGACATTTAAAAAAATTCACCAAATCGTGATTGAAAGAAAACTTAAGCCAGATTTCTGACTTATTTCATGCTTTTGTATCTTGTATGTAGAAACTGGATTTAGAAACGAGGAAAATTCTTGTAAATCAATGTAAGGAGTCAGAGGTCTCTTTTCTTGGACAGAAATGATGAGCTACTTTCTTTTTCACATGGCCATGGTTAATCAGTACATCAGTTTACGGATTTTTTTTTTGTATTGTGTGTGAGGGCAGTTTTTCTCAAACATTCTTAAAAATGATGACCTAATCAGTCTCACCATTTACTAACTAGCGATTATGTACTCATGTTAAAAGACAAGCTATTGATACTATATTTTTACATAATAGATGCTTTACAGCTATTTGCTCATTCTCTTGCACTTATTATTTACATATGTGTTAAGATCCAGGATGATAGTAGTGAATGTCTAAGGATTTCAGTGGTCCCATGAGATGTACCCACATAAATTTAGATTTAAATTTGAAACAAATGAACAAACAAGAAGTTTTTTTTTTAAAAAAACAACCATCGATGGCATTTTAGTGATTTTTCAAAAATACCCAACACTCAAATACCTATATTTTCAAATCCATGTAGTATTTCCTAGAAAAAATGAATGGTTAAAAAATGTGTAATATGAATGGAAAAGGGATTGCTTGAGAATATTTATACACAAACATCTGATGGCTTTATCTTTAAAAGATATTGAAGGTCATGGACAATTTGGCCCATACTTCATTTTCAAGATTTCTGGTTTTTATTCATGTACCAAACAATCCAGCTCAGTGCTTCTGAAATGTGGACTTGGTGGTGGTAGGAAGAAATGTTTAGGCAGCTCATCGAATTGCAGAGGGATTTCAGGAGGGAATGCTTAGTTTTAAGCAGCCAGACTAGCAAGAAACAGTGTTTGACCTGGAACGTAATTTCAAATGCAGTCCTTTAGCTTACACAAAACAAAGAAGTGAATTAGAAGAATTAGAGAAGGGCATGACCTTGAGCACCACCGGAGCCCAGGATGAGGAAGCCTTCTTGGAATCATTCCATTCCATCAAGATGAAGGGTCAAAATTTTATTGCGTTTATTTATTAAGTGATTTTCTATTCATGTTGAGAGATACTGTTACCCAATTCATTTTAGTGACACAGTGTCTCCTTTTAAATATTTTTAAAATTAAGTAGCAATATAGAATATATTTCATAAATGTGAGCACAGGTAGTAACAGATAAGGCAGAAATGTGGAAGTGGCATGATGAAAGTTTTGAGGTCACTGCTCTGATGAAATAAGGCTCCTCTCCCATCTCTGGACTCACACTTTTCCATCTCTGTGTGCCACTTCTTCCTAGTTCCTGTGGATGAAACAGTTGGGCTTCTCCACTTAGTGAACTTCCGGTCCATTTTGAAATGTCCCTAGAGTCCTTTCTAAAGACTTCAATTCAAATATCTCAGGAATCCTTTCTGAGGATCTTCTGAGATCCACATAGACTGGCTCAGTAACTTCTCTACTGGCATACACATCATTTTCCTCTTTCTTATCACTTAAGAGAAAGCTGAGCAATAAGAGTATAAAATAAATAAACCCCTCCCTCACAATATTACTAACTTGGTAAAACTATTTTAATTTTTATATCTCTTTCTCCATGTATCTGAATCTGAATCCGACATGGATTATATTCAGTTAGAGACCTGTTTTAAGTCAGTCCTACAATATTGTGGCTTCCCATGGGCCATCGTTTGTTTATCTCTCTTCAGTGTCTACCATGGTACTTAATGCAGAACCACCTAACAAATTAATATTGCCCTGATCTAATTAGTAATGTATAAAACTAAAACTATCTCCATTTTAGAGACTGTTCTCATTTTTCTTGCTGTTTCTGTGACTTGCCCTTTTAAGCCTTTCCCTTTTGAAAAGAAAAAACCACCCACATGTACTTTTGGTCTCTGATATCTGGGGTCTGATTGAAGGTTGAGATATTATTAGCCTGAGTGGTAAAAAAAGAAATTGAATTTTATGTCACACTTTTTTCCCCCAAGAAATTTAAATAATGCTTGATTATACTGATGCTTCATTGTTGAGAACTGCCATAAAACCGACTAGCATGATTGTAAGAAGAGAATTCACAGACATTAAAAAAATGACTGAGAAATTACGTGATGATTCCATGGAAGAAGCCAGAGGCCAGTTACTCTTGCTTTAAGGCTAACAGTGGTTTGAGAAAATGGAAGTCCTTCTCACTTATTTATCATGTACTTTATTCTGTATTAGAACTTACTTCTGTATTTGGAAGTATTTTGTGATAAAACAAGTTATGCTTTGTGGCAGATCAATGTAAAATAATTTTTAATCTTGCAATAGTAATCATATAAACATGATTTGGGCAATCATGATTATCTATGAGCTTGTATGAGCTTCTTCATTTGTAAAGAAAAGAAATAGAGGAATTTCATAGCTATTATAATAAGCATAAATTCTCTAATGTAGATGACTCTATAAATGACAAATTAAATGGCTAAGAATGTTATTTACAAATAGACATATGAATTGTGTATCTCTGTCATTAAAAATGACACACTAACGTTTTACTATTCTCAGGATGATTTGCTGCATGCAGTAACTTCAGTTTTCTATGTCAAGACTTATTGTGGTCACGAAATAGCTGTGATATGAAAATATGTGTTTGAGACGTAAATAATTAGTATGTGTATCTACTAGGTGAGAATGAATATGAAGCCTGAACTCTCTAAATCAGTTTCCTTATTGATGTGGTTTGGCTCTATGTCCCCTCCCAAATCTCATCTTGAATTGTAATCCCCATAATCCTCTCCATGTTGAGGGAGGGACCAGGTGGGAAATGATTGGATCATGGGGATGTTTTCCCCCATGCTGATCTCCTGATTGTGAGTGAGTTCTCACGAGCTCTGATGGTTTTATAAGGCAGTTTTCCTTACTCTTGCTTGCTCGCTCTCACCTGCTGCCATGTAAGACGTGCCTCTTCCCCTTCTGCCATGATTGTGAGTTTCCTGAGGCCTCCCTAGGCATGCAGAACTGTGAGTCAGTTAAACCTCTTTTATTTATAGATTACCCAGCCTTGGGTATGTATTTATAGTAGTGTGAAAACAGACTAATACACTTATCTTTAAATTTAGACAATAACAATTATTTCCTGAGCTGGTTTACACTTGTCACTCTAAAAGTGTCATCTCACACTTTTAGCACCTGGGCCACAACATCATAGCACCTGATCCACAACATGATGACCCACAACATCATAATACCTGTCCACTTGACATCGACAGTTTGCAAGCCCCATCAAGACCTACTAAATCAGATCCTCTGGGTGTGAGGCCTTGCAAGCAGTCTGTGTTTAAAAGAAACAAAACTCTTCAGGTACCTTTGATGCACATTAAAGTTTGAGGACCACTGGTGGTAGCTGGTTTGACACACCATTATATACTGCATTTCTACCTTATAGCTACAATAGATAAAAATAATCTGAAGAGATTGTACAGTATATATAGTATATATATACTAGTAATATAGTATATAGTGTAATGTACTATATATTCTATTATATATAGTATATTACTACATATATATATATGTAGTATATATATATATACACATACACACACATGCAGGAAATCATCCTGAAAATAGTAAAACTGTGTCTTTATATATAGTATATATATATACTATAAACTATATAAACTATAACTTATAGTATACATACTATATATGTAGTACATATATAGTATATATAATATAATACATATGTGTATATGTAGTATATACATATACATCTATGTAGTACATATATAGTATATACCATATATTTATATATAGTATATATACTAGTAATATCATATATAGTATATGTACTAGTAATATAGGATATAGTCTCATGCACTATATAGTGTATGTAGTATATAGTATTAGTATATACTATATAGATATGTAGAGAATATAATATATATAGTATGTAGTAGTATATAGTATAGTATATTGTAAAATATACTAGTATATAGTATACAGTATAACACACATATAATAAGTATGTGTACATCTTTATTATATACATATGCATATATACATATGTATATACTAGGTATGCATATATGTATATAATATGAATATACATATGTACATACATATTATATACATATATACATATGTAAATACATGTACATAATATTGGAGTGTACACTATATACTACATGTATATACATATGTATACAGTATTGTAAATGTAATATGTGTATAGATGTAAATATACATGTATATAAAATTGTGTATATACATGTATATAAAATTATAATATACACTATATAGTAATATAGTAAAATACACCATATACACTACATAGTAATATAGTGTAATAGTTTATAGTATACACTATATAGTGTGTATATATTACTATACAGTGTAATATAGTATAACAGTTTATAATATACACTATATAGTGTGCATACTATATTACTATATAGTGTATACTCAAATAGAGTCCTTCAGTGGTTATTTTTCCTTGTGAAGTTCTGAAACATATATAAGATAAGAAAGGTCAAATCAAAGTAAATCACTATATCTGATTATCCAGAGATTTTATTCTAAATATCTGGAAGGAGCTAGCATAGACTACATGGAAGTTTATATTTTCCCACTCCTAAGAAAGCTCACGTAGCCTCAAACCAAGCAGTGTCCTTTACATGCCATGTGAATAATCAAACTGTCGACGTCATGGGGTTGCTATGGGAATTAAATAAGAAGATGCAAGTAAAGCATTTAGCCCAGAGCCCTAATGCCTGCCACATAGTGGTTGCTCCACAGTGTTAGGCATTTACAGAGGAAGAGCCTGCTTACTCCAGCTTCTACACCACAGGTGGCCTAGGTCACCCAGACCTTCCCAGACTAGTAGCTGCAAGCTTCATGGCCACATGGTAGAGGAGAGGCCCTTCAAAAGTGGCCAGAAGACAAAAAACTTACATTACATGAAAGAATTCTAACCCTCTTACCTCTCATGCACAATGGTGAAAAAAGAGCTATTAATAGGAGAAGAAATGAAGAAGATGGGGTAAAAGAGAGAGAGAGGGAGAAAGAGATGGAGGTGGGGAAGAGAGAGAGAGAGACTCTGAAGGAGAAAACCGGCCTTGCTACATCATCAGTCCCATGGATGGAGGAACACTGTGAGCCACAACACACTAAGCTAATATTTTAGTTTAAAAAAAAGTGTTTCACATACAGAAAGTAGACAGAACTTCTCTTCAAATCAGGCCCTTCCGGTTCTTCCTCCTTTTCCTAGCTTTGATGTAAGAGGGGCTGGAGTGAGGGGAGGCCAACAGGAGGGGAAGTAAGGAGCACAAAGAAACCTCTAGCTGCCTGGAAGGCCACAGCACTGATGGTAATGCTCTCTTGAAGAGCTTAATAGGAGAGGCGGTCATTAACATAAGAAGCACAACCCAGTGACTGGGCTATCGTTATGGCAGAACATTAGAATTGCCAGCTTTCCGGGTGGGGTGTGATGAAGTGGTATTAGAAAAATCAGGGCTGGGCGCAGTGGCTCACACCTGTAATCCCAGCACTTTGGGAGGCCAAGGCGGGCAGATCACTTGAGGCCAGGGGTTCCAGAGCAACCTGACCAACACAGTGAAACCCCGTCTCTACTAAAAATATAAAAATTAGCTGGGCGTGGTGGCACGTGCCTGTAATCCCAGCTACTTGGGAGGCTGAGGCAGGAGAATTGCTTGAACCCGGGAGGCAGAGGTTGTAGTGAGCTGAGATCGCGCCATTGCACTCCAGTCTGGGCAACAAGAGCGAAACTCCTTCTCAAACAAACAAACAAACAAAAACCAATAACAACAACAACAAAAAAACCCAGAAAATCAGAGTGCCAGAGCTCCCTTGCATGCTAAACAATATTCCAGCTCTCCCTGAGACCTTGCTGTGGCTGCTGAGTTGCTTTCTGATCTTTCTCCCATCATCCCCCTGTCTTTACATTAACCTCTCATTTACTGAGGCATAAGCCAAAGCTGCTGTTCAAAAGTGGAATTTGTTCTTATTTGGGGAAGTTTCAGTTTTTCTCCTAAGGCCTTTCAGCTGATTAAAGCAGTCCCACCTGTATTATATAGGATAATCTTCCTTACACAAAGTAACAGATTATAGACTTTACTGACAACTGTAAAATGCCTTCACAGCAACACCTAGATTAATGTTTGACTGAATGATCAAAGACTATAGACTAGCAAAGTTGACACATAAAACTGACCATCACACCACCCGATACTTTTAAAGTTTTCTAGTTGCCCTGAAAATACAATGGCCAAAGCCTTATTATAGTGTCATGGAAATGATCTTCCCACCACAGCCAGTGCTTCCCTCTTGAGCATCTATCACAGCCAAAATTGAACTTCAACTCATGCATCTTGTTTGTGCTTCCTTTTCTTTATAGGAACTCCTTTTTCTTTTCCACTTGGAGTGTCTTTACCCTTCCCTATTCCCATTGTTTATCTCCTAGTGTCCTTTTAGATTTAAGTGTCACTTCTCAGGATGCCTTTGTGTGTACTGTGCCTCCAGGACTCCTACAAAACTTTGTGCTAGTCCCTATAATAGTGTTCATCCAATTGTATTTATTTACTTTGAGATGGAGTCTTGCTCTGTAGCCCAGGCTGGAGTGTGGTGGCGCCACCTCAGCTCACTGCAATCTCTACCTCCTGGGTTCAAGTGATTCTCCTGCCTCAGCCTCCCAAGTAGGTGGGACTCATCCTATTGTATTTTAATACCTTGTTTCCTTACTTGTCTCACAATTCAACAGTAAAACTATATGATTACAGTCTACATCTTATCTCTAGATGTATTTGTAGTGCCTAACTTAGAGTCTCATATATAGTTAAAATTCATTAGATATTTATTCATTGATGGAGTAAATGAATCATACAAGTTAATGTCCAGAATTAAAAGCATACAAGTTATATCAAATGATTATATTTCCCAGTTTGAGCTGATATTTTGTACTTGTGTCAGGGTAACTTCCAATTATAACAAGCCTTGATCATACTCACAGTAGGAGATACAATATTGATCAGTTAATAAAGAAAATTATAAAAATCATTTTTATAGATCTGAAGAACTAGATCAATCTAGTGCTCCCTTAGAAGGCAATGAATAGCAGATATATAAATGTTAGCATTATTGCAATTCAGATATATGTCTTAGTTTGTGTTGCTATGACAAAATACCTGAGACTTGGTAATTTATAAATAACAGAAATTTACCTCTCACATTTCTGTAGGCTGGAAGTCCAAGATCAAGGTGCTGGCAAGTTCCATGTCTGGCAAGGTCTCTGCTTTCAGGATGATGCCTTGTTGCTGCATCCTCCAGAGGGAATGAATACTGTGTCCCCATGGCGAAAGGTTCAGAAGGCTCAGAAGGGCACAAAGGACCCAGCTAGTTCCCTCCAGCCCTTTAAAAAGGCACTAATCTCATTCGTAAGAGCGGAGCCCTCACGGCCTAGTCACCTTCTAAAGGCCCCACTTCTTAACACTGCTGCACTGGGGATTTAAGTTTCAACATGAATTTTGGAAAGGATACAAACATTCAAAGCACAGCAATGATGTTTGCAAATCACTCCAAACACTTACTCGTGCTATTTTTTTTTTTTTTTTTTTTTTTTGAGACAGAGTCTCGCTGTCGCTCAGGCTGGAGTGCAGTGGCGAGATCTCGGCTCACTGCAGGCTCCGCCTGCCGGGTTCACGCCATTCTCCTGCCTCAGCCTCCTGAGCAGCTGGGACTACAGGCGCCCGCCACCTCGCCCGGCTAATTTTTTGTATTTTTAATAGAGACGGGGTTTCACCATGTTAGCCAGGATGGTCTCGATCTCCTGACCTCGTGATCCACCCGCCTCGGCCTCGCAAAGTGCTGGGATGACAGGCGTGAGCCACCGCGCCCGGCCTACTCGTGCTATTGTTATCTGGCAAAATGAATTGACAATTTTATATATCAGAACTGTATATAAAGCAGACAGAATATATGTTCTCATGTTACTAAGCGGTAATACCAGTATTAGAACAGAAAGATTATATTTCTATTTTAATTATTTGGGGGAAATTTAATTTAAAGACCCCAAAGCAAATTGAAAAAAAAATCTTACTTTGAAACAATTCAACAAATATTTATTGAACACAACTCATGTACAAAGCACTGTTAGGGGCTTGGATCTAAAAAGACATATAAATCGTGTTTTCTCATAATTACACTATTTTCTTATTTTTCTCTTGAATTTTGAAAAAATGAGTTAAAATGCCCTCATCTGGTTTTTCCTAGAAACCATTATATAAAAAATGTCATGCTTAGGAATTTTGTTTTTTAACTGAAGAAGCAACGCCTTACTGTTTCCTTGAAAATAGCTGATGTGATAAAGTGCTATTTCACTTTATTTTGTAAAATGATGCCCTTTCTAAACATAAAATATAAAATCTTATCACATGTTTAAAAAGAGCTTATGAAGCTGAAATAAAGTCACCAAATTGTATGTCCAACCCTGTAAACTGGTTCTGAAGAAAAAAAATCCACGTTTAATTAGAACCATCTCTAATTATATCTCAGCCTCTATGTCTCCAAGAAAAGGATGTCAGCTAAGCTAGTGAGGTAACAAAGGAGAGCTCTGGTGGGATTTATGAGATCTACCCTTAAGCACTAGGCTGTTTTAGAGCCTGACACTTCCTGATCCTCTGTCTGCCAGGCCTATACCAGGGGAAATTGACTGAATAATTGATCATTTTTTCTGGTTCCTGAAAGATAACTGTAAAAGAATCAGGGGTTAATATAGTAAGGTTTGATATATAATTCTCCTGGGTCAAATATCTGTGTATGCTATCTATTGTCACCTGAGGCTTTTAAATTATTTTACCTGTCTCAGTTTTTATTCTATAAAATGATTTATTAATCATATAAATTATCTGGTTTGTTATTGTGCAAATGAATGTAAAGAATGGTATGTATAGTAGACATTCATTACATCGTAAATATTTTCTTTATTAGTATTTAAATAAGAACTCAGCAAACAGTTGTTAAGAGAAGAGAGAAAGGGAAAAGAATACTCTTTGGTTAGCTAAATAGCCAATGCAGGCAATGCATTGTATGGCTTATACATGTTTCATTTCATCTTCATAGAAACAGCATAATAGGTACATTATTATTCTAAATACATAGATGAAGAAATGAAATACAAATTAAGTGACTTTCTCAAGGTCATAGGTAGTAAATGGTGGAGTCAAGATTCAAATTCAAATGTTTCACTGTGAATCCCGTTATTTCTTTTATACCTTTACAAGTCTTTCTGACTTTTTTTCTATTTGTCTTCATTAATTACCTTTTCACCCTGTCTAATCAACTTATAATTTTTAATTTTTTTAAAAAATTTCCACAACTTTTAAAATAATTCAAAGATTCATACTTGTTTCATTCCCAAATCTAGTTGTTTCTGTATCATGATCTTATTTTGTGTTTGGCATAACTTTATCTCTCTGAACAATTTACATATACTTCTAAAGATTCTGTCTGATTTCTCTTTTGAGTTTCTCAGTTCAATTATCTTCTTTTCGGGTCTCTAATCAATCTTTCTTGGTGTTAGACTTGCTCCAATTTTTATGACATTTGTTTATGACCTGGGTTTCTATGAAAAATATCCTGTGAAAATGACAAGTTCTTCACATTGTGGAGATCTCTGGTTGGGGGCAGTTTTAGAGAGTTGTTTCTTGGGGTTTCTATCCAACCTGGGTTTTGTAAATGTGGTTCAAATACATGTATTCTAAAAAATGCTGTGCTCGGATTTCTATTCAGTCATTCAGTTTCCACAGATGGCCTTCATGCCAAAGATCTGTACCAGCTGGTAGAAAATTTCCCATGACTATTTGTGGGCAAGTTAACTTTTTTCCAGGTTTTATTTTAATGAAAGGATCCCATCCTGGCTTTCTGATACCAAATTTTATCCCATCGCTGACATCAAAACTCCAGTTCTTGGATTTATATATGGTTCAAAGACCTTGGCAGGTAGCCACAGGGTTTCAAATATTACCTTTAAGTCTGTGGGTTTTCTTTTTCTCCTTCTGGCACTTAGATATTTTGCTTTCTTGCCTTTTTGCTCAGATAGGATTTTAGTTCTTTAGATTCATTTTACTGAGCATTTTTTTTGCATATAGAGTGGAGAGTGGTTAAATTTCCAAATGTATTGTTTTGTCTAACTTCCTCCCCAGATATTTGTAAGGGTCATTTATATGCAGGATGAGCATATCATTTCTCATCCAAATTTTTGAGGGAAGCTGGGCACTATTAATAATTATACTGGGACAATAGAACTGTTGGTCAGGGTAAACGGTCATTCTCATTCTATGGAAATGAATATATTAAAACATTCAAAGAGAATAGGTTTGAGAGGAAGTCTTAATTGGTCTACTCATTGGAATTGCAGGAAAAACGGGGAAACTGGGAAATTTGATGGAAAGGTTACTTTGTGGGCATTTAGGGATTGAGGCTTCCTGGTAATTCTAACAGTTCATATGCAGTCTGTGTACTCCCTGAAAACTAATGCTATAATATAGTAGCTTCTGTTCATTAAACTCCTTAATACAAATCTGTTCTAAGGAAATTGGGAAAAAATGGTCTACAGGGTAAGATGAGTACTACTTGCTTCAATGTAGTTACTATTCCCCAGTTTCCCATTTAGCAAATAAAGTGTGGACTTCATAAAAAAATTTAATGGGTCCTTTATCACAGCTGCAGGCTGCTTGGAAGACACCGATTCACACAAAAATTGAAAGGATATAAAAACAGCATGATTTTAGAATTTTTATACTGGTACTCTACATAGATTGCTCTGAATAACAATTTCCCTTGTCTTTCAATGAGATGCAAATTATATAGAATATTTTTAAAACCCCGTCTGCTGATAGGCTTATCTATCTATTCATTTATTTATATGCAACAAACCTCATTTCATGAAAGAATTTGCAGTAGAAGTAATTATACTGGCCAGGTATCTAGCAGAATTATAGTGAGGGAAACCATTAAATGTTATTTTTGCCACATGGAATTTTAGAATTGGTGAGACCTTACAGATTATATTATTTTTTGTGACCTTAATTAGGCAATCTGACTATTCATCATTATTTGAGGCCCTGAGAAAATTTTGCCTTCTATAATCAGCAGGCCTTTTATGTTTTCCACTTAACCACAGCTGGTCTTATAGGTCATTTTCAGTGGCTTGGCCTACTAATAACTTTCAGTAATTACAATGTTAACATCTCTACAAGATGAGGAAGTTCTCAGCATTTGTAATATGATTTTATACACCTGAACAGCATGGAACAACTTGAGACACTGGAGGAGGGCTCATTCTGAGACCTTAAATCAAAGAGTGAGCTGTACATCAGCCCAGCCAAGCTTGTTTGGCAGCTACAGACCTGAATCTTCATGAATTGGGGATGTTTGTTCCTCTGCCTGGGAAGTTTATATTCTTCTTCCCATCCCTGCACCCAAATCCACTGACAAGTCTATGTATCCTGCAAATGCCAGTTTCTCTGTAGCCCAGTGTATTAGTCCATTTTCATGCTGCTATATACCCAAGACTGGGTAACTTATAAAGAAAAAGAGATTTAATGGACTCACAGTTCCACATGGCTGGGGAAGCCTTAAAATCATGGCTGAAGGCAAAGAAGGAGCAAAGGCATGTCTTACATGACTGCAGACAAGAGAGTGTTCAGGGGAACTGCCCTTTATCAAACCATCAGGTCTTGTGAGACTTATTCACTATCATGGAACAGCATGGGAAAAGCCCACTCCCTGGATTCAATTAACTCCCACTGGGTCCCTCCCACAATATGTGGGATTATGGGAGCTAGAATTCAAGATGAGATTTGAGTGGGGACACAGCAAAACCATATCACTCAGCAATTCTATATTTCATAATATACTTTTGAGAAATAATCCCAAATGTGAAAAAAATTCTGAACAAAGATGTTCCTCTCTGAAGTATTTAAAATAGCCAAATATTAAAAATCAACAAATTATGGGAGGATGTTTATGTAAATTATGTCCCAACATGCCAAATTAAATGTAGAAACAGAAACAAGGAAAAACAGGTCATGGGAACATTGGAAACACTTCAGATGATTTAAATTTTTCTAATATGCTTTTAGTATTTTCTGTGACATGTATGGATTGCTCTTTGATTAAAAAGAAGTTTCTGAAAAAAAATGATGCTTACAATACTATATGATAAGATAAGCACTTACTTATGGCATAGTGCTATTTTGAAACATTTTATACACACCTTGAATTTTGCTACATAAAATATAAGCCCCCCCTTTGCACTAAAAACATTGAACCAAAATGTTAATAAAGATTGTATTTTCTTATTTCTTCTTACATTTCTATATTTTCCAATTTTTTAATGAGTTTTGATTATTTTTATGATTTGAAAAACAAAAAATTTACATTTTTTTTAGTTTTAAATTTTTATTTTAAGTTATGGGATACATGTGCAGGATGTGCAGATTTGTTACATAGATAAACATGTGGCATGGTGGTTTGCTGCACCTATCCAACCCATCACCTAGGTAATAAACCCAGCATGCATTAGCTTTTTTTCCTAGTGCTCTCCCTCCCTCCACCCCACTCCCCAACAGGCCCCAGTGTGTGTTGTTCCCCTCTCTGTGACCGTGTGTTCTCATTGTTCAGCTCCCACTTTTAAGTAAGAACATGCTGTGTTTGGTTTTCTGTTCCTGCATTAGTTTGCTGAGGATAATGGTTTCCAGCTGCATCCATGTCCCTGCAAAGGACATGATATTGTTCCTTTTTATTACTGTATAGTATTCCATGGTGCATATGTACCACATTTTCTTTATCCAGTTTATCATTAATGGGCATATGAGTTTATGCCATGTCTTTGCTATAGTGAATAGTGTAATGAACATAGGTGTGCATATATCTTTGTAATGGAATGATTTATATTCCTTTTGGTATATACCCAATAATGGGATTGCTGGGTTTACAGAGTGGGAGAAAATTTTTACAAAATTTACTTAAAAAAAAAAAGATTCAGCCCAAGTGCGTCTTCCTCTGTGAAACCTTTCCCTAGAATTATGTATGGCTCCATCCACTCTGATCTATCTCATGCCTGTTTAAACATACCTCTGAACATCATTCATCACATTGTATTTTGATGCTTTTAAGCCCCCAGATGTGATATGTCAGGATGGGCTTTCTGTCTTGTTCACTATTGAATCTTCAGCATCTAGATATTGCTTGGTATGGTAGATGCTTCCATATAAAATGGATGAACACTGAATAACGTTGAAACAAAAAGCCCTGTTATTCAGCCCTTCCATTTTTCAATGGTTGGCCTTGTGGACAAGTCTTACACAAATAACTTGTTTTTGTTTCATGGTTGTATCTTATTTACTCACAGAGTTATGGATAATGGTTGACAATGAAAAACTGAGAATTGAAAGCTCAAAAGGCACAGTTATCCTGGCTCCTGACATTAATCCTTAGTCAAAAGTGATAATATTTAAAATATGTTAAAATATTTAAAACGTAAATATAAGTATGTATTTATTTTTATGTGAAAATCACTAGCAGCTTAAAAACTATCATTTTAATAGCTTAGAAAGTAATCAATAACTATAAAATAGCTTTTTAGACATTTTTCTGTAAAAACATTTAAAATTAGACATTAATTTTTTGATACTGCCTTACTGCCCTTTTACGATGCCCTACGATCCTTTTAAAATAGCTCACATTTATCTTCGTTTTTATGAATAATAAATTTGAATTCCTAATTTGAAATGAAGATAATTTATAGGTATATAGAGCTTATTTTTAAGGCCTACAGTGGTCCTAATTTGTGTTTGAGACAGAGTCTCACTCTGTCTCCCAGGCTGGAGTGCAGTGGCACTATCTCAACTTGCTGCAACCTCCAACTCCCAGGTTCAAGCAATTCTTGTGCCTCAGCCTCTCAAGTAGCTGGGATCAGCGACGTGCGCCACCATACCAGGCTAAGTTTTGTATTTTTAGTAGACATGGGGTTTCACCATGCTGGCCAGGCTAGTCTTAAACTCCTGACCTCAGGTAATCTGCCCACCTCGGCTTTCCAAAGTGCTGGGATTACAGGTGTGAGCCACCGTGCCTAATGGTTCTAATTTTTAATTTGAAAATAATTTATTATTTTTGTGAACATAATTTACATGAAAACACTAATTCATGGACCTATCTATGTTTTTTATTGCTTTTTTATGCTTGAAAACATGTTCCCGCTTGAAATCAGGGACATGTAGTCCTTCATTTCCTTTGCCTATCCACTCATCTTGGATGCTGAATATTGGACACCAGGTAGACTGTAACAAAACAAACAGTACTTCCATCTTCTACGCAGAAACCAGTGTGATTTAAGTCTCTCCTTTAGAGGAAAGTATACATTACTTAGATTTACAGGGGTTTCTTCCGTGAAAAAGGGTCTTGAGAAAGAGGTCCATAAGATGAAAGAGAGAAGAGAAATCTAGGTATCATAATTCAAAGTCTTAAAAACATTTAAAAACATAACTAGAACTGTTCCCGGACCAATGTCTAGGTTTCTACTAAGGAGGGTCCTTGACATCCAATAAATCATTTGTACAGGGTTGTGAAGAGAGGCTATCCAAGAACTTTAGTAAAAGAAGCTTATATTTCTCAGTTAGCTAGCACTAGGAACTGCTTATTCAATAGGACTTAATTACCAGCTAACTGTTATCTTTTAGTAAATAATTGCCCCTAGGAATCATGCTAACCATCTTAGATCAATGAATGAGTGTCTGAAATTGAATAAAACCATAAGTAGTAATTTTGTGAAAAATTTAAAACAACTAAAATACCATAATAACACTGCAGTTTCCTGAAGATTTATAGAAATGGAGAAACCAATATGAAATATACCTCTAAAATATTTGACTGCATTTGAATAGCAGGCAATATTCATACTGATGTAAATCACCTCAAACCACCAAGCAATATCAATAAACACACAGGTGTTTTCTAAACAGGATAATTTGGTTTCTCTGTATAAATCTTCTTTATAATTTTAAACCTAGTGATCCAAATAGATCTATAAAGTATGTAGATTAATTTGATCATGGAATGGCAGAGAATGAATCAGATCAATTTCAGACACTATCACAGGCAAATATGAGGGAGTAAGACCCAACGTCACCCAAAGGCCAGAATGAGTCTCGTTACTGTGAATAAGAAGACATTTTCTTGTTGTTATAATATTTATTACATTTCTCTTTAGGAGATTGATGAAATTTACTCTTATTGTGAGAGTGTGATTAGCCTAAATGAAGAGATCATCACATAAGAAAGTTGATATAATAATATCAAAGTCTTGATAAAAATAGCCTATTTAAACCATCTTTGAGATGGAAATATTAAATCCCTTCATCTTTTATAATTGTTCATTTTAAGATGACATTTCTTATAAGACAAAGTTATTTGGACATTTATAATGAAAATATGCCAGAGATATATCTTACCTTTCTGAATAATTTAAAACAAAAAGATAAGCTATTTCAAAGCAAATGTAATGTTTCATTTGGTGAAGCAAGAATAATTAAATTCATTTTATAGTCAAAACACTTTAAAAAATGTTAGTGTACTGTGTACAGATTTTAGTGTAATTGACAATTTCACCTTTTTAATTATAGTGTTAATCATTATTTGCAAAATGTGCTTTTAATCTTTTTCTGAGTTTTGATTAGGCTTTGAAAGTCTTTGCTTAGACTATAGCTTTGAAGTTTTACCTATATTCATCTAATTGAGTCAATGTTTTATGAAATATAAGGAATCCAGAAATGAATCATTTTATCTTGATATTTCATTATACATCTTAGAAAATGGGACACAAGGCAGTTAAGTGGTAAGATTTTCACACAGGAATAATTTTGTTTGTCTTTCTATTAAACATTATTTGTCATTCTTACTTAAGCTTTTATTTGTTCACTCAGTAAATACCTATAAACTATTTTTAGCATAGCAATGTGATAAAGATCACTGAAGGAACACTAAAAAATGAGAAAAGGTGCTTTATGAGAAGGATCTTTGCCTCCTACAAGCAAGGAAAGGAAAATCAGATGTACTGAATACCCACTATATTATAGCTATAATGCCCAGCATCTTACATAGACTATCAATTCTTAGCCCTTATTTCTGTAGAAGAGATCTAAATGGGGATGGAGCTGAGACTCAGATAGATCTAGTTTGTGGAGACACTTACTAAACTCCTGCTTGTGTCTGTTAATTTACATGGATGGATGCGAGACTGAAGGTAAAACAATACAAAATAAAAACTAAAAAACTATGTCCTTAATCTGAGTTGAGGCACCCCAGCTACGTCTGAAAAAGCTTTGTGGTTGTAGTGGTAGATGTGGGAGAGCACACATAGAATCCTGCCATTTTCTGGCTTGAGGCCTTGCTTTAAATTAATAAGGAATTGTTTCATGGCAAGTAGCTTCAGCAATAAGTTCTCATGGCTGTAAGGAATTAGTGGTTGTGGTCATAGGGAAGCCAGTGATATCTCAATTCATCTCATCACCCTATTCATGATGACATGAATATATGTAGGGAAAACCCAGTGGCTCAGCATTGAGACCCTCACAGATCAATGTTCATATAGGGTCAGACATATTCAACTTATTACTTGAATGGCTTAGTCAGAAAACAGCCAAGCTATGACAGCACCATTAGAATCCATTAGAATTAATGTCAAACTCTGGAGTAGCAGAGAACCATGGCAATGGAGAAACACAGAGCTGAAGGGTCTAAATGAACTGTATGGCAGATCTTGGAATCGCAGAGGCCACATTGATCCATGAGTGCAGGTAAGACTGTCTTGAAGAATTCATGGAGCTGTTGGAGACAGCCATGAAATCCTGAGAAATGGAGAATGAGGAGGTGTAAATAGGCCTACACTTCAAGAAATTTGCTTTTAACTCTTCATATTAAATGTTATACCCAGAAGCTTGTGAGGTAGAGGAAAATTCAGGCTACATATGTATGCATGTAGATGTATATTTTAAAATTCTCTATTTTGTTTCAAAATGGTGGAACATTTTGTATCTTTGAAATTACCAATGACAGAGTTGATTATTACCAATGATAGAGTTACAATGATAAATTACCAGTGATAGTTTATTAATATTTTAAGTAATAAAGATAAGGAAAGAGAAAATAAGTTTAGGCAGAAAATAAGATTCAAAAAGATAAAGAACATGACTAAAAAACAAAAGCACAAAATAAAGGCAGAGCTGGGATTTAAATTCATACCTCCCAAAGTCAATGCTATAATATCAATGGAGACTACAGACATAATTTGTTTAAAGTTACTTCTGTATGAGAGATTATGAGGTGGGGTGGAAAAAATGAAGGAGCTTCCGTGTGAATTGCTAAGGTGCACTGATGTAAAAGTGCAAAGGTTTTCTCCCTTTTTTTTCTGAATTTAAAATAATTTTTCCTGAATTTTTGTTCTTTACAAAAATCATGTTCAATTTTATGATTCAATGTTAATTTTATACAAACTGTCTATAAAACAACTTCTGGATTTCATAAGTATCTATGAGTTTTCTTTATGTGATTTAAACATAGTACTTCACAATCGAAATCAACATATTATGTTATTGAAATGCTGGAACATTAGACCATTTTGGTATATGCATCCAATATCCTAATATGTTTCATTCTTATGCTTATATAATTAAAATAGATGCAAAACAAATAAGTAAAGATTTTGTGCCAATTTGCCCAAAAAGTAGATCTATTAATAATAGCAAGAATATTTTAAAACTGAAACATAAAAATTTGGACCATCTAGTATAGTGAAACAAGATAGTATAGAACAGAATAAAAATGTTTTTATAACCAGCTGGGTTTTACAATAGATACAGTAGAAGAAAAGCCATTTCTATGTGATTTTTACAGATGGAACATACACTGTTTGGCTTTACAGATGAAAGTTTATATATAGTAGCATTAAAAAAGTTACTTTAGATTATATTTTAAGCCAAAGTTAAGGTTGAAGCAATGATGTAATTGAAAATGCATAGACTTTGAATGTGGACATCTCCGACTAAGAGTTGTACATCACTTATTTACTAACTGTGATACCAAATAAGTTACTTAAATCTTCTGACCCTCAATTTTATCTGTAAATGGATGTCATAATACTGTCGTTGTTGGATTGTACTAAGGATGGAATGGGATGATATATGGAAAGCAGCAAGTCCATGGTGTGACACCTGGATAGGAACTCGATAAATCATGGGGATTATGTGTTAAATGAAACAAATTTACCAAATTAATCTTTCTGCAACAGATATAATTTTCTCCTATCTCTAGCTGTTCACATATATGAATCTCATTATACTAAGTGAAAGAGGCCAGATATGAAGGTTACATATCATATGCTTCCATTGGTATACTATCCTGGAAAAGCCAAAACTACAGAGATGGAGAAAGGTAAATGTTTATTAGAAGCTGATGGTGGGGGTAGGAGCTAACAACAGATCCATGGGGGAATTTTGGGAGGCGATGAAACTATTCTACACCTTGATTGTGCTGGTGTTTACATGACTTCATTTGTGTGCGAGAATGACAGAGTATACTTTAAATAGCTTGATTCATTGCATGCAAGGTATACCTTAATAAAAATAATTTTTAAAATTGAAAAAAACAAAGCACCCAATTGTTGTTAATTAGATAGTTGATGAAATCATGTTCCAGAAGAGAATCAAAGGCATATTCAGAAAAAGCAAATAATTGGTGGAATTTTCATTTGCAAATTTGGTGCTTAGACCTAGTGTTTGTTGCTTAAAAGCTCAGAGGGAACACAAAGCATATTCGTAAAACTTCTCAATGAGATCAAGTTGAAAAGCAAGTGATAAAAGTAACAATCACCAAAATACAAGATGAGAAATTGAAGTAGCATTGGAAAAGGATAAAAGGAAAATACATTTAAAGACGTAGGAGGCATGTATCCACAGGAGGTAAATGCTGGTTGTGTTCAAGACTTTCAGAAATAAGATAAATCTACAACAAGAATATATAAGCAATATGAGTGTAATACATATTGAGAGGTCTTCATGAACATATAGCTACCGGTAAGTAGCGATCATGAAAATGCTGAGTCACAAATTCTGTACAAACCTATTAAGGGAATTTGTGCTGTTCATCAAAGTACACTTTTTAAGCATTTGAAGGGTTAGATTGATCTATTCTTTCTGTTTTTATCACAGTGAAAACCACACACAAATAGCTCTAAATCATAGCCTAAATTATGACTTCTGGATATTTTTAAAGGGCGATCAGGGTGGTATGGCATAGAGGGAGGTGGAATAGTCTTGTAGGAGGCAGATAGTGGAGGTTAGGAGCAAAAGCTTTTGAGTCAAAGAGATGGAATATTCAACAGTTTTGTAAAAATTCAACACGTCTCAGAGTATTAGACACAGTGAGTGGCACAAAATTAGGACATAAGTAACTGTGGCTTTGGTGGACATGGGAAAGTGCCTTTCAGATCATTGAAGAAAGTGAAACTGATTTAGGGTAGAAGCTGGTGATTCTGAAATTTATTGCTGTGTAAGTGCTAATGACTGTGGCAAAGACACCGAGACAGACAGTTCCTGGGAGATTAGGTGATGGGTAGATTCTTTCTGACAGGTGACTTTGGGTGAAGGACTCCTCAACAGTCTGGCTGAATTTCCTTTAAAACTGCTCTGCAGTCTAAGATGTTTCTACCCAAGCTTCCTTTCTCCCTTCTCTCCTTCACTTGAGATCAGAAATGCATGGAGATCTGATGGCACTCCCAGCCTCTTTCAATATTGTTCCCATTTTCAGTCACAGGTGTTTTCCTTAAGATTTTCTTTCACATTGGATTCAGTCTTGACCTCTGTTTCTCAGAGAACGTTGACAAATACAGAAGCTACTTGTCACTGTTGTTGATATTAATTTACTATTTCTGTGGGCAATAATTTTTAAACTTAGGGATGTATTCAGTGGGACTTCTGTTGAGATATTTAATGGGAGATAGATTTTTATTTTTATGACAATGAGTGGATTAAACCGGGATGTCCTTGAGTGAGGGGAAAGGGTTACAATGGCAGTAATGGTCTAGACCCATGCATTCTGACCCCAAAAGCCAAAATCATTTCTAACAAATCATTTTCTATTCTGTTCTTAATTATTTATGAACATCTGTCCACCACTTATGACACTCTATTTCACTATTGTGTCATTTTGATGATAGAGGAGTTATTCTTAAAATCTCATGAAAAGATCCCCTTTTAAATATCGCTTTAAAAATCTCTACAGATGCAGAGAACAACCCCATTCAATCCTTCAAGATTGTAATCAGGTCACCATTTCGTATTTTTTTTTGTTCTAGTATAAAGAGCCAATTTCATTCATTAGTTTGTATATTCATTTTTAGCAAGTAATTTGGGTGCCTTATTATACTATTTTTTGCCAATTTCATTATTTCTGTTTGTATTTCTTGAACTCTCTCCAATTATTCTAGAATTTTTTAAAGGCTGATGATCAATATTAGGCATTATTATAATAAGGATCTCACTTGCTGAAAGGATTACTCACTCTTTCACTTTAATGTTATATTATTATATCACTTCTGTTCTTCAAATCCTATTGCCAACATCACTTCTGTGCCAACCACTAGAAAGGTATGTACTAATATTTCACTTGTGATCAAACACTGCTTCAGATTTTTTTTTCCTTAATTTCATTTAGTAATCTTCTTTAGTGGTGTGTTGCATATCTATTCTGTTTTGCAATCTTAGTACCAGCATCTGGCTAATTTATTTACAGTGTTTTTTTCTTTAAGTTCTTCTTTTTGTTTCATTGAACAACTTGATATAAAATGAAGGTAGAAATTCAGTCTCACTCATTTATGAGTTGTGTGCCTAGGACAAATTACTTAACTCCCTCATTTCCTAATGTAAAAAATGAGGATAATTATACCCAGATGATAAGTAAAATGTGGAAAACAAATGACATAGTAACATAAAGTAAGCACTGATGTGTCCGGAATTGGTGGGTTCTTGGTCTCACTGACTTCAAGAATGAAGCCGCGGACCCTCGTGGTGAGTGTTACAGCTCTTAAGGTGGCGCGTCTGGAGTTTGTTCCTTCTCATATTCGGATGTGTTCGGAGTCTCTTCCTTCTGATGGGTTCGTGGTCTCGCTGGCTCAGGAGTGAAGCTGCAGACCTTCGTGCTGAGTGTTACAGCTCTTAAGGCAGCACATCTGGAGTTGTTTGTTCCTTCTGGTGGGCTCGTGGTCTCGCTGGCTTCAGGAGTGAAGCTACAGACCTTCACGGTGAGTGTTACAGCTCATAAAAGCAGCGTGGACCCAAAGAGTGACCAGTAGCAAGATTTATTGCAAAGAGTTAAAGAACAAAGCTTCCACAGTGTGGAAGGGGACCCCATCGGGTTGCCACTGCTGGCTCAGCAGCCTGCATTTATTCTCTTATCTGGCCCCACCCACATCCTGCTGATTGGTAGAGCCCAGTGGTCTGTTTTGACAGGGCGCTGATTGGTGCGTTTACAATCCTTGAGCTAGACACAAAGGTTCTCCACGTCCCCACTAGATTAACTACATACAGAGTGTTGACACAAAGGTTCTGCAAGGCCCCACCAGAGTAGCTAGATACAGAGTGTGGATTGGTGCACTCACAAACCCTGAGCTAGACACAGAGTGCCGATTGGTGCATTTACAATCCCTGAGCTAGACATAAAGGTTCTCCAAGGCCCCACCAGAGCAGCTAGATACAGAGTACCCACTGGTGCATTTACAATCCCTGAGGTAGACATAAGATTCTCCACGTCCCCACCAGACTCAGGAGCCCAGCTGGCTTCACCCAGTGGATCCCGCATCGGGGCTGCAGGTGGAGCTGCCTGCCAGTCCCGCGCCATGCGCTCGCACTCCTCAGCCCTTGGGTGGTAGATGGGACTGGGCGCCGTGGAGCAGGGGGCGGGCGCTCGTCGGGGAGGCTCGGGCTGCACAGGAACCCACGGAGGCGGGGGAAGGCTCAGGCATGGCGGCCTGCAGTCCTGAGCCCTGCCCCGAGGGGAGGCAGCTAAGGCCTGGCGAGAAATCGAGCGCAGCGCCGGTGGGCCGGCACTGCTGGGGGACCCAGTACACCCTCCGCAGCCGCTGGCCCGGGTGCTAAGCCCCTCATTGCCCGGGGCCGGCAGGGCCGGCCTGCTGCTCCGAGTGCGGGGCCCGCCAAGCCCACACCCTCCCGGAACTCCAGCTGGCCTGCAAGCGCCGCGCGCAGCCCCGGTTCCCGCTCGCGCCTCTCCCTCCACACCTCCCTGCAAGCTGAGGGAGCCGGCTCTGGCCTTGGCCAGCCCAGAAAGGGGTTCCCATAGTGCAGCGGTGGGCTGAAGGACTCCTCAAGTGCCGCCAAAGTGGGAGCCCAGGCAGAGGAGGCACCGAGAGCGAGTGAGGGCTGTGAGGACTGCCAGCACGCTGTCACCTCTCACTGGCATAAAGTAAGTCCTCAAATGCTAATGTTCTTCACGTAGATGTGGCCATTTACTTTATGTACACTAAATTGCAATAAAAGAAAGCTTAATTTGAGAGAGAATGTATCTGAAGAAAACCTTCAAAAAAGCTCAGAAAGGGAATATAGTCTCAGTGCTTTTAGAAACAGCACATTTGACTGGCTTAAAAGAATGAAACCAGGTATCATATTCTTTTCATTCATTTTTGCTTTAATTTACAGCAGAGACATGAGGAAAATGCTCCCCTCCCCAACTAAGACACTGAGAAAATATTCCAATACAAAAGAAACATGCATTTATTTTCTCAAAAAGGGAGAGAGATGTTTTTCATTAGACCAAAGGAGAAAATACCAACGGAGAAAAGCTAGGAATAAAAAATAAAGAAACCTTAGACATGTAGCTACCTACAAATATTGGAAACATTGTCATATAGAAAAGGGATTAAGTTTGTTCTGAGTGGGCCAGGAACTGTGGTTAGTGCAATGACAAATGAAAGAGAACTAAGAGAAAAACTTTTTAAACCTGAAAGGCACTCAAAAGTGGAATGGATCAACAACTCAGGATGCATTAGTTTCAAATGACAGAGGCTGGAGAATCACTCTGTTTACATAGAGAACACGTTGGCTGCATTAGACCTGTATGTATCAAGCTCACCTGTAGTACAGAGCAGGAAACTCCCTGAATGACCCTATGGGGACCATTGGAGTAAGGGGCCAGGGAGAAATGGAGGGAGAGAGAAGTCCCCTTGCAACTACTGAGCTATTAAAGAGGTGGAGGTAGAAAGGAACTGGAGGGAGACCACATGTATTTGCCTAGCCCGTCATTGCACGAATGGTTGGCAAACAGGCATCTAAGCGTATCCATTCTTTCAGGTGGCCCTACTCTGCTAAGGCACTGGGGTGGAAATAGTGCAGTGGACAAGGTATTTGTATTTCCTGACTTTTGAAGCGTCAAGGTAAACTCAAATGACTGTTACTGACAAGTAAGAAAACAGGTGATGAAATTGAATAATATCAGTTTTGAAAGTGCTATGAAGGAAGTAGGTGAAGGATTGATAGAGAAAACTGGGAATAAGAGTGGATAAGGCAGAGAAGACTTCTGTAAGGAGCTGTCCTTTATTAATCTGGGTGCTTTATAAAATAAAGAAAAGAAAAGACGAGATAGATGATTGATAGATGGATGGATGGATAAATAGATAGATAGATAGATAGATAGAAAGCCAAATATGCAAATAGGGAAAGGAAAGCATCAGCAAGTAGTGAAAGCTCATGGCGTTTTCTTGGAAATGACAGAAACCCATGAGATCATTAGATTTGATCTGTGTGAGGCTATAGTGATGGTTGGGACATTTTAGGAATTTAATTTTACTATAACAGAAATGGGAAACTATTGAAGAGATTTAAGACAAGCAATCAGAAAAAATATATATTTAAGAATTGGTTTTGAAATGTTCCACTATTTTGAAACAAAACTAATAGAAAATTTGCAAAAATAGTATAATGAATTTCTTTACACTCTAAATTTGTGACTTATCATGTATCCTCTCTTTATATAGAAAAGAACTATTATTATTATTGTTATTACTACTGAGCCATTCGAATGTGGGTTATAGACATCATGGCCCTTTACCCAAAAGTATTTCAGTATCTCGAAGGAAAAATGACTTCCTCTTATGTAACTCCAATGCAATCACCAAATTTATTAATTATAAAATTGTTGTACTATCTAATATATAAAGAATATTTAGGCCGGGTGTGGTGGCTCACAGCTGTAATTCCAGCACTTTGGGAAGCTGAGGCGGGTGGATCACCTGAGGTCTGGCATTTGAGATCAGCTTGGCTAACATGGTGAAACCCCATCTCTACTAAAAATACAAAAATTAGCCAGGCATGGTGGTGGGCGCCCATACTCCCAGCTGAGCAGGAGAATCGCTTGAACCCGGGAGGTGGAGGGTGCAGTGAGCTGAGATTGCACCACTGCAGTCCAGTGTGGGTGACAGAGTGAGACGCTGTCTTAAAAAAAAAATAAATAAATTTTCCAACTGTCTCTGTAAATTCTTTACACGCAATTAGCTCCATTGTCTGGGTCCAGGATTCATTCCAGGATCACACACTGCATCTAGTTGCCATGATTTCTTTGTCTTCTTGGTCCGGAAGAGGTCTCAGCCTTTGTCTTTCCTGACACTGACATTTTGAAGAGTATAGGCCAATTGAGGTACAAACTCACAGCCCTTTAATTTGAAGTTGTCCCATGCTCCATCATGATTACATTCAGGTAATGCATTTTTGGCAGGAATACCACTGAAGCGATGTCCTTTTACAGGAATAATACAGAAATTATGACTCTCTTACTTCATTACATTAGATAATATTCACTTTGTCCCATTAATTAGTGGTATTAACTTTGACTAATTGTTTAGGGTGGAAAAATCTGCTAGGTTTCTACACTAGAAAGTTTATTATTTTTCCCTTTCTCGGGGGATACTTTGAGAATATGTAAACATGCAGTTTTTTTATTAAACTTTACTTAGTGGTATTTAGCACTACTGGTAATTCTTACCTGAATCAATTATTATTACGATGGTTGAATTTTATAACTCTTCCGTTCTTTTTACATTAGTTGTCATTCTTATTTACTTATTTCTTACTTAAAATTGTTTACTTGCTTAGGTATTTACTCATTTATTCTCAGTACGAACTCATAGATTCTTGTTTTATCTATGGTTTAAAATCTATCCCTGCATTATTCATTTTGCAGCACAAATTGTCTTTACTTCGCCAGTGGCTGCTCATTTAACCTGGGTCATTTTTTCCTTCAACGTATTCCCATCAGTTTTGGGGTACTTCCTTATTTGTTTGTCATAATGATTCCAGGTACATCTTGTTTCCCCCTTCCAAACCTGGCTCTTTTACTGGAGAGTGGTGTTTAGAAAGTAACATCTAGGTGAAGTTCATCCTTGGAGTGGCGTGAGGAGCATGGAATATTGCAGGAGAGAAGATAATTCACCAGAGACTGTTGCATTCATCTGAGTGAAAGATTGCGATGATCTAGTCCAAGGTGATGGTAATGGAGAGATGGAGATAAAAGGACACGTTTTCCATATGGAAATTGATAATAAAGGTTGGATATTGAGGGCGAGGAAGAAAATGGGGATTCAAATGTAATCTCAAGCTACCGGAACCAGTGCTCAAGCGGGTGTATATATAATATTGCTCTACTTCGATGTCTTGTCCACGCTCACATATTGATGATTTTATACCCTGGGTGCAGCTGGGTGTTGTGGGGTGTCTTTTTGTCGACTGTGCTGGATGTGACCACACTTGCATCTGCATTTGTGGGGTCATGTTCACATGTTGCCATGGCAACCTCCCAGGCTACAGTTGCATGGTGGCCTCAGTGGTTTTCATGATTAGAAGCCTCTGGAATCAACTGCCTGAAGGTACTTGGAGGTGACTCAGCTGGTTCCAAATAGTATTCAGTGCCTCGTTCCTGCCTTTAGAAACAGGGAACTAACAGAGGGAATATTCTCAGGGCTTCTTCAGCAGAGGAATAGTGATTAAAAGTTTGAAATCAGATGACAGAAAATGCTAGTTTGTGAATAAATAGGATCTGGTTTTCCTATTGTAAATGTACAATTTGAAATTGGAATATAGGGATGTAGGAAAGCAGCAAGGAGGGATTTATATGATTTATATTTTGCTATATGTGATAATAAGCTGATGTCCCATCACTTAATATCCATAAACACAATTTGATTATCATTTTTTAAGACAATTTCAAACTATAAACATTTATTTTGTCTCCTATTATATTTAATTTTCAGATAAATAAATAACAAAATTTTAAATCTATAATTAAAATATTGTAATATGCCAAAACTTCTCTGGAAGTTTTGGTATTTTATTTAGAAATGCACTATATATTCTTTTGATTTTTATAAGACAATAAAGTATTCAAATTCGATAATGTATAAATTCAAAAAGAATTTTCTTGAGGGGAGAGATCAGTTCATGTGTTTGGGAAAGTGAAATATGATTTATTGCAAATGGTCTGGTGGCTTTATTAATGCTTACTGGATCTATAAAGCTTCTTTGTTTTGGGGACACTGAGTCCTTGTGTTGTTCTCCCCAACATCTAGTTTGTAGATTTTGTAGCTCAAAGCAAAGCAGTTTTCTGCCCCATCCTCAAGCTCTGCAAAGCCCTGGAGTGCCAGATATGAGTTCTAAGGTCTTAACTGAGAAGCCCTCACTCTGCATTACTGACCCCTCGCTTAGTATGGGGCCTTTGGTGCCCAAAAGAGTTCACTAATGAGTGCTCAGGGGCAGACAGTGTATCCTGTTAAAGTTTATTAAATGCTTTATATAATGTTAGATGTTTAAGAGGCTGTTCTGGTGCTAGACTCTGTGGGTTTGAGCTCTAGCTCCATCCTCTACTTACTAACTCTGGAACTTTGTAGCAGTCACTAGAGTTGTGCTTTCTCAACTGTGAAGTGAAGACAATGGCAGTATTTAACTCATCAAATTGTCCCCAGACTTCAAGGAAATAATCTGCAGAAGGACTTGTTATAGGGTCTGGTGCTTAGTAGAATCAGAGTAAATGATGGTATTATTTTAATAATAATGTAGCTATCATTTTGCAATTGTTTATTATGTGCAAAGTCTGTGTGAAGTACTTTACTTACCTTCTCTTTTTTGATATTCAAAGCCATCCTATGAAGTAGGTGCCATTAGTAATCCAATTTTAGATATGAGGATGCTAATACTTACAAAAAGTTAAGAGAAGAGTTCAAGGCACTTCTAGTGGAGTTGAGATTCAAATCAGCTCTGCCTGATTCCAGGTCCTATGATTTCATTTTGAATGTCATGCATCTTCTGCCCATACTGATGCCTGATGTGGTACAAAAATGAGAACAGATACTTTATGTCTGTTAATATGATAGCTGATACTCATGGAAATCTTGCTTTGCTAAATATTACCAATAACTAGTGTTCACAATGTTTGCAACCCATTAAGCTACGTTGTTTATCTGAATTGTTTCCTTTAATTCCTTTAACCAATATATGAATTGAGAATATACTATTCCTGTTTCCCAGATAAGCGGACTGGGGGCCCCAGAGTTCAAGTGCACCGCTCAATGTTCCAGAAGGAGTAAATGGAGGCAGCCCTTGGAGGCAGATCTACCTGATCCATGCCCAGAATCTCTCACCAAAACTGTGAGAGAATAAATTTATTTTGTTTTAAGCCACAAAATCTGTAGTAATTTGTCACAGCAGCCCTAAAGAAACCCTGAATACACACACTGTCCACCATTCTGATCTTTTCCTGTCGCTTTGGAAGTCTTGAAAGAAGAAAAGAGGAGGACTGTTTCTATGTATACTTTGAAATCTAATTTTAGGGAATTGGCGGATAACCTTTGTATTTTGTTATGCTGAAAGAGGCCTAGAGTTCTAGACTACAAAGCATTATTTTACTAGCTTAGCTTTGATATATAATAGACTCAATCATTTCCCGGCTCCTGGGGAAAGGACAGTCTGATCGTATATGATTTCAAGGAAAAAAAAATATGCTTGCAATGGGGATTGAAAGAGAGACTAAAAACAGGGAAGATATTGCAATTCTAGGCTAGTGATAATGAATCCCTAAACTCTGAAACATAAGCTGGAGGAGGACAGACAGTGAATGTAGACAGTAATAAACCCAAAAGATTTCATAGTAAAATTTATAGAAAATGGTGCCTGATTAATTTTAGGAAATGCTGAGAGAAAGCAAATTGAAAAATAACTCAGCAGTTTCTAGTCTGTTCAAAGTGAAAACTAGGTGTAGATCAGAGTGTGTTAGTTTACCAAGGATGCTGAACCACATTACTAAAAACTGAGTAGGTTAGAACAGCAGAAATTCATTATCTGGCAATCCAGAGTCCACAAGCTTGAAATCAAGGTGTTGGCAGAGCCATTCTCATTCTGAAGACCCCAGGAGAGAATCCTTCTTTCCTTCTTCCAGTTTCACTTAGCTTGTGGAAACATAACTCTCACTTCCTCTGTCTTCAATGGCCTTCTTTTTCAATCTTTCCCTGTCCTCTTCTCTTCTGATAGAGATACCAGTAATTGAGTTGAAAGCCCATCCGAAGCCCATAATGGTTTCATATGGAGATCATTAACTGCAAATACCCTATTTACAAATAAGGACACATTCTGAGGTTCTGAGTGGACATGATCTTTCTAAGGCCACTATGTGACCCACGACAGGAGGGATATCAGTGGCTCATAACCCACATTGCTCCCTTCATCACCAGGCCATCACCACCCAATTTTGCAAATGGAAGATCTAGAAATGTTCAAGGTAGAAATTGTGGAGACAAAAGGAGGAAGCAGGTGAAATCTTCTGCCCATAGAAATTTCTGACCATCTCAACATGCCCAGAGGAGATGCCCGTGGTGGACTAAACTTCAAGGAGAGCTGAGGACTTGAGTTACACAGCCCTGGTGATATTGCTGTCCTTAAGAGATAGAGTGGCTTTTCAGTGACTAAGAATTGCTCTTATATATTTCTAAAAATCTGTGATGCATATAACAAAAAAATTTCTCACTTATGACACCCTCCCAAGTACATGTTCAACCATTTACCAAACATTTGATACTTCATGAAAATGAAAGGAAGCAGGAAATAAGCAGAAAATGCTTCAAGTGGCTAAGCATGTAATGGTGGGTGGTAATCTTCTCCATATTCTTTTTCTCGTTTTCCGGATAAATTTACAGGGCTCAGAGAACGCACTGGGGGTTAGAACCACAACATAGAGGAAGCCTGGATCCCCAAATCACTGTATGGAATGCTTTTTAATGCACATGCTATTAGGCTTTATCTGAGTAAGAAATAAACTTCCCTAGGTTAAGTCATTGAAATACTAGGGTTATTTATTACAGCAGTAAGCTTTTACTGACTAATACTATGAAAGTAGGTTAAATCACTCTCTTAGTCTTGTTATACGTTTTTGTTCTTAAAATGAAACACAGACATATTTACCTCTCAGAAATTTTTTAATAATTCAGTCAGATAATACGTGATATTGCTTGTCATGATGTCAGAAACATTGCAAAGGCTCTGTAAACACCAACTATTGGTATCACAGGATACTGCTCTCATACTGATAGGTATATTAGTAGGACATAGAAGGTCCTTCTTAATTAGACACCACCTTTCTTTTCCAATCTAATTTCCAGCCTTACTCTCTATGTCACCTAATATTTCTCTTATTTCTCCATCATGCCCTAGTCTCCATGGACTCTTCCACATGCATATCTTGCCTTTCACACTCTTGGAACTTTGCTTATGCTATTTTTTCTTACTTGAAATGTTTTCCCTTCCACCCCTATTTATCTCTCTAGTGAAATAATACTAATCCTTCAATGTGTGTCAAAATGTTGTGAAAATTTCCCTAACCCACTTAGGGAAAACTGATTGTTCTCTTCTCTGTGGTAAAAAAAGCACATTTAACAACATTTATGATAGCAATTAATAATCTCTCGGTTTCTGCAACATTCACTTCTATCTTAATCATAACTCCTTCTCAATTTCTTGCTATCTCATAATCTTCTACTCAAGTTCCAACTCTTGGAGCTCCTAATAGCTTGGTTGTAGGACTTCTTTCTAACCATATTTTTTTTTTCATTTAGTGATCTCATCCATTCCATTGACTTTAATCCCATGTAGATGCTCATAAGAGCCAAATTTATATCTCTTTCTAAGACATTGAATCTAAGTCCAAATTCTTTCATCTCTAAGAGTGGTCAAATTTAATATGTCTGAAATAGAACTCTTACCTCCCTCTCTTGCAAAACTGTTCCTCTACCAGCCTTAGGAATTTCAGTAAGTGACAATGCATTTTACCTAGCTGTTCATACCAAGATTTTAAGTCAATAAAGGGATTGTAACATAAAATCGAGTAAATTCTCAGTGAAAGGAACTAAGGCAGTTGGTTGAAAAATATGAGTTAAAGTAGAGAATCAGTGCAGAAAATCAATGATCCCACTAACAGGAGTTGCAGAAGGAAAAAAAATAGAAAAAAATGAAAACAGGAAACTAGCAAAGAAATAATACAAGAAAAGTTTCTAGAATGGAAGAGAGTCAAACCATGAAAGTGCATCTAAAACTTCCGCTTGGACGTTGTACAATCTCTGCTTATATCCCATTGGCCAAAAAATCCCAAAGTCACTGGAGTGAAGAAACATACTTTGAAGAAACATACTTTTCCTGCATGAAGTATGGTGAGGATGGGGAGAGAAAAAGTAGCTGTTAAGTGTAAAAGCCACAACAGTATAGCTGGGGATTCAGGAAATAGAGACTGAAAATAAAAATATGTGTCATATCTAATATAGGAAAGCAAAAAGTTGGTTTCTAAGTCAGTAGTGAAGAGACATTCCAAGGCTAATAATTTTACCTTTGATGTGGAGGCGAACATTATTCAGATTGGAGCTGGAGGATGAAGAACTCTGGGAAGAAGGAAAACAGGAAAAGAAAAGTTGTCAATTGATAATCATATATTTGTGTAGAAAATTGAACTGGAAACTCTTGACATAACTTTTTAAAATAAAATCATGTCATTCCCCTCTTTATTCAAAGCCTTCCCACTTCTTTTAGAATAAAATTAAAATTCCAGCAGGTCTTGCACATTCCAGTTTCTACATGTGCCCCAGACTTATCTAATACCACGTTCCCACTTGGTCATTGAGCTGCAGCTATCAGAATGCTTTTGAATTCTCAGCCATGCCAATCCATTTTTACCTGAAAGCTTTTGTACCACTCTCAGTTGTCAGCTCTTAGTCCAGCTTTTCAAATGTCTGGCTGGACCTCATCCTTCACATCTCTTAGTTCAAATTTATTCTTGAGTAGTACTCAATTTATAACTTGACTAGCCTCTCCAGATAACATCATTTGTGTAATTTTTCATCCACTTGTATTCTATCATATATTCCATGCCATTGCCCTGTTCATTTCCCTTTTAATAACGATTATAATTTTAATAATATTACTCATTAATTATTTTTCTTCTTTATTCAGTGTCTTTTTCCACTTAGAATGTAAGTTTTCTGGGGATAATACTCTTCTTTGTTCTGCTGTATTGTATTTTCTGTATTTAGGACAGTGTCTGGCATGGAGAAGACATTTAAGTAAATATCGAATAAGAGGATGTGTAAATAAATGAATAAAGCTCATGATGAATAAGGAAGTAGGGGTTGCATAGGAACATTCAAGGGCAGTAACAACCCAGGCCACAATGGTGAGGGTTTAGTCTGAGAAATAAATAAACCCCTTAGTCAGAAAACATTGTACTAGTCACATGTCGTTCATGCCTGAACCAAAGGTTTAAGGATAAGGAGTTCATCAACAGCAATAGAGGGAAGAATATGGAGGGAGATGAGGTAGCTTGTGCAAAGGCTCAAAGCTTCGAGGTAACATGGTGTATTCAATGAAATCTAGGGAGCTAATATAACTTTGCTGATGATAAATCATAAGGGCATGTTAAAGGCATCATAGAGACCAAAGAGCACTGTGAATAAGGCTTTTAAATATTGGTTATAATCAAGGTCTATGCTTACTATTTATAGTGAGGGAAGGATATTTGCAACATGTGACTAGTACAATGTTTTCTGACTAAGGGGTTTATTAAGTGAAACATCTTCAGTTCGGAATTTCTAACATCTTGAGTTAGAGAATTTCTTGGGGTTTATTAAGTGAAACATCTTCAGTTAGGAATTTCTAACATCTTGAGTTAGAGAATTTCTTGGTTAGAAGTCAACACAAGATTAGCTTGAGGAAAAACTTGGGGAGTTGTGAAACAGTTGTATCTCAGTATTTAATATTAGTGCCATTATAATTTGTGTTTATCAAAACATACTCAGGGTATTTTTGTTGTTGTATTTTTTTGTTAAGAAGTTACATTCTTAATATGTCAATAAATGTAGTCCTTTAGTTTCCTGCCCAGTAATCATGACTAGAATCCTAACAGTTGGCATCATGTCTTGATTTGTGAGCATCAGCAAATCTGGTGACTTCCTAGTGTAATCTTCTTCTCATCTGGAAATGGGATAATATGATAATTCCCACCCCACACAGTTAATGTGTGGGTCAAATGAATTAATATAGGCAGAAGTGTATCATGAATTCTAAATTCATAAACAGCGCATGCCATATTATTACAAATTTAGAGAGCATTGCCAAATAAAAATTTCTAATCTGTCTACCTAGACTATGTTCTACCAGCTCCAGTAGAAAATTTCATGTGAAAAATGTATTGTGCTCCATCTGTTCAGGTTCAGAGAATTGAGCCTATGTACCTAAAGCTAATTTACTAAAGTGGGAGTTGAAGTGATGTCGTAAAAGAGAAATTTTCTAAGTAAGCTGTCGTTCACTGGCTTTCAACACAATTGCTCCAGCCATAGATCATATTTTATAGAAAAAGAGTGTCCTAATTCTTGAAGGAGTGTTGGATAGTATAATAGCACACATACAAATCATATGATGTGCAATATCTATGAAGAATAATGTCGTGACAAGAAGTTACATCTAGTGTCATGGAATTCATTTAGTATTGGATAAATTACCAGGCTAGTCTAGTTTGTTCACATTCTCAGAGCCACCTCCTTTCCCTGGAAAGCAACCTGGTACCTCTGCTTCTTCTTCCTCTTCTTCTTTTTTTTTTTTTTTTTTTGATGGTGTCTTTCTCTGTTGCCCAGACTGGAGTACAGTGGCATGATCTCGGCTCACTGCAACCTCTGCTTCCCGGGTTCAAAAGATTCTCCTGCCTCAGCCTCCGAGTAGCTGGGACTACAGGTGCACACCACCATGCCTGGTTAATTTTTGTATTTTTTTTTTTTTTTTTTTTTTTTAGTAGAGATGGGGTTTTGCCATGTTGGCCAGGCTGGTCTTGAACTCCTGACCTTGAGCGATCCACCCACCTTGGCCTCCCAAAGTGCTGGGATTACAGGCGTGAACAGCCGCACCTGGCCAACTCTGTACCTACTTCTTATTGCTAGTTTTGTTGTTAAAGTCTTGAATCTGAATTTCCCAAACAGATTACAGGGTTCATGGAAATGGAAGCTGGTTGTCCATCTCTTTGAATTCCCTACAGAGTCTGAAACAGTGCCTTGCAGAATGATATGGATTGAGAAAATTAATCTTTATATCTAGTCCAACAGTTTATGTATGTTTGTTAAATTCAGGTTCATTTGGTCTCTTGGGTGCTCCAACATGTTTGGCAGAGACGATACCTTGGTTATGAACTCATCTTGGCTTGGCATGCACTTCAGAGGTGAACTGAAGATGCTATCAGCTATGCTTTTTCATTTTGGTTTATTACAGTTATTCTTGGAATATTTGTAGTTGCTGAGATATTAATCTTGCAGGCAGGAAATAATAGATCTTTCTTTATCTTTGCATTTCTTGAGGGGAAATGAGTTGTAACAAAGAGCATATATTTATTTTCAAAATTAATTTCAGAAGGAAAAGGTTTACTTTGGAAATACATGTAATTTCATTTTGCAATATACCTGATAATGTAAAAATACCATTTCACATATTATGTTATAAAAATAAACTCAAGCACTTAGAGGAATAGTTGACTTGAAAAACTTGTTATAACACTTCTTGTATTTAGAATATTCTTTAAAAGCAACTTTATTTAATTCCAGATCAAGAAATAAAGAAAATTATTGCCAACTTCAGTTTATTCTCTTACAAGTTTTCATTTTTAATTAGTAAAAGAGTTCATGTTAATTTTATAAAATTGACATATATACATATTTATACTTTACATATATTCAATAAAATTTACATATAAGATTTACTTTATTTAGAAATTTAGAATGCACAAAAAAATCTCCACTTCTACATCTGCGTGGCTTTTTGTTATAAGGATATAGTAAATAATAGTAAATAAATTATGTTCATATTTTGAACAAGATTCTAACACCTGTTCACTTTATACTATATCATCATAACACTGAAACCCTAACTTGATGCCTAACTATACGCTGGACACTGTTCCAAAACTTCTCTTATATTTGCTTATGTAATCATTATAACAGCCCTAGGAGTTAGTTTGACACTGTAATTATTCCTGCTTCACAGATGAGCAGACTGAGGCACAGACAGGATCACACAGAACTCAGTTCTCTCATTAGCAAAATGCAGTTAATCTTAGTATCTCCTTCTTTGGTATTTGCATGGTTTTGAGAGGCAAGAAGAGGATATGGCAAAGTACTTGACAATTATGAGTTAAACATATGACATTGCATTATTATTGTGGTGGTGGCGGTGGATATTTATTCATAAATTTATCTCTAGTGTTTTATACAATTCCTAGTGTATACTAGTTGCTAGAAAATATCTATTACATGAATGATCTATAGTGACCGATTTCAACCTCCTGAAAATACAAATCGATGATTAGAAGTTGTTTACTAAGCCAGCACAGTTACATATCACTTCATTTGTTTAAGTGGAATGTTTCTTTTTCTCCTGTGTTTCACAGATTCCATCTTACTAACCTCCGACCTTATAGAAACTAACAGGTGAGATGTTTCCCAGGTCACCCCTACTCCATCCTGTGATTGATGCAGGGGAGACTTAAGTCTTGAACAACAGATGAAGATGCCTTCAGTTTATCCCATTGTTTACTTTTCTTTGATTTTTGGCTTCATCTCTTCAATCACATTCTGGTAACAGGCTCAAGTTTATTTCAAGCAATCGATTAGATACTAATAAAGCATTGTCCTTTGAGAATGGGCCACTGCTTTCTATATCAGGTAATGGCTTCTTAATATTTCAGTTGATTTCTTTACAAGTAAACACTGTGTCATATTGAGAGGTGACCAATAAGAGAGTGAGTTAAGGTACATGACTATAATATAAATTCCTAGGTGTGAGAGCAGAAGAGTGGCAGCAATCCTCATTAATAAGTGCATTTATAAAGACTTGAAAATGTATTTGCATTTGCCTGCCAAAGTAATCATGCATAATAGAAAGACTCTACAGCAAAATAGGCAGAATAAAGCCATCAAAAGATATCATTCACAGAAACTAAATTTGATCATCATGTAGAAAATATGCTGCTAAGCTTATTGCTTGTATAAATACCAACTTTAGCCAATAGGCTGCTTCATAATGAAGTATTAGTGGCTGAATAGGATCTTAAAATGGAAATGCTGAATCCCAGAAAAGAAGAACATGAATGATGATGATGATGCCTTGACATAAATATAACAGAAGCACCATGTTGTAATCAAGAAGTACATATTTCTTTCAATTGATAGTTATTCCCACTGCTTATTAGCTTGATCAATTGGACAAGTGCACAGAAAAACAAAGTTTCCCATAAATACCATGATTTTTTTGCCCAATGTAAAAATCTTTAGTTTTAGGTCAGATACTCCCACTGAGTGTCCTTGAATAAAATGATTTGTTGCCCAAATGTAAGTGGAAGGTATAAAGAACAGCATAATACTCTTCAGTCATACAATTATGTATTTTTAATTTTACTACATTATTTAATATATGTTTTGCTGCCTCCACTATTTGTAGTAACTTAAACTTTAATCCAATTCTCTATATAGCCATTTTGTAAATAAAAGTTGGATTCAATTTGAATAGGACTAGCAAATTGACATAAATATCAGAAATCATTTTGAAAACATGAACCAAGTTAATTACCCAGCTTGCAAATGAGTTATTATAATTTGATGGCTTTGCTTTGGAAAGCATATACGGGATTTCAAAATAAAAGAAAGTAGACAAACTATAACCCATAAAGGAAAATAAATTATTTTAATTAGGGAAAATGGAGTTAAAATGGGAAATGAGAGAAATTATGTTTTTGATGTATGAAATATTTTTAATTAGGATGAAGGGACTAGAACTAATATTTACTAAGGACACATTGAGTGTCAAGCACTGTATTATATATTTACACATACTATAAGCTTTATAGACTTCATATACAATACCTTGTATTTTAAAAACATGTTTCTTTTCTATTATTTATTATATGGAAAGCATATTTAGTGATACTTGTCTTATCCTCAAAAATATAAAATCAAGTAAACCATTAAAAAACATAATGTGGGCTGGGTGCGGTGGCTCACGCCTGTAATCCCAGCACTTTGATAGGCAGAGGCAGGCGGATCACGAGGTCAAGAGATTGAGACCATCCTGGCCAACATGGTGAAACCCCATCTCTATTAAAAATACAAAAATTAGCTGGGCATGGTGGCTTGTGCCTGTACTCCTAGCTACTCAGGAGGCTGAAGCAGGAGAATCACTTGAACCCGAGAGGTGGAGGTTGCAGCAAGATGAGATTGCGTCACTGCACTCCAGCCTGGTGATAGAGCAAGATTCTGTCTAAAAAACAAATAAACAAACAAACAAAAAACATGATGTGACCTTATATATTACTCAGTTCAACCAATTTATTAAGTGCCTGTACTATGCCAGTTGTCCTACTAGGCACCCAGGTGCAGTAGTAGTAATTTACGGTGTGCAATTGTACATCATATTTCAAATATAAAATTATGATCTCAAACTTTTGAGATGCCCTATACCTGAAGGAATAATCTGAGATAAGTGAATGAAAAACAAAATAATTCAGATTTTCCTGGCCAAGTGATTGATCTCAAAAACTGCTCTACTTTTATGTTACCAACAGCCTTTAAAGATAATTGTCAAAGTGTAGCTTTCCTTCTATTGAAAGAGCAGGCCAATCTTGGTGAGAAAATTATTACCTTAATTTAATTTAAAAACAATGACAGTACAGACAATGCTATTTAGGTAACACAAAGCTAGAGTTGCAGTCTTAAGAAACTGTAATTAATATAAGGTCTCTAATTTATTTATTGAGCCTCTAATCTGTGGCAAGCAACAAAGGAATACCAAATAATTATTCACTGAATCTCAGGTCATGTTTAGCTCAGACATCAGGATGCTCAGAGCACGTGTTACAGGAAGATTAAATCTGAAGACCCAGGCCATTTTTCATAGACAAGAAAAAAGAGATTAAAAAGTAGCCTGCTGGAAAATGCTTTAGGAACCCAGTAGTCCCATTACGCAACAATCGTTTTGTGAATGTCTGCTCACTGCCCTTAGAATTAACTGTTTAATGCCAGCATTCTCCACAAACCTCTAGGCTCTGAGATGGTGGGGGCCCCTGTATACTTATTCACTATTGTATTCTTCACCACGTAGTACATAATGAACATTCCACTTATTTGTGGCATTAGTGTAAGATATGGTCCCTGGGTTCAAAGAGTTTATAACATATGAAAAGAGATAGATGAGCAGACTTTTTTTTTTAGTAAAAATGAGTGCAATGATAATGAAGATAACTATACTTTACCCACCACCCAACACATCTACTCTATTCCCTACTCCTATTTTTGGTCCATAACCATATAATACTACCTAACATGCTATGTTTTTCATATATTTTACTTATCTGCTCTGTTTCTCTCTCTCTTTCTCTCTGGGTATGTGTGCATGTATACAGTGTGCATATTTATGTTTGTGTGTATTCATATGTGTGCATGTATGTATACACATATGTATATATATATTTGTATGTATGTGTGTAGAGATGTATACACACACAAACATATATATACATACACATATATATGGAAGTATTGTCCAGTCCTAGAAGAATGTTTGGCAGATAGTAGGGAATGAGAACTACAGCTCGAATAAATTAAAAGTAATGGTGGGTACTGAGGGACACTAGACTCTTAGAGGAGCTTTCCCAGAGCCATGGTAAGGAGGTGAAGCTTTCAAGAGAGTAAAGATTCTGGCAGCACCTGAGAGAAGTGATACTGGAGAGGCGACAACAAATTCAGAAGGAAGCTGGATGAGATCTATCCGAAAGACAATAGCATCAACCTTGACCTATTCAGATCAGTAATTGGGGAGGAATTCATTTTAATGGTGGTCAATGAAAGGGTATAAATGAAAGGTTTGCTGGAAAGGCATTCACTCAAGGACAGAAAAATCAGGACCCAAAATCACTGCACTTCCTACCTGTTGCCCCTCCAGAGTTAGCATGGCAGCTTCCTTCCAGAAGTTGTGATCATGAAGAAGAATGAGAAGAAGGTGAGGGATCAGCGACTAATGGATCTAGCAGCTGATAAGAGCTCTGGGCACTGTACTAGAATGTGTAATAGAGAAACTGTGTTCGGCAATATATATTTTATTTTTACTTTTATTTTAGGTTCAAGAGTACAAGTGCAGGTTTGTTATAGAGGTAAATTGTATGTCACAGGGGTTTGATGTGCAGGCTAGTTTGTCACTTGGTGATAAGCATAGTACCAGATAGGTAGTTTTTTTATATTCACCCTCCTGCCACCCTTCATCCTGAAGAAGGCCCTGGTATCTATTGTTCTCTTCTTTGTGTCCATGTCTACTCAATGTTTAGTTCCCACCTATCAGTGAGAACATGTGGAATTTGGCTTTCTGTTGCTGCATTAGTTTATTAAGGATAATGGCCTCCAGCTCCATCCATGTTGCTGCAAAGGACATGATCTTGTTCTTTTTTATGCCGTGTAGTATTCCATGGTGTATATGTGCCACAATTTCTTTATCCAGTCTACCATTGTTGGGCATTTAGGTTAATTCCACATCTTTGCTATTGTGAATATTGCTGCAATAAACATTCACGTGCATGTATTTTTATGCTGGAATGATTTATATTCCTTTGGGTATATACCCAGTAATAGGATTGTGTTCAGCAATATTTAAATACCAAATGCACTGAGAGAGAGAAAAAAATAATCTTCATTTATAAAATTTACTTGAATAGTATATCATTGTCTATACCATCTTAAATTTCCTTTTTCCAATTATTTTTAAGTGATTTATCCATGTGGATCAATATAGAACTTCTTTGTTTATTTCAACAGCAATGTAGTATGCTATTGCATGTTTGCAGTATATTAATTAAGAAATTGGCTGGGCGTAGTGCCTCACACCTATTATGCCAACACTTTGGGAGGCTGAGGTGGGAGGATTTCTTGAGCCCTGGAGTTAAGAGACTGGCCTGGGCAACATAGTGAGACACCATCTCTACAAAAAAATAACAAAATTAGCAGGTGTGGTAGTATGTACCTATAGCTCTAGCTACTCATGAGGCTGAAACAGGAGGATTGCTTAAGCCAAGGGAGTCAAGGCTGCAGTGAGTCACGATCACACCTTTGCACTCCAGCCTGGGTGACAGAGTAAAACTTTATATTAAAAAAAAAGGAAAGAAGTTGCTGGAGTGGTGTAGTAGGCAGAATTCTAAGATGATCCCTAAGAATCCTGGCCCCTGTATATATGTCATGCATAATCCCAGATAATGAACATAATTAATTTTATGTCTGAAATTAGATTAATTTATATGGCACAGATTAACTTTAAAAAAATGGTTGGCTTGGCACTGTGGCTCACACCTGTAATCCCAGCACTTTGGGGGAGGCCTAGGCTAGCAGATCATTTGAGGTCAGGAGTTTGAGACTAGCCTGGCCAACATGGTGAAACCCCGTCTCTACTAAAAGTACAAAAATTAGCTGGGCGTGGTGGTGCGCACCTGTAGTCCCAGCTACTCGGGAGGCTGAGGCAGGAGAACGGCTTGAATCTGGGAGGCAGAGGTTGCCATGAGCTGAGATCGAGCCACTGCACTCCAGCCTGGGTGACAGAGCAAGTTACTGTCTCAAAAAAAAAAAAAAAAAAATATATATATATATATATATGGTGGACCAGACTTAATCACATGAGCCCTTTAAATCTGGGCCTAGAGGTCAGGGATAGAAGTCAGTGACTTAAAGTACAAGAAGGATCTGATATGCCATTGCTAGCTTGAAAATGGAGGGGCCACATGGCAAGAAATGCAGCTGAGAGTAGCCCCTGACTCACAGTCAGAGAGCAAACAGGGACTTCAGTCCTGGTACTGCGAGGAACTGAAAGTTTTTTTTTTTTTTAACAAGAATGAGCATGGAAGCAGATTGTTTTTACCTGTAGCCTCTGGATGAAAATGCAGCCCAGCCCTCACCTTGGTGTCAGCCTTGGGCTACTCCAGAGGGCGAGTCGTAGGGTAACAGACTTCCACAGAAATGGTGAGATAGCCAGTGATGATGAGCATAAAAAATGATGAGTTCATGTCCTTTGTAGGGACATGGGTGAAGCTGGAAACCATCATTCTCAGCAAACTATTGCAAGGACAAAAAACCAAACACTGCATGGTCTCACTCATAGGTGAGAACTGAACAATGAGAACACATGGACACAGGAAGGGACATCACACACTGGGGCCTGTTGTGGGGTGGGGGGAGTGGGGAGGGATAGCATTTGGAGATATACCTAATGTTAAATGACGAGTTACTGGGTTCAGCACACCAACATGGCACATGTATACATATGTAACTAACCTGCACATTGTGCACATTTACCCTAAAACTTAAAGTGTAAAAAAAAAAAAGAAACGGTGAGATAATAAATTTCTGTTGTTTTAAGCCACAAGGCTTGTGGTAGTTTGTTACACAGCAATAGAAAATGAATGGAAGCAGTAATGGCAAAATGTTAAAATTTAATTTACTGAGAAATGGAATCATTCTTTTCTTTTCATCTTTCTTTCTTTCTTTCTTTCTTTCTTTCTTTCTTTCTTTCTTTCTTTCTTTTCCTTCCTTCCTTCCTTCCTTCCTTCCTTCCTTCCTTCCTTCCTTCCTTCCTTCCTTCCTTCCTTCCTTCCTTCCTTCCTTTCCTTCCTTCCTTCCTTTCTTTCTCTTTCTTCTTTCTTTCTTTCTTTTTTTTTTTTTTTTTTCAGAGTTTTGCTCTTGTTGCCCAGGCTGGAGTGCAGTGGCACAATCTCAGCTCACTGCAACCTCTGCCTCCCAGGTTCAAGCAATTCTCCTGCCTCAGCCTCCAGAGTAGCTGGGACTACAGGTGCACACCACCACACCAGGCTAATTTTTGTATTTTTAGTAGAGATGGGGTTTCACCATGTTGGCCAAGATGTTCTCCATCTCCTGACCTTGTGATCCGCCCACCTTGGCCTCCCAAAGTGCTGGGATTACAGGTGTAAGCCACCACGCCGGCCAAATCATTCTTTTTCTATACTTTTCTATGTACTGAAAATATTTTATGATTTTAAAGGAAAGGAAGTTGTAATATTGAGGGAAAATGATAACTACGTTAGTAGAGGACTCAAGGGGTCCATGAGATTTGGGGTGAAGAGGTGCATATAGCATGAAAGGTGAGGGTAGATTCCCGTCTCCCAGACTCCCTTCATTCTGCCTCCATTTCCATTAGCACTTTGACCAGGATTGTTTTCCTTGATAATTCCCCTAAGTCTAGGTCGCAGTTTAGATTTTCAAGGACACAACATATATTTTATGTGGAAAAAAATGCAAATCTTTCTTTGGAAAAGCTAGAAAAGCAATAGGTGATGCAACTCAGATATTACTATGTGGCAAATGTCTCACTGGGGGGAAGAATCAGGAAGTATGAACAGTGAGGCTCCAGGAGAAGGAGAATGAACTGGGAGAAACAGCTTCAAAATGGTAATAACAAAGGCTGACTTTGGAAGAAATGGGACGACTGGGAAATAACTTGCCATTCAAAAATAATTTTAGAGGTCTACAAATGAGGAGCTCTGAAAGGATAAGCATGGAGTGGTTTAAAACAAACAAAAAACAACTATAAACGTTAATGATGTGAAAATGGTCATAAACCAATTGTGGGAATAATTTCAACAGAAGAACCAGGTCAACAAGAAGCTATAGTTCTTGAATTTACCCTAAATTTAATTTTAAAAGGGAGTTCTATGTGCTTTCTCTCTCTCTCTCTCTCTCTGTCTTTCTCTCTGTCTCTTTCCTTCCTGCATGTACTATAAACTCAATTAAAGTTAACGTGAGTTACGGGCAGCATTTCTAAATCACAAACCTCTTTGAGGCTAATTATTTTGAACTAAATTGTTAAACAGCAACGTTTTTCCTGGTTTGGCAATAAGCAAGATAACACCCTTGCACACATTATATTAGATTTCAAGAAAACATTTATGGAGATATTTCTTCTGTAACAGATTTTTTGCAACTAGTCTAAATTGAGAAAAGATGTGCATTACCCTGGATGCCTACCAAATGTTTTCATTATGACAGAATTGGCAACTTAACCTTCTTAAATGTATAAAATACCTGTTCTGGGGTATCTTGCCTTTATTGGGTAGTTACCACTTGTAAAGCCAGGAGATTTGGGTGAATAATCTCCATGTGCCCAGCTACTTTTCTTGTAGAATTATGTGACTCTAATTGCTTGCCCGTTGGGTTCTTAAGAGATCTATATAGCACAGTCCAGGGTAACATCTACATGGAACCTAACATCACTTATAGAAAGTCATTCATTCATTATTTATTGGGATTATTGGTGTCCTTGGCACCTAGGCCAGTGCCGTCTAGAGGAGAACGTCTGTGAGCATTTGCTGAATCAGTGAATCAATGGGCATCTATAAAGTGCTGGGCACTTGACTGGATCTGATGATACAAGGAAGACCATTTGATATAATACTAAATTGATGCACAGATATGGATACATGAACTACCTGTGTATGGGTCCTTGTTCAGGAGTCAAGAAAGAGGCACATGCAGATTATCTTTGCTGGTGGCATTCTGTTGCATGGACATATCGGGAGATGAGGGAGCAGGGAAGGTTGTCTCAGCAGTCAAGAACTTACTCTAGTCTCAGTTTTTCTAGGACTGGACTATGCAAGAAGTCTATTAAGGAACACAAAAGAACCCACCAGCACTTTTTAGGATAAAATCCAAGCTCTAGAGCTCCACCTTTTCTAGGGTCACTTACTTACATTTTCCAAGGGAAAAGTTCTAGCGGGATTGGTTTATCACCATCCAACAGAGAACACAAAATATTTAGCATATTTTGTGCTAAGAAACTGCATAGAGATTTGGGTTCATTATGTTCTGCTTTTAAGGTGTCACCTGGTATATTAAGCCACAGCAATACCTATCCAGCCCCCGCATAATCCAGCAATCACACATTCAATGCCACACATACACATTTCACTCTGGCAGGATGGTACACGTACAACACCAACTTCTGCAATTGGAGGAGACATTACCACAGTAGCTGGATCCATCTCAGTACTCACAGCCTGTGGGTTCTACTATGTTTGAAATAAACAGCACGTGTAAACCTACCAATAATTAAACAACAACAACAACACACAGATCATTTTAAGCAACAACTACTGGATCAACTCCTATTGTAAAGTGGAAAGAAAAAAATAACAGAAAAAGGCATGAAAATATCTCTCCAAAGAAGTGGTGGTAAATTCAATTTCCTGTAGAGGTCATGGAGGTAATACAAATACGTAAATCTGGATAGTTGTAAGACAGTGTGACAAATACAGCTGGCTTGAACAGGAGAGTGTGTGTCCTAGTGAAAGAGATTAAAATTAAAATTAAAAAGTGACACCAAACACTGCATGGGCCACCTTCTGCTGGATTCAGCCCACTGGCTGTCATTCTGAATTCATTGTACTGAATGTCCTGAGGAAATCCAGAAAAGAAAGCTAAGATACAGGGGAAGTCTAACTCACCATTCTCCAAGTGATCACATATCCAGAGGACATTTCCTCTGCAGTTTTCTTCCTTTGTTCATTCCCTATTCTTGCCTTGGTCAGGTTTCTAAAACCAGGAATTACCTACACTTTCATTTCCAAGAGGTCTATTCGTTGAGTAGGCTGTCCTGCTTGTTTAGGACTATTGTAGTTTTCTTTTATCTTTCATCCCTGCTCTGAAGAGTCCCAAGGGCTCTACTCTAGGATGGCAACCCTATGCCCATGATGAAGGCTCAGTCTTTGAGCCAACATCACTCTACATTTTTAGTTGATTCCCAGGAGCACTGGGTAGTAGTCTCAACTTTCAGTGTCATGCAAATATTATTATGGCTCCTAGAGAAGTAAGCACTCTTCCATGACTATTAAATTCTCCAAGTGAGAACATTCAGTGTAACAGGGCTGTTAAAAAAATTAAAGGGAGTCATAATTAGGTGCTGGAGACACTGCCTTATGGCTGCTTTTATGGAGGTAAGGGACATACCACATCCTGCTATTCAGGACTTCAGGTTTCTTAGAATAGTAGTCGCAGATGATAGCACAATTGGATGTGTTTCCACAATTTCTTTCAGAATTGTATCATAATAATTTCAAGTATGTCAGTAGCAAATTTGAAAAAATGTTTACGGTGCACCTTTATCTACCCAGCTCCTAGATTCTACATTTTATCTATACTAGTTTTGTCACGTATCTATTCATCTGTCTATTGATCCATCAATCTTATTTTTTATGCCTTTCATAAATTATAGGTATCAATATACTTTTCCCTAAGTACTTCAGTGTGCCTATAGTAACTAGAGTTCAATATTTATTGTTTTAAACAATTTCGATGTAAAATTTAGATACAATGAAGTGCACAAATCTTCAGCGTACATTTGCTGAATTTTGAAAAATGCATGCATCCGTGTAACTTATACTCCATCATCACCTTAAAAAGTTCCCTCATGCCTCTTTCCTGACAATCCCCAACTCACCCCCTGGCGAAAACAAAAACAAAAACAAGAAAACAAAACCCACTGTTTTGATTATTATTTACTATGGTTTAGCTCTGGACCATTGCATGAATGGAATCATACAGTATGTATTCTTTTTTTTTGTAAGGTTTCTTTCACTCAGCCTGATGTTTCTGAGACTCGTCCCTGTTATTGCATGTATCAGTAGCCAGCTTTTAAAATTATTGAGCAGTATTCCATTGCATAAATACTACGTTTTATCCATTTTTCTGTTGATGACATTTGGGGTGTTTCCAGTTTCAGAATGTCTGTCTCATGATGATTCTACACTTTGGCATCCCTCCTAACAATGTATGAGAGTTCCAGTTGCTTCATATTCTCACCAATATTTGGTGCTATCAGTAGTTTTTAAATTTTAGCCATTTAAGTGAGTATGTAGTGTTATTTCATGTTTTCCTTAGTCATATTTTCGTGTCCCCGATGACTAATTATATTGAATACCTTTCCTTGTGTTTACTTTCATTTTGTATATCTTCTTTGGTGAAAAATCTGTTGGAAACTTTTGTCCATTTTTTATATTTGATGTGTATCTTATTATTGAGTCCTAAAGGTTTCTTATTTTTCCTGGAGATTGGTATTTTGTCCGATACCTGTGCTTTTAGCTGGATTGCTTTAATGGGCCATTCCGCCATATCATCAACCTAGCCTTATGAATTTTAGGATTGTTGCTAGGATGAGTGTTCTCCTTGTCATTAGCATATGATCGCCTTTCTTTTCCTTTGTCCTCAGAAGCACACATGAAGAGCTTTGTAAATTCCTTCAATTATAGCATATGATACTTAAGAGAGGGGTTTGTCCTTTCTAAGCTGCTAAATTTTGTTTTACCTGAACCACCAATTTGAAAGAAAAAATTAAATGAAAGTTAAAATAATTTATGAAATAACAATCAACTTCTATGTTTGCTACTTTGATTGTGATAATGGCTTCATGGCTGTATACATATGTCCAAACATATGCATCAAATTATATGCATTAAATACATGCGAGGTTTTATATATTAATTACAGCCAATAATCCTGTTAAAGAAAACTAAAATGGAGTCGGAACAAATTAAAAAGTACATGCTAAAAAAACCTCATATATTTTATAGTTTGCAAGTTCTTTCAAATGTATTATTTCATTCAATACTCATTGATAGCCCTTTAAGTGAGGGTACTAGCTCCACTCTACAGATACATAAACTGGGACTTAGTAAGGATAAGGCTCTTGCTCAAGACCATCCAGCTGGTATACGAAAGAGCCAAATTCAGTTCTTCCAACTCTGCTCTTCACCAGTACCTGGCACCATAGTTAAAATGCATCCTGGAGGTCAGTGTCAGAATTAAGGCTGAAAGGCATGAGCATTTTACTGTCTTCCTTCTAATGGAGACACTGAAGTTGAGCTCTGTTGGTGAGTTATTAATCCTGCATTTCCTGCTAGTTGCATCTACCCTATGCCCTATTGTTATAAATATCAGGCTTGTTTTGGGAAACTATTTGTGAAATTAATGGCAATTTGACCTGTAAACAAACAAAGTGAAAGTAAACCAACTCTGGTCAAATTTGCTTTTAAATTGTAGTATTTTGAAGATTTCTACATACTGCAAAAAAAGCAGTTTGGTTTAGTTTCTCAAGGGTTTATTTTTAGAAAAAGCTTTGCAGATGATATGCAGAAGACATTTACTAACATAAAATTATTCTCATGACATGAATCAGCTTATTGCTGTTCATCTCATTTAAAATAATGGGTTCTTTACATTTGTTGGATTTATTTTAACATATTAAACCATTTTCAAAAGTGAATGTCAATTTGAAGAATTACTCTCTCCATGTGTTCAGTAACGGAAGGGAAGCTCACAAGTGCACCATCAGCAAATATCCAAAGGTTTCTCTCATTAAGCCTTCCCATTGCCTCTGAGTAGGTGAAAGGATTAGGTGACTTAATTCTTGCTTCTAATTCTGTTTCCATTTGAGTTTTAAATATTTACTGCCGCTTAGGAATCTTGCAGTTTGGTAATCTTCGATGAATCAGTGAAGTGTTTTGACTTATCACAAAAATGCCCTACAGAACAATCTTATTTTTTGCATCTTTCCCTTCCAAGACCAGGCCCACGGAAAGTAGGTTAGTTAAACTAGATCAAACGTATGTCTCAATAATTGAAACTCAGCTCCCTCTGGGAGCAGTAGAAATCCTGTTGTAAAGTCAGCACAATGACTGCAGAGAACATTCTTTTGTAATTTAGTTTTATTTATGTTTTTTCGAATAAAGTGTTTTTGTTTCCTTTGTCACTTTTTTTGACAAACACCCTGCACATAGTAGATATTCAGGAATAACCTACAAATCGAATTTAAATCTATTCTTTCTTGGGGAATCAGAACTGCTTTTTCTCTTTGTTTTTCCTTCCAAATTCCTCTAAATATTCAGAATGTTGAATGATGGTTTTACACTGGAGTTCTAAACTGGAGTTAATGGATAGAATTAAAGGAGTCTGTGAACTTGGGAGGAAAAATGGATCTTTCCCATGAGGAATATTTAATTAGAAGTCAGCATTTCCTTCTATTGTGAATATAAGCAATGCACCCACCCCCACCTCAGCATTGTAATGCTAGCAGTATTTCTGAACTTTTACTGACAACAAAAAATCAGGGATATTTTCAAATCACATTACATTTTTCAGATATTTTGAAATATCATTCATGTTTACCACTGTTTCAAAATTACTGGGCTCATGCCTGGATATTTTTATTTTCTGCATTCATAAGCTCATGTATTAAGGTATCACGTATTTGATTTTAATTACTTTAATAATCATATTTCAATATATTCAGTTTCCTTAGTAGTCTCATGCATCTTATTTTATGATTTGAACAGAGCTGGAACTAGGGTCTTGCAAGGCACAAACTGGAAGGTGAATGTTTCCTTCAGGATCAGGTGCCAAGGGTACTACATGAAAGAGAGAACTGGCTCTCAGGTCTTTGGAAGTGCAGGATCAGTGAGGGTAGAACTAGCATTTCTACAGATCCAAGAGTGATTTCTTAAGTTTTGCAAATTCAATATCTTCTTTTCCTCACCCTAGTCCAGGCTCTGTCTTTCAAAACACTATCCTGAGTGTGATTCCCTTTTCAATTGTAATTCTTGAACATGTCCTCATCCCTCAGGGAAGTCTAGCATACCCATGAAGTGTGCTTGGGAGGCGTGAAGAAAAGGAATCCAGAGAAGGGTGGTTTTTCTCACATTCCAGTTTCTCTTCTTTCCTTGGAAGACAGAGCAACAGCAGCCCATTGAAGGCACTGTGGCCAAGAATTCTGGGACATGGCATGACCGACTGCAAAGGAAATGGAGATACTAAGCACTGATATGAGTGGGGTGGTCACTGAGATAACGACACAAACTTGAAAAAAAAAAAAAACCTCTCATAAGGGATGCAAGATGGGCCCAACACTTTCTGAATATCCATTGGAAGTAGCTGTGTCCTACCCTAATGCTCAGAGTCTGTGACCATGTCCCTGGGAGATTTCTTAGATGGGCTTAATCCTTAAGGGGCTATGAGAATCCTGTAAAAAAGGCAACTTTCTCAGGCTAGTAGCATAAAAGGAAGTCAGAATAATTTAAAGCATAATAGGTTTTTGAAGAACTTTTGTTGGCTTGGAGATGGAGGATAGACACAGAATATGGGTGTCTAAGTAAGAGAAAACCCCAACTAGCAGCCTTCCAGGAAACACAGCCTCAGCTCTACAATGGCAAGGAACTAAATTCTCCCACATGGGAATGGGCTTTGAAGCAGATTTTTCCTCACAACATCTAAATGAAGACTCAGTTCTGCAGATACCTTGATTTCAACCTTGTGAAACCATAAGCAGAAAACCCAAGCACACCATCTCGGACTCCTGACCTACAGAACTGTGAGCTGATAAAAGGGTGCTGGTTTAAGCTGCTAGATTTGTGGTAACTTGTTACACAGTAATATAAACTAACAGGAACTGACCACTGGAAAATGGGATGGGACAAGATATATTTGCCAGGCCAAAGTGCTGTGCACAGACTTTCTCAAAACCTGTGTTCCCATCTCTGTCGTTTTTCATACTTCTCCTTACATAATTGCTGTTGAATATCTGTGAATTGAGTAGCATGCAAATAGCTAATTCCAAAGCCAGCAATCTTACACTAGTGTGTTAGGCCCTTCTTGCATTGCTATAGAGAAAACCTAAGATTGGGTAATTTATAAAGAAATGAAGTTAATTTGGCTCATGGTTCTGCAGACTGTACAGGAAGCATAGCACTGGAATCTGCTTCTGAGGAGGCCTCTGGAAACGTAGAATCATGGTGGAAGGTGAAGTGAGAGCTTGCACATCACATGGCAAGAGCAGGAACAAGATACAATTGTGGGGTGGGGGGTGTGCCAAACACTTTTAAATGATCAGATCTCAGGAGAACTCACTCATTATTGCAAGGACAGCACCAAGGGGGAGGGGGATTGTGCCAAACCATTCATGAGAGATCCACCCCCATGATCCATTCACCTCCCACCAGGCCCCACCTCCAACACTGGGGATTACATTTCAACATCAGTTTTGGTGAGGACACAAACTTAAACCATATCAACTAAGGAATGATATTTACAGGTCTAAAAAACCAGAAATAGAGTACAGGAGCAAGAGGTGAAATAGTAGGCTCCACCAATCATCCTTCCTACAAGGACACCAGTTTAACCACTATCTACACATAAAAAAAACACCTTCGTAAGAATCAAAAATCAGGCAAGCCCTCATAATATTGGTTTTATCTTTGTGTCCTTGAAAGAGGCACTAAAGAGATAGAAAAAAAAAAGAGACCTGAATTGCTGAAGCCACCACTCTCCCACCCCCTTTACAGAGGCGTATGGTGCATGGAGCTTCTCTAGGTGCTAGGGGAGGGAGACAGTGGTGAGGCATTGAACTCAGTGCTGTCCTGTTACAGAATAAAGGAAAACCAGACCAAATCCAGCTGTTGCCTGCCCATGGAGGAAGCATTTAAAGCAGACCTAGCCAGAGAGAAATTGCATGTCCCAATGGACAGAACTTGAATTCCAGCAAATCTTACCACCAAGGGCTACAGTGCTGTGTGTCTTCAAGTAAATTTCAAAAGCAGTTTAAGCCACAAGAACTGCAACTCTTAGGTGAGTCCTAGTGCTGACTGGGCCCAGAGATAGTGGACTTGGGGGTGGGGGTGAGGCACATGACCTACTGGGACACCAGCCAAGGGCAACTAAGTGAGCGCTGGCATCACCCCTTCCCCAACCCCAGGCTGCACAGCTCATAGCTTCAAAAGAGATTCCTTCCTTCCACCTGAGGAGAGGAGAGGGAATAGTGGGGAGCAATTTGTCTTGCATCTTGATACCAGCTCAGCCACAGCAGGAGAGGGCACCAGTCAGAGTTGTGAAGCTCTTGTTTTAGGCCCTACCTCCCAGATGGACATTTATAGACAAACCCTGGGCCAGAAGGGAACCAGCTGCCTTGAGGGGAGGGATCAAATCCTGGCAGCATTCATCACCTGTTAACTGAAGGGCCCTTGGGCCCTGAATAACCAGCAGTGATACTCAGGTACTACATTGAGGGCCTTGGTGAGCCTCTGAGATGTGCTGGCTTCAGGTGAGACTCAGCAAATAAATGGCTGTGGTGGCCATAGGGCAAAACTTCTTCTGCTTGAGAAAAGCAGAGGGAAATGTAAAGGAGACTTTGTCTTTCACCTGAGATACCAGCACAGCCACAGGAAGGTAGAGCATCGAGTGGGCTCTTGGGGTCCCTGATTCCAGGACTTGACTCTTGGACACATTTCTGGACCTGCCCTGGGCCGCTGGCCTGAGACTTACTCTTCAGGTCATTGGGCTCCCCTCTGGCCTAGGTCAGGTCCCTTGGGCTGTAAGGGAACATCACCACTAGTCTGGCAGTACTCCCCATGGCTTATGGTGGTGGTGGCTATAGGATGAGGCTCCATTGCCTTTGGAAAGTGGACAGAAGAATGGGAGGGACTTCATCTTGTAGTTTGAGTGCCAGGTTAGCTGCAGTATAATAGAACATCAGGCAGACTTCAGATGTTTTTTGACTTTAGTCCCTGAGTCACTTCTGGACCCACTTGGGTCTGGGAGAAATCCCTGAAGGGAAGAAGATATGCCTGGATTGTTGTGCCAGCCCTGAAGGGAGGACACAGACCTGTCTGGTTTTGCCATCTGCTGAGTGTAGAGCCCCAGGGCCTTGAGTGAACATAGGTGGTGGCCAGGGAGTGGTCACAGTGGGCCTTGGGCAAGACCAAGTACTGTGCTGGCTTCAGGTCTGACCCAGTGCAGTCAGAACAGTGGTGGCCACAGGGGTGCTTGTGTCACCCTACCTCTAGCTTTAGGTGGCCCAGAACACACTCAGAGAGAGACTCTGTTTGGGAGAAAGTAAGGGAAGACAGCAAAGAGTCTCTGACTGGTAATACAGAGAATTCTCCTGGATCTTGTTCAAGACCATCAAGGCAGTACCTCTAGAAGTCTGCAAAAACCACATCATTATTGGCTTGTGGTGACCCCTAAAGAAGATACAGCTTAAATCACAACCCTCAAGTCCTTTCAAATATCTGCAAAGCCTTCTCAAGACAGACAGGTACAAAAGAAAGGGAAGACTACAAAAAATACTTGACTCTTCAATGCATAGACACTGAAGAACATCTGATAGCATCAACACCACCCAGGAAAACATGACCTCACTAAATGAACTAAATAAGGCACTAGGGACCAATCCTGGAGAAACAGAGATATGTGACCTTTCAGACAGAGAACTCAGAATAGCTGCTTGAGGAAGCTCAAAGAAATTCAGGATGACACAGGGAACGAATTCAGAATTCTATCAGTTAAATTTTGGATAAATTCTCTCAGACAAAGAGATTGAAAAAATTAAAAAGAATCAAACAGCCTGGAGCTGAAAAATGCAATTAGCATATTGAAGAATACGTTGGAGTTTTTAAATAGTAGAGTTGATTAAGCAGAAGAAATAGTGAGCTAGAAGACAGCTATTTGAAAATACACAATCAGAGGAGACAAGAGAAAAGAGAATAAAAAACAAGGAAGCATGCCTATAGGATCTAAAAAGTAGCCTCCGAAGGCCAAATCTAAGAGTTATTGGCCTTAAAGAGGAGGTAGAGAAAGAGATATGGGGTAGAAAGTTTACTTAAAGGAATAGTAAGAGAGAACTTCCCAAACCTAGAGAAAGATAGCAATACAAAAGGGTTATAAAACATCAAGCAGACTTAACCCAAAGAAGACTACCTTAAGGCAATTAATAATCAAACTCACAAAGGTCAAGGATAAACAAGGATCCTAAACACAGCAAGAGAAAAGAAACAACATACAATGGAGCTCCAATTTGTCTGGCTGCAGACTTTTCAGTGGAAACTTTACAGGCAAGAAAAGAATGGCACAACATATTTAAAGTGCTGAAAGAAAAAAAAAACTTTTACTCTAGAATAGTATATTCAGCAAAAATATACTTCAGACAGGAAGGAGAAAGAAAGATTTTCCCAGATAAGCAAAAGCTGAGGGATTTCATCGCCAGACCTGTACTACCAGAAATTCTAAAGGAAGTACTTCAATCAGAAAGAAAAGGACATTAATGAGCAATAAATAATCACCTGAAGTTACAAAACTCACTGGCAATAGTAAGTAAACACAGAAAAACATACAATGTTATGACACTGTAACTGTGGTTTTATAAACTACTCTTATCCTAAGTAGAAAGACTAACTTATGAACCAATAAAAAACGATGACAACAACTTTTCAAGATAGACATGGTACAGTAAGACATACACAGACACAACCAAAGTTAAACAGTGAGGGGATGAAGTTAAGGCATAGAGTTTTTACTACTTTTCTTTTTGTTTGTTTATGCAAACAGTGTTAAATTGTTATTAGGTTAAAATAATAGGTGATAAGATACTATTTGCCAGCTTCATGGTAACCTCAAACCAAAAATCATGCAATGGACACACAAAAAATAAAAAGCAAGAAACTAAATAGTATCACCAGAGAAAATGTCCTTCAGTAAACAAAGACAGGAATGAAAGAAAGATGGAAGAGAAGACCACAGAACAACCAGAAAACAAATAATAGCGTGGCAAGATTAAGTCCTCACCTATCAACAATAACACTGAATGTAAATGGACGAAACTCTCCAATCAAAAGACAGAGAGTGGCACGCGCACATGCGCACACACACACACACACACACACACAAAAAGACCCAATGTTCTGTTGCCTAAAAGAAACACACTTCACCTATGAGGACACGAATAAATTGAAAACAAAGGAATGGAAAAAGATATCACATGCCAATGGAAACCAAAAAAGAGCAGGAGAATCTATACTTATATCAGACAAAATAGAGTTTAAGACAAAGACTGTAAGAAGAGACAAGGCCACTATACAATGATAAAGATGTCAATTCTGCAACAGAATATAACAATTCTAAACATATATGCGTTCAACACTGGAGCACCCAGATATGTAATGCAAATATTGGTAAAACTAAAAAGAGAGAGAGATGGGCCCCAATACAATAATAGCTGGAGACTTCAACACCCCAATTTCAGCATTGGACAGATCTTCCAGAAAGAAAATCAACAAAGAAACACTGGACTTCATCTGCACTATAGACCAAATGAATCTAATAGATATTTACAGACTTTTCATCCAATGGCTTTAGAATACACATTATTTTCTTCAGCACATGGATTATTCTCAAGGATATATCATATGTTAGGTCACAGAACAAGTCTTAAAACATTCAAAAAATCAAAATAATATGAAGCATCTTCTCTGACCACAATGGAATAAAGCTATAAATTAATAATGAGAAGAATTTTGGAAACTAAGCAAATATGTAAATATTAAACAATATACTCCTGAGCGACCAGTAGGTCAATGAATAAGAAGGAAATTAAAAAATTTCTTAAAACAAATGATAATGGAAACACAACATACCAAAATCTATGGGATACAGCAAAAGCAGTACTAAGAGGGAAGCTTATAGCTATAAGTGCCTACATCAAAAAAGAGGAAAAACTTCAAATAAACAATCTAATGATGCATCTTAAAGAACTAGAAAAGCAAGAGCAAATCAAACCCAAAATTAGGAGAAGAAAAGAAATAATAAATATCAGAGCAGAAATAAATGAAATTAAAACAAAAAATACAACAGATCAAAGAAACACAGAGTTGGTTTCTTGAGAAGTTAAATAAAATTGACGAACATTTAGCAAGACTAAGAAAAAAGGGAGAGAAGATAAAAATAAATAAAATCAGAAATGAAAAAGGAGACATTACAACTGATTCATACATCACAGTATTTCAAAGGATCATTAGTGGCTAATGTGAGCTACTATATGGCAATAAACTGGAAAATCCAGAAGAAATGGAAAAATTCCTGCACACATACAACCTACCAAGATTGAATCAGGAAGAAATCCAAAATCTGAACAAACCAATAACAAGTAATGAGATGGAAGCCGTAATAAAAAAATTCCGAGCAAAAAAAAAGCTCAGGACCTGATGATTTCATTGCTAAATTCTACCGAACATTTAAAGAACTAATACGAATCCTACTCAAACTATTCTGAAAAATAGAGGAGTAGGGGATATCTCTAAACTCATTTTATGAGGCCAATATTACCCTGATATCAAAACCAGGCAAAGACACATCATAAAAAGAAAACTAAAGACCAATATCTCTGGTGGATGTTGATGCAAAAATCACCAATAAAATATTAGCAAACTGAATTCAGTAATACATTAGAAGGATCATTCATCATGACCAAGTAGAATTTATCCCTGGGATGCAAGGATGGTTCATTATGTGCCAATCAATCAATGGGATACATCATATCAACAAAATGAAGAACAAAAAACATATGATTTCAATTAATGCTGAAAAGGCATTCGATAAAATTTCACATCCCTTGATGATAAAAACTCTAAAAAAACCAGGTATAGAAGGAACATAGTTCAACATAAGAAAAGCCATGTATGACAGACCCACAGCTAGCATCATACTGAATGGGGAAAAACTGAAAACCTTTCCTCTAAGATCTGAAACACAATAAGGATGTCCACTTCCGCCGCTGTTATTCAACATAGTGTCAGAAATCCTCACTAGAACAATCAGACAAGAGAAATAAATAAGGGTCATCCAAATTGGAATGGAAGAAGTCAAATTGTCCTTGTTTACAGATGATATAATCTTATATTTGGAAAAACCTAAAGACTCTACAAAAAAACAACCTACTTGAACTGATAAATTCAGTAAAGTTGCAAGATACAAAATCAACATACAAAAATTAGTAGCATTTCTATATGCCAAAAGTGAAAAATCTGAAAAGGAAATTAAAAAGTAATTCCATTTATAATAGCCACAAAGTTAAATACCTAGGAATTAGCCAAAGAAGTGAAAGACTTCTATAATGAAAACTATGAAACGCTGACGAGAGAAGTTGAAGAGGACACCAAAAAATCGAAAAATATTCCGTGTTTATGGATTGGAAGAATCAATATTGTTAAAATGTTTATACTACCTAAAGCAATCTACAGATTCAATGCAGTCCCTACCAAAATACCAATGACATTCATCAAAGAAGTAGGACAATCTTAAAATTTATATGGAACCTCCAAATACCCAAGGTAGGCAAAACTATCCTAAGCAAAAAGAACAAAACTAGAGGAATCACATTACCTGACTTCAAACTATACTACCGTGATATAGAACCAAAATAGCATGGTACTGGCATAAAAAACAGACATATAGACCAATAGAACAGAAAAAGAGAACCCAGAAACACATCCACACACCAACAATGAACTCATTTTTGACCAAGCTGTGAAGAATATACACTGGGGAAAAGATATTTTCTTCAATAAATGATGCTGGGAAAACTGAACATCCATATGCAGAAGAATGAGTGAAGCTAGACCCCTACCTCTCACCATATACAAAAATCAAACCAAAATAGATTAAAGACTTAAATCTAAGACCTCACGCTATGAAACTACTACAAGAAAACATTGGAGAAACTCTCCAGGATATTGATCTGGACAAAAGTTTCTTGAGTGATACCCCAGAAACACAGGCAACCAAAGCAAAAATAGACAAATGGGATCATATCAAGTTAAAAAGCTTCTGCACAGCAAAGGATACAATCAACAAAGTGAAGACACAACCCATAGAATGGGAGGGAATATTTGCAAACTACCCATCTCACAAGGGATTAATAACCAGAATATATAAGGAGCTCAAACAAATCTATAGGAAAAAATGTAATAATTCCACCAAAAATGGCAAAATAAATAAATAGACATTTCTCAAAAGAAGATATACAAATGGCAAACAGGCATATGAAAACGTAGTCAGCTTCATCAATCATCAGATAAATGTAAATCAAAACTACGCTGAGATGTCATCACCCCCCAGTCAAAATAGCTTATATTTAAAAGACAGGCAATAGCAAATGCTGGTGAGAATGTGGAGAAAAGGGAACCCTTGTGCACTGTTGGTGGGAATGTAAGTTAGTACAACCACTATGGAGAACAGTTTGGAGGTTGCTCAAAAAACCAAAAATAGAATTACCATATGATCCAAAAACGAAAAACTGAGCAATCCCACTGGCTGGCATATACCCATAAGAAAGGAAATTAGTAGGCTGGGCACGGTGGCGCACGCCTGTAATCCCAGCACTTTGGGAGGCCTAGGCGGGCGGATCACAAGGTCAGCAGATCGAGACCATCCTGGCTAACACGGTGAAACGCCGTCTTTACTAAAAATACAAAAAAACAAACAAAAAAATAGCCGGGCGTGGTGGCGGGCGCCTGTAGTCCCAGCTACTCCGGATGTTGAGGCAGGGGAATGGCGTGAACCCGGGAGGCGGAGCTTGCAGTGAGCCAAGGTCGCGCCACTGGACTCCAGCCTGGGCGACAGAGCAAGACTCCATCTCAAAAAAAAAAAAAAAAAAAAAAAGGAAATTAGTATATCAAAGAAATAGTCGGCACTCCCCATGTTTGTTGCAGCGCACTGTTCACAATAGCTAAGATTTGGAAGCAACCTAAGTATCCATCAACAGATAAATGGATGAAAAATGTGGTACATATGCACAGTGGAATACTAGTCAACCATAAAAAAGAATGAGATCCTGTCATTTTCACCAACCTGAGTGGAAATGGAGATCATTAAGTGAAATAAGCCAGGCACAGAAAGACAAATGTTGCGTATTCTCACTTATTTGTGGGATCAAAAAATCAAAACAATTGAACTCATGGACATAAAGAGTAGAAGGATGACTACCAGAGCCTGGGAAGGGTAGTGGGGGGTGGAGCAGGAAGAGGAGATAGTTAATGGGTACAAAAAATGGAAAGAATAAGACCTACTATTTGATTGCACAACAGCGTGCCTATAGCCAATAATAACTTAACTGTACATTTAAAAATAACTATAATAATGAAATTGGATTTTTTGTAACACAAAGAATAAATGCCCAAGGGGATGGATACCCTATTCTCCATGATGTGATTATTTCACATTGAATGCCTGTATCAAAATGTCTGATCTACCCCATAAATATATACATCTACTGTGTACCCACAAAAATTAAAAATTAAAAAAATGTAAAAAACAACCAGAAATGTTAGAAATTTATTTTTTTCTCTCTTTTAATATGCCTTCCTTTGCTAGAGTTACGACTTTTCAAGATACATTAAGGCACTTTGAGAAATCTTAAAGAGTATGAACTGTATTATATTCATCTTTAGGTTTAAAAAATTCAATCTAGTCTTTGGAGCACAGTAGGTTCTCAAACATATTGAATTAAAGTAGGAACAGTACAAAGAGCAGAATTTATGGTAATCAGTTTTATTTTTGACAAGATTATTTACCATGTAAATGTCATGGTATCTGAAATGTGTTCATTGCACATACCCAAGAGATCCCAAATGCCAGTATGGAAAACAGCAGACCAAAGAAACATAAAATAATTCAGGAGAAAAAAATTGACAGGCAGGAATGCTGCATCGTGTAGCATTAAGAATATGATATTTAAATTAAAAACTGACCTGGGTTTAATCTCATCTCAGCTGTGTAAAAAGTCTGAGATCTTGGAGAAATTATTTAACCACTCTGAATCCTCATTTCCTCATCTATAAATGAGAGGTCATTAAAACAATTCTCCCAAATGGTTGATGTGAATATCAAATGAGATCATTTCTATAAAACCCTTAAAATAGTATTTGACCCATTGTAATCATAAAATTAACAGAAGTTATTATAAACTATAAAAATTGAGTACTTTTTTTAAGAAACTGATATTTTCAGGGAAAAATGAAACTGAATCCAGGGTAGATGTTATTAGAATATTGATTTTTTTCTCACCAATGGCATTACATTTTTTTGGAAAGCAAAATATACTGGATTTTAACAGTCCCAAATTATATATGATATACATATCTCATGTTATCTGTTGAGTTAATGATTTTGAGTCTATGATTTAGTTTTTTTTTTCTTTATTTATTATTATTATACTTTAAGTTTTAGGGTACATGTGCACAATGTGCATGTTAGTTACATATGTATACATGTGCCATGCTGGTGCGCTGCACCCACTAACTCGTCATCTAGCATTAGGTATATCTCCCAATGCTATCCCTCCCCTCTCCCCCCACCCCACAACAGTCCCCAGAGTGTGATGTTCCTCTTCCTGTGTCCATGTGTTCTGATTGTTCAATTCCCACCTATGAGTGAGAATATGCGGTGTTTGGTTTTTTGTTCTTGCGATAGTTTACTGAGAATGATGATTCCCAATTTCATCCATGTCCCTACAAAGGACATGAACTCATCATTTTTTATGGCTGCATAGTATTCCATGGTGTATATGTGCCACATTTTCTAAATCCAGTCTATCATTGTTGGACGTTTGGGTTGGTTCCAAGTCTTTGCTATTGTGAATAATGCTGCAATAAACATACGTGTGCATGTGTCTTTATAGCAGCATGATTTATAGTCCTTTGGGTATATACCCAGTAATGGGATGGCTGGATCAAATGGTATTTCTAGTTCGAGATCCCTGAGGAATCGCCACACTGACTTCCACAATGGTTGAACTAGTTTACAGTCCCACCAACAGTGTAAAAGTGTTCCTATTTCTCCACATCCTCTCCAGCACCTGTTGTTTCCTGACTTTTTAATGATTGCCATTCTAACTGGTGTGAGATGGTATCTCATTGTAGTTTTGATTTGCATTTCTCTGATGGCCAGTGATGGTGAGCATTTTTTCATGTGTTTTTTGGCTGCATAAATGTCTTCTTTTGAGAAGTGTCTGTTCATGTCCTTCACCCACTTTTTGATGGGGTTGTTTGTTTTTTTTTCTTGTAAATTTGTTAATTTGTTTGAGTTCATTGTAGATTCTGGATATTAGCCCTTTGTCAGATGAGTAGGTTGCGAAAATTTTCTCCCATTTTGTAGGTTATCTGTTCACTCTGGTGGTAGTTTCTTTTGCTGTGCAGAAGCTCTTTAGTTTAATTAGATCCCATTTGTCAATTTTGGCTTTGATTGCCATTGCTTTTGGTGTTTTAGACATGAAGTCCTTGCCCATGCCTATGTCCTGAATGGTAATGCCTAGGTTTTCTTCTAGGGTTTTTATGGTTTTAGGTCTAACATTTAAGTCTTTAATCCATCTTGAATTGATTTTTGTATAAGGTGTAAGGAAGGGATCCAGTTTCAGCTTTCTACATATGGCTAGCCAGTTTTCCCAGCACCATTTATTAAATAGGGAATCCTTTCCCCATTGCTTGTTTTTCTCAGGTTTGTCAAAGATCAGATAGTTGTAGATATGCGGCGTTATTTCTGAGGGCTCTGTTCTGTTCCATTGATCTATATCTCTGTTTTGGTACCAGCACCATGCTGTTTTGGTTACTATAGCCTTGTAGTATAGTTTGAAGTCAGGTAGTGTGATGCCTCCAGCTTTGTTCTTTTGGCTTAGGATTGACTTGGCGATGTGGGCTCTTTTTTGGTTCCATATGAACTTTAAAGTAGTTTTTTCCAATTCTGTGAAGAAAGTCATTGGTAGCTTGATGGGGATGGCATTGAATCTGTAAATTACCTTGAGCAGTATGGCCATTTTCATGATATTGATTCTTCCTACCCATGAGCATGGAATGTTCTTCCATTTGTTTGTATCCTCTTTTATTTCCTTGAGCAGTGGTTTGTAGTTCTCCTTGAAGAGGTCCTTCACATCCCTTGTAAGTTGGATTCCTAGGTATTTTATTCTCTTTGAAGCAATTGTGAATGGGAGTTCACTCATGATTTGCCTCTCTGTTTGTCTGTTATTGGTGTATAAGAATGCTTGTGACTTTTGTACATTGATTTTGTATCCTGAGACTTTGCTGAAGTTGCTTATCAGCTTAAGGAGATTTTGGGCTGAGAGGATGGGGTTTTCTAGATGTACAATCATGTCATCTGCAAACCGGGACAATTTTACTTCCTCTTTTCCTAATTGAATACCCTTTATTTCCTTCTCCTGCCTAATTGCCCTGGCCAGAACTTCCAACACTATGTTGAATAGGAGTGGTGAGAGAGGGCATCCCTGTCTTGTGCCAGTTTTCAAAGGGAATGCTTCCAGTTTTTGCCCATTCAGTATGATATTGGCTGTGGGTTTGTCGTAGATATTTTTCTTTTCTCCATTGCTGGATTTCAACTGTTACCTTTGTTATCAGATTCATAAGAGCCATGTTAGTTTAGTTGATAAAAATGTTTTGCTTTACAGAAACATTCTTGAAAGCAATAGGCCTATGCCATTCTCATTTCAGTGGAACTTAGTCTGATACAAAATATAAAGAGATGAAAAGCATTCTCTATTGTAATTGTTTTGAAAACAAGAATATAATAAGTAAAACATACCAGTGATGGCATTTATTTTACTTCTGAACTCATCAGTGAAATTAGTGGAAGAGTAATGTTGTTGGTCACAATAGTTAGAAGTCTGACACTAACATTGTGTACTAGAACTAGAATTTTTCTGTAGCCTTATAATCTGAGTGTTTCTGAAACAATTCAGAAAATGCAAATGAATAATTTTTAAAGTATACACATTTGCATGAACACACTAAGATTTCACATATAAAATGTACTTAATTTAAACAGAGTCCTCAAAGCACCACGTGGATGGAACTTTGATCATAAATGTTTTTCATCTATTCGTTATTCAATTCATTCAATTTTCAGTTGATTATATTTTTTCCCTGTTAAACTTTAAGCAATCTTTACTAAAAAGTCATGAAACTTCTTATAGTACAAAAAAAATCCCAGGGACAAGTGTGGGTATACTTAATTGCTGTATATCAACATTCTCCAAATAGAGAATAATTTCCTATCATATCAAAAAATATCAAAAATAGTAAATTGATGATTAAGCTACAAATATTTTGAGAATAAAGATTTAAATCAACAGGGATAATGTAATATTCATAAACTTTTGTTGTCCACAAGGAATTAACATTTTCAAATAAAAATACTCAAAGAAAAAAAAGAAAAGCCAGAGGCCTGGTTTATCATTTTTCTTTTTTAATGAGTAGTTCTGCAAACAGATAGCTTAACCTCAGTGGGCCTCAGTTTCTCTATTTGTAAAATGAATCAGTTTGACTGAATATCTGTATGGCTCATTAAAACACAATAATTATTAAAGTTGAGAGTATCATCTTATTTACCAAGGTCCATTATATGTAGATGGATCTTTGCAAGGAAAATGTATTACTCCATTTTCATACCATGATAAAGAACTGCCGAGACTGGGTAATTTATAAAGGAAAGAGGTTTAATTGACTCACAGTTCAGCATGGCTGGGGAGGCCTCAGGAAACTTACAAGCATGGCAGAAGGCGAAGAGGAAGCAAGGCATCTTTTTCACAAGGTGGCAGCAAGAAGTGCCTAGCGAAGGGAGAAGAGGCCCTTATAAAACCATCAGATCTTGTGAGAACTCACTCACTATCACAAGAACTGCATGGGGGAACCGCCCCCATGCTTCAATTACCTCTACCTTGTCTCTCCATTAACACATGGGATTATGGGGGTTACAATTCAAGATGAGATTTGGGTGGGGACACAAAGCCTGACCATATCAGAAAATAAACACTTTGGAGTTGTACACAGACAAGAACAAATGTTGCTAGGACTTTCTATAGAAAACTAAGGGCATTCACATTTAACATCAGGTAATTGTTTTCTTTTATTATCATAAATAATGTATGTGTTATTGGGTTATAAACATCTTTAATAATTTTCCTTTCCATCTAAAAATGAATCAAATATGATCTTAACAAAAAGTACATATATTTAATTAAATCAGAACTGTATCTTGTAAGTAAATGAAGTGAAACAAAAACTGCTTTAAACAATGAAGTGGAATTATTGGATGATGACATTGAAAAAACCTAACAGCCTCAATCTAGTTAGGACTCCACATCCATTCATCTGCCATTCTGGCATTCTTCTCTGTGTTGGCTTAGTTCTCAGGCTGCTTTACCATGTAACTGTCAGACAGGTGCAAGCAGCAACTATAGCTATGGCTTCCTCATTTTCACCCATGTGGAGAGGGCATTGTTGCACCAGAAAATCAAACAAATGCCTGTGATTCCCCTTGATTGAGGGACTCCCAGTTCAGACCCTGTGAGCACAGAAAATGCCATATACCAATTTGGAAAGGACCATTATCTGGTCCAGTATCCATGGCAGTATCCATGGTAAAGATTGTACAATTAGGGTTCATCCAATGCTGCACAATGATGGATGAAAAATTCTCCAAAGAAAATTCTAGTTTCTGTTAGGAAGAGAGAAGAGAGAGTACTTTTAGATTATGCAACCAACAAATGTCAAATGTATGAGTATATATTCAAATGTATTCAATGTTTACAGTGAGAATATTACAGACACCAGTTGTTTTATGTTTTCTTATAGTATTTGGAACTCTAAATATGAAAAATGAGATCTAAGTTAAAATATTGGTGAATATTTATTGGATCTCCTAGTGGGAAATAGATTTAAGAATAAGAACAATGGACAAAATGTAAGTGAAAAGGGTGACATTTTAAAATTGTACATGAAAATATCCATAAAAATTAAAAGACAAATATAAGTTAGGAAAAATAGTTGCTAGAAAAATGATGAAGAATTAGCATCCTTCAAGATTAAAAGATTTCTTCACAACAACGAAGGCAACAATCCACCTTGTAGCAGACACTGTGGATGACTCACTTACTCTTCTTGGCTCATAATATTGGCAGGAAGCCAGTACTCACTTCTCCTTACCCCTGGTGGCCTGTGGCAGGCTGAAAGTGCTAGAGAGTTAATGCCCAATCCCCTAACAGTTCCTAGCTATAGACGGACAGGAGCTGTTGTGGAAATACCCTAGCTTTCTAGTCCATGGGTGGGATGATTTTGGATGGAAACCCTCTAAAACACAGAGCCTTTATCAGCCCCTTCTCTTCTCTGATTTCCCTTCTCTGTGATCAGGGTTTTCCAGGATTACCAACTCAACCCACTACTTTCACTCAAATACCACTGTCAGGGAAAGTTCCTATAAGAACCCAGACACTTCCACATCAATTTTTTAAGTTTTCAAAATTGCTCAAATTTTGAGATGTTTTTATCACAAAAAAAGAGCATAATTTAAGGTCATGGATTTATTAATTCACCTGATGAAACCATTCCATATAGTAAACATATACCAAAACATCACATTGTACCCTATAAATAAATACAATTTTGCCAATTAAAATTTGTAAAAAGTGAGTAAACAAACCACTACAGAATAAACATGAATATTTATTCACAGAAAACCCACAGAATAAAAGTGAAAAAAACTTCTACTTTGTAGTTATTAAACAAATAGGGAGATCCTATTTTTATTTTGTCAAGATTGTCCAAAATTAAGAGATAAAACTCAGTGTGTTATAAAGGGTATATTCAGGAAATCTTCCCATAATGTGAAGGTGATTTAGCAAAAATACTTACGAATATATTTTAAAAACATTTGTTTTTCAACTCAGTATGTCTACTTTTAATAGGTATTTGTAGATCTGTTAGAAATTATATCTAATTAATTAGAAAATACTGGCTGGGCATGGTGGTTCATGCTTGTAATCCCAGCACTTTGGGAGGCCGAGGTGGGCGGATCACCTGAGGTCAGGAGTTCAAGACTAGCCTGACCAACATGGAGAAACCCTGTCTCTACTAAAAATACAAAATTAGCTGGGCATGTTGGCGCATGCTTGTAATCTCAGCTATTTGGGAGGCTGAGGCAGGAGAATCGCTTGAACCCAGGAGGTGGAGGTTGCAGTGAGCCGAGATCGTGCCAGCCTGGGCTGGAAAAATGAATGAGAAAAACCTACATTCAAGCTCTCAGAATATTAGTTACTATAAGGGAAACTGGGAAGAGTGGAGGAGGCAAGGTTTATGAGAGAATAGACAAAAGTTTTGTGAATTCCTTTACCTTTCTCCTTCATGTATTCATCTTGACTCTGATGTTACACTGCCCTCAAGACTCTGGCTCTGATGCTCACCATTGCTTAAGTCTTGGAAGCACCTTCTCTTGGCCTGTTTCCAGATCTTCACTTGTTCTGAGCTATATATTGCATGTCTAGCATTAGTCTGGCATTGGCCTACCTGTTCTTTCCCTGGTGCCTGACTTGGATCTCATCCAGTTTTCAATGTCATTCCTCCCAACATTCAATAGTGACTCATTCCATTTTTTAGCACATTATCACCTGGACTATTGTACCATTTGATAGAATGCACTATTATGCTCTATGTTTGAATAGCATGAACTGATTTTGCTATTTTACAATTAATGCCATAAGTGATGGTGGGAAGGGATGTGTAGTGGTGACAGAAAATTAAAAGGACTTTATGCACATATTTTCCAGAATGTAAGAAGTAGATTTTCTTAAAAACACTGGATACTGGCTTCACATTTCTGCATAAATTCATTCTAAACCATGAAAATCACCCATAAATGGTAGGGGCCCAAATTGACTGTACCAGGGCAGATTGATCCTTTCCATTCATTAGCTACTATTCATTGTTGTCTGGATTCAGTGACATCATATGTACAAAAGTGTTTGCAAACTTTGGATCAAAACATCAATGGATGTTTTATTATTATGTTTTGTATGTTATAGACTCCAGCATTGTGATTCCATTTTCCAGCTAGAGACTGAACAACTTTTCAAAATGCTGAACAAAGTGCAGAATTTTCACTTATTTTTCAAATTTTTATGAATGTATTTGATATTATTGGTCTTTTGCACAAAATAAACTAATATCATTTGGTAAACATTTTTGTTTTATCTGGTAAATTAAAATACACAAAAAACCACAATTTTTCATTTTTAAAACTGGGGAATCATTAGAAATCACCAATGATATGTATAGTTAATTGAAATGCTGGGCTAAAACAATATTACTAATAAATAACTCAATGACACATGGCTAAAATGAACTCATATGCAGACTGTAATTATAAGTCATAATTAATCACATGCAGAGGTTATCTCCACTGTAAAGTAAATAAGTGTCTCACTCAGAGCTGATTTGTTAAAATACTATCTGGAAAGCCAATAAATATTCATTATACATATTAAACACAAAATTCTGCCAGTGGAAGATTACCCCTTTCAAGGTCACTTGTTTGGAAGAGCACAAAGATGAGGCAGCAAAGATACACTTATTCAGGTCTTTGTTAGCCAAGGTTTTTGACCTCTGGCAAATTCCTGACTTCGCTCTGTCCCATTTGGAAAATAGAATTTTGTATTCACTGACTCCTTTTGCTTTATAAGCATATTGTAAGCATAAAGTGCAAATAGCTCAATGAAAATAGCGGGGAAACATAAAATCTCTGTAAATATTAGGTATTCATGTTTTATGATTTCTAGCAGTTTTCAAATATTTTATTTGATGTGTAACATTAAATACTTCTCAAGTATTTTCACCCTATGAAAGCCACACAAATAAGAAGGTCCTTGATATGGTTAGGTTTTGCGTCCCCACCCAAATCTCATCTTGAATTATAGTCCCCATAATCCTGATGTGTCAAGGGAGAGACCAGGTGGAGGTAATTGAATCATGAGGGCAGTTTCTCCCACACTGTTCTCATGATAGTGAGTGAGTTCTCTTAAGATGTGATGGTTTTATAAGGGGTTCTTCCCTCTTTGCTAGGTACTTCTCCTTCCTGCCACCTTGTGAATAAGGTGCCTTGCTTCTTTTCACCTTTTGCTGTGATTGTAAGTTTCCTGAGGACTCCTCAGCCATGCTGAGCTGTGAGTCAATTAAACCTCTTTCCTTTATAAATTACCCAGTGTCAGGTAGTATTTTTATAGCAGGGTGAAAACGGACTAATACAGTCCTATCACAGGTTAATGGAAGATACCTAGGTCTGCATACACTTAACTTCATATATATGTGTATATATATATGAATATATACATATTTGTGAATATATACACATACATATTTTAGAGTTGTGCTCTGTCACCCAGGCTAGAATGTAGTGGCATGATCATAGCTCAGTGTAACCTTGAACTCCTGGACTGAAGGGATTCTCCCATCTCAGCCTTTCGAGTAGTTGGTACCATAGGCACGTGCCACTATGCTGGTTGATGTTTTATTTATTAATTTTTTTATGTAGAGATGGGGTCTTGCTAGCTTGTCTAGGCTGGTCTTGAACTCCTAGTCTCAAGTGATCCTTCCACCTGGCATCCTAAAGCACTGATATTACAAGTCTGAGTTGCATATATTGAGACATGTAGTTGTTAGGCACAATGAGATTTTTGTAGGTCAGCACAACCCACTTGTATAGTGGAAATCACCTAAAGTTTTGTCTCACAAATCCATCACTAAGCCAGAGAGATCATTTAAATATATTTGGACCAGGAAGTTCAATACACTTCACCATATAATTTATGTAGTGTTAAATATGACAGATGATTTTATATAGAATGAAAAATAAATTTCATTTTTAAATGCTGGCAGTAAATTCAAGTACCTATTTAATTTCACAATGCATTTATTTCATCTTTTACCTTCCTAGAAATAGGTAGGTAATGCTCTTTGAGATTGATATGTACATTTCTGTCACCAAGATGCAAGTCTTAAGGTTGGAGCCCAACTCCCTGGCATTTATTTGAACAGAACTTCAGCAGCAGCTCTGACCTGATCATCAGCTGTGGTTACTTCTGTAAATCATGGTTTGGCAACAGCTCTGCACCTTCTTGCCGATGCCAGAACATCTTGGCCAGTGGCCAATTGATTAAGCACTAGTGAATCCCTGGGGTGTGGGGCTATTTCAAAACCTAGAACTGTGAAATATTTTATCTTCCTATGTTAAGAGTTTAGGAAAAACTTGAGGTATTTTTTTAAAGTTCCCATAGTTAATATCCTGAGGATCATAGTCCTCAGATCTTTATTTGTTAATATCATTCATTGTATGTAAAATATTCCAACAGAAAAGATTCCCTTGTGAAAAAAAATGTTCTTAGTTAAACACACACATACACAGAAACACACACACACACACACACACACACACACAGTGTGCCTATCATTTGTTGGTGATTTTCATGGTTTAACATTTTTTTTTACCGAATCTTTTTTTTTAAAGAGAATTCCTAGACTCTGGGATGTATATGTTAAAGTCTATTAGTCTTATCTTTTTTTCCAATCACTGTTTACATGGATTGTAAAACATAGACCCTGATAGTGCATGCTAGCAAATGGAGCAATAGTTTGGGTGATAATATGTTACAAGATGGAAGTGGTTAACATTGAGTTATGGGAGAAGAGATATTAAAAACTGAAAGAGATCCAAGTCAGGCACCCAGGAAAAAATAGGTAGGCCAATGCCAGTAATACAATTTCATAACTTAGGAAGGGTCAAGGTCCAGAATCAGGCCAGCAGGAGACATCAACACTTAAGCAAGGGCATGTATCAGAGCCAGGACCTTGAGGGCAGTGCAATATCAGACCAAGAGGAATGGAGACAAATAAGGGAATCTAAGGAAATTTTGTCTATTCCTTCATTAACCCTGCCTCCTCCACATTTACTAGTTTCCTCTAACATAACTAACACTCTGAGAGTTTGCACTTAGGGTTCCTTAGTCTCTGATTTTATACTTAGCATAAAGTATGCCTTGCATCAAAGCACATTTAATTTAATGTAATTTAGTGAATAAATGAATAAAGAAATAATAAAAGTGGACCCAATGAGCAAAAGAGTGTAAACATTTTGGAAAGATAGATTTTGCTAAATTCCCTTTTTACATGGTTTTTATAGATTTGTATTCTCATCAGTAGAGTATAAAAGGATTCCCTGAATAGTGCTTCTATAACATTGAGGATTAGTTTTAAATCTTAGACAATCTGATTAATTAAAAAAATTAGTTATTCCTTTAATGTTCATTTCCTTGAAACCTGTGAGGCAAAATAAATTTACCTTTGACAATGTTTCTTCTTTTATGATTTGTCTCTGCACAACCCACCTTTTTTGTGAATGTCTGTCTTGGGTTCACCCGAAGCTGTTATGAGGCTAGGATATGAAAATAAGCAGTTAATTTGGTTGCTAATCCTGACAAACGCTGGTAGGAGAATGGGGAAATGAAACGAGGACAGAAGAAATCCCCTAAGTGTGCATTTTGAACAGATTGTCAGCACAGACAGGTGAACTTTAATCCCATTACAGAACTGAGAAATTCAGAGTTATCCCATCTGCAGGACTAGAGAGCTGGGCTCATTACTTACTCTTGTTATTCCTTGGCTGGGGGTTGCAAGAAGAGGTGACTTTTACCAGATGAAATGGAGAAAGCCCTTGGGCAAAGAGATGCAGGTGCTGGCCTTTGGAATTGTTCAAATTTCACTGAAATGGTTTTGGCTGAGAGGATAAGGTAAAATGCCGAGGTTTCTCTTACAAGATAATTTAGTTTTTCCCTCATCAATGAGTGAAATCATTTTAACTTCAAGTTTATTTACTGTCATTATTTTTCCTACCAATGAACTTTTTAGTTTCCACCTGGTTATTCCTTTTTTTTAAACATATACATATATATAGATGAGTTCTCACTATGTTGCCTAGGCTGGTTTTGAACTCCTGAGCTCAAGTGATCCTCCTGCCTCGGCCTCCCAAAATGCTAGGATTACAGGTATGAGCCATCAGGCCTGGCCTGTTAATTTCTTTATGAATTTTAATGGAACATTTTGAAATAATGCATTCTTTTTCTCTCATATTTTGTTCATTACATTTAACAACTTCCTTCTTGAAAAGACCTGTTGAATATTTATGTTTTAAGTTAGTTTTTTTAATATTCAGTTTTATAATTTACCTATAATTGATATGGTAGAGGTATGGTTACCTTTTATTTTCAAAATACTCAGACAACTAAGACAAAACATTTTATAATAATATATTTCTTCTATATTGTTTTGAGATAATTTTTAACCTATATATTTTTTAAATGTTTATATAAATGATAGAATGCCTTCTTCCATAATAACTTTTTTTCCAATTGTTTTCTATCATTGCCTACATTTTTCTTCATGCCTCAAGTTCTAGGTAAAATTTAGAATGATTTTGTTAATATAAAGTATCATTGAGATTTTGCTAGACATTGCTCACCCCAATATTAGACTCACACAATAATTTAGCGAGAACTCCCATCTTTTTATTTCTTCTTTTCATCTCCATAGAATCATATCTTTCTTTATGACATCAGTAAAGCTTTTCTTCTGTAGTGTCTTTCTAGGCTTTTTCATATCATATTTTCGTAAATAGAATCTTTTGGGGCTTAAGGCGAGAGGTAAAATATTTTGTGAGATGCCGTGGAAAAAGATAGGGTGAAGGAGAGCCTGGTGTTTCTCTTGGATAATGGTCCATGGTGTTGTGAACAGGAGTGGTGAAAACAGAAATGGAAGGAGCTGTTGCCTTGGGTAATTCTGAGACAAAGACCCACAGCCAGGTATGTTTTTGTTCTAGTGACAGCATGCAACTGAGAGAGAGTGGGGAGGGTCTGTGCATCCCCAATCCTGGCTGACCTCTCTGCAACGCGGGCTCCTGGGAGTTAACATCTAGAAGATCTGTTGCCCTGAGGGACAGAGTCTGTGGCCAGGAAATAAGTCATGATGTGGAGTGGTGCCTTCAAGGGGCTACAAGAGGGGTGGCAGTAGTATTGGATGCAGAAGTTAAGAGAAAGTACTAAAGCAACAAGGTTGGAAGGTTAAGAGCAGTTATTATTAGCTGGGGAGGTTCTGTACTATAACATGAACAATTATTTTTTACTGGGTTTTGGACGAACAGTATTTATCATGTCCTGAAAGGGTGCTTATTCCAAAACAGCTTAGGAACTTTTAATCTAAGGGCAGCTCTCTGGGTAGACATAATAAGATAATGGCCTTCATGCTGACATTTGAGGGGTATTTTAATTTTTTAATTTTTTATTTTTTAGAGATTGGAGTCTCACTGTGCTGCCCAGGCTGGCCTCCAACTCCTGGGTTCAAACAATCCTCCCTCCTGAGCCTCCCAAGTGGCTGAGATTACAGGCATGTGTCATGCACCTGGCTCGAGGGGTATTTTAAAATTTTCTGCCAGTGCCAATAGAAGTTGTCTACTTTCCCCTTCCCTACTCAGGAATTTCCTGTCATTCTACTTATAGAAAAGAAACAGGAGAAGAATAATCACAATCAAGTTAGTAGCATCACAATCAAATAAAAATTAAAGCCAGTTAATAAAAATTAATATAAGCTAATGAATGAATATCTTCCAAAGAGAAGGACATTCAGTGAGATGCTGTACAATGCAGCAAATATTTCTTGCATGCCTGTTGGGTATTAAGCATTCGTCTAGGAATGGTCTGATTTTTTTTAACTCTCTTTCAAAAAAGAAATAAGCATTTTTCCTTTCATCATGGGTCATCACAGGTAATGCAAAATAAATTTCTCTGTACAATATCCCTTAGCAACTCCCTAGCAACATTCAAATGAGCAAGCTTTTACCAACGGGGTTCACAGGACAAAATTTTAAGAAAAAGTAGCCTTTTTTTGCCACTAAATCTTTAATTTTAAATGTTTTACAAGAGAAATAATGTTTCATATGAAGGTTTAAATTATTAATTATCAAGTGCTCCTTTCCATATTAACATCTAGCATAATATTGTGAACAATAAAAGTCTGTTGAATAGAATCTTATTAAATATAGTAAGTCTGGGAAAATCTGGAAGAAACATTACTCTTCTTCTCTTGAGGTTCATGATGTCATTTTCTCTCCTTTTCCTCATAGATGACACTTATCTAATTTCTAATTGTTCCATCTAATTAATTGGAGATTTGACTGCCTGAATAGATTCTTGCCCTCTACCTAGGAAAATTTAATGTTCTTGTTTATAAATCATCTACTACAATAGCTTGGAACTCCATTTACATGGTTTTCTCTCTGTGCTTCAGCTTCAGGCTTTAAAAACTAATGAAATAACTAATTAATTAACTAATCTAATGAAACAAAAACATCCTGAAACTTTTCCTCATTTTCTATGTCACTAATATTAAATGTCCACATTTTAGACTCTGACGATGGCCTCCTCTTCTTCTAAAATTACTAATGCTCATGCTATGGATTGCATGTCTATATCCCTCCACAAATTCATGTTAAAATCCTAACCCTCAATGTGACGATATTAAGAGATGAGGCTTCCTAACTAAGGTGGAGCCCTCATAGATGAGATTTGTGCCCTTATATAAAAGAGACCCCAGAGAGCTCTTTCGTTCTCTTTCCGCCATGCAAAGATACAAAGAGAAGGTGGCAACGCAGAAGAGGGCCCACACCAGAACCTGACCATACTGGCACCCTGATCTTGGACTTTCTAGGTGGCAGAGCCATGAGAAATATATTTCTGTTGTTTATAAGGCCTCCAGTCTTGCACCCTGCACTGACCAAGACAGCTCATATTCTATCTTTTAATCCAGTGGTGTGGCAGTAGACTGGCTCTCTGAAAAAAATAAGGCCCCAGTTTGTGGTGCTTGCTGATTTCCAAGGCACAGATATTCCCAACAATGCTTTTTTCAAGCTACCCACATGAGGTCATTTAAACAGTTGAAAAGAGAAGTGCACAATCAACTCTTGCTAGTTTCCTAGGCTATGGCCTGCCTCTCTACTCCTCTCTCCATTTTCTCTGTCTGAAAGTGCCTGTATATGGCTTTCCTCTTCTGTCTTCCAGTCTGGAACTCTGGTGTGAGGACATGAGTTTACTCCCTTAGAATCTCTATCACCAACCTTCGATCCTTTCCATCTAATAATACCTCTTTCTGGTATCAATACAACAATCTACCATTTGACTCAAATTGGATTTCTGGGAGGACTGTGAACCAGGACTCAGCTGGGTGGATTGGAAATTGATAGATTCTACTTGCCATTGGGCCCTCAACACTACTGATCCAGGCAGGGTTTACTCTATTGATTCTTCATTTACTGAGCACTGAAAACCTCAATTTCTCTCCTCAGACCACTATCCTGTCCCTCTACCACCATGAATGCTGAAAACCTTGGCATTAGTATAGGCAAGAAAATGGAGATCTTTGGGAAGTAAATCAACCAATCTCGTAACCTGACCTCCCTCAAATTTCTTCCTCACACACCTTTGTCTACTTTGTAATCTCCAACTGCAGAAGGTATTTTTCATCCTGAATGAAGCCAATTCCTTCACCTCTGCTCATTTCCCTGGCACTCGCATCTCTCGGGAACCTCCTTCACCAGTGGACTCCTCTCCATAGCCATAACTGCTCCCTCCAGATTAAATCTCTTCCTTCAGTCATTAAACGTTCTCTGGCCACTTCGGCTCCAAAAAATTGCGACCTCTTTTAAGGTGACGTCTTCTTTTGCTATTGTCACATCTTTCTCTCATTTAAGATCCCAGATAGAGTCACCTACTCATGGCAGATCCTTTTCCTTTCTGGTTTATTTGGCTTTCTTCCATTCTTAATTTTTCATTTTCTCCTCACATTTACTCATAACCCCTCATACACGCACACTCACACACACCCCTCACTCATACCCATTGACCTACTACCCACACTCACGTTAATTATACTCACTTAACCACCAACAATGTCCCATGTTCAACATTTATAGTGCTTATCTAATCTGTGTCTCTCTGCCAAATATGATCATTAATTCCTGGCTTCATGAAGTGCGCAACTTCTATGATGTCTACGAAATGTTACATCTTTTTACCTCCTTTCTCCCTTCTGTGGTCCTTTTCCTCTATATATTTATCTAGTTTTAAATAAATGATCACATTGGCAAATGCCTGTGGCTTTATTATAATACATTTCTGAGCAACATGATTCATTTATATGGTTTTAACTAGACGTTTTTAATCAGAATGAACTCCAAATATATATTTCCACCCCTTATCTTTTCTGCTTTTTACCTAAATTCTACACGAGAATCTCTACCGTAAAGGAAAAACACAACACTGAATTCATCTTTGGTCTTCCCAGAGTTTCTCGCCTTTCTGTATTTGGTGTCTCACTGGAAGGAACTACTGTTTGACGAGGGAAAAAGATTTGAAGTTGCCTTTGAGTCCTTTCTCTCCCCTTAATAGTCCCATGCCCAGTCAATCACCAACCTCTAGATATCTGTGGAATCTAAACACTTCTCCCCCTTATTTAGACCTGCATCATTTTCGCTAGAGTTATTGCAAAGATTCCTCACTCTTTCTGTTTCCTCCTCAAATCCTGCCTCCACACTATCTCCAGGGTGTTCTAGCTGACTCTGCATGGCCTACATGGTGAAGCTCAAGCTTTGATCAGATCAAAAGGGCTCCCTCTGGGAGCAGTGGCTCACACTGTAATCCCAGCACTTTGGGAGGCCCGGGTGGGCAGATCACCTGAGGTCAGGAGTTCGAGATCAGCCTGGCCAACATGATGAAAATTCATCTCTACTAAAAATACAAAATTTAGCTGGGCATCGTGGCTGGCATCTGTAACCCGCTACTCAGGAGGCTGAGGCAGGAGAATCGCTTGAACCTGGGAGGCGAATGTTGCAGTGAGCCGTGACTGCATCACTGCACTCCAGCCTGGACAACAAGAAGAAGACTCTGTCTAAAAAAAAAAAAAGGAAAAGAAAAATACAAAAATAGAGGGGCTCCCACTTACCTGGTTTCTTTTCCCCTACCACCCCTTATGTCAAATGCAGTGTGCCAGCGACCCTGAACTTCATACCAACCCTGGTTCACATCATGCTTATTCTCATCTCTTTATATTTGTGCAAACTGTTCCCTCTGCCTGGACTCTCTCACCCTTTGTTCATTTCGTTAGCTTTCCATACCAAAATTTAGACAAAAAACTCTCCAGAAAGCTCACCTGGATACTCCCATTCCCTGTGGGTATGCTGGGCTTCCTCTGTCCTGGGAGCATGTGTCTATTACACCACTCATTGGTCAGCTTTAAATTCCTTTATCTATCTGCCTTATAGAATCAAGCTCTTCTACAGCAATCAGGGTGTTGTATTAATAATGAAGTGCGGGCTGGGCACAGTGGCTTAAGCCTGTAATCCCAGCACTATGGAAGCCTGAGGCAGGTGGATCACCTGAGGTCAGGAGTTCGAGACCAGCCTGGCCAACATGGTGAAACCCCATCCCTACTAAAAATACAAAAAAATCAGCTGGGTGTGGTGGAGCGCACCTGTAATCCCAGCTACTCAGGAGGCTGAGGCAGGAGAATCACTTGAACCTGGGAGGCAGAAGTTGCAGTGAGCCAAGATCGTGCCATTGCACTTCAGCCTGGGCAACAAGAGCGAAACTCCATCTCAGAAAAAATAAAATAATGAAGTGTGTCTGACACAGATCTTGGCACACAGCTGGCCCTCACTAAATGTTGGTTGTATTTTACATCAGGCAATTGAAATGTGATAAATGTCACTAAACTCTCTCCAGGATCAGCACAGAATGCTTGAGGAATGTTGCACAATTAATAATGGTTAGATGAGTAAAAGCATAATTCCTGTGGCTTCTAATATGTCAAAGAGGAAGGAAAGAAGGAAGAAAGGGAAGGAAGGAAGGAAGGAAGAACAGTAAGCAATGAGCTTTCTAATTGATTTTCTCTTTAAACTAGAGATAAGTGTAGAGTGAGGGTCAAGATCAGGGTGAACTTGAAGGAGAAGAGAAGAAGATGCTGAGGACTAATTCTGACACCATTTTGCCCAAGGCTGGTCTTAGACTTGACCCGTTAATTGCCAAATGCTCTAAGCAATGATGTGCTGCCAATAATCACAGTGAGGCCTAGGCAAGGAACTGATGCTGTTTCTTCGATCAGCCAGCAGAGGGGACAATAGAGCAAAGGCATTGATAACCTTACACAAATTTAGGAAATGTTGCTTCCTTTCCCACCACCTTCTGTTTCTCCAAGCTGAGGCTACCTCTGGGGAATTTCTATTATTGATTGCGTGCTGTTTACTACCTTACCATCATTTATCCATGGCAGCCCATGGCAATATTGCTGCTTTTTGTCAAAATGGAAAGAAAAATGGATGGGTTTTCATTGATGAGGCTAAGAACTCATTGTTTAATCATGCATTAAGCTCAGTATAAAGTCAACAATGAGTGGAATGCATAAAAGTTTATTTTGAAAACATTTTTTGCCTAATTTTCAATGACAATGAAAATATGCAGATACTGCAAGCTCTTGCAGTTCCCCCACCCATCAACTCTGCCTTTGCTGGTGCATGAGTCAACTAGCTTCTTAAATCACTGCATGCTTTTAGTGTCATTTCCAGTTGGCAGCACTGCAAACAACTGAGTTGTCAGAGGAGATAGATCCATGCGTAATATCATTTGCAAATGATTTATTTCTTAAAGTGCATAAAAATGCATTTTGAGCTCCTATGGTTGTTATTCCCACAGTAAACAATGGAGTAAAGAGAACTCTTAATTTGTTCACAGTGTGAGGGGTGTCAAGGGGAAGACAGGTTATGTTTAACATCTTTTGCATTATCAATTGACTAATAGGGTCACTGGGGAAAAAAAGCCACTTGAATTAAGTGCCTGGAAATAACCTTACTGTGAAGATATGGTGCCGAAGATGAGAAGCCAAAATCCAGATGAAACTAATCTCTCTCCATTTCCCATGTTTCCCCTAAATGCTCTTTTGTTTTGTTTTGCTTTGTTAAAGTGGCATTACCCCAGGCAGCTTAACCAGAGCTAGATACAGGTCTTTTAAGGCAGTTCATACAGAAAAGGGGAGAGGTCATTCAAGAAGAATGAACAAAGGATTTCCTACTAATGATTTCCAATTAGACCCTGTTGGCATTTTGGGTAAGGCCGTTCTTAACTGAGAGAAGCTGTGTCTTACATTTCAGGGCAGTTAGCACCATAGCTTCCCTCCCTAAGATACTAGGAGCATGCAACAGTTATCGTGAAAATCAACTGCATGATTTTCGTAGATGGCCTCCATCTAAGTGATGCCAATTGGAAATATCTCACTGTGTGTTTTCACCATGGAAGTTTGTTATCTCAGAATGTTCATTTAATACCATCGACAAACATGGGGATAATAGACTTACAGAGATGTAAGGACTTGAAATAACATATGCAAAGAGATGAGACATCACACAATAGGGATTTTATAAATAGTACTTATTAATATTATTGCGAGGAAATGTGCAAGTTATAACAATGAATGAGAATGGACTCCTTACTCTTATAGAACTATTTAGTGGAGAAAACATACATGCAGACATGCCCCAAATAATAATACAAGTCAGCACAGTTGTTAGGCATATTAGAGTCTGAACAGAGCTGAGTACAAATTGCTTTTGGGCTGCCTAGCTTCCGATGTTAAATGAGTACCCATTCTCTGGTGGAGTAAAGGTATGGTTTTAATCCTCTCTGTGAATCAGCTGTATGGTTTCCACCCAGATTTTGAGGTGGGAGGAGAAAATGTATAGATGAGTCTATTTTATTTTATTTTATATACATTTGAGACAGGGTCTCCCTCTGTCTCCTAGGCTGGAGTGCAGTGATGCAATCTTGGCTCACTGCAGCCTTCACCTCCTGGGCTTAGGTGATCCCCTTCAGCCCCTGGAGTAGCTCAGACTACAGGCAAATGCCACCATGCATGGCTAATTTTTGTATTTTTTCTACAGACGGGGTTTTGCCATGTTGCCTAGGCTAGTCTGGAACTCCTGAGCTCAAGTGATCTGCCTGCCTTGGCCTCCCAAAGTGCTGGGATTAGAGGCGTGAGCCACCATGCCTGCCTCATGAGCCTATTTTAAATTCCAGCCTGGGATATGGCCCCTAGGTAAATGTAGCCAGGAGAGAAACTTCAAAACTTCAAAAGTTTCAGGAAATTGATGTTAAATTTTTGTTTTACTCTCCATTATGAGGAATTTTTTAACTTCAATTGAAACAGAATTTGACTTTGTTGCACTTCAAATCCTTATGGATATTCCCCTTCAATTTCTAGCTAGTCCCAAATGTTTTATGTGCTAGTGTTTATAACCAAATTTGATTCCCAGACTCATGTGTTCCCTTAGATTATCTAATAGCCATTTCACACCCTTTCTGTTTTTTTCTGCATGGATTTATGTATGATTATGACTCCTATTTCTATTGCTATTTGTAATGTATTTTAGTTTTTGAAAATTCCTATACGTAAATCCATTCATTCAGTGCTTCACATGTTTACATTTGGCTGAATGCATGTCACCAGAAGCTAGGATATTTACTTATAGCTTGGAAGAACTGGAATGTCTGGTAATAAGGTCATGTGGATAAAAGTTATACATTTAACAAAAAAAGAAATAAGAAAGTATATGTTGGTGAAATTTTCAATTGAGTATAAATATGTCTTTTTCTAGGGTCAATTGAGTTTCTGAGCATTTTGAAAACTGAGACTACTTTTTAATTACTTTCAAATTAAGGAACATTCAATACTACAGCACCTTTTGTGAAGTAAATTAAAACCATTTTCTGAGATACATAGTCTGGATTTCCTCCTACTCCTGTTGCTAGGAGGAAGAAAAAGAGAACAAGAAAGATAGTAAATAATTCAACCTTAAATTCTATGTAATATACCACCCTTCTGCCTTATCTTAGGCTAAATTAGCATATTTCAAATATTCTAAACAATGAAATGAAAAAATAAGGGACGGGATTTCAGAGAACTCCAACTTAATGATGCAGCAGTCAACCAGCTGTTACCAACAGTTTCTTTCCAGAATGAAGTACTGATTTGACAGTGATTGGTTACCCCACAGAGACTGTCTTGGTATCAAGAAATCCAAATAAGCTGATCACAGTGAAATCTGATCTCTCAGGGACCACTTCTGTCTGCAAATGAAGGGGAGCCATTTGACCAGCTATTAGGATCTGGGGCTTTGGACTCTGACAGCACTGGGTTCAAATCCCTATTACCAATGAGTAATTGTCTGAAAGCAGACTTCTTAACCTTCTTCACCTGTGTGTTTTGCTGTCTAAGAATGGTGCCCTTTTCACTGAGCTCAGTGGATCCCTCACATTCTTCTCATCAGAGAGTTCTGGGCAAAAACTTGGAGGCCCAACTTTAAAGTTGAATAATAACTGCAACAGTGAGGTATCCCTTATTTGTGACCTGTGGAACTTTTACTCGACCCCGCCTTCTGTTCCTATGATAACAACCACAACCATGGCAACAATAACACTGATATGGACAGGAGACAGGGAGACATTGGGTAGGAGAGGGCAGTTCCTTGGCAAAGGCCCCACTCTCAAGCGTGGAAATCCACAGCCTGGAAACCCACAGCCCTCAGTGAGAAAAAGTGTTTCTGTTTTTGTACCCAAAAAGTTGCCTTTTGGTACACTACACTTCCCTATCCTGTACCCATATAAACCCTGAACCCTGGGCTCCAAAAGGAGATGAGCAAGCAGAACAACGGCAGAATGGCAGAGCAGAAAAGAAGAGAAGAAGCATCTGAATGTCAAGAGGAGCACAGCTGGGGACAATCAGAGAGATCAGCTGCTGGACCGCCAAACCCTAGGGGAAGATCATTTTCCCACTCTGTCCCCCTTCCAGCTCCCCATTCATCCTGCTGAGAGCTACCTCCACCACTCAATAAAACCCTGCATTCATTCTTCAAGTCCCTGTGTGACCTGGTTCTTCCTGGTTGCTGGACAAGGAACTGGGTCCCAAGGGGGTCCACTGAGCCGTCTAACACTTAAACCACCTGCAGGTGGCAAGGCTAAAAGAACACATTCTAACATGTGCCCACTTGGGCTTTGGGAGTTGAAGACACCCAACCCAACCCCATGGCTACCATGGGGCCAGAGCCCCCAAAACACTAGCCCTGGCTCCTGCACCTGTCCATCTGTGTGCCCCTACTCTCTTAAGGGGTTTGAGCATGGCAGCTGAACAAATGAGCTACACCCATGTCACATGTCCTGCAAGGGGGGGTCAGGGAACTCTCCTGTTTCAGCACTGTGCACCAGACATGGTGTAAGTTCTTTGGATATACCAACTCATTCATTTCTTACTATAACCCCAGGAAGTCAATAACTTCATATTATACCACACTTATTAGAAGTTTCTAAACATATTTCTACATTTTTTCAGAGAGGAATAAAGGGGACTGAATGCTTGATTTTGAAATCTGATAGCAATAAAAAAACTAAATTCTGCCAAAATAATGTTTAGTTGAAAAGAATGAATCGGAAACTCCAAAATGCCCAACAAAAGCATAACAGTTTCTTTTTTTTCATAGTGGGGATAAAAGAGGAAAACAAAGATGGTATAAAAATGGCAGGTATCTCTCACAACCTGGCATATATGGCTGGTGTAGACAACCCTACCTGCTCCACCTCACAGACATGTTGGCTAAAATACAGTAACAGCAACAATAAATCTACATTTGTATGTAATATCAACTTAAACTATGTGTAACATCATCTTATATACCTCATATCTCAAATATTATACTGTCTTGTATAATTTTTAATCTATATCTACTATCTATTTCTAGATCTATATTTCATATTTAGATATTCATTACATTGTTCTTCACACTGATTGGGTGTTTTAAATGTTTTGTAATAAATTAAAACAAAGGAAAAATATATTGGTAACTTTTCTGAACACTTAATCAAATGGTATATTAAAATTTAAGAAATGAACAGAGAGATCTGGTGGTGACCTGGCAACTGATATTGTTTGGTTATGTGTCCCCACCCAAATCTCATCTTGTAGCTCCTATAATTCCCATATGTTGTGGGAGGGACCTGTTGGCAGATGGTTGAATTGTGGCGGCAGGCCTTTCCCATGATGGTCTTGTGATAGTGAATAAGTCTCATGAGATCTGATGTTTTTAAAAACAGGAGTTTCCGGCTGGGTGTGGTGGCTCATGCCTGTAATCCCAGCACTTTGGGAGACTGAGGTGGGTGGATCACCTGAGGTCAGGAGTTCAAAACCAGCCTGGCCGACATGGTGAAACACCATCTCTACTGAAAATATAAAAATTAGCTGGGCGTGGTGGTGTGTGCCTGTAATCCCAGGTACTTGGGATGCTGAGGCAGGAGAATCGCTTGAAACCAGGAGGTGGAGGTTGCAGTGAGCCAAGATCATGCCACTGCACTCCAACCTGGGTGACAGAATGAAACACCATCTCAAAGAAAAAAGAAAGAAAAGAAAAACAGGAGTTTCCCTGTATAAGCTCTCTCTTTGCCTGATGCCATCCATGTAAGATTTGACTTACTTTTCTTTGCCTTCTGGCATGATTGTCAGGCCTCCCCAGTGATGTGGAATTGTGAGTTCATTAAACCTCTTTCTTTTGTAAATTGCCTAGTTTGGGTTATTTATCAGCAGCATGCAAACGGACTAATACAGCAACCCAATGGGGCTTTAGTCCTGGATATGGCCTGGTAGCGGGGATGTGATTCTAATGCTCTCTGAGAGCAGAAGGCATGTCCAAAGGACAGAGGAAGATAATGAAGCTGAAACTGAGCTTGAAACCTTGAATTTCTGCCCCATGTAATCATATATAGTCCTCTAGCCTAAAGAGGCCAAGAGGAAGCTTCCTTCATTTGGGGTCATGAATGGCCAATCTAATGTGCTGTGTGGGTCTGAATTTATCTATTTTTTGGATCATGAACTGAAAAATATAAGGAAAACCTCTAGGCTCTCAAGCAAATACACAAACTGTGTAGGTGGTTACATTTATACTGAAGGCACACAGCATTCTAAGTCTTGGTCTGAGTTACTCCAGAAGCAAACCTTGAGACTAATATTTGAGTGCAGATTGTTTGTTTGAAAAGTGATTCAAGAAACATCCATAGGGCAGAGGTGAATAGAGATAAGAAAGTGTGCGAACCCAACAAAAGCTGCGTTATTATTAAAATAGTCACCACTGTGGGCAACTGGAGTGCAATGTCACTGACGAACTCATAGAAACTATGTGAAATTTACTTCAGAGTTATGTCAACTGAAGGGCAAGGGAACAGAGGTTTTATATACCAGCTCCTTGTCTTCCATTGGTTAAAGTTTGCTTCTAGGTGCATCACCTCTTTGGCATTTGTGAATTGCCCTGTACACTAATTGATGCACTCTCTTGGTCAGAAAAAAATGTTCTCAGGCAGAGAGTTCATGATGTTTGCACTAAACAGTGTTCAGGCTAGCAGATGTGAAGGCCTGAGGGTATGGAGAGGTCACTGAAACTTCTACAATAACAGCGCTCCAAAATCAAGTGAGGAAAAGTTGTGCTTGTCAGTCTCAAAGATTATATTGATTTTTCAATTATTTGACCATTATACCTGTTAATCTAGTTGTGCTCATCAATTGCCAAATGCAATGATGAAAAAAGATGAAAAATGATGAAAAGCAATGATGAAAAAAGAAAAAGAAAATCACAATACACCTACTAATGGCTAATCCAGAATCCTTTCAACAGTGTATTCACACTACTCATATAAAAAAAGAAATGTGTGTAATTCCAAATGGATTGGCCAAATGCAATTCTGCCAGTTTTCAGTAATTTGTAGAGTCATGTACATGAGTAGGCATTTTTAATTTTTTGTTTATTTGTTTTGAAATGTTTTCTCAACAAAAAGCCATGGCAGACTACTAAGTCTGTGCACTATCCTCAGTCATCTGCCCGGGACTGACAGTATCACTCAGCCCTCATGCATTTCTACTGTCTGCCTTTGTATGGTTTCAGAGTCCAAGAGCCCCATTTCTGACAGCGATTTGGAAGCAGAGGTATCATAAAACCAACTGAAACAATCTCATGATTAATCCTGGTCCATTGACTAATTGTGGTGACAACTGGAACACAGCTTCTGGGCCAGATATCACAAAGATCTGAAGTCATCAAAAGAGCCACCTATGATCCTGAAAATCTCTTAAGTGATATGCCTAAGGCCCTTCTCCTAACCTAGAACTGAGAGTGATGAAGTTTGACTTGTAGTTACTATGATTTACCGCTGGGAAAACCATCATTCATTTTTCTTTTTTTTCTACTGGGGAGAAAGTTAAAACTGTGAATTTAACATGCTTATAGCCACATAGGTTGAATTCTCTAATGGTCATTTATAAAACATAATTTTACTTTTGTCTGCAAAGATTTTTTAACACTTAATACAAGAAAACATTTAAGATATTTTTGTTGTCTGTATTAAATATATTCTCTTTGAACATGGAGAAAGAATGATCAGCGTCTGACAATTTTTGCTGAAATATTTGTCAAGGAAGAGGGATGCAGGAGTCGGTTAGTGAAAGCATCTAAAAGCATATTTTGTATTGGCTTTCACTTGCTCACAGGAAAAAGCAATGCACCATTCTTTCCTTGCATATCAGGACTTTCACAATCTGGACCCAAATTCTCTCAACTTCTTGGCTCACACCACTCCCTGCTACTCCTTCTGTTATATTCCTAATTGGATTAACTAATTTCCTTGCAGTTTTATGAGTTTGAAACTTTCCTACGTGTGCCCAGGTGAATTCCTCTGTCTGAAATTCCCTTGTTGTCAGTCTCCATTGAGTAACATATTCTTCCCCACAGCGAAGCTCAAATGTCACTTCCTCTATCGAGTCTGATATCTTTCATCCTTCATTGTCACTTCCTTTCCTGAACTCCCTAAAGACTCTTATGATATCCCTAATATGTCAAGCAATTTGTCAACCTGATGGCCTGTTTTACTTAATGATGATCTCTTTGAATGATGAGGTGATAGTACGTGTCTTACTATTTCCTGTCAACACGTGCAGTGTCTGACGTACAAGTCAATTCTTAGTAGGTGATCAAATGTGTGTAGATGATGGAAGGAACCAAAAGGATGGAGAAAAAGCTTTTACCAGACCCACATCAGACAGAAACAGACATAAAAGCAATAGGACCCAGTGTCTATTAAATTTTTAACATGTGGCTGACATTGCATTAAGTGCTTCACATATGAAGCACGAAATTCCTTGAAATATTAATCCCGGCACTTCCCTTTTCAGCATTTCTTGTACTTGACTCATCCCCTAGTTGGGTCAGTTGCATCCCCTTTGCCTTGAGGAGACTTATAATCATTACAAAACGGAAGAATGCAGGAAGAAACTATATCTGGTTATTAAAACACCCCAAATAGGCTTTTTTGTTGTTGTTGTTGGTGCTATTATTATTATTATTTTTTATTATACTCTAAGTTCTGGGGTACATGTGCAGAACGTGCAGTTCTGTTACATAGGTATACATGTGCCTTGGTGGCTTGCTATACCCATCAACCCATCATCTACATTAGGTATTTCTCCTGATGTTATCCCTCCCCTAGCCCCCAACCCCACAGCAGGTCCCAATGTGTGATGTTCCCTTCCCTGTATCCATGTGTTATCATTGTTGAACTCCCACTTATGAGTGAGAACATGCGGTGTTTGGCTTTCTGTTCTTGTGATAGTTTGCTGAGAATGATGGTATCCAGCTTCATCTATGTCCCTGCAAAGGATATGAACCAATCCTTTTTTATGGCTGCATAGTATTCCATGGTGTATATGTGCCACATTTTCTTTATCCAGTCTATTTTTGATGGATGTTTGGGTTGGTTCCAAGTCTTTGCTATTGTGAATAGTGCTTCAATAAACATACGTGTTCATATGTCTTTATAGTAGAACAATTTATAATCTTTTAAGTCTCATAACAGGAATAACACCCTGAAAGCCAAAGTTTTTCACTTGAAATAAAATGAAACTTTTGGAGGGGAGGAAAAAGCAGTTGGGATAGCTCCAAAGGAAGCCGGGCATTGAGTTTATGCCACAATAGAGTAGAAAAAGAGTAAAAGAAGGCCCAGCCTAGCTCACTGTCAGAATAACAAGATGGAAATTAACTAGACAGGAGATGATGGGGAAATCTGGAAGGGGTTTGGCCTTAAGTGGAAGTCCCTGAGGGGACCCACGGAGGAAAGTTCAGGACAGCGTTGACATCCTGGTGAACTCCGTGCTGCCCCAGCAGGACCACATCTGTTCTGCAGTCCAAGCATCTCATTAGGGCTTGGGTGAGCTCTTCACTTTGCCTGTGCTCATGTTCAACACCTTTTTGTGATCTGATGAAGACCTTCCATCAGCAGCTTTCTCTATATCTACTCTAGATCCTCCAGCATAGGTGATTCCTGGTTATGACCTGGGCCTTTCCAAATTTCCCATCCAAACTTTCAGTAAGGACCTGCCCACTTTAAAGTCTTGGACATGGCCCCAAAACAGACAGTGGAGTTTTTAAAGCCCAGAAAGGCAGTGGCAGTATGGTCAGGAAAGTACTGAACATATGTACTTGGATGGGACTGGACAGTGGCAAAACTGACATCCTTTACATATTAAGAATTTTATTTAATGTGCACAACAATTCTGTGATGTAGGAATTACCACCTGGCTTTCACACATATGTAAACTGAGGCCCAAAGAGTTTGAATAACTTGTCCACAATCACACCATTGGTAGTGCCAGAATAAGATGACAAACCTAAGCAGAAATATCTATGATGCCGAGTTGCCTGTTTTTAATAGTGTGTGTGTGTGTGTGTGTGTGTGTATTTGCATTTATGATGCATATGGTTCATGCTATTTATGGGCGTTACCAAATAGGTACATGCCTGTCTTTTCTACAGTGAACACATACAAAAATAAACTGGGTCCGTAACCATCTTCATCTCTTCTTCCTTCTTCCTTCTCTCCTGTCTTTATTCTTTCCTTTCTCTTTTCTCTCCCTGTTTTTCAGGGTCACAGTTCACTGTCAAGCCAAGGAGAAGAGTGTATTTAGAGCAACACTAATGATTCTGGCCACTAACTGGGAATTTGATCTTCTGGGCTCTTCTCCCAGCTCTCCCATGGTGTGATCTTAAACTAGATTGAGCTCCTGTTTATCCAACTGTAAAATACAGGTAATACAGTCCTACCTCACAAGGACTGAGAAAGAATACTGTTATGTACAGTGCTTTATGACCTACAGATGGAAGGTATAATCAGTGACAACTTCATTATTTTGAAAGTGTTTTCAGATTCATCTTGTCCTCCCCTTTCTCTTGACATCAGTGCTGTCCTAGAGGTGATGGTGTAAGAATATGCCATCCTTGAACATGCATGGAATTTCAAAAAGCTTATAATTCTTATGTAAAATGGTGAAAGGTACAGTTTTTCTCCAATACAAGGAAAGCGTATATTTCGATACAATTTTGTTGTCTGAATTTAAGAAATTTGAAAGTCTTAATTACTTTTGAGTATGTGAAAATTAATTTTTAGAAATTCTCCATAGCCACAGAAAACACAAATCCCACACTCTAATCCCAACCAAGTTATTAATTTCTCAGCAATTCTAGACTGTGTCATTTAATTTCTCAAAATCAAAATCATATCTTGAGCAAGTTAATGTACCTATTGATTTTAGGTAGACTTGAGCTTTTTTCTTGATTTAAATAATAAACTAGAAAAAAAATGAGTCAAGAAAAAAATCTGGGTACAGAAACCACATATGATACTTTTCTAGAAGGCGAATGAATGGATGGTGGCTTTGCCAATGTGCTGACTTCTGTCATTTTTATGTTCAGTGACAAGCAGCATATGAATGATTCTACTCCGCTGATTCTGGAGAGGACCAAAATGAACAGATTGTCAGAGAGGCAATTCGGCTGGCGTGCCGTTGCAGCTCACCAGAGTGCCAGCAAAGACTATGAAGAGCAGTGCACTTGTTTATTCCTGAAAATGCACTCGCTTGCCAGAAACTTAATTTTAGCAATTTTATAGCCAGCAAATTTAAACATTAATGAGTATAATCATTTTTCATTCTATCTTGGTCAAAGAAGGCCGTATGTTAGAAATATGCATATTTAAAATATGATTTGGGGCATAGATTTAAAAAAAACATGATAGGAGAGTTTCTCATTCATAAAAAAAAAAAGCAGAAAGTAAGTATAACTACTAAAGTATTCCTCAAACTACAGCAGTGCATTTTTTTAACAACAGGGATACATTCTGAGAAATGTGTCATTAGGTGATTTCAGCATTGTGCAAATATTATAGAGCGTGCCTACACAAACCTGGATGGGAGTAGCCTATCACACACCAAGGCTAGACGGTGTAGCCAATTGCTCCTAGGCTACAAACTTGTGCAGCATGTTACTGTATTGAATACTGTAGGCAAATTTTAACACAATGTTAAGTATTTCTGTATCTTAACATATTAAAACACAGAAAAGATACAGTAAAAATACAATATAAAAGACAAAATATGGGACACCTGTGTAGGGAACTTAGCATGAATGAAGCCTACAGGACTGGAAGTTGCTCTGGGTGAGTCAGTGAGCAAGTGGTGAGTGAATATGAAGGCCTAGGTTATTATTATACATGACTGTAGTCTTTATAAACAGTGCACACTTAGGCTACACTACATTTATTAGACATATTTTTTCAATAATAAATTAACTTTAGCTTACTGTAAACTTTTACTTTGTAAACTTTACTTTTAAACTTTCTGACTCTTTTGTAATGTCATTTAGCTTAAAACACAAAAACATTGTACGGCCATACAAAACTATTTTTTCTTTATATCCTTATTTTATAAGCTCTTTTCTATTTAAATTTTCTTCTTTACTTTTCAAACATTTTTGTTAAAAACTGAGACACAAACACACACATTATCATAGGCTTACATGGGGTCAGGATGATTAATATCACTGTCTTCCACCCCTATGTCTTGTCCAGGTCTTCAGGGCAATATCATACATGGAGCTGTCATCTCCTGTGATAATGCCTTTTTCTGGATATTTTCTGACAGATCCACCTAAGGCTGTTTTACAGTCAACTTTTTCCTTATATAAGTACTGGATGTATACTCTAAAATAATGATTAAAAATATAGTATAGTAAATACATAAGCCAGTAACATAGTTGTTTATTATCATTATCAATTCTTATGTATTATACATATTAATATGTGCTATAGTTTTATAAGACTGGAAGTACAATAATTTTGTTTATACAAGTATCGTCCTAAATGCATGCAAAATGCATTGTGTGGTGTGACTTAGGATGGCTATGATGTCACTAGGTGATATTCAACTTCATTATAATCTTATGAGGCCATGACGTAATAGGTGGTCTGTCAATAAGCAAAATGTTGTTATACAACACATGAATATTTATGTGTCTAAATTAGATAATTATCATCACGCTGGACTCACAGCTCCTGGTGATAAAGGTTTGAAACCTGGTACTTATTATTAGGCCATTCTCCTTTCACAAACAAATACCAGTTTTTGTGTACCATGAATTCTACACTTTTAGCATTAGTCAAATCCATCTCTTCTCCATGCCCACTACCTTACTAGAAGGGTTCTGTTATCATAGCCTCTTATTTGGTCTCCAGATTCTATCATTCTTCCTTGTTAAATCTTTCTATACTTACTGCCAGACTAATATTTATTAAAACTTCTGTCATCCATAGCAGTGAAGAGTTTCCAATTTCCTACCAAATAAAGACCAATATCCTAAGTGTGGAACTGAAATATCTCTTCAATCTAATGTCAACTATTATTAAATAACTTCTAGTTTTATTATTTTTGTTCATGCACATTATACTGCCATAAAACTAAATTAATATAATTCCTTCATAGAATTCCATGCTTTAGTAGTCTTTTTCTCACATTCAAACTGTTCCTACTCTTGGAATGTTAACTTCTCCAGTTCTGTATGTCTGGATCCTGCATCTGTCTCTAAAAGCCCAAGCCACACAGCATCTCCATTTGATGATGAATTGTTGATCACCTCCTGTGTTCTAAGTTCTCTTCCAACTGCTCCAACATAGTACTTTAATTATGTCTACAAATTTAAATAATCTCTTTCTTCTTTAAATTCCCATGCTATATTCTCAACATTTTTATATGCCTTGTGATATAGTCATGGGTACAGGAGCTCCATTGAGACAATGCAATGAGACATCCCTGAGACAGTCTGTCAGTTCATAATCTTTATAAGCCTGAGGTCTTCTAGCACATAGTTAGTGCTTTATGAATATTTTTGAATTAAGAAAGAATTAAAGACAGAACTGTCTATAAGGCACGGGCAGCCTAGAGCAAATGTCTGAAGCCTTGAGTTGTAAAAAGTATGACTTGGGGTGTTTTTCTGGATTTTCTTTTTGTATTGTATCAGCCAACCACAATGTAGAATACTATTGCATACCTTTTTAAAAACACATATGGTGACAGTGGAGCAAATGTATTCAGTTTCCCTAAAACTAGAGCTAATTTGACATGGCTATGTGTGAATACCTATACCTCAATGTACATACAAAATGTAAATCAAGTTATTTCAGAAAACTTCTATGCAAATTTGTGCTTGAGTAGGTAAGGGATGAGTAGTTTCTCATTCAGTTTTTATCTATTTAATTTTGTATGTAAAGCATATTTAAATGCATGCATGCATTTCATTTCAATGAAATGGGTAATTAAGCACTGTTAATTGTACCACGCTTATACTCGGATTTAATAAGGCCTTGGTGTCTACTGAAAATGCAAGTGCTGGTGCCCCACCTCTGACACATGAATTCCAACTCTCTGTGAATGAGCCCAGAGATCTGTGTTTTAGAAAACTCTTCAGGTGATTCTGATGCATGCTAAAATTTGAAAAGCAGGTTCTAGAAAGTTAAAATCCAGAGAAGCTCACTGTATGAGTGAAATCCAACATGTAAATTAAAGGAGAAAACTTAGTGTGCTGTAAGTCAAGGATTATCAGAGTTTAAGGAAAGGGGAAGAAAGTGTTATTTTATACAAGAAGGATTCAGTTATAATGCATACATTGCTTAGGTTTTAGTCTCACAAAGCCAGCTGATGTCCTTCTGCTGGAGAAAAAAATAGAATCCTCATGGGACAGGGACTTTAACAGTGTGTTTGTTATTACCCATCTGAACAAGACTGAAAAAACACTACATTTCTCCTTAGCGCTGTACTGCTCCCCCTGCCCATATGTTAACAAAACCAAGCCAAGTTAAAGGCATGGCATTCTAAACCACTCTGTAAGTCGTGTAAAGAAAACTTAAAAAGAACTTTTGCTCTGAGGCTATCCTGTGCTCCTAACTCCTAGAGTAATCCATTTATTGTGAAGTCAGTTTTATTCTTGTCTGCTTTCCAATATAAGTGTTCTTTTATAAGCCCTCTGTTTAAGACAGTGGATAAAAATCTTACTATTGGTAATGTTTTAATTAGACTTTCCATATTTTGGAGAGTGGTTAACTATTCAGAGGCATAAGAGTTCTTTATGTGGAAAATTCTCTACGTGTAAAACCAGACCCTGCTGAACTTTGGAAATGTTTGAGTATGCAAAACCAAAAATTTTCATAGTACTCTTTCTCTCAACTTTTTCTCAGGTTCACACTAATACCCTGCTCAGAAATTTGAATACTTGAAGAAAAAGATTTACCTGACATCAAAGAGTTCAGTACGAAATTCAACCACAAAATAGAATAGAGCAACACAGGGAATGGACCCACAAAATAGAAGACAGTGAAAAAACAAAACAAAACAGGAAAACTGAAACAATAAAAACAATGACAAGTATTTTCCAATATACGTTATTTTATAAAATGTGCATTCTGCACACATGTCTAAAAATGGAATAATGACAGGATTTGATATATTTTTTCCTTCCCTTTTTAAAAGTGATAAGATCATACATATGATCACTTTGAAAGAATTTAGGATGGAATGAAAGCAATCTGAACATAAATGAAAAGAAATGTCAATAAATTAACCAATAGTTTTCACCTGTCTAAATTTGGATTTTTATACTATAGATTGGAAATACCCGTGTATCATCACCCATTTTTTCAAAGAAAACTATGATTGTTCTTCGAGATAGCCATATGATTACTCTTAGAAAAGGCAATTAATATATTTTTACTTCTACCAATATTTGAGTTTAGTTTTTCTCTAGATTTTGAGTACTAATTTCGTTCATCAATTTTGTATGTTGCTTTATTTCTTTCTTAATTTCAGGTGACTGAATTCTCATTATGGATGATATCGGTTGTGCACAGAGAGGAAGAGAAGTTCATGGCTCAGTGTACTACAGCCCAGCAATGTCGAGGCTCCGAGTGATAAGTATATTTTATATTTCTTGGGAAACCAAGAAAAACTCCAGTAATAGTGCTGTAGATTATGCTCCTTTGTATAGTGGGTCAGTAATAGTGGGATGGGATGCATTTCACCATATCCCATTTAGCTACGAAATTTTTATTGTTTTCAAATCCTTGGGTTTAACGGCAAGGGTGGTATTGAGCTCTATGGATGGAAAAGTAACTCCTAATTCTAGGAGAGGTAATGAGTATTTTAATCACTTGAATTTCTACAGCAAAGTATCACAAGCTTATCCTTTATTTTGTTATACAGATACCATATAATTAGTTTTAATCGCACAATAAGTGATTTTACTTTTTGGTTTTTGCAACTTTTTATAGTAGAATTTTGAAAAGATTTTTTTCATCAGCAGTGACAGAACATCCCATCAGAATTTATCTTCCTCAGGGAAGCAGAGGCTTATCTTTAAACATTCACTATTGAATTCAAATAAATATGCTCTGAATTTAGTCTTTAATTATCAGGTGAGAATGTTTACTGCCTTCACGCCAGGTAGGTCATGGTAAAGATGCTTGCCATTGACCAGCCTCAGTATATCAAACCTTTAAAAATGAACTTTTAAACTAACACTTCCACTTCAACACAGGAGACCAAGAGCAACAGAGAAAATACAGGAATCCAAAAATTATTTTATTACATGTGACAAATATGAACCTTTTAACAAAATCTCTGTAGGATTATATCAATATAGGAGGTTAAAGATTGCACAGCATTTTCAATGAATTGGTTGATGACTTTGCATTGCTTTCATTTGAATACATGCAGGTGCGGTGTTGCCAAAATCAATTAATTAAAAAGGGATGTTAATGTGAAAATTGAAAGTGGCACTCTCAAAACCTTTCCAACTTCCCAGCTTCCATTTGGAAGGGCATAATTAAATGTATAAATTAAATATCCATAAATGAGGTAGATATCGTGTAAAGAAAACTGTGCTTGGAAGAGATACCAGTGTTCTAATTCTGGTTCTGCCACTGAGTTGTAATGCCACCTTGATTGCGACAGTTTTTAAATGTGCACAAATTCTTGACATGCCTCTCACTGGAAAGTGGACTTTACGTTTTTGTACCTTGAATGTGGGCTGACATTAAGTGACTTCCTTTTAACCATAGAAATGCGGTGGATGTGACACTCTATAACATTTGAGGCTAGATCAGGAGAGTTCAAGCTTTACCTGAATGAAGTTCGAACTGATTCTCTAGTAGGTGGGGAAGATGTCTGACCACCTGAGACTGCTATACTCGAGTGGCTAGAGATGGGTGCCCCAGATGATAGCTCCAGCTGAGCCCACAGACAGAGCCAACACTATCTGCCAGCCATGTGAGGGCACCATCTTGGTTACCCACCAGTCGAGATCCCAAGAAGGACTGTCCAGTCAAGCCCTCCCAAGGTTATGACCCACAAAAATCAAGAGAAAAATAAAATGATAATTTTATGACCCAAAAAATCAAGAGAAAAATAAAATAATTTTAAGCTGCTACATTCTGAGATTTTTTAAAATGAAGCAGTGGTAACAGGACCATTGACAAATCACTTAACTTATTTATGCCTCAGTTTTTTATTGATAAAATCAATATGATTACTGACCTGTCTGTTTCACAAAGTGTTTGGGAAGATGAAGTAAAATAATGCACATGAAACATCTGTGGAAATTCTAGCCCGTTTCTTACGAGCGCAAGGGGCATGTCTTATTTACTTTTGAACTTGTGATGTCCAGACTCATGCCTTCCATTAGGCAGGTAATCAGTGCATACTTTCAAAAGTTTTTTTCTATTTGTATTGATTATTCATAATCATTTTGACAAGTAATGAATTTTGTTTAAGAAATTTTGGAAAGTGCCGAGTATTAAAAAATTAATCTATAGCTCCACTACAAAGACACACCTATTATCATTTCTGCATATTTTATTCCTGTCTTTAAAAAAAATAGATTATTTTTACTTTGCATATTACTGGGTCCTTACTGGAAAGACTGAGGAGGCATGGCAATCGATCAGAGAGAAATCCCCCTTGGTAGTACAGACAAGTGTGTGGTGATTGGCTGCCACTTGAGAGAGGTGTAACTTCCCTAGACCTTTCTCACATGTGTAGCTTTCTCACACATGTAGGTACAGGGAAGAGATAGAATCCTGCACCTTGTGGGAAGATATAAACAGAAAACAACTGCTCTCAAGGATAAGGTCAGGAAATACCAATGGACCCAAGTTCTTCCACTGATACAAAGCCAGGATCTTCTGTCACTGTAGAAGAGGTGGGAGAGTTTCCTAACCAAGATCCCCACAGTTACAAGGCAGAGTTTTGCTGCCATGGAGGGCAAGTGGAGGGTGAACTGAGAAATGTTCTCAGACCAAAACGGGGGCTGGACAAGAAAACAAAACACGATCTTTTCCCCTATCCCCATTCCCACCCCTTCCCTACCGTGAGATTAGGTGGCAGTAAGAAGCAAAAAAAAAGTGTATTGCTGGTACAGGAATAATAGGATAGAGAGAGACACACCCCCACACTTCTGACACGAGTGTGCAGGATCTGCTGAAACCTGAGGATGAGGCAAGACACTGGGAAAACCTGTTTCCCACACTCCACAGGAAATGCCAGGGAATAGCAGCCCACAGCTCAAGGAATTTGACATTGCTGATGTGCTGACGACCAAAGCGACAAAAACAACAAGTATAAATTGACTCAGCTCACTTCTAGCCACTTCACAGAAGTGTATCTATTTCTGGCCATGAGTAGGATTTACCTCAAGCTCTACAAATCATGTGCACATGTTCCACCGCTTACCTCCACATAGAATGGACGAAGGATTTGAATAGATATTGCCAAGGAAGAGGTATGGATGGTGACTAAGCATATGGAGAGTGCTCAACATTAGGTATGTCAGAGCCACCTCTGATACTAAATACTAATATACACAGTGAGTACAGTGACTAAAATTTAAACGAACAGGTGTTGGTGAGGATGCAGAGCAATGGAGACTCATGTATTGCTGATAGGAATGCAAAACATATAGCCACCTTAGAAAATGATTTGGCAGCTCCTTTTAAAGTTAAAAAAATACACTTACCATCATAAACCAGAAATTTTTACCTAAGAGAAATGGAAACATATGTTTTTACTAAGACCCAAAAGTGAATGATTTTGTTAACTTTATTTATTTTAGCCCTACACTGGAAACAACTCAAATGTTCATCAACTGGTAAGTGGATAATCGAGTACTACTCACAATAAAAAGATGATATGGTTTGGCTCTGTGTCTCTACCCAAATCTTATCTTGTAGCTCCCACAATTCCCGCGTGTCATGGGAGGAACCCAGTGGGAGGTGACTGAATTATGGAGGTGGGTCTTTCCCATGCTGTTCTTGTGATAGTGAATATGTCTCATGAGATCTGATGGTTTTTAAAAAGGGAGTTTCCCTGCACAAGCTCTCTCTCTTTGCCTGCTGCCATCCATGTAAGATGTGACTTGCTCCTCCTTGCCTTCTGCAATGATTGTGAGCCTCCCCAGCCATATGGAACTATAAGTCCATTAAACTCTTTCTTTTGTAAATTGCCCAGTCTTGGGTATGTCTTTATCAGCAGCGTAAAAACAGACTAATACAGTAAATTGGTACCAGTAGAGTGGGGTGCTGCTGAAAAGATACCTGAAAATGTGAACATAACTTTGGAACTGGGTAACAGGCAGAGGTTGGAACAGTGTGGAGGGCTCAGAAGAAGACAGATAAATGTGGGAAAATTTGGAACTAGAGACTTGTTGAATGGCTTTATGCAAAATGCTGATAGCAATATGGACAATAAAGTGCAGGCTGAGGTGGTCTCGGAGATTAGGAACTTTTTGGGAACTGGAGTAAAGGTGACTCTTGCTATTTTAGCAAAGAGACTGGTGGCATTTTGCTGCTGTTCTAGAGATTTGTGGAACTTTGAACTTGAGAGAGATGATTTAGGGTATCTGGTCAAAGAAATTTCTAAGCAGCAAAGCATTGGAGAGGTGACTGGGTGACTTGGGTGCTGTTAAAGACATTCAGTTTTATAAGGGAAGCAGAGCATAAAAGTTCAGAAAATTTGCAGCCTGACAATGTGATAGAAAAGAAAATTTCATTTTCTGAGGAGAAATCCAAGCCAGCTGCAGAAATTTGCATAAGTGACAAGGAGCCAAATGTTAATCCCCAAGGACAATGAGAAATATGTCTCCATGGCATGTCAGAAGTCTTCAGGGAAGCTCCTCCTATCACAGGCCTGGGGGCCTAGGAGGAAAAAGTGGTTTTGGGGGCTGGAACCCAGGGTCCCTGTGCTATGTGCAGCCTAGGGCTTGGTGCCCTGCATCCCAGCCACTTCAGCCATGGCCGAAAGGGGCCAATGTAGAGGTTGGGCTGTGGCTTCAGAGGGTGCAAATTGCAAGCCTTGGCAGCTTCCACATGGTGTTGTTCCTGCCAGTGCACAGAAGTCAAGTATTGGGTTTGTGAACCTCTGCCTAGATTTCAGAAGATGTATGGAAATCCCTGATGCTTAGGCAGAATTTTGCTGCAGGGGCGGAGCCCTCATGGAGAACCTCTGCTAGGACAGTGTGGAAGGGAAATGTGGGATCAGAACCCCTACAGAGTCCTTACTTGGGAACCACCACCTAGTGGAGCTGTGAGAAGAAGGCCACTGTCCTCCAGACCTCAGAATGGTAGATCCACTGACAGCTTGCACTGTGCACCTAGAAAAACCACAGACACTCAATGCCAGCTTGTGAAAGCAGCCAGGAAGGGGGTTATAACCTGCAAAGCCACAGGGGTGGAGCTACCCAAGATTATGGGAACCCACCTTTTGCATCAGCATGACCCAGATATGAGACATGGAGTCAAAGGAGATCATTTTGGAGCTTTAAGATTTGACTGCCCTGCTGGATTTTGGGCTTGCATGGGGCCTGTAGCCCCTTTGTTTTGACCAATTTTTCCCATTTGGAATGGCTGTATTTATCCAATGCCTGTACCCCCATTTTGTCTAGGAAGTAACTAACCTGTTTTTTTCTTTTTTTTTTTTTTTGAGATGGAATCTTGCTCTGTCACCTAGGCTGAAGTACAGTGGCATGATCTCAGCTCACTGCAACCACTGCCTCCCAGGTTCAAGTGATTCTCTTGCCTCAGCCTCCCAAGTAGCTGGGATTACAGGTGCCCACCACCATGCCTGGCTAATTTTTATATTTTTAGTAGAGATGGGGTTTCATCATGTTGGCCAGGCTGGTCTCGAACCCCTAACCTCAGGTAATCTGCCTGCCTTGGCCTCTCAAAGTGCTGGGATTCAGGCATGAACCACCACACCTGACCACAAGTAACTAACTTGCTTTTGATTTTACAGGTTCATAGGTGGAAGGGAATTGCCTTGTCCTGATAAGACTTTGGACTGTGGACTTTTAAGTTAATGCTGAAATGAGTTAAGACTTTGGAGGACTGTTAGGAAAGATATGATTGGTTTTGAAATGTGAGAACATGAAATTTGGGAGGGTCCAGGGTGGTTTGGCTCTGTGTCCCCACCCAAATCTCATCTTGAATTGTAACTCCCATAATTCCCACATGTCATGGGAGGAACCAGTGGGAGGTAATTGAATCATGGGGGTGTGTCTTTTCCATGCTGTTCTTCTCATGATAGTGAATGGATCTAAGGAGATTTGACGGTTTTTAAAACAGGAGTTTCCCTGCACAAGCTCTCTTTGCTGGCCACCATCCATGTAAGATGTGACTTGCTCCTCCTTGCTTTCCACTTTGATTGTGAGGCCTCCTCAGCCATGTGGAACTCTAAGTCCATTAAACATCTTTCTTTTGTAAATGGTCCAGTCTTGGTTGTGTCTTTATCAGCAGAGTGAAAACAGACTAATACACTGCAGTACCAAACAATATGAATAAATCTCAAAATCATAAGGCCGGGTAAAAGAAACCAGACACAAAAGGCTCACACTGTATGATTTCATTTATATGACATTCTAGAAAAATTATGAAACAGAATTCGAATAACCCGTTGCCCATGTTGGCGTTGCAGGTCAGGGATTGACTACCAAAGAACATGAGAAAATTCTTTCAGGTAATTGGAATTTTTGTTTTGATTGTGCTAGTGGTAATTACCTGACTGTATATTTCTGTCAAAATACTTGTCACCTGAAAAAGGGTACACTTTATTGCATGTAAATTTTTACCACAATAAACCTGAGTTTAAAAAAAAAATCACATAAAACATGGTTTAGAGCCTTAGGAGAATAGTATGGAAAACTGAAGTGGCAAATCCTATTGTTCGAGTTTTATTTAATGTTGAGATTTTTAAGATGCATTATTTACAGTTCTTTCCCTTGTGATTTGTAGTCTCTATTTTTCCATAATTACTAAAATATCAAATTTTATTTGCAGCACATTATTGTTCGGTTTTCTTGAATATTTTCTCCTTTTAGAGAGCCTAATTAATGTCACCGTATTCCATTTAAGAAGCTGTGTCGATAAGAAATGTTTTCACTTCTCTACTTCCCTAGAGGAAACCTACTCACATCAGTGTTTTTCTCCCTAAGTCTGAAGTTTTGTGAGTCACCTAGTTTACAGGCTTGATGAAATCAGTAGGGCGATATTGAAAGGAATGACATATTGAATCCTTTTGTAAGTTGTGTATCAATATTTTGTAATATACAGAATTGCCCTTAGCTTATATACTTTTTATTTTTTGCATATTATGATTTCCTTAATGGCAGGTACATCTAAATATGCTTATGATTCATCAACATACCCAGCATTCAACTTAGAGAGACCCTTAAAGCCACTGGTCACTGGCCTTTTAAACACAGTCAACTCTCCTATTTCATATAATGGAGACTTCAAGACAAATAATTTCGTGATACTGTCTTTTCCCAAAATTCACTCAGGTGTCTCTCTTGCTGGCATTCTAACCATTATTTTTCTCTTTACGTGGTCCTCTGATTCCTAAACTTAATACTGGGTTTGTGATCTTTGTGATCTCTTCTTTTGGCCTCCATCTTTGATTTGGCAACCACCTTCTGTGGAGGACTCCCCTTGTCTCTTGATTCTTGTGTGCTTTTGATTCCCTTGTCTTCCAAAACTGGAGTACAGATGTTTCTTTTTTCCCTTTGACAGAACTTCAGACTCATGGAAGTGCTTTACTGGATCCTCTCCCACCCCACAAAATATCCTGGAGCAGAGGTTCTCCAAGTGTAGTCTGTGATCATCTGGTGGTTGACCAGACCTAAGAGGCCAAAACTATTTTCACAATAGTAACATGTTATATGCCTCTTTCCTTCACTGTGTTAATATTTGCACAGAGCAATAGTGGGCAATGTTGCTGGCACCTCCATGAATCAAGACAATGTGCTTGATTACTACTGAACTGTAGTAATTCTCAAATTCTTCATCACCACATACTAGCAGAAAAAAAGAGGCCAATTTCATTTTTTAAAAAATTGTCCTTACTAAAACAGTATGTTATTAATCGTGTTAACTGTTGACCTTGAATGCATGTTATTTTAATGTTCCACTCTATGTGATGACATGGGAAGCATATAAAGCACTTTGTTGCATATTAAAGTTTGATGTTGTCTTGAGGAAAGAGATTGTTGTGATTGTATTAGTTTTAAGCTGAGCTAGCACTGACTTTCTTTTCTTTTTTTTTTTTTTTAAATTCTACCTGTAAAAACTACTGACAGGCAAACTGGTTATCGGATTTGGGCATTTGGTAGATATTTTCTCAAAAAGGAATGAATTAAGCCAGTCAATTTATGGCAAATAGCTGACAATGTTCATTGTCAGCATCAAATAACCAATGTTTCATAGAATCATGGACAGTAACTGACAATGTTCATTGTCAGTGATAAAATTTGAGCTCTTTAGCATTATCCAGAAATTTTGGAAAATTTCTAGGTATCATTGTGAACTAGACTGTCTCCTAAATCATAAACATTTTTGTGATCAGGGTGGTTGTGATATTTTTGCTATTTTATATGAACATATTACAGCATATGGAAGATGTGCATGACTCAGTATATCAGTATTTTCTAATTGATCTGTATATATTGCTACAAAATAATATATAGGTAAAACATCCATTCAAAGTACAAGTTAGACCAAAGGGATTTTAATGTAACAGAGTAACAACAACGACAACAAAAATCATTAATATGGTTTCAGATTCACATTGCAAAAAATTCTTTAAGAACTACCTCAGGCAGGCATGGTGGCTCACGCCTGTAATGCCAGCACTTTGGGAGGCGGAGGCAGGTGGATCACTCGAGGTCAAGAGTTCAAGACCAGCCTGGTCAACATGGCAAAACCCCATCTCTACTAAAAATACAAAAATTAGCTTGGTGTGGTGGTGCATGCCTGTAATCCCAGCTACTGGGGAGGCTGAGGTAGGAGAATCACTTGAACCCCGGAGGCAGAGATTGCACTGAGCAGGGATTGTGCCATTGCATTCCAGCTTGGGTGACAGAGTGCAACCCTATCTCAAAAAAAAAAAAAAAAAAAAGAAATGCCTCTTAAAACTGTTTAAGTTTTAGTGTAGTACCAAATATGAATATCCATAGTTATCTGAAAAGTTATTGAAACACTTCTGCCTTTCTCAACTATAGATTTAATGTAAAACACATATGAGAATTCAGCTGTCTTCTACAAAGCAAGACGTTAAATAGATTTGAAGAAATGTAAAACCATGTTTCCTTTTTCATTATTATGTTGTTTTAGAAATATACTTTTTCCTAAAAATATATTATCTATGTTAGCATAAAATGTATTTGTTACTATTTTAATGAATTAAATAAATATTTTTTATAATTTCTCAATTTTCATTTTTACTATAGTAAAATGGGATAGCTATAATCCAAATTAAAATAAGGACTGGGGTCCTCAATAATTTTTGAGAGTATAGAAGTTTCCTGAGACCATGTTTAATAACTGCTGCTCTAGAGCTTTGTATACTAAAAGTCTTCAGGCATGATTTAGTTGGTCTCATTGCATTTCTTGAAATTAAACTATAAGTTTCATAAAATTATGAAACCAAAACTTAGAATTCATCATTTTGCTGATGGAAGTGCTGCTCAAGTGTCAGGAGCACAGACCTTTGCAATGCCTGAGCCTAATGCCTCATGTGTGCTTGTTCCTTCTCTCTCCTGAGAGTTTCTACCAAATTGCACAGCTTCCTAATGGGGCCTAACTTACATAGCTTGCCTTAAGGCCCCTGGTTCAGAATGGAACCTAATAATAGGAGAATTCCATCTCCTTTTGTTAGATGAGACTGAGCAGTAGGAGTTTCTTCTATTCAACTGGTGAGCCCAATGTTCAGTGTTTACCTTGTGTATCATGTTTATGAGCGTTCCTTAACATGACATAGCCTAAATCGTGATTTTTCTCATAATGGTAAATACACTACCAGTGGGGCACAATTTATAGCTGAGTACCCCAATTACTTGAAATAATATTGTATCTAGTTGCAAAAAGAAGGAGCATACTATAGGATAAATGGTTCAAAGTGAAAAGACACCCAGGAAAAAGACCACCTAGAATTTCATATAAAACTAGAAGAAGCTACTCTGGAGGCTAAGACAGGAAAATCGCTTGAACCGGGGAGGCAGATGTTGCAGTGAGCCACCGCCCTGCACTCCAGCCTGGGTGACAGAGCAAGACTCTCTCTCAAAACAAACAGACAAACAAACAAAATAAAACAAAAAACCCAAAAAACTAGAAGATCTTTGGACTCATTCAAATCATCTTTCAGAGGTTGGATTGGGGGAGGAATGATGGGGCATACTATATAGGATAAATGGTTCAAAGTGAAAAGACACCCAGGAAAAAGACCACCTAGAATTTCATTTAAAACTAGAAGAAGATCTTTGGTCTCATTCGAATCATCTTTCAGAGGCTGGATTGGGAGAGGAACAATGGGGCATACTATAGGATAAATGGTTCAAAGTAAAAAGACACCCAGGAAAAAGACCACCTAGAATTTCATTTAAAACTAGAAGATCTTTGGTCTCATTCGAATCATCTTTCAGAGGTTGGATTGGGAGGCATAGTATAGGATAAATGGTTCAAAGTGAAAAGACACCTAGGACAAAAACTGCCTAGAATTTCATATAAAACTAGAAGATTCTTGGATTCATTTAAGTTATCTTTCAGAGGTTGGATTGGGAGAGGAATCCACTCATACACATCTTTGCCTACAGCTACTTCTCTTAAACCAACTTTTCTAGAAAGCAGTGTGAGGCAAAGGCTTATGTATGGATACTTTATACAGAAGAACAATCCCAGGAAATCAGGAGTGAAGGACAAGGGAGCTGAGGCAGGAAAGGTGGAAGAGCAAATACAGGGAAGTGTTTTAGCCCTCTGGTCACTGCTTGTTACTAGCACACCTGATTGCTTGATCTCATGAGACCATCTTTAGAGAGACCATATGGAGACCTGCATCAGGATAGCCTGTCTGTGGAAGAGAAAGAATTAACCTGCCGGCTTCTTGATTTCACAGGGGTCAACAGTTCACCCTGCAGTATGTTAAATCCCACTGAGCCGGTCCCACATGTCTCATACCTCAGCTGCACCAGGGAAGCCTCAGATCAACAAAGTGTGCAGGGTAGGATTGGGAGTACAGAATTCCTCTGGTGGTGCACATGAAAATCTGGTTTCTACAGGGACTGAGGAGAAGGACCTTGGTGATAGTTGCAGCTGAGAAGATCTCACATGTTGCATAGGACATGTTGGACACCCTGGCATCCACAGGGTTGCCAAAATTCCATAAATGACAGTTATACCTACGTTGTATTTGGCGTGACATGTCAAAGAGATGTAGATGCCTGAAGGCTATGAATATATAAAATAGATACACTGTTGATGTTGCACTTAATTTATGTGTAATGATGACTTGCTTAATGCAGAAAGTCATATTTTTGCAACTGGATCCAATATTATTTCAAGTAATGGGCTGTTTGTACTCTACCTTCATCCTCCATTTATGTATGGGTTCTAGGCGCCACTGAAAAATCACACATGTCAAAGAAAGGGGCTGTGCCTCTATGGGAAAGAACCCTGGCTTGCAGATGTCAGGCATTTCAGGTATAAAATCCATCCAGGTTAGCTTCTATAAATAATCAGGGAACTCTAGAGATGAGTTGGTTTTTTAACATCTCCTATTTTGTTTTGTTTTTTCATCTTATTGAGTTTGTTACAAGGGCATTATGTTAAACTTCAGTCCTTCCTAAATAAGATTTACATTTTCACTTCTTTTCATCCACACAAAAATTATTTTACCAATGAAATTAGTATATGGAATGAATCACTGAGTATGCAGCTTCCAACTGTGTTGGCCTGGTGTCCCCTTGAAGCATATTACAAACTGATAACTAATCTGCTCTCCCCATCTGGTCTCTGCCTCACTCACAGCATCTCCTGCTTTCCAAGTTATTCACACTGAATGTATATCCTTCCAGGGAAAACTAAAAAAATCAACAAATGTGATCCAATATGGTAAGATACCTGTGAAAAAATGGAATAATAGGATGAAACATGTGAACACTCTCTCACTTTGGTCTTATAAAGCATGGAAATTGGATACCCTATTTTGAGCTCACATTACAGGAGCAATTATCCCACATTTCGGAGAGTCAATTATCCTTGCCTGCCTACTTGATTCTGGTCTATCCACACCTGAAACATTCTATTTAATTTAAGATAATTAAGTTAAATAAATGATATAGCCAAATGGCAAAATAAAAGTAGAAAAGAAATAGCCAATGAGTAGAACAGCAGAATTAGCTTTTGAGAGAAGGCGGAAGACTTAGGATAGAAATGCAATGAATTCAAATGTACGATTTTTCTTACATTTTCTGCCTAATACTAAATGTGTTATTTAATCGACTATTCTGTCTTTCTCAAAAATTTTAAGAATCCATTTGAGACCTAGGACAATTTTATACTACCCTAGCACTCTCCATTATTCCTAGTATCTTATTTCTTCCTCTTTCTATATCATCTTAATTAGAAGAAACTCTTAAAATAATTTTATCTCCACCGTCTATACGTGTACTGCTTTGTAGCTTTTATTCTGAGACCAAGAGCCAGGACTTTTTCCTTTCCACCAGTTTTCCCTCCAACTAGTCCTCTGCATTCCACCAGAGAGTAATTGGTCCCTGAAAAATAAATAAACATCCTGGAGGCTTGTGGCAAGTGAAAGAATTTAGTACATATAGACAAAGAAATAATAGCTCAATATTAAAGTTATATTTGGCATTTCAGATTCCCAATACTCTTTTATACTACATGTATTGAATGGCCTTGTTAATCATAATGATAAATGATGGCTTTAAGTAATACATAATTTTTATCTTTTATCATAAGATGTAAATGCCTGAAGGCTATGGATATATAAAATAGATATGCTGTGGATGTTTCACTTAAATTATGTGTAATGACAACTCATGGAGCACAGCAAGTCATCTTCTTTTGATGTAAACTGATGTTCTCAATGATGTCATTTAAAGGCTAAAAGTAAGATCCTTTAGTTAATCAGTCAAGCCAGCCTGATCCAAGGGTAGGGGTGTAGGGCAGGTTTGCATGCTGGAGTAAATTAGGTTTGGAAGAGGGCCCAGACATGAGTGGAAAGGTGGAGTCTGGGTCTGGCACTAGAGAATCAGTCCTGTGTGGGGGTGTATAAAAGGGAGGCTCATAGTGGAATAGGAGTCCAGACATTTGCATAAGACTCAGATATAAAGCAGGTTTGTAATATTCAGGTAATGTTATAATGTAACTAAGACACTGTGCAGAATGTATTGGAAACCCAGAAAGTCAAAACAATTCTTAGTACTAATTCCATGTTTTGTTGTTATCCTCTCTCCGCCCCTTGAAAGCATTTTATTATGAAGTTATCATTCCACTGTAGGACACTGTGTCTGAAATATTATCTGTATATAATAATTTTTATATAAATGAATACATTGAAATAATGAGAACATGTGCATTGTGAAATAAGACTAGGAATTCAGTGGTCAGCTGAATAATGGCTCTCAAGGACATCACTGTCAAAATTCCTGGAATCTGTGAATGTTAACTTGCCTGAAAAAAGAAACTTTGCAGATATGATAAAGTTAAGGATCTTGGGATGAGAAGATTACTTTAGATTACCCCTGTGGCCCCAGCTAGGTCCTAAATGTAACCACAAGTGTTCTTATAAGTGGGAGGCAGAGGGAGATAGAAGAGGAGCTAGAACATGTGACCGTGAAAGCAAGAGGTTGAAGTCATTTGCAGAAGGAATGCAGGTGGCATCCAGAATCTAGAAAAGGCAAGAAACCAATTCTTCCCTGAATTCTGTAGAAGAAATCAGCCCTGATAACATATTGACTTTAATCTACTAAAATTGATTTGGGGTTTCTGGCTTCCGGCTTCCAGAACCGTTAAGAGAATACATTTCTATTGTTTTAAGCCAACACATTGTAGTAAGTTGTTACAGAAGCTGGGCAACTAATATAACTAGTAAAATAAGATATTCATAACTATAGAACTTATGTGGCCTTTCTAAATACAGCCTGTGGCAACTTCTGCTAAGGTTTTTCACTTGTATTATTTTTTATTGGTGCATTGTTATTTAAATTTTTTTCAAATATTTTCAGCCCTCACTTGATTGAATCTGTGGATATGAAACCCAAAGATGTAGAGAGTGCCAACTGTATGTGTGTGTACATATATATCTAATATAAAATATTGACTTAGACATTTATATATACTTATCCAACATAACACTTTTTTTTTTCTAAGATAGAGTCTCCCTCTGTCACCCAGGCTGGAGTGCGGTGGTGCGATCTCCGCTCACTGCAAGCTGCGCCTCCCGGGTTCACGCCATTCTCCTGCCTCAGCCTCCCGAGTAGCTGGGACTACAGATGCCTGCCACCACGCCTGGCTATTTTTTTTTTTTTTTTGTATTTTTAGTAGAGACAGGGTTTCACCGTGTTAGCCAGGATGATCTCGATCTCCTGACCTCGTGATCTGCCCGTCTCGGCCTCCCAAGTGGGATTACAGGCGTGAGCCACCGTGCCCGGCCCAACATAACACTTTTATACTATGCAATGTAATATATGCTATATAATATTAATGCAACATAACCTATAATAATATTTTTATGGTGCCTAGTAGAGACAGTGCAACTGTCCCTTAGAAAGAGGAAGAGGTAAATGAAAATATGGCAGATAAAGTAAGGAATATGATGTCATTTGGGGTAGGCTGAATAATGGCCTCCCAAAGATTCCTATGTCCTACTCCCTGTGAATATGTTGGGTTACATGGCAAGGAAAAATAAAGTTTTCAGATGGAATTCAAGTTGCTAATCACCTGAACTTAAAATTATGATACTATTCTGAATTATCTAGGTGGACCCTGGATAATCACAAGCATCCTTAAGTGGGGAGCAGAGGGGCAGAACTGTCAGGGTGATGCAATGTGAGAAAGGCTCAACAAACAATTGCTGCTGGCTTTGAGGATGAAAAGCGGCCATAAGTCGAGGAATGTGGGCAGACTTTGGAAGCTGGAAAAGGCAAGTAAACAAATTCTTCCCTAGAGCTTCCAGAAAAAAAAAAAAAAAAACTAATGCTGTCAACATCTTGATTTTAGCCCAGTGAGACCCATTTTGGGCCTCTGACCTCCAAAACTTAAGGGAATACATTTGTGTTGTTTTAAACCATTAAATTTCTGGTAATTTGTTACAGCAGCAATAGGAAAAGAGCACAAAGTTACTAGATCAATAGAGCAACACGAGTAGATATTAGAAACAGCATTGAATAGGAAAAAAAAAGAAGCAGAATAAAATATATATAACAGTGTAATTTATATAAATTAAAAATACACACAAACAATGCAATATTATAAAATAGGATGCATATCAAATGAATGGGTGCACCTTGAAGACAGGTGGAGAATGGAAGTGGGAGGAGTTTACAAAAAGAGTAAGAACTAAAATAAAATATGGAATCAGAACAGTGCTCTTTTCATTATAAAAAGTGCTATAAAGTTAAAGCACTCTTTTCATCATAAAAATGCAATAAAGTTAACATGAATAAAGACTTGAGCCTTTTTGCATGTTCATAGCTAATTTTTGAATGTCTAAGAAAGCTCAATAAAACTTACATCTACAGAAACATTTGTGTTCATTTATCTCTGCAGTGATTGATTAGCTAATTAATTAACTAACATGTGTCCCACATTGTCCTCCAAAGTATTTACCCATAAAATTCAAGAAGAAAAGAATTGTATAAAGTAAGTAAGGGAAATTATGGCAAAGGGATAATAAAGTGCAAATTTAACCAATATTATTTTTAGAAAACCCAAGTGCAATTCTGTATTCCACATTGTCCACCTGGCTGGTTTCCAACGACTTCTGTGTTTTCTGAACCTTAGGCTGTCTGATTACACCAAGCCACCAAGCACCTTCTGGGAAAAAGTACTGAGACTGAGATCTGGGATTCTAGAATTAGACTCTCTAAAAATAAACCTAGGGATTTCCGAACAACCTATTTTCTGCTTTTCTGAAATTCCAGGACAATCAAGAAATGAAGAACCTGTCTTGGTGATAATTTTGAAAATCTCTTCAGCCCCTTGGTGTCATTAAGATGAGAAGTAATCTCTTTTGATAGATTTAAGAAGGCATTGAACTTGAGCTTGTTCCAAAGAAGCAAATTACACTGGGGACATTTGCTGCTCTCTGGGTCCACAGCACGGTATGGCGTCTACATTGCATTTTGCTAATATTCTTGATGTTTTCTGACGTATGCACGACTGTGGAGGCTGATATCCTTGGAATGTCTTCAAACACAAACCTTTTGATCTGGAGACTCTTTTAAACTAGTCATAATAGCATCTCCATTAACTGTTCTGTTATTTTCTCCTCCCTGCACGTGCCACTTCAACCAGTGCCAGGAGCTTATGGGATTTCAGTGTCTTTTTAAACAAAATTTCAATTGACAGATAATTTTTTTATATTTAGGCAGGCATGGTGGCTCATACCTGTAATCCCAACACTTTGGGAGGCTGAGGTGGGCAGATCACTTGAGATCAGAAGTTTGAGAGCAGCCTGGCCAGAATGGTGAAACCCTGTCTCTACTAAAAATACAAAAAAATTAGCTGGGCGTGGTGGTGCATGCCTGTAGTCACAGCCACTCTGGAAGCTGAGGTGAGAGGATTGCTTCAACCTGGGAGGCGGAGGTTGCAGTGAGCCAAGATCGTGTCACTACACTCCAGTCTGGGTGACAGAGTGAGACTCTATCTTAAATAATAATAATAATAATGATAAGCCAGGTGCAGTGGCTCACGCCTGTAATACCAGCACTTTCGGAGGCCAAGGTGGGCAGATCACCTGAGGTCAGGAGTTCAAAACCAGCCTGGACAAAATGGTGAAATCCCGTCTCTACTAAAAATACAAAAATTAGCTGGGTATGGTGGTGGACGCCTGTAATCACAGCTACTTGGGAGGCTGAGGCAGGGGAATCACTTGAACCCAGGAGGCGGAGGTTGCAGTGAACCAATATTGCACCACTGCATTCCAGCCTGGACAATAGAGTGAGATTCCATCTCTTAAATAAATAAATAAATAATTTCTTATATTTAAGTAGTAAAATGTGGTGTTTTGTTCTATGTATACATTGTAGAAAGATTCAATCAAGGTAATTAACGTACCTTTCACCTTACCAACTTAACATTTTTTTGAGGGGAGAATATTAAAAATCTATTCTTAAGCAATTTTGAAATATACAATATATTATTATTAACTGTGGTCACAAAGTCTTATTAGTTGCTTGTTCTTGCCTTGGGATATAGAGAAATAAATAGAGGAATATATTCAGGAATGAGGAAAACAGAGAAATATAACATTTTATAAAGTTTTGAATAAATATTTTGCATGAGAATCATGAGGAATTTCCCCTTTTTATCTTCCTTGCCTTGAGTCATTATTATTTTAAAATAATTTAAAATGTTGCTAAAGAAAGAAATCAAAATGATTGAAGAGAAAAATATTAAAAGAGAGAAACTCTCAGAAAAACATTAAAAGGAGAATGGCAGAAAGAACTAATATGGAGCATGACATTGGAATTAGAAATAAGACCACAATATAAGGTAAGAATTAAAAATAGATAAAATAGTAGCAAAATTAAATGAGCTAAAGACATATTAAAAAACAAAAAGGTGAATAATTAAAATTAAGCAAAAACAAGTATGAGGAAGGTGCACCCTGGTTATTGAGTTATAAAGCATACAAATGGAGGATGATGGCTACGCCATGGGTACAAATGTTGGGGTGGGAAGAGTGAAAGTAAGAGGACTGAGAAGATTTATGAGGGATATGGGAGAAAGTGGGGTGAGAGGCAGTGGTCAAAGTGTGAGCAGTAGGTGCTTTGGGTGAGTACAGCCTTTCCCTCTTTGAGGAAGGCTGGGACACAGTCAGAACATGCTATCACCTCTTTGTTACTTCTGTCTTGTTGTCTGGATCATTAGTGGAAGAGTCTGCTTCCTAAAAGGTTGGCAGTGGAGGGGGTTTCAAAGTTCACTCACAGAAAAAGTAGAATAGCAATGCATAGACTCAAGGTATGGGAAAGTGAAAGAACACGAGAAGTTTTGGGTCAGCCCTGGGGAAGACAGAAAACATATGGTCAGTTTAGAGAAGAGATAACATCCATTTACTCTGCTCTGGGCAAGAATAGGTTAGAAGTAATCATCATTTAATTGACGCCTTACTTGAGGGTCAATTTTATGCACCTGCCGTTTGCCTTGAAATAGGTTCTAAATACCCAAAGTAAATATTTACTAAGAAAATAAGCATTCTTGCTTTTATTAACCTAATTTCCAAAATTCAAATTAAGGTGTAAGTTTATTTGTTACTACCTTGCTGGAATTATATACCCCATGTTTTATTTATCAATTGCCTTCTTTACACAATATAGCACTTTATATTGTTAGAATGATAAGCAGGAGAATGTGATAGCTCTGTCACAAAGAGCTGGTAATGAATAAGTGAATTATAGAGGCCATCTCTTCTATTCTGCTTTGTTTAATTCTACCCTCTCTGATTTCTTCCATTTTCCAATAACATGACTTTCTTTTTGGAGATCCCTTTGTGTGAGATTTAGATGGGACTGAGGCTACCCTGTAGCCACAGGTATAAGAATAAAATAATGTGACTTCAGGATTAATTATTCACTATGGCATTCATAGGAATATAAGGAGTTTTAAGAGATTCTGTTCTTCAGGGATGTGCAATTCTGTTTAATATCTAAATTATTTCCACAGAAAAATAAATAAAAATGCTTTGATGCACAAACTGAGTGATGGACAAATGGGGAAGAGAATTATTCCTGTAGGAATTTGAAATCAAAGGAGGTATAACCAAAAAAGACTAAGGTGTTCTAGGAGGTCACAATGAAGGAGCTGAGATTTTAATTAGGTATAGACCTTAGTTTGTTCTGTCTTGAAGAGAGGAAAAGACAGAAAAAAAAATGGTAAAGAGTAAGAAACACATTGTTGAGTTATGGTTTGGGAAGAGGTGGAGGAGGGAGGGATCAGTGTGAGCAAAGCTATCAAAATGGAACTAAGTACTTTGATAAGGAAAACAGAAATGTGAAGTTAGGAAAGAGATGGACGAAGGAAGAGGAGAAAACATATTTATGTCATATTTATGTCAAGAATCATAGCTTTTACAGGCATACCTTGGAGATATTGTGAGTTCAGTCTATTAAGTGGTAACAGCATTGATATGGCTTGGATCTTGGATTTTTTTGAGTGTTCTCACCCAAATTTCATGTTCAATTGTAATTCCCAGTGTTGCAGGTGGGAAGTGATTGGATCATGGGGGCAGTTAAAAGAAAACTTTAGACAAATTAAATTTAACAGAGTTTAATTGAGCAAGAGAAAAACATTTGCAAATTGGGCAGACTCCTGAATCACAGCAGATTCAGATAGACTCCAGGGGTGTGTCATGGTCACAGCAAATTTATAAACAAAAAAAGGAAAGTGATGTACAGAAAGCAGACATGAGTTACAGGAACAGCTGGATTGGTTACAGCTTGGCATTTGCTTTATTTGAACACAGTTGAACAGTCAGCAGCATATGAGTGGTTCAAGTATGGCTGCTGGATTTGGCTGAGACTCAGCAGTTGTTACAGAAGCATACTCCTAAATTAAGTTTTCAGTCTTGTCTACCTACTAGTTAAGTTATGGTTTGTTCTCAAGGACTCAAATATGGAAGTACAGAAGCTTTTGCAGGCCATATTTAGTTTGATTTAACAGGTTGAAGTTCTCATGAATGGCTTAGTACCATCCCCTCCTTGGTATTGTATAGTGAGTGAGTTCTCACAAGATCTGATTGTTTTAGAGTATGTAGCACCTTTCCCCTCTCTCTCTTCCTCCTACTCTGGCCATTTAAAATGTGCCTGCCTCCCTTTTACCTTCTGCCATTATTGTAAGCTTCCTGAAGCCTCCCCAGAAGCAGGAGCTACTATGATTCCTGTACAGACTGCAGAACCATGAGTTAATTAAACCTCTTTTCTTTATAAATTACTCAGTCTCAGGTATTTCTTTATAGTAGTGCAAGAACTGATTAATACAGAAAATTGGTACTGAGAAGTGGGGAACTGCTGTAAAGATACTTGAAAATGTGGAAGCAGCTTTGGAACTGAGTAACAGACAAAGATTGGTATAGTGTGGAGGGCTCAGAAGAAGGTGGGAAAATGGAAAATAACTTTGGAACTTTATAGAGACTTGTAAAGTTCTTGTGACCAAAATGCTGATAGTGATATGGATAATGAAGTCCAGGCTGAGGAAGTCTCAGATGGAAATGAGGAACTAATTAGGAACTGGAGCAAAGGTCACTGTTGTTATACATTAGCAAAGAGGTTGGCTGCATTGTGCCCCTGCCCTGGGGACTTGTGGAAGTTTGAAGTTGAGAATGATTACTGAAGTTATCTGGTGGAAGAAATTTCCAAGCAGCAAAGTGTTCAAGATTTGGCCTGGCTGATTCTAACCATCTATTCCCATTGTGTGAGCAAAGAGATGATCTAAAACTGGAACTTATATTTAAAGGGGAAGCAGAGCATAATAGTTTGGAAAATTTGCAGTCTGGTCATATAGTAGAAAAAGGAAAGCCCATTTTCAGGGGAGGAATTCAAGCAGATTGCAGAAATTTACATAACTAAAAGGAAGGCAAGTGCTGATATCCAAGACAATGGAGAGAAAACCTTGAAGGCATTTCAGAAACCTTTGTGGCAGCCCTTCCCATCACAGGCTTGGAGGCCTGGGAGGACAGAATGGTATCATTGGCCACACTCAGGGCCCAACTGCCCTGTGCAGCTTTGGGACACTGCTCCCTGAATCCCACCAGTTCCAGCTCCTGCTCCAGCCATGGCTAAAAGGGGCCCAAATACAGCTTGCATGTATAGGCATGAGCCACTGCGCCCAGCCCACCCTCATCCCCCTTTTAACTATACAGCATCTCCTGCTTGGCACTAAGTAATTGGCAACTTTATTTTGTCCATTTGTCTTCTGATTATCTTTTCTTTTCTCAACTTGCTTGCAAGGTCTTTAAGGACAGAAACTACATCTCTTTCGGCTCTCCACTGTACTTATAAAACCCAGGAGAGGGCATATACTGAGAACCAGAAGAGAGTATTAATGAATGAATATAATGAATTAAATAATTAGACAGAAAAAAAGAAAGGCAGCAGATAGAACAGATTGGACTCTTTTGCAATTCTTCAGATGTGAGGTGGTTGCAGATAATACACAGGTGTGGAACACAGAATGTATTTTACAGCACCTTCTGTAACGTGTTATAGATGTTGAACTGGAAAATAAACTTTTAATGATATATTGATGAAAAATTTTGATTCCATATAATTTATAGCAATTTTAAGGTCAGTGACCTTTTCAAATATTTTTAAGATAGCTTAAACTAAAAACCTTTAGATAAAGAAGAATGCAATATTATAAAAACATGAAATAATTATTTTCATATACTTATATATGGCATCACTTGTAAGAGAGAAGAAATTGATGCATATTAACCTCAAAGATCAGGAAAAGGAGATTTATTTAGGCTTTGATTATCAGAATGAAATCCATTCTGACTGACTCTTAGTGGCTGTAGATAACTTATCTATCTGGATGAGGTGCAAGAAAAAAGCCTCTCATCTCAGGCAATTTAATCAGATCTTAGGATCATTATCAGATATAATACTTCAAGGATCTCTGGAATGACAAAAATAATCAGCACTGACAAGCAATTCCCTAGAGGTCCATGGTGTGAACTGATAATAAATGCAAAGACAGGCTACCATGATAAGTAAAAATTAAGTCCTAAGCTTTATTGGTGAACAATTTGTTGAGGGAGAGGTCAGCTAATCTTTGACACAATCCAGACTTCTTTTTAACTTAAAATAAGAGGCCAAATTAATTTTAAACAACCCAAATCAATCTGTCTCTATGGTTTTAGATTTTCATTATCAAAACCTCTAAAATTAGTTGTCCTAAACTAGACATTAACCTTAGTGCCCCAGCTACACATAGAATACTTGAAAACCAACATTAGGTAATGAAAAATACAGACTGAAATGTGACAATTACAGTCACCAACTTGTAATTTGCTTATTATTTTCAGAAAAAACTGAGATGAAGAAGATATAATTATCCATATAGGGAGAAAAATATGCCCTGGAGAAATTGTAGTACTATTATCCTGTTATCTGATCTATGCTAAAGCCATCTGGTGGGCTTACAGGTTAAAGACTACTCATTTCTCATTTACAACACCAGCTACAACAAATTTAAAGAGCACATTTTTTGGTCACATGATGGAGAATGAATAGGTAGATGCTACCAGGCATGGCTGGTGGAGGAAGACCCTTCCATCTTCATTTAAAAAGTGCATGTTTAATTAGGGCTTCAATTTGGCACAGACTCAGATTAATCATGTGACATTAGGCATGATAGAATATGCTTCCAAATCCAAAAATGTGCTTTGATATACCATTTCATCAGTGACTGTCATAATATCATTATTTTACAAATATAGAAAATGATACTGTGGGAATTCAAGTACATTTGGAAAGTACTGTTAGTAAAAAGAACTTCAGTTTTGCTCAAGAGAAATTAATTTTTTCTAAAACTCATGGGCCCCCATTATCTTTTCTGGTTAATGCTATCTTGTTATGATATAAGTCATATTAATCTCCATCTATCTTTATTTAAGTTTTACTTGGCCAGGCTGATGAGATGACAGGTCATCTTGTAGATGTGTCAGTGTTACAACACACTGAAAACTATGAAATAAGATGAGCATTAACACTGAGCTAATTCTCTACTCAGCAAGTAGAAAATGTCCATTTCCATGAAAACTGATTGTGAAAAATGAGAATAGTCAGTTAAGGATCTAGACATAGCTAGTGGACAGAATCTGACATGCACTCTTGACTCAGTCTCAGTTTCATTTTCCCTGCATGAATAGGATCTGTATTTGAGAATGATAACAAACATTTTGTATAAACCTGAGAAATTATATATATATTTGTATGTGTAGGTATGTATACATATATGTATGTATATGCGCATATACATACATATATGTATATACATATATATGTGCATGTGTGTATATGCATATATATACATTTTTAAAAATTAGATGTTTCATAATTACTCTCATTTTTTTTTCTGTAAGTCTCTTTTATTCCTATTTGATTTGGAAGGTGAAAATTTTAGACCCATGTCCAAGTCTCTATCTTCTCATTATTTGTCATTTAAAGTACACTTCTTAGTATTTAGGTCTGTCTTCATTATTATGACATGAGTATAACCATATTGTACTACGTGCTTTAAATATACTATGGCATTTAATTTTTTTTTTTTTTTTGGAGACAGAGTTTTGCTCTTGTTGCCCAGGCTGGAGTACAATGGTGCAATCTCAGCTCACTGCAACCTCTGCCTCCCGGGTTCAAGTGATTCTTTGTGCCTCAGCCTCCCAAGTAGCTGTGATTACAGGCACCTGCCACCACGCCCAGCTAATTTTTTATATTTTTGGTAGAGACGGGGTTTCACCCATGTTGGCTAGGCTGGTCTTGAACTCCTAACCTCAGGTGATAGCATTTAATTTTTATAAGAACTTGCCCAAGGTGTCACAGCTATGAAATGCTAGAGACAGGGTTGGAATCCAGGTGTCTCTCCACAGCCCATATTCTTAATCTTTATTTTGCTTCCAGGTGGTTGAGCACTGTAGCCATGCTTCTCTAACTTTAGTGGGATTATGAATCATTGGGCATCTTGTTAAAATGCAGATTCTGATTCAGCAAGTCTGGAGAGGGGTCTGAGAGTCTGCCTTTTTAACCAATTCTCAAGTGATACTGATGGTGCTAGTTTGTGGAACACACATTGAGTAGCAAGATATTATATCACTCTGAACCTAGAGAAGATTACCTCTTTTTGTTTGTTTTCTTTTTTAGCTGCATGCCAGGTTATACATGGTAATATTCATCATACTGTATCATCAAGCAATCTCTAGGTAAGCAGTGCCCTAGAGAAGTGAGAATCAGCTCTACCACCGTTTTCCCATGGGTGCTTGTCATTTGATTTCTCTGAGTCAGCTTCTTATTGAAACAGAAAAATGAGTAGGTTAGACTAAATCATTGTTATCATCATTATTACCATCATCATCATCATCATGACCATCATCATCATCTAAAGTTTATTGAGTGCTTATGATAAGCTCGGAACCTCTTAAAAGCCTTATTATAAGCTCAGAGCTGTTGCTTTACATTGATTCTATCGTTTAATCCTCAAAATCATTTTATAAAGTAAATTGAGACATTACAAAGGTTAAGTAAATTTCAATATATGCCTATGATTCTAAATGATGCTGTTATCTTAAAGAATTCCATGTTGTAGGTTGCCTGTTCACTCTGATGGTAGTTTCTTTTGCTGTGCAGAAGCTCTTTAGTTTAATTAGATCCCATTTGTCAATTTTGGCTTTTGTTGCCATTGCTTTTGGTGTTTTGGACATGAAGTTCTTGCCCACACCTATGTCCTGAATGGTAATCCCTAGGTTTTCTTCTAGGGTTTTTATGGTTTTAGGTCTAACGTTTAAATCTTTAATCCATCTTGAATTGATTTTTGTATAAGGTGTAAGGAAGGGATCCAGTTTCAGCTTTCTACATATGGCTAGCCAGTTTTCCCAGCACCATTTATTAAATAGGGAATCCTTTCCCCATTGCTTGTTTTTCTCAGGTTTGTCAAAGATCAGATAGTTGTAGATATGCGGCGTTATTTCTGAGGGCTCTGTTCTGTTCCATTGATCTATATCTTTGTTTTGGTACCAGTACCATGCTGTTTTGGTTACTGTAGCCTTGTAGTATAGTTTGAAGTCAGGTAGTGTGATGCCTCCAGCTTTGTTCTTTTGGCTTAGGATTGACTTGGCGATGTGGGCTCTTTTTTGGTTCCATATGAACTTTAAAGTAGTTTTTTCCAATTCTGTGAAGAAAGTCATTGGTAGCTTGATGGGGATGGCATTGAATCTGTAAATTACCTTGGGTAGTATGGCCATTTTCACGATATTGATTCTTCCTACCCATGAGTATGGAATGTTCTTCCATTTGTTTGTATCCTCTTTTATTTCCTTGAGCAGTAGTTTGTAGTTCTCCTTGAAGAGGTCCTTCACATCCCTTGTAAGTTGGATTCCTAGGTATTTTATTCTCTTTGAAGCAATTGTGAATGGGAGTTCACTCATGATTTGGCTCTCTGTTTGTCTGTTGTTGGTGTATAAGAATGCTTGTGATTTTTGTACATTGATTTTGTATCCTGAGACTTTGCTGAAGTTGCTTATCAGCTTAAGGAGATTTTGGGCTGAGAAGATGGGGTTTTCTAGATAAACAATCATGTCGTCTGCAAACAGGGACAATTTGACTTCCTCTTTTCCTAATTGAATACCATTTATTTCCTTCTCCTGCCTGATTGCCCTGGCCAGAACTTCCAACACTATGTTGAATAGGGGCAGTGAGAGAGGGCATCCCTGTGCAACCTACTCATCTGACAAAGGGCTAATATCCAGAATCTACAATGAACTCAAACAAATTTACAAGAAAAAAACAAACAACCCCATCAAAAAGTGGGCGAAGGACATGAACAGACACTTCTCAAAAGAAGACATTTATGCAGCCAAAAAACACATGAAAAAATGCTCATCATCACTGGCCATCAGAGAAATGCAAATCAAAACCACTATGAGATATCATCTCACACCAGTTAGAATGGCAATCATTAAAAAGTCAGGAAACAACAGGTGCTGGAGAGGATGTGGAGAAATAGGAACACTTTTACACTATTGGTGGGACTGTAAACTAGTCCAACCATTGTGGAAGTCAGTGTGGTGATTCCTCAGGGATCTAGAACTAGAGATACCATTTGACCCAGCCATCCCATTACTGGGTATATACCCAAAGGACTATAAATCATGCTGCTATAAAGGCACATGCACACGTATGTTTATTGCGGTATTATTCACAATAGCAAAGACTTGGAACCAACCCAAATGTCCAACAATGATGGACTGGATTAAGAAAATGTGGCACATATACACCATGGAATACTATGCAGCCATAAAAAATGATGAGTTCATGTCCTTTGTAGGGACATGGATGAGATTGGAAATCATCATTCTCAGTAAACTATCGCAAGAACAAAAAACCAGACACCGCATATTCTCACTCATAGGTGGGAACTGAACAGTGAGAACACATGGACACAGGAAGGGGAACATCATACTCTGGGGACTGTTGTGGGGTTGGGGGAGGGGGGAGGGATAGCATTGGGAGATATACCTAATGCTAGATGATGAGTTAGTGGGTGCAGCGCACCAGCGTGGCACATGTATATATATGTAACTAACCTGCACATTGTACACATGTACCCTAAAACTTAAAGTATAATAATAATAAATAAATTTAAAAAAAAAAAAAGAATTCCATATGCCTGAAATAACTAAGTAGAATTTATAGTTATAAGTGTAGAATTGTATAGAAACAATTGTCAGGCTTTAGATATCAGATAAGTTATAGAAGATACATGTCCAATCATTTACAAATTCTTTGAACCTCAGTGTCCTTATTTGTAGAGAAAAGAGAACATTATCTACTCTAAAGTATATTTGTGAGAATTAGAAGGATAGTTCATGCAAAGAATCTAGTGATTTGTCTGATGGAGACTCAAATAACAGTCACTGTCATAGTTAGTTTAGAGAGAAAACTAAAATATTATGGTGGCCTGAGGCCTTATTTCATTGGGTAAATGAAGAAGCAATGAGCTTTATGTGGCTCTTTGTCAACTTTTTTTCCTCAACATCTGATACAAAATATTAGGATCTTGGCTATTAGATCTCCTATAGAATTACAGCCCTGTCTTTTATGAGTTCCCATTTTGAGGTTATAAAAGCATAAGTGACATGTTTTCTTAGTACCTTTATAATTTTCAGTTACTATTTTTATCTAAACTATCCAAGTTTCCACCTTAATTTTTTAAGAAAATTGTTTAATTTTAATTGAATCACAATAATAGAAATACAACCATTACCAAGATTAAAGTGGAACTGTGACGTGATCTTTTTGAGAGTAAATTATGGCATTACTTGGCTAAATGGATCATTGACTTTGGGTATTAAAGTGATCTATTTGTTTAAACGTATTAAAACTTAACTAAAATAGCCACACGTGCCATTAACAGGTACTTAGAGCCTTGGTTTTTGATATTTGAAAACACCATACTTCCACACTGTTTGCTAACGAAGTTCATTGAAAGATTCCAAAGTATTTTTGTGGCAGGAAATAATCATTTCATCTATTCCTGCTCTCATTCACCCGACAATTACTGAGCACCTATGGAAAGCTAGATCCCTGTCGAGGGTATTGAAAAGAAAGATGAATGAGATGTTGTGCAAGACCCAGGAAGCTCACTTTATTAGTCTATCAGGTAGCTATATTCATGGAAGACTAGAATATAACTTGTGTCGTAAGAGATGTCATATTACAATGCCAAGAGGCAGGTTGTCTGCAGGCATTGCATACTCATCTTCATCAGCATAAAACAAAGTTGAAACTGTGTGCTCATGACATAAACAAAGCTCCAAGATGGGTCCCCTTGCCTGCCCCCACTATCCTTCCCTTGCAAATGGATTCTTCCTCTGAGTCTCCCATGCAGAAATTTTGAGATCACCTGAAGAAGTAACATTATATAGAAAGTTATTCTATTCTTCTCTCTGAGCCTTGGGAGGTGAGCTCATATCTAAACTGAGATTTAAAGGCCAAATGAAGATTTTTCTGGCAAAGAATTGGGTGTACGGCATTCCACACAGGAGAAAGGACAAAAATTTTAAGCCAGGCAACACCGCCAATCATCATAATGTGCTTGGAGAGTTTCCTTCTCCTCAGTTTTCTTTCCTACAATATAGAAACAATCATTCCCATGTCTTTACAATCCTGTGCAGGTTGCATGCTTGAAAAATTAAGTGTGCTCAACAAATGTTACTTCTCATATTCTTTCCTGTGCTGGAAGAATGGCATATGCAAGTGTATGTGTATGTGGGCAGGAAAAGAAATGATGTATGAAGAGAATGGTGGCATGTGTGATGGGGGAGAGGAGGAAGAAAAGAAAAGAAAGTAGGTGTGGTGGGGAGAGGATAAAGCAGGAGCGATGATGGCTGAGATGGCATCCTGATGTTAAAGTAGAAACATGCCATGCAAAGGTTTTTACGCCACCCTAAGAAGTTTGTATCTATCTCATTCACACGAAGAAAGAGTGGAAATTGTTTCTATATATTTTTATTTATTTATTTATTTATTTATTTAATTATTTATTTATTTATTTATTTGAGATGGAGTCTCACTCTGTCACCCAGGCTGAAGTGCAGTGGCACGATTTTGGCTCACTGCAACCTCCACTCCCTGGGTTCAAGCGATTCTCCTGCCTCAGCCTCCCGAGTAGCTGGGATTACAGGCACCTGCCACTGCGCCTGGCTAATTTTTGTATTTTTAGTAGAGACAGGGTTTCACCATCTTGGCTGGTCTTGAACTCCTGACCTCGTGATCCACCCACCTCGGCCTCCCAAAGTGCTGGGATTACAGGCATGAGCCACCGCGCCTGGCTTGTTTATATATTTTTAAAAGCAGAACAATTAGACAGATGTACAAACAGATAAATCTTAGCACGAGCAGGAAGAATAAATGGAACTGGGAGTATGGGAATCAGGGAGACCAACTGAAGCTTCCTAAGCCAGTTTATGAAAGAAAGGATGAGAATTAGTTACTAAGTAAATAGAAAGGAGAAGAGAATAAATGGGAAGACACTTGGAAATCTTGTCTGGTAAGTGAATTGGTACGTCTGTGGTCCATTGACCATGGGAGTGGCAGGGAAGTAAGAGAGATATAGGCATTTGGGAAAGACCATAGGGGCTGAGTTGGTGGTGATGCCAAAACTTTCCTGTTTTTGTTATCAAAAGCACTCTCACATTCAGCCTATTTCATCTTGGGGTATTGTTCATGATATGAACAGCAGAAAACAATTAGGTTCTTCTTGGTCTTTTACCTGACTTGCAGTTCTTCTTGGAATTGACTAGGGATGGAAGAAGAAGAGTGCATGGCTGAAAAAGGTTCAGATGAGGATGTCTCACTTCTTCCTATTTCCATTCTGCCACCCTGCCTATTTACTGATTTCCCTGCTACCTCTGGTGGAAGGTGGGAGAGGCTGTGCTTCAGCAGGCTGTAAGTGGTGCTGGGGCATGCCTGCCTTGTGTGACTGACTGTGGGAGAGTAATTGTCCGCTTGCAGCAGAGATGAAGCAATTCTTTAGTTCTTTCAAGAATGTGTAAGAAAGTCAGGAAAAGCTTGTTCTCTCCACAGGGGAGAACTGGGAATATGTTTTTTATTTTTTTCTGTCTTGCAGTTTTAGAAAAGATGATTCCCAATGGGTTTATAACAAAATGAATTGTTTACATGTTAGATTAAGTTTAATCTTAAGGTTAACTTGGAGTTCAAAATAATTTATAAATATATTTTTGAACCTGCCCCATTCTGAGGAAACTATGTAATTTATCTTACTTAGGATATGTATTAATTGGTTTACATAGTAAAATCTGCACTTAAATGATTATGATTATTTCCAACACTTACCCAGACTAAGAAAATATCCAATGCTACTTTTAGTCTGCAGAAGTTTAAAAAATGTTTCCTGATTCTTAAATATAAAAACTAAAATGGAAAATCTGATGAATATCTATTTAACCAGTTAGCTAACTAAAGAACTGAAAAATAGGAATTCAGGTGAATGTTTACATTTTTTGAATATTGTGGGAAATGCTATATCTTCTATGGATACAAACATTTAAAAATTAGTAGAGGGCAATTTTAACAAATATAGAGTATTTTATTCTTAAAATAAAAAATAAGCATATCAAAGTTATTCAGAAGAAAATGAAGGAAGAAAAACACCAAAATATTTAGTAGTATTTAAATTTGAATGACAGAATTATGGATACATCAATTGAAAAATCACCAAATTATAAATTTAGAAAGGAGACTTTATTTCTTATGAAAGGTTACAATCTGCAGGTTGGCCACCACCCAGGCTGGGGAGCATAGGTACCAGGAAAGCCAAAAGGCAGGAACTTGGAAGGAGGGAAGGTGAGACAGGAATTTATCGTGAAGGGGTTGGCTAAGTATTCAACAAGTTATAGGAGGAGCTATGGATATTCACAAACAGGGTCCTGACATGTGCGTACTGAACAAACATCCATGTTTCATACAACCCCCTATTCACTTTGGGATGAAGACATTACCTTTAAATATATTACAATTAGGCGGTATACATCAAAAGCTGAAGCAGAGTGCTCAGGTGCCCAGTCTCTGTAAACCAGTCAGAGCCAGTCCATGGTCAGCGTTCTCTTATCAGGAGAAAACTACTAAAATCAGTCTCTTGGTTTGATCAAAGCTGTAGTTACGGCTGGTGGAGCCAGGGGGTCAGTGAGTCAGTGTCTGGAGGAGGATGAACCGTCATGGTTTCAATATTGCTTATCTCAAGGCCATTGTTTATTTAGCTACCAGAAAAAAAGAACAACATTGTGGCAGTTAGAACATAGTTTATTTAAATGTAAGGATGAGTGACTTCATCCTTGCCTGGCATGGCCTTAGGTCTTGTTTATAATTTGGTATTTTATTGCCACAAAGAGTTTATTCCATCAGTCTTATGGTCTCTATTTTAACATTAATGCTGATCAGTTGTGTCCGAACTGCAAAAGGGAGGAGGTACAACAAGGTGTGTCCAACCTCTCTTCCTATCATGGCTGGGAACTCAGTTTTTAAGGTTTTTCTAGGATCCTCTTGGCCAAAAGGGGTCTGTTTCATCCTTTGGGGGACTTAGGATTTTATTTTTAGTTCTCACATCATGGTTTCTTGTTTCCTTTTTTTTCTTATAATTTTGTTTTTCCTATATATCTTGTATTAGTTCATTCTCGCACTGCTATAAAGAAATACCTGAGACTGGATAATTTATAAAGAAAAGAGGCTTAATTGGCCCACAGTTCTGCAGGCTGTACGGGAAGCATGATGCTGGCATCTGCTCAGCTTTTGGGGAGGCCTTGGGAAACTTACAATCACGACACAAGGCAAAGGGGAAATGAGGCCTCTCACATGGTGGGAGCAGGCGGAAGAGAAAGAGTAGGGAGGTGCTACACACGTTTAAACAACCAGATCTTATGATAACTCACTCACTATCATGAGAACAGCACCAAGAGAATGGTATTAAACCATTCCTGAGAAACCGCCCCCATGGTCAAATCACCTACCATCAGGCTCCACCTCCAACACTGGGGATTACATTTGAGATTTGTGTGGGGACACAGATCCAAACCATATCGAGTCTTATTACTTCTAGAATAGAAACAGACCAGAAAGATATATAAATTAAACTAAAAAATCCAAAGGAAAATAGTACATTATTTCAGTGATTAAATAACATTAACTGCCATGCAATAACAATTATGATCATGATAAGATAAAAGAGAGGAGGAGGGAGAGGAGAAGGAAGAGATAAATGTTTAATATTTATTGAGCACTTACTCTGTGCCAAACATTTGTTCATGCTTCATGGATAACCTCACTTCAAAACGCTATAGGTAAGAATTATTATTATCCGACCTTAGACATTAAGCAGCTGAGGCAGAAGTGAAAAGTCTCACCAAACATCACATGGAAGTTGAATTCAATAAGCAATTGATTTGAAAACCTGTGTAATCTCTAGATCATATCATCTTCATGATAATGAGAAGGGACCTTTTCTCACCATTTTCTTTTATGGCCATAGCATCATCTTATCAAATATTTATAGGCTTTCCCATGCAGATTGAATAAAGCATGATTCTTAGCCTTGTGAATCTTTTTTTTTTTTTTTTTTAGGTAATAGAGAAACAGCTAAATTAAAAGAACTGTTGCTTATCTCTCATTTTTACTTTATAAAATGTCATTTAGTTCCTCTTTTTTTCTTAAATGAGTGTTTTTACAACCTACACTTCATTAAGAAAGACATGCTGATATCAAGTAATTCTTTACTGGTTCTTGCCTTTCCTAAAATATCCTGTAACCTTCCATCATTATACTGGATCCTTTCTGCCTACGGTTAATAAAAAGCTGGCCATGGCTAAGGTGTCCCCAGAAACTCTTTCATATTTGTCATTCACTGATCTATGAGAGAGACTCATTTTTATTGCAAGTTCCTTGGAGACCTCACCCTATTGGCTCTGTTGCCCTGTGATGGACAATTTGCTTGTTAGTTTTTTTGAAGCCTGTTACTGATTCCCTCTCTTTAGGTAGGAGCAATATAAATTTTGGTAGAAAATACCTGTCTCCAATTTCAGGTATTGTGCTTCACACTATCCTGACTCCAGAGAGGGAGCATGGGAAAACACAGGCCTTATTTTATACTCTAAATATCTCTATAGGTCATAATTGGTTTAGGGGTAGGTTCAGGAATACAAGATCTAGGTAGCCTATTAGAATGATTGCCAGAGCTTAAACATGGCCTATTTAAAGAGACTTGTCTGCTATTTAGCTTGTACTTGGAATAATATTAGCCTGGAACTGAAAGGGTCCCCAAATACGGGATCTGAAAATGAAGTCAACAGGACCGCAGATGAAGCCAAGAAATAAAGAAACACCAAGTCCTGGTGACACCATCATTTTAGTTCTGAAATCAAGCCACCTCTTGATCTAGTCCCACTCCCAGAACATTTCAGTTACATAACTCAGTAAGTGTTATTCTATGTTCCTTATTTTAATTTATGGTAAGTCTTCTATCACTTGCAAAAGAAAGAGTGCAGCGGCATCCCCTTTACAAGCCAACTCTTCGTCTCTCTTACTCTCTGGAATCCACAGAAGAGAATGGAGTTACGATAATTTGGGGAAATACTAGATGGAGCATAATATCATAAAATATGGCACAAATTAGAAGCATGTGACACTGATCCAATTGAACTTCCAGGCAGAGAACCAGAGATTGAAAGATGTCAAATAGTTCTTCATAACCTTTAGACAAAGATCTGAGAAGACAAAGCATCTCTTTACCACAACAGTTCTCAGCCTTGGCTACTCATTGGCATCTCCTTGGAAGCCTTAAAAACATGCTGATGCTGGATCCCAAGGCCAGAGATTCTGATTTAATTGGTTTGTGGTGGGGCCTATCCTTGAAGTTGTAGAAAAGCTCCTCAGGTTATTCTAATGTCAAGCCAGTGTTGAGAATCACCACTTTAAAGAAATGGTTGTAAGAGTAAGGAAAAGCTGCAGATAAGGTACATAATGATTACTCGTTTACTAAAAACACTTTATCCAGCATCCAGGACATTCATAAATCTGTAACAAAGCCTTTTCTAATGACTAACAGCGTGGCCACCAAGTTCCATTGAAATGCATGGAAAGAAAAGGAGTATCTAGGGGGCAGGATTAGGAGAAGGGGGAGCAACAGTCCAAAGGTTAAATTTAATATCCCACAGGACAAATTGGTCAGCCCCGCTTGACCTTTTTATATACATATATATATATATATATATATATATATTTTATTATTTAAGTTTTAGGGTACATGTGCACAACTTGCAGGTTTGTTACATATGTATACATGTGCCATGTTGGTGTGCTGCACCCATTAACTCGTCATTTACATTAGGTATATCTCCTAATGCTATCCCTCCCACCTCCCCCGACCCCACAACAGGCCCTGGTGTGTGATGTTCCCCTTCCTGTGTCCAAGTGTTCTCATTGTTCAATTCCCACCTGAGTGAGAACACGCGGTGTTTGGTTTTTTGTCCTTGCAATAGTTTGCTGAGAATGATGGTTTCCAGCTTCATCCATGTCCCTACAAAGGCCATGAACTCATCATTTTTTATGGCTGCATAGTATTCCATGGTGTATATGTGCCACATTTTCTTTATCCAGTCTATCATTGTTGGACATTTGGGTTGGTTCCAAGTCTTTGCTATTGTGAATAGTGCCGCAATAAACATACGTGTGCATGTGCCTTTATAGTAACATGATTTATATTCCTTTGGGTATATACCCAGTAATGGGATGGTTGGGTCAAGTGGTATTTCTAGTTCTAGATCCCTGAGGAATCACCACACTGTCTTCCACACCGGCTTGACCTTTCAGAGGAGCATTTAATGACACCGACTACAGAAATCAGCTCCCATATTGATGAAGCAACATTTTGAAAATCAGTCAAAACCCTTTATCTATAACCTCCACCCAGAGCTTTTGAGTCAGAGTTCTAATCAAGGAAAACTTCCAATTTACAAGTTAGAGTACTTGAAACACAGACCTTGGTAACTGCTGGAGAAGTGCTTAGAGGTGAACTCATTAGGAAGTCACACCTTTTAGAATGAGCTTGGCTTTTAATATAATTTGATAGACAATGAAATCATTAAGAATTTGACCAAGGTTTTCCCATGAGCTAGATGTTGAATTGACCATGTGTCTCGTATACTTGATCTTTGAGACTTAGTAGTTGTATGAGGGCCCAGAAGAAAAATAAGACACAGATAAAGCTGATAAATGTGAAACTAATAACTTTTATTAGTCTTTGAACTCTTGAAGTGTGCAGTAATAACAGGAGAAACCTCTCTTACCTGTAATTATTTTGAAAAGTTTGCCCTTCAAAAATGTCTAGCAGAAGTAGCTTAACACCTACTAGAAATTATATTTATTTATAAAAAAATACATTTATATTTATATATAGTAGTACCATATAATATATAGTATTATATATAGTAGTAGTATATAATATATAGTATGTAGTAAGTAGTAGTATATAATATATAGTACTGTATGTTATATAGTAGTATATAATATATAGTAGTTGTAATAATATATAATATATAGTAAGTATATATATAAATATACACACCTACTATATTTCCTCAATAGGGTCAACTAATTCGTCATTGGGGATATGTTTGTTAATTGTATTACAATTAGAGTATCAGTTATAAGAAAGGGGTAGGTACAAATTAGAGGCAGGATTTTTTAGAATTTTGGCTTCTGTTTATAACTTACTAATAGCCATAATAATGACCAAGTCAGAAAAATTAAATTGTTACACTGTAAATATATTATATGTGTTTATATAGGCTAAGTTTATCTCATGATTGGTTTAAGTAAATAGAAATTTCTTATTGCCTGTTGAAACTGTATTTTTTATATATCATAACCATTTTATTCAACAAAATTTTACAATGTCTTCCGAACATATGAAACAGACCAAAATGGAGATTTCCTAGTGAAATCAGATAACTTCAGGGGCCTTGAATAGATTAATCTACAATCCCAGATTTTATTGAACACACTACTCTATTGCATCAAGTCTAAATGCCTAGAAATCAGGTTCTTATAAATCCTGCTAGTTCAATTATCTAACAATATTGCCTATTACACTGTAGTCACACTATATATTGTTCATAATTACCTATAACCCAGCGTGTTCCCTCTCACTCCTTTTTCTTCACACTGTTAGTCTGTCCTGTAAGAATGTTCAATATCCACACCTTTCTGTGTAAAATCTATTTCTTCCTCCGAGTTGTTGTAAGCCCCACCCCCTTTATGGAACCTCCCAGTATTATTTATATACTGGCCTTTTTATCCTATACTACTTGTATTTAATGATTATATTCTGCCTACAGTATCCACTGTTGTTTCATACATATTCCTGTTAGATATGAAAACTCCGTTTTTTGAGCCTAGAGATTTTTGTTTTTTATGATGTTTACCATATGGCCTTGTGCAGTGCCTGAACTTTTATGTCTTTAATAATAACTTGATTGAGGAATTAGAGTTGTAATTATCTAAACAAGGAAGAAAACTGTAAATCTTTTCAAAGCTATTGAATATAGTATTAAATATATTGACTGTGCTGGAGAAAACTTTTTTTTTTTTGAGATGGAGTCTCGCTCTGTCGCCCAGGCTGGAGTGTAGTAGCGCAATCTGATCTGGGCTTACTGCAACCTCTGCCTCCCGGGTTCAAGCGATTCTCCTGCCTCAGTCTCCTGAGTAGCTGGGACTACTGGTGCATGCCACCATGCCTGGCTAAATTTTTGTATTTTTACTAGAGACGGGGTTTCACCGTGTTAGCCAGGATGATCTGAATGTCCTGACCTCGTCATCTGCCCGCCTCGGCCTCCCAAAGTTCTGGGATTACAGGCGTGAGCCACCACGCCCGACCGAGAAAACTATTTATAATATGTAATAGCTTCTTCCACAAGCAGTCATTCATTGATTCATTCACTGATTCATTTGCTTATCATTCAGTCCAAATTATTTCCCATTTTGAAATAAAACATTTTTACACATTGAAAACTGCTCTAGTCTCATAGATAATGATGATTCAATAAACACTGTGGGTGCAAAACTTGGAAAGTGTACACTGGCTTGCTGTACAATGTCCTCAATTCTATATTAATAATACAGTGTAAACTCATTAATTATAAATGCATAGCCATTTGTTGGTGAAAAGAAAACAGGATGTCAGGGGCAAATAAAGAATTCAGTGGTGAAGCAATATCTTTGACAAGAACTTCTATTTGTCTAATGCTCTGTATAACTTTAATAGCACCCAACAGTTGGTGGTCTGTAGTGGTTCTAGGCAATGAGTGGATTGCCTTTTCTTTGTTTGCTTTGCAACTGAAGGATGTTTGCAATATTAAAAAGCACACACACTCACACATACAGACCCACACGCCATAACAAAAACAGCCTCAAGGCTACCATATGGCGGTGGTCCTGCACCTGAAACCCAAACAAAGCCAACAGCAACAGATTCAGTGTTTGTCTTTGGCTAAGAATCTGAGCTGACGTCAATTATACTTTTGAGCCTGGACTGAATTCAATGAAAACTTGTCAGTTGGTACTTTAGAAAAATGAATTAAACTAAGCCTGTGTTTCTTATCATTGAACGTACCAGCCAAACTGTTTTGTGCATGCCTTTGACATTTTAATTGCAGGAACTAGGTGAATTTTTTTCTAAGTCCTTCTAGGACAGGTAAACAAAATACATATTTTTCCTGGCATATCGTTTAGAGAGTTTGAACAGTGTTGCCAAAAGATCAATGCCCATCATAGAGATCAGCTAATAAAAAAGTAACAATAAAATTTCATTTAATCATTTAGAATTATAAATATTTTTGTTGCTGTTATTGTTTTATTTTGCTATATTTTAAATTGGGTCCAAAATAATTTTAGAAAACAGTAGGAGAAGCTCTTTTGCCCAATGTAGGATAGCCACAGGCTTACAGATACTTCTTTGAGTGAGATCGAATTTTAGAATTTTATGGTAAATTGTTTCTCAACTAAATATACACTTTAGTTCCAAAAAATAATTTTTAGATATATCACTAAGTGTTAAGAAGTGCTTCATGTTTTATAAGGTGAACATTTATTTTAAGATTAATAATAGAAAAAATAAGCATCTATATTGGGTACTTTTATGAGTCTTAAAGAAGTAAGACTTCATTCAAATATTCATTTATTGACCACCATATCTGTGCCCATTTCTAATATTTATTCTACCTTCCTCTAGCTGTCCTCAGCTATGTTTAACATTCCTTTTATAAAAGAAAATGTAATTATTTAAAAATCTATGTGCTGCAGTATGTATGCTTCCTACATCAAAAAGCAGAGTGAACATACATTTACAAACATCATTGAATGTTAATAAACAGTATAAAACCACACAAGTCTTTAAATACAAACTTTGTTGGTTTCAAATTTATTGAATAATACAAAGAATTCCCTTCTTAAAACTTAAGTTTTTAGAATAGACTTTCCTATAAATAAACATTTTATAGGAAAACTTCATGTTGAATTTTGGTTTAGGGGAGTTTTAGGACTGGAAATATTTCAAATAAGATGGAAGATGATACTGGAAATTGTGACCTGATCAGTTTCTTGTGATAGTATAAATAATTTTGTTTTACTTTTGCCACTATTAGTGAAAAACATAGTTTTTAACATTTATAAGCAAATTTCCTTTTTCAAAATCCCATGATTGTCATCTCATGGAACAGAATTATTGGCTAACTGTTAATTTTGCTGATGAAGAAGGAAAAAGCATTGGTAGCTTGCTTTCTTAGGCTGCACTTCCATATGGGAACCATATTAAATTAAGTTCAGGTTTAATTTAATTTCATTAAGTGGCAGTTGAGCACTTGAAAGGTAGCTATTTCAACTGAGTCACTGACTTTTTAATTCTACAGTATAGGTATAGGACATTTTCATCATTTCAGAAAGTTATATTTCACAAGGTTGTCCTATAGCTTAGGGTGATATTGTTGCTCATGTAAAATTTGAAACATTCTTACCATTTACATTACTTAGTCATAACTTTCTAGTAAGAAGAGTATAACATAATGACTCTACTTGAGAGTTAAATCCTGAGATGCTGAATGGTTGAATTACTTCCAACAAAATCTCATGGAAGATCAAGTGGTAGAATAAATAAATACATGTGTAGATATGTGATTATAAGGCTCTACTGTCTCAAGCAATTATGGACTATTATATTTTTATGGAAAAAACACATCATGTTAAATTGTTTTAGATTTACCTAAAATAGTTAGTATTGTTTTGCATATGGTGACTTATTTCAAACCCCAGTCATGACCTGTGTTAGTTGATTTTATGTGTCAACATAAATGGACCACAGGGTGGCCAGATATTTGGTTAAACATTATTTTTGGTGTGTCTTAAATGGTCTTTTTGGATGAGATTACCATTTGCATTGGTAGACTGAGTAGTTTGCCCTCCAAACGTCGGTGGGCCTCATTCAATTATTGAAGCCTTAAATAGAATAAAAAGGCTCGGTAAGAAAGAATTCCCTCTCTATGCCTGACTGTCTTCAAGCTGGGACATGTCTTCTCCTGCCTTTGGATTAAGACTTGGATTGGAACTACACCATTGGTTCTCCTAGGTCTCCAGCTTGGTGACTGCCGATCTTGAGACTGCTTAGCCTCCGTAATCATATGAGCCAATTCTTTATTATCTATCTTTCTGTTATCTATCTATCTATCTATCGTTAATATTCTCTCTCTCTCCAATTTTTTCTATTTCTCTGGTGAACCCTGACATACAGATTTTGGTACTGAGTGGTCCTAGAAGAACAATTTTAAGGATGTGTTTTCTGAATTCATTCTGGCACTTCTGGAATTGTGTCTCTGATTAGATTTAAAGACACTAATGACTATTTCTAGCAGTAAAGAGCATTGATTGTCTATGATGTTATCTGTCAATTGAGATATGCAAAATATCTGCATCAGATACTCCTAATCTACCACTTATAAGAAGCAAGCAGCAGGGTGACTGTTTATAAAATACTTTTGAACATTCTTGGAAAACTAATGAGTAAGTAAGTTTAACTGGTTGCTGCTAATGCTGCTGAACAAAGTGGTTTAAAAAACAAAACAAAACCAGATGAGCTCAGAGCTCAGGAATTCAAATTCCAACTCAAGCACTGCATAAATAAGCTGAGAGCTTCTACTTATGCCCTCAAAGAGACCCTTATATCCTGTAGCCACACGATTGAGATTGCTGAAAATCAAACACAGGATATCATCCTGAAACTGTCTCAATTACAACATAAGTTGAATTCTCAGCCTTGCAGAATATCAACTGTAAAATTTAGGCATTTTTACAGTTGGGCAACTATAAAAGAGGGCATTGATTTGGAATAAATTGGAATCGGCATGTTAGAATTGAGACATGTGGGAAGATCCTGATGAAATTTGGGTCATTAAGCCCTTAAACTCTGATGAGACTTCTTTGCCAGTGGCTTCTCCCCCGTGAGGGGTAGCAGCCTCTCCACAACCTTCTCCTTCTAAGTGGATTAACCCTGCATTGCCCAAGGAAATTGCAATGGGCTCCCCTGAGACAGTTGCCTTGAAGACAATGCTAAGTCCCCCTGGGACTCACTTTCACTGCTCCTCCTTGATTCTAGACCTACAACCTGACTTATGTCTTAGGGGAGCCCAAAGGGTAAAGTACAAAGAATGTGAATCCATGAGGAGACACTCTATACTTCAAAATAACTACTCAAATTTTCTAATTTATACAGGCAGAATCTGTAAAACATGTGCTGGAATAGATCTTAACATCAAAATAAAGGTAAAAGGAACATAATGTCAAATCAGAAAAAAATTAGTTGTAAGGGCTCACCAAACAGATTCTGCATCTAATGTTGCAGTTTGAAAAGATAGAAAGGGCTATAACAATTTGTTTGGTTGGCTGAAATACTCACCAAAAAAACGTGGATCACAGTGATCAAGCTGGAAATGCTGGGCTGACTTGATTTAACATAGAGCAGGGGACTCAAAGGGTTAAGGTGATTGGAATGTTAGAATAAGTTTGTTATTTAAGACCTCATTATCCACACTGGGAAGGTCCAGAAGGCATATCTTTTACCAAAACTATGAGAAGTAAATTTACAACATCCCTGGCATCCTTGAAGAGATCTATGATTACTCTTCTCTGTAGACCAGACCTTACAGTGGGCGCTGCCGTCACCAAACTGGAAAATCTAAATGTAATGGGGGTACTTGAATCCCAGGGAAGCAGGAGCTTATATATACTAGGTAGGTCTACAATGACTAAAGAAAAAAATACAGCAAAACTCAACTTCCAAGTTTCAAGTTATTAGCAAATTTCCACAGCTTTTCAAAGATACTGATAATCAATAGAAAAACTATCTTATTGATACATGAGGTCTCCTCTATCTCAAAGCACATAGGAGTGCATCTTGCAGAATCAGCAGTCAAATGTCATTAGATGCTTGTGCATAGCAGCTGATTTAGAAGATGCAGAATGTTACTGGAGACATTAAAGGGAAGATTCATGTAGCCTGGTAGCCCCAATACTTTTCTAGAGTATTTATGAACCTTGAATCTACCAAAAATAGCTTATTAATACTGGTCACTGTTTTATGGGAGTCTATTAATCACATGCTGGTGTGTTACATCCCAGTGGCCTGTAATATAACATTTAAAGTAACTTACAATTATCATGGGTAAAACAAAGCTAACTTTTACGTTACAGGTATAACATTTTTCTGATTTGTAAGAAGTGGAAACCATGTGTTCAGATGTATATTAACATTTTATGTGTTTAAATGCTTCATATTTTCCCATACTATCTCAATTCAGACTAACTTTTACTTGGTCTCTCTCGGACTTGATGACAGATTTTTCAGTGAAAGAAATCATAGGAATAAATAAGCATGATTCTAGATGTAGTATTCTCCATATACAAGAAGTATGGGGGCCAAGAAAACTTACTTACAAAACTCTTCAAACCAATAGATGAATGATAGGCTACTGAGTCCTAGTGGACTCAAAATTAACAGCAATTCCTTCACAGATTGGTTGAAATTTTTAAACTGGTCAAAATCTTGCCAAGTGTAAAGTTGAATTATAATGATCCATTTTGAGACCCTGGCCTTATTATAAAGTATTGTATAATTATATTTGAAATATAAGGTTAGAGAAATATACTTTAGAGAATTTATCCTACAGAAATAAAGGCAGCAGTATTTAAGGATATATGTATAAAGCTCTCCATTAAAACAATGTTTGAAGTAGCCAAACCTGGAAATTATCTGAATGTCTATCAGTAAGAAAAGATTGATTGGGGCTTTAACATATTCACTTCATGAAACATCATTCGGCTATTGAAAAGAATGCATTAGATCCAAACTATTGTTTTGAAAAGAGCAATTATATATAGTTAGTGAAAAAGCAAGTTGTTGATAAATATGTATTGGATAATTTCATTTATGTAAAACAAATTATCTAAAAGGTACAGAAAGTAGTTCTTTCAACCACCTTCCACTTAACTGATGCAACAAATTCATCTATGTTCCTTATTCCTCTATAAAATGTGCAAAAAGCTCATAGATTTTTCCCTGAAAATTGATTTCAATCTAGTTATCCACACATTTCTATTCCTACCATTAAACTTTCACTTACTAAGGATTAGTTGTATTTGTTACCAAATCTCTTTGTGCACTTGTTCTTCCTATTGCAATTATGACATTTAATAAAACATTACACGAAGTTATTATAAATAAATGTGATGAAAGAGTTATTGCTTCTATGAAAGCAAAATTAAAAACTTTGGAAAGACTACAGAAATGAAAATCACTAAAACATATATATTTAGAACACAGATATGGACAAAACCATTGTGAAAGGAGCAGGGTAGAAAATTCTACATTAAATTGCTTAGCAAATGACTTCAAAATTTTGATGCACTTTAAAGAAACCCAAACTGGAAGTTTTGATGTAGCTAATGCGAGAAAGTTTAAAATCAGCTGGTTCATACTCTTAGAAATATAATGTGTTTAAATGTATGTGATTAAATTAGAAGATTTTCAAGCTATACCTCTATCAGTTTTATACTCCCCATTTATTGAAGAATTCCCAGTTCTGATGAATGAGATAAGAGATCTTTGATCATATGTATATATATATACTGTGAGTGTGCAAAATACTCGCACATGAAAGGATATATGTCAATTTATTAACATTGGCTACCATGGATGGAAAGCTGGATGAGAAAAGTAAAAGGAAAGAAGAAGAAGAGATAAGAAAAAAAGCTGTGGCAAATAAGAATATATGCATGGTATTCTATATCATATGTAGAATAAAATTCTATCTGTAATGTTGCCATATACACATAAAAATGTGCATGTGCACAAGTTCAAGGGTTACCATGAACAAAGACATTGATTTCATTAGGTAATGGAACATTGAGTAGTTTTCTTTCTGGCTTCTAACTATTCTAATGTAGTGTTCTCACTAAACTGAAAGAAATTAAAACTTAAAAAAAGAAAATAGAAATGAGAGAATGTTGACTTGTATGACTTTACTTCACTAGAGGCTTTGAAGATTTTATTTTACTTTTCTATATGCTACTAATTTTTTGAGTTATAACACATCACTATTTTAAAAACAAATAACCTTGGGGGATGGGAACATAAATTATTTTAAAATTTCCTAAGGAAAGAAATTAAAGGGCATGATAATTAAAAAATACTGCCTAGAAGAGAAAACATACTATTTCTATTCTAATTATTTACCTTAGTGCTGATAGCATGTATGGTCAAAAAAGAAAAATGTGACGATGTCAGATTGTTGAGTGAGAATTGAGTGCTAAGTTAAATAAATGAGTCAGTGTATGTTTTTCACCCTTCCTTCAAAACCAAAATGAGGAAATGAATAATTTAGCCTCCAAAAACTTAGATCTTGAGAGCAGATATTAAAGCTGGGAAATCTTCCCTGTGACACTTGTTTACTAAATTTGTTTCATGGTAGAGTACTGAAAGAATTTCAAATACAGTTTGGATCAAAACGCAAAGAATTTTTGATGTTAATCCATTAAAATGTATAAAGAGTTGTTCACACAGAAAAACTTCTGGCAGGTCTAATATTTCAAGTTGAAAAATAACTTCCATATGGTTCTTAATTGTCCTTTTGTTAGATATTAAATAACTATCTGTTTCTTTGTTCCTACTTTCTTTGACTCTGAGAAAATGAACAAAATTAGAACAACCCTTTACCTACCCCTTCAATATGAATTTTCATTTATTCACAGTGAAATTAAACATTTTTGTAACTTTTATATATGTTTTCGAACTTACATGAATGAGGCAAGAATCATATAAAGATATTACGTATACCCTTTACCTAAGTTTAAATATTTCAAAGACTTTGTATAATTGTTTTACATTACTTCTCTCTCTCTTTCTCTGTCCATCATGTATCTATATTTCAGAATTATTGGAGAATGTGCTGCAGACATTATAGCCCCTTTCTTCTAACACACCAATGAGTGTTTCCTAAGAACAAGCGCCTTCTGTTACATAATTGTGCTACCATTATAAAAATCAGAAAATTTAACATTGTTACTATACTATCATTTAATCTGTAGTCTATGTTCAAATTTTGCCAGTTGTATCCTTAATGTCCTTTCTCACAAATTTTCTCCTGGGTTTAGGATCCAATCTGGGATGATATGTTGTATTTAGTTGTCAAGTCTCCTTATACTCTTTTCTGCTAAGAATATTACTTTAATATGATCACATTTTTAATCAAATCTACTAATTTTATATAAATTTTTAGAAATGATAACAGCTAAATAACTTCCAACTGAATAGTATATCTCCCATAGTCTGTTTAAATCTGGAAAGGATTCAGAGCCTTTCTTTGTCTTTCTTCACTTTGGTACTTTGGAAGAGTACAGTGCAGTTATTTTGTAGAACGTACATCAATTTGAGTTGGTCTGATAATTTCTCATAATTAAATTTAGTCTATGCTTTCTTCTTCAACAATGCCACAGGAATCTCAGTGCATCATATCAGGAGGCCCATAGTGTCTAGTTATCTCATTGCTGGTAATGTTAGCTTTGACTACTTGGTTAATATGGTGTCTGTAGTTTTCTTCAGTGTAGGGTTACTGCTTTTCTTTTTGTTACTAAGCATTTTCTTATTTTTCTTTTAAATTGTTAAAGTACTCTTATCTTAGGCTTTTTACTTAAAACAGCACATATTTAAATTTTGACTCAATCTGAGAGTTGTATTATTTTAATTGGAGTGTTTAATGCATTTCTATTTGTTGCTATAATTGATATGCATGTCTAAAATCCCCAGCTTCTCCCATCACTCTTCATGATCCTTTTTGAAGTCCATGTATAATTCTGATGATTTAAAAAATTTCAAAAATTCTATTTCTGATAATTCAAAAGCCTTGCACTACCAAGTATCTAACCACTTAATACTACTACAAATACAATTCTTAGCTTAGCTTGAAATTGTGTGTGTGTGTGTGTGTATGTGGATGTGTGTATTTATATGTGAGAGTGTGCATTTTTGTTTGTGGCTCTGCCTCAAGTTGTGATTTCTCTGAGAACAATGCCTCTGTAATTATTCCCAGACCTTGGCACAGTTCTCGTCATATATAAATGGTACCTGAATCACCTGCCATGTTACATGGCTCCAGGAGGTCACCATTCACATTCTTGTCTTGAATGGACTTTCCTAGAACAGAACTTTATAGCCAATGATAGTCCTAGAGTTGTGCATGCAAAGACCCTGAATGGTGTTCAATAATGAACATGTGAACAATTAGATGCCTATTTTTCCATTGTTTATTATAGCTAGACACAGGGCGACAGACATGGAGTGACCTTGCTTTATTCAGTGTCTCTCTCTCTCTCATAACTAATGATTCCAAGATCGTATGATTTTATTCTTCCATCACTTTGACAGTTTCTCGTTATTAATTAGACTCAACGTTCACATGACAGAGTTCATATTTTCCTTCACATTACAAATATACTGTAAAGCTTTCTGGACTTGGAGGCAGAGAGCTTACTCTAGCAAGCACTTGCTCTCCCTACCATCTCAAATCCTTAGGTCTATCTTGCTTTCAATCATCTTGAACAGATAACAATATTATTTTAAAGGGCATTAAGCATGAGTAATCGCTTTTCTTCATGGCTTTCTATCTTCACTATTTGCTTACAGTATTTTTAAAGGTAAATTCTACATACCTTAATGGAAAAATTTTAAGAATAAAATTTAAAGAGTTTTAAAAAATACAATTGCCCTTGAAACCCACCAGTTTCATATTAAACTACAAACAATTTCATAACTTTAGGAAATTTCCTCTTACCACTTCTCAGCCAATCTCCACCTGCTCACCCATAGGAAAGTACTTATCTTTGTGAGGATTTTTCTACTATGTATAAGTTTTGTCAGTTACGAAATGCCGTATACATACAATACACACCCATTTTGTGCCTGGCATCTTTTGCTCAGCACAATGACCTTGAGATTCATTCATTATGCTTTTGTATGTACTTTATTTCTTTTAGTTGTTGAGTAATACTCCCCTGAATGATTACACTACAATTTATATATCCAGTCTTACATTGATGGATATTTGAGTTGTCTCTAGTTTTTGACCCTTAGAAATACAGCTTCTATGAAGACTCTTGACTAAGTGTTTTTGTGGACGTATTATTTTATTCCTCTTGATTAAATACCTAGGAGTGCAACTGTTGTGTCACAGGTGAATGTATGCTTAGATTTGTAACAAACAAAAAGCACAATCATTTTCCAAAATCTTTTTATCATTTTATATTTCTACTGGCAATTTATGAAAGTTCCAGCCACTCTATATGTTCTCCATTATTTGGGACTTGACAGTCAATCTTTTTATTTTTAGTTTTTCTGGTGAGATTGTAGTGATATTCGATTGTGGTTACAACTTCCTGTTGACTATATTCAATAACTTTCCATGTGCTTATTGTATTGGCTATTCATAAATTTTTTTGGAAAATGTTCATTCAAGAATGTGTGTGTGTGTGTGTGTGTGTGTGTGCGTGTGTTTTACATTTTGATTTCAATAGCTTCTGGGGTAAAAGCGTTTTTTTGTTACATGGAAGAATTGTGTAGTGGTGAGTTCTGAGATTTTAGTTCACCCATCATTCAAGTAGCGTACAATGGACCTAAAATGTAGTTTGTTTAAATCCCTAACCCTTTCCCCACCCTCCCTATTCTGAGTCTTTAAAGTCCATTATATCACTTTGTATGCGTTTGCATACTCATAGCTTAGCTCCCACTTATAAGCGATAACATAGTTTTTTATTTTCCACTTTTATGTCACTTCACTTAGAATAATGACCTCCATATCCAACGAAATTGCTGCAAAAGACATTATTTTGTTTGTTTTTATGGCCAAGTAGTATTTGACGTGTATATATACCACATTTTTTTTTTTTTTTTTTTTTTTTTTTTTTTTTTTTTTTAGTAGAGACGGGGTTTCACCATGTGTTCGCCAGGATGGTCTGGATCTCCTGACCTCGTGATCTGCCCGCCTCAGCCTCCCAAAGTGCTGGGATTACAGGCATGAGCCTCGGCGCCCAGCCCACCACATCTTCTTTATCCACTCATTAGTTGGTGGGCACTTAGGTTGGTTCCACATCTTTGCAATTGTAAATTTTACTGCTATAAGCATATGTGTGTAGGTGTCTTTTTCATATAATGACTTCTTTTCCTTTGGGTAGATACTTAGTAGTGGATTGCTGGATTGAATGGTAGATCTACTTTTAGCTCTTTAAGGAATCTCCGTACTGTTTTTCATAGAGGTTGTACTAGTTTACATTCCCGCCAGCAGTGCATAAGCCTTCCCTTTCCTCCACATCCACACCAACGTCTATTGTCTGTGGTTTGTGTTTTTTAAATTTAATTTGTTGTAATCCTCTTATTTAATTGCAGTAATTTTCATATATTTTTAACATCAGTCCTTTTGTCAAATATATGTTTTGCAAATATCCTCTCCCGTTTGTGGCTGCTTATTCATTTCCTTAAGCGTTCTTTTTATAGAGAAAAACCTTTATTTTTGAATCTGTTTTTATGTTTGAAATTATTGCTTTTTGCTTTCTAAGAAATTTTTGCTTTCTGTCACTACATAAAGAGATTATCCAATAGTTTCTTCTAGCAGATTTATGGTTTTAGCTTTAATGTTAAGGCTTATCATACATATCAAATTAATGTTTTATAGTTTTCAGTGTACAAATCTTTGGCTTATTTGTTATTATTTATTCCTAAATATTTTAGTCATTTTGATGCTATTGTAAGTAAAGTTGTTTTTTAATTAGTTTTTTAGATAATTCATTGCTAAAGTATAGAAGTACAATTGATTTTTGTGTACTGGTTTTATATCTTGAAATCTTACTCGTTTATTTACTCTCATTGTGTGTGTGTGTGTGTGTGTGTGTGTGTGTGTGTGTATGGGTGTGTGTATTCCTTAGAATTTTCTACATACAAGATTATGTCATATGCAAGAATTGATAGTTTTACTTCTCCTTTTCCAAAATGGGTGCATTTTATTTCTTTTTCTTGCCTAATTGCCTTGGCTAGAAATTCCAGCACAATATTAAATAGAAGTGCTTAGAACAGACCTCCTTCTCTTGTTCCCAATCTTAGGAGGAAAGCATTCAATCTTTGATTTGGTATGGGTTTGTGTCCCTGCCCAAATCTCATGTTGAATTGTAATCCCCAATGTTGGAGGAGGGGCCTGGTGGGACGTGACTGGATCAGCGGGACAGACTTCCCCATTGCTGTTCTCATGATAGTGAGTGAGTTCTCATGAGATCTGGTTGTTTAAAAGTGTGTAGCACCTCCCTCTTCTATCTTCCTCTTACTTCAGCCATGTAGGTCATGCCTGCTTCCCCTTCACCTTCTGCCATAATTAAAAGTTTCCTGAGGCCTCCTCAGCCATGCTTCCTGTAAAGCCTCCAGAACCAGGAGCCAATTACACCTTCTCTTTTCTTTATAAATTACTCAGTCTCAGGTAGCTCTTTATAACGATATGAGAATGGACTAATTAATTTCATCATTAATTATGATAGTAAGTTGTAAATTTATCAGAGATAATTTTTTATCAGAGATAAATTTATCAGGGATAAATTTTATCAGGTAAGGAAGTTCCTTTCTATTTATCATTTATTGAGTATTTTTTTTATCATGGAGCAGTGTTGGATTTTTTCAAATGCATTTTCTGTGTCTATTGAAATAATCATTCTTTGTCTTTTATTCTGTTGATATGGTGTATTATATTAATTGATTTTTAAAATTACTCCAATCTTGCATTCCTGGGATAAACTCTATTTTGCCATAGTGTATAGTACTTTTTTATATAGTGTTAGATTTAGTTTGCAATTCATTATTTGTTTAGGACTTTGAATCTATATTCTTAAGGGATATGGGCCTATTTTCTAGTGACTCCTTTTTCTGGTTTTGGTATCAGGGTAGTAATTGGCTTTATAAAATGATTTGAGAAGTATCTTCCCCTCCCTCTTCCTCCTCTTCTCTTTTCCTTCTTGTGGAAGAGATTGGGAAGAATTTGGTAGAATCCACCAGTGAAGCCATCTCGACCTAGGCTTTAATTTTTGGGAAGATTTTCGCTTAATGATTCTATTTTTTTTTTACTTGTTATAAGTTTATTGATATTTTCAATTTCTTCTTAATTTAGTTTTAGTATTTTACATCTTTCTACCTAAGTTGTATATAATTGTAGCTAAGTTATCTAGGTGATTGAATTTGTTGTCATAGTGTTGTTCATAGTGTTTTGTTATAATCCTTCTTATTTCTGTAAGGTCAGTAGTGATAGCCCCTCTCATTCCTGATTTTACTAATTTGAGTTATCTCCTGTTTTTCTTGTTTAACCTAGCTAAAATATGACAATTTTGTTGATGTTTTCAAAGGAGCAATGTGTGGTTATTTTCTATTCTCTATTTGATTTATTTGTACTGTAGTTTTGTTATTATTTTCTTCCTTCTGTTTGTTCTGTGTTTAGTTTTCTCTTATTTTCTTAGTTTGTTAAGGTGGAAATTTAGCTTATTTGTTTGAAATTGTTCTTCTTTTTAAATGTAGATGTTTATAGCTATAAATATCCATCTAAAGATTGTATAGGCACATCCTGTAAGTTTTTGTATGTTATATTTTTGTTGTTACTCATCTCCCAGTGTTTTCTAATTTCCCTTGGGATGTTTTATTTGACCTAGTGATTATTTCAGAATGTGTTTTTAATTCCTATGTTTTTCTCAAATTTTCTTTCTGTTATTGATTTTCAGTTTAATTCCATTTTGGTCAGAGAACATATTTTGTAAGATTTCATTCATTTTAAATACATTGAGGCCTAAAATATGATCTCTCTTAGAGAATATTCCACAAGCATATGAAAATAATGTTTTCTGATGTTGTTGGGTAGACTTTTCTATAGATAGCTTTTAGTTCTATTTGGTTTATAGTATCCTTGAAGTCTTCTATTCCTTATTGATCTGCCTGGTTGTTCCATTCATTACTAAAAGGGATATATTTATCATTATGTTTAAGGGTATTTTTACTGCATGTGGAATTCTGAATCCCCAGATTTCTTTTACTTTCTGTTTTTTAAAGTATATCCATTGCCTTTTGGCTTTGTTTCTGATAAGAAGTTATTGTAATTGTTCTTGTTTATATAATTTGATGTTTTTTTCTGGTTTGTAATATTTTTCTTAATCTTTGGTTTTAAATAGCTTGACTATAATGCATCTAATATTGGTTTCTTTCTTTGTTATCTTGTTTACTAAGCCTCACAGATTTGTTTATGTTTTTAACTTCATTTTCTTCGTTTTTTCTCCTTCTAGGAATCCAAGTTCAGATATGTCAGCTCACTTGACATTATTTCACAAATATTTGAAGCTCAGTTCATTTGTTTTTCTTTCTACTTGGTGTGTTTAGATGTTTTTTCTTTCATTTGTTTTAGATCTATAAATTTCTATAGATTTACCTTCAGGTCACTGTTTCTCTCTTCTGGACATTTCCAATGAGCTTTTAAGCCAATCTCATAAATTTAGCATTTTAGATATTTCATTTTTTTAGTTCTAGAACTTTAGTTGGTTCTTCTCATACTTTCTATGTAATTGCCAGGATTATCTATTTATTCATTATGATCACATTTTCCTTTAAATCTCTGAAAGATTTAAATAGAGCTTTAGCATCCTCGTCCACGAATTCCAACACCAGGGGCATCTTGATTGTTTCCAATTATTTTTCAAGTCATATTTTTCTTTTTCTTTGCATATATAATCTTTAAAATTATTTTGGCACTGTGGTTGCTGTTATAGAGATTCAGGATTATGTTATCTTTGGCATATGTTTATTTGACCTAGCAGGCAGTTAGTTTTCTTGACTCAGGCCCTATATTCTGGCTTCTTTGTCATGGGAACAAAATGAAATTTCTGCTGAGTTCTTTCAGTCCTTCAGCTGTTGCTTTGTACATTTTCTTTCACTATTCTTTGTTTTCTTTTGAGATTTGATAATGTAAATAATGTAGTTGAAAATTTATCAGATGCTCTTTTGTGGTGTGCTATTTGGTCTTTCAAGTATTCCACTGGTATTTCTTTCAGAAAATGTCTTTCCCTTTGCTATGATTGTATTTCCAAAGGAGGCTGACATCTTCTTACCAATGTGGACACTCACATTCAGTCACAAGGAATGTGTATCCAACCAAACTGAGGAATAATAATATTTCCATAGTTTCTTTCTTAAAATTCAAAAAGCTGAGAGGTCAAGCTGAGAGGCATCTATGTGTCCATAGTATAAAGAAAGCAGTCCATTGAAACAAACCCAGCACCCAGAGAAAATCAGAAATGATAGACAAAGAAAGCTAAAAGATGACCTTGGAAGTATTCAATTCGCTTGTAAGTTCTATAAAAGCAGGATCCCTAGTCTGTTTCATCATTATATCTTCACTGCCTTGAAGAGTGTTTGGCAAAAGACACAAGATTTTTTGGAATGAATGACTGATAGCTTTATATATCCTGAAGATAGTACATATGTAATATCTTCAATGTTTCTAAAGGCTTTATTCAATGCCCTTTTCAAATTATAGATATATCTTATCATCATGATTAGCAATTTAATCTTTAATATTTAATAAAATGTTATATCTTATTGTGAGGGTAAGCAATTTATTTTTAGCATTTCTTTATAATACAAATATTCTCTATTCTTTAACATTAACAAAAGATTAACCACATTTTATCTTTTAATAGACAAAATTACAATAAAGCTGATAATCCTTCATTAGAAGAATAGTCTTTAAATAACTAGAGTTGGCCCCATGATTTCAGGTTTCAGTAAATTTTTATTACATACGGAATAACAACCAAAACTTGTCCTTAGGGGAACATTTGTAGGATTTTTGGGTTTTTCTTTTTGGTGGCAGTATTGGTATTGTTATTAATAAAAATATTCAGAAAGACAAACAGCATATTTCTCAATGCTGAAGTAGACACTTTTTGTCAGTATTCTTCAATCCCATGGGTTGACAACCACTACAAAGCCTCTAGCTGAAGTCATGCATACAAGTCTGGTCTATATCTTGCCAGACTTGCCAGACTTAATAGTGGAGGAATATGTCCATTCCTCCACTATTAAGAGCATATCTACTTGATTTATTCCTGCCTTCTCAGCTGTTTTGAACTAATAAATTGATTTTGAATATTTTATTCTATCTTTAGCCTTGGGCAGAAAAACTATCTCTGAACAGATTACAGATTTTTTTTCACCTGTGCAATATGTTCTGCACTAGAAAGTGGTTTAGTATAAGAGCAAAATAGACTGCTACCAATCTGTCTCTCCTTCCTCTTATACACTGACTCTGATCCAGACTTAGTCAAAGGAAAGGAGTCTTCAGATTAAACACTTATACGAGTTACTGCCTTGTACTAGTCCAGGAAGGAAAGAAACAGGAAATACATCAGATTTCTGAGATTTACGAATTTTTATAGATTAGCTGCCTCAATTAGGCCAATGAGCTAATATACACCATCAGAATTTCTCATTCTGCGTTTTGATCAAGAGGTAGGAGAGAAACAAGAACCTAGGAATGTATAAAGAAAATACCTCACCCTAGATACTTTTCCCATAAACACTGTTCTTTGCATGGGAAGGGCAAGCTATCTATGTGACACCTTGTGTTCTCTCTGGGCTGGCATAATCTTCCTGATCAACTCCCATTTCTGGTCTCTCCTGTCTTATAGGTTGTGAATCTTCATCTCTCATGTAATTACTACCATTCCTCTTTTTTTTTCAAGCCTTTGTTCTGCTTCTAGAATCTGTCAAATGGACTGGAAGGAACTACCTTGACCTGTGATTCAGATAGAACCCACTTCCTAGAATCCCCTTCTCTGCTTGTTACCTCATTCCCCAACCTTGCATTTGCTGTATGCCTTATTTTTAGTGGTTTGGCTCTTACTCTCTCCTTGGAATACATTTCCCCCCAAACCCATCAAATCATCTTTGGCTCATTCCTTCTTTTCTCCCAGGAGTGGGCAGCTTATGTTCCAACATAGCTGTGCCATACTACTGTGAGTGACTTGTGAATATCAGTATCATCATCATTAAACCACCATTATCATTATTTAGTAAACCACAAAGGACATAGTTCCTATCCGCAAGAATCTCAACCAGTACTAAGGAAAAAATATTGGCTAAACAAAGCCTTATGCAATTAATTGATAAGTTGTGCAAACTCTATGTTCTAAAGTAATTCAGAGGAGTGAGTTTGTTGAAATTTGAAGCAGTCAGGGAAAATTATATGGAAAAATGTATGCTTTTAAATTGACCTCCAAATAAAATGTTTCCTTTACAAATATGAAGAAGCATCAAATTATCACAAATTATCACAAACCATATGAACCAGCAAGGGCAATGGTTAGGGGAGATTAAATTGAGAACTATGCTTGACATTGATTTGAAGAGGCCAACTCTGAAATTGGGGGTATAGGGGTGTGGAGATCAGCCAGGAGATTGTTGCAGTAAATCAGAGAAAAGGTGTTACACTTTGAAAATGACAGTGAAAATGTAAAGAATTATATGCAACAATTTAAAGGAAAAATCAATAAGGCTTAGGGATTAAATGAATGTAGGAAATGAAGAAAAATGGTGATTCAAAATGATACTAGTACTTTGAGCTCAGGAAATTGCGAAAATGGTAACAACCTCTGACAAAACACAGTGGTTATGATGGGAAGTTCTTTGGAAGATGGGAGTGTGTGAAGAGTTCAGTTTCAAATGTAATGCTTTTGAGAAATCTAAGTAGAAGTGACTGACTAGCACTTTGAGTCCGGGCACTTGAGTGAAAGGACTAGATTGGAGATAAGAATTTGGGATTCCCTGTAAAGGTACTAGCTGTATCTTTTCCATGAAGGAAATGTGGAGGACATTAGTAGAGTCTAAGTAATGAGTTTGGAAAAATATTATGTTTAGAAGGTGGGAAGTGAAAGAAAGATGGGCTAAGAAAGAGTGAGAGCTTTGATGATGCTAGTTTTTTTAATTAATGAGCCAATATATTATCAATTGTCAGGACATAAATGATAAGACTGAAGTTTTTAAATTATTGAGACTCCCTGCTAGTTTCAAACTAAAGATTAGTCCTAAGCATAAAAGACTGGCTGTGGTGACCGGGAGTGGTGGCTCACGCCTGTAATCCCAGCACTTTGGTATGCCGAGGCGGGTGGATCATGAGGTCAAGAGATCAAGACCATCCTGGCCAGCATGGTGAAACCCCGTCTCTATTAAAAATACAAAAATTAGCTGGGTGTGGTGGTGTGTGCCTGTAGTCCAAGCAACTCGGGAGGCTGAGGCAGGAGAATCGCTTGAACCAGGGAGGTGGAGGTTGTAGTGAGCCCAGATGGCGCCCCTGCACTCCAGCCTGGTGACAGAGCGAGACTCTGTCTCAAAACAAAAAACAAAAAACAAAAAAAAACCACTGGCTGTGGAGACCCAAAGAATAGTTCCAAGCATGACAAGCATGAAGGCGTAGATTGGGGTACCCCTTGAATCACTCTAGTTTCTTTATTGGAGCCTTTAAATATAATCTCTGTTAATTTTATAGCCTTAAAATGGCCCTGGAATTCACCTGACTTCAGAACTTTTTCCGCACTAAGAATAGCTAAAACTTAAAATGAACTTAAATAAACAACTCCATTGGTTTGCTTTATCTTGGGTTTTACGTTAAAGCAAATCAATTTCAGAAAGGAGCCTGGGACAGGGAGCTGGACTGGGGAAACAAATGTCACTATGTAGTTTTCAGAATGTTTTGTCTTTCAGCTGTGGTAGCCAAGTAGCCATATGTACCTGGCATCTTTTTATTGCTCCTTATTCCAGCCCTTTATTTTCTTCTCAATAATTATTACATTTTTTGAGGTTAGTTTGGTTTGTTTTTGCTTTGTTACCATTTTATATATATATATATATATACCTCTTTTACAACTTAATTTTTTGTGAGGGAGGGCATTTGGACAAGGATGAAAGCAAGCAAGTCATAAAATGCACACATTTTCCTTGATGTACTTAGGAATAATATAATACTTTATGTACTTATACTTGGCTAAAAAAAATAAAAAAGAGAAATTGTACGACAAATCTTTTGTATTAAAAATACAAAAATTAGCTGGGTGTGGTGGTGTGTGCCTGTAGTCCAAGCAACTCGGGAGGTTGAGGCAGGAGAATTGCTTGAACCAGGGAGGTGGAGGTTGTAGTGAGCCCAGATGGCGCCCCTGCACTCCAGCCTGGCGACAGAGCGAGACTCTGTCTCAAAACAAAAAACAAAAAACAAAAAAAAAAACCACTGGCTGTGGAGACCCAAAGAATAGTTCCAAGCATGACAAGCATGAAGGCCTAGATTGGGGTACACCTTGAATTACTCTATTTTCTTTATTGGAGCCTTTAAATATAATCTCTGTTAATTTTATAGCCTTAAAATGGCCCTGGAGTTCACCTTGACTTCAGAACTTTTTCCGCACTAATAAAAAAGAGAAATTGTAATTTGAAAAAACTTAGTCACTTTCTGTTAGCCTAATGCTTAAGGAGCAGGTTGGTCTGAGAACTATTTCGGGGGGAAGATGAAGGAGAAAGGAAAGCCCTCAATAACCCACATCACAGACTAGAGCTAAAGCACAACAAAGAAGTACTTCTCAAAGGCAGAGAATGATGGGAACAACTATATGTTTTGTCTGCATTTTGGATAGTTGAATACCGTTTTGTAATTAAAAAGGTTGCATCTAATTAAACCATGTGCATTAGGTAATATCTGATTCAGACCCTTGGCCTTTTTTTTCTTTTATATTGGCTAAGGGAAATAAGTAAACCTGAATTTTGCAAACAGTCACATACAGTAAATCAACAAAGGAGTAAGAATGCTGGTCATGGCTATTATTTAATAAAAAGCCCACAAATACAGAAAGTTAGAGATTTTTAAATCAGTTTTGGTATGTAATTGGCATAGCATACAATTCACCCATTTAAAGGAGGTGAGTCAATGTCATTCAGTATGTTCATATCACCACAATTAACTTTAGAAGATTTTCACTACCCCAAAAATAAATCCCTTGTTGCTTAATCATCATCCCTCAATCCATGACTATCTCTTCATATATGGGAACACCATGCATACGAATAGCAAAATTTCCCCTGTAAGGCTCTCCAAATTACACAATACAGTTAACTACTAGAAGACAACAAACAAACAAAACTTAAATGTGTTGTTAAATGAAATGCAATCATCAATATCAAAAGAATACTATTTCTCTAGAGTATATGGTGATACGTTTTTATTCCAAGAGGGATTATTTTCATTATTCTCGCTCTGGAATGATTGACTTGTCTGGGTGGGATTGAGCCAGCAGCTGAATTATAAAAGGATGTCATGGGCAATCCTATCAGTATTTCAGTGCAAGCTCAGAGGTTGAAGAGTAGAGTTCAGTGGAAAATTTCCAGCAGTAATAGATCTTCTTTGTATAGTCATAGATTCATCTGGAATTGATTACTGTCTTTTACTCTAAGAGCCCTTGATGGTCAGGGCTTCTGCAGGAACTTCATTCAGTACCTTTGTAATATCCCAGAGCTTCCAGAGCAGTGCCCTGCATGCACGCTGAATCTAAATAAAGGTTACTGCCTGACTGACAGTCTGTCCCTGGATGCCTAGACTTAGAGATTTGCAAAGCGTTTTAGTTTGTAGCTGCCATAGAGATCAAAGGAGAGCAGACGGGAAGTTTTTTCTTTGAGGTCAGCTTTCAGCTGCTGTAAATTAGTCATGGATCACAATAGGAAAGGGAAAGAAGAGAGTTTGTATGTAATGAGAAAGTGGGGAGGGTCAGGGGCAGCTATTTATGACTCACAACTGTATCTTCTTGGTCCATATGTTTTAACTAACAGATTACATCAGTGGAAAGTGCCATTGCATTGGTATAGATCTTGGACAAGACTTCTAGATATAATTAAAATAGTCATTTAGATGAAACTTGTTTTGTGGCTGACATTGGGAAATTAAATATCCTTTATAGTGCATAATCATTTTGTTCCCCATATTATTTTGGGTAACTATAATTAAACCATTGTTAAGTATCCGAAACACCCAAGGAAAGAGGCACTGATAATGTGGTTGGGGAATGGCATAAGACAGATGAATAATGAAGCTTAGCAGATAAGAAGTAATAATGTCACCTTCATTTTTTATTGCTATTTTTGCATGGATAGAAAATTCACTTCACCTCTCATATTATATCCCTGTGGCATTAACAGTGATGATCAAAATCCTGATTGATAAAAGAGGCACATAAACTTTGCTCCTTAGATTTCTATTAAAATAATGAAACCTTAGGCATTTCATTTCTAAGCTGGTTTGATTGCTAAAATACTGTCTATAAATTTGGATGTGGAAAGTTTAACATGAATAACACTTGGAAAATGACTATCTCTTCATATGTGGGAATAATGAAAATAATTCCTCTTGGAATAAAAAGGTAATTATTCAGTTTTCAGATTTTTTGGGGGGCTCCTTTCTTCTAGAAATAAATGATTTCTACAGTTTTTAAAATATAATTTTAAATACCTCACATATCCACCCGCTATTAGCCCTATCATAAATGGAGTATCTCCGAATTGCTTGAATGAACATTCTGACATTTCATCCTGATAGACTTGACTGTTAAACTGATTAACTTTGGTGGAATGAACAAATAAATGCATGGTCTCAACACCAAGCCTAAAAAATTAAGTAACTAGAGCAAAACTGAAGAAACAAGTAATGATAATTTTTGCTCCCCAAATTAACCTAGCGCCCACCCTACAGGTTCCACAGCACCTTAATATTTCGAATTCTCTTAGCAGTGTTAACATTTGTAAGTATCTGCTTAATGCCTCTCTTGCCTGATACACCATAAATTTCATGAAGGTGGAGACCACACTGGTCCTATTTATCCATTTTTGCTGTGTATATCTCACGCACCTAGCATAGTGCCAACCACACAAATACAATAAAAGAAAATTGGTTGAATGGATATGTAAGTAGAACTGCATTTATATCTTGCTGTGACACGTTTAATGTATCTAAGAGCCAGGTGATGTTCTGGCAGAAGGTAAAATTCTATGAAAAACAGGGAGCCTTAATGCAAAGGGCATGTCCAGTGCCTAAATCTTTGTGAATGCTCAATAAATATAGATAACAGCAAGTAGTATGCCTCAGGGGAATGGTGAACATCTGTCAGTAGAATGGATAATAGTCATATATTTAATCAATTTACATTACAAGTGCTTTAACCGAAGATCCATTCATTCAATGAACAAACATACATCTATAATTTAGTATGTGGATGGCGTCATGCTCCACACTATTAGTTTAAAGCCTTATTAACTAATTTTGGGGGCTTTCTATTTAGGAGTAAATCCACCGAACATGTTGTTCTCATATATTAAGTTAAAAAAAATTAAAGCTTTTTATAACATCTTGAGATCTACAGAACTCTATTTTCATGCCATCTGTCTTTAAATGTTTGCTAATATATAAAAATTGGAATTGATATCCAGGCTTTAATTAACTGCAGAATTGTTCATCATCAGTGCTAATATCATGTTAATTATGTTTCTTGAGGCAGAATAGTGTATTGAAATGATTTAGAAATGTTTTCATAACAGCAGACCTTAACAAAGTCTTTGTTAGTTATTTCTAAGGCAACTAGAAAATTAAGTAAATATACTGAATCTGTATAAATATATAAAGAATTATGCATGTCTTAATAGCAGTACTTAAAAAAGAGCCTTGCTAATTAATTCTCACATAACTAGAAAAATTAGAAAAAAATTATGTTATCATGAACATTTTAGTAAGTGGCATTTTTTTACTATATAATACATTTTATGTGATCTCCTTTTAGAGGAGTGAGTAATATTTTAATGACAATAAATTTCTTTTCAGAGATGGAGGAGAAATCAATAGGTAAACTATTCATTTGTGTGGAATTTTGCTTGCATAGATCTATTTATTACATCTGGGTAATATAGCTTTTATTAGAATGGTTGAAATACATAAACATTGTAACAGGATTAAAATTTCTTTGCACATCAGTCCAGTTATCACAATATTGACATCAATTTATCATATTAATTCCCAACTTTAAATTCTATGCTGCTCCCAATCCCCACTCAATTGTCTACAGGGTCAACTTCAAACCCTCACAAGGCATCCAAGAGCCGGTCTTATGGTTTTAAGCCTTATCTTCCGTCATTTCCACCTGCTCTCACCATTGGCAGATTTTATTCCAACCACACTAAGCCTATTTGCTATTCCCCAGCATAGGAATATGTCTCATTCTCAAACACCTTTGCACACATGCATCTCTCCCTTTGATAAACTTCTTCCCATTTTTCTCTGATCAAACTGCTATTTACAAATTCAATTCAAATGTCATTTATTCTTTGAGCTCCACCCATTTCACCCAGTTCACTGTCTCTTCTATCGCTGAGGCCCATTTTACACTTCTCATTTTGGATTAAAATTAACTGTGCTTCTGTGTCTCTCACACAATGCATGCTCTTTAAAAGCAGGGTTCATGTCTTAAAGGCTTTTCAAAATGTATCCTAGTGCCAATCACAGTGGCTATCAGGTCTTCAGTGCATGCTAGTTATAATTATTAACTTTCAATTGTCTGATGATCCCCTGGAGGAAGAAACTCAGAATTATTTTTATTCAATATAGTGATATTCCTAACACTAACCTGAAGGGACCCAAAACACAATTGTTTTGCCACTCCATTGCTTCTGATTTTCTGAGTACATTTATTGGTCATCAGCCTGGAATACAATAGCAAGGATGTCCTATCCCATGTCTTCCCAACTTGCTCCGTTCTATTCTCAGTTGCTCCTTTTGTGGCAGAGACTCCCACATCTGCTCTCTTGTGTAGCCAGTTATCTCAAAAAGTGAACTGAATTTGATGTCATTATAGTAACATGTAAGGTTTTTGTTTAACATCGTTACTATCTGGAAAAATATGTTAATTAAATTTGCTAATGATGCTAAATGGGATGATTTTGAATTCACAAGTGAGGGTGAAAAGATAACATAAAAAAGTCTGAAGAGGTTAGACGTATGACCAGGGAAAAAAAGCCCCATACTGGAAACACACAAACTAACACCTGTGGGAGAAATTAAGCAGAAACTCAGCTGCTCTGTGTGTGCTAAGATGGAAGACAAGGTTCTAACTCTTTGAGGTGCTGTATAAATACCAAGACATATTAATTTTCAACAAATTAATAGTGATTTCTATTAATGCAGAAAATTTTTATAGGCAGATCTTAGAACACAGAATATACTCTAGGACAGATCCTTGTTTGAGGTCAGTAAATGGAAAATGGTATTAACACTGGCATACAAAATGAGAAAAGTTTGAAAGAATTATGCAATTTGTTCAATGTCAGTTGAAGAGCCGTTGACTTCTATTCTTAACAGAAAATTACGAAGTTAGAGTTTAAATGTATCCACTAATTGCAATTGCACATTTGCCTGGTTTATTTCTTCCATTTACCCAACATTAGATACAATATCTTTTTCTAAGATTTAGTTAAAATTTAGCATTACTAGAGCTTAATCTACTCCTTCCAACTTGTGGCTGGATTTTTGTAAACTGGCGGATCACTTCACATATATTTGAAGACAAAGGAATTGAAAAAGACACTGGGTTTGAGGTATCGGCACTGGAAGATATATCGTATCTGTTCAGAAAAAGTGCTGGTTATTCCTTGTGAAGGAACAGCATCTAGTGCTTTGTATCATCTATGGTCTTTGGACTATTTGGACCTGCTTAAATCCAATGGGAAATAAATAAAAAGAAGTGTGTCTCCAAGTTAATCCATGCACACACACGTTTGCCTTATATACAACTGGCACTGACTGGGTGGAAATGTGCCAGTTCATGTATTTGTGTATTCTTGCTTTCCCCAATTACAGTAGAACATAGATCCTACAAAGGCAGAGTGCTCAGCCATGTTTTCTCCTACAGTATTCCCAGAAACCAGGACAAAGCTAGTATGTGCTAAATACTCAAATATACATGGAAAGAATGAATGAGTAAATTACATATATATATATATATATTTTAGATGGAGTCTCACTCTGTCTCCCAAGCTGGAGTGCAGTGGCACAATCCCGGCTCACTACAGCCTCTGCCTCCTGGGTTCATCAATCCTCCCACTTCAGCCTCCCGAGTAGCTGGGATTACAGGTGCATGCCACCACACCCAGCGAATTTTTGTGGTTTTGGTAGGGACGGGGTTTCACTATGTTGGCCAGGGTGGTCTCAAACTCCTGACCTCAGGTGATCCACCCACCTCGGCCTCCCAAAGTGCTGGGATTACAGGCTTGAGCCACTGCACCTGGCCTATCATTATATTTTACGTATAATGAATGTGTATAATACTAAGGGAAAAAAACATATTTTTGCTCAATAATCAATTCACAAAAGGGTTCAGTCCTATTCTCTTTGAGTGACAATATTCTTTTTTTGACATGTAAATTTAAAATAAAACATTTTTTTCTCTTTTGAGACAGGCTTTCACTCTGTTTCCCAGGCTGAAGTGCAGTGGCACAATCATAGCTCACTGCAGCCTTGAGCTCCTGGTCTCTAACAGTCCTCCCACCTCAGCCTCTCAAGTAGCTGGGACTACAGGCACTGATCCCATACTTGAGCAATTTTTAAAAAAATGTTTGTAGAGGTGGGGTCTCATTATGTTGCCCCAGCTGGTCTCAAATTCCTGGCCTCAAGCAATCCTCCTACCTTGGCCTCTGAAAGGGTTGGGATTACAGGCTTAAGCCACAGGCTTGAGCCAGCCAAAATGTAAATTTTTTAAGTAGCTGGAGAAAATATTTACATTTTCATATTTTTTATTTTTATTTTTTACTTCAGGAAAATATTATAGCAGCTTGATTGATTATTCAAAGCATGAAATATGAGGCAGAACTTAATGAGATTCCAGGTGCTCATTTTGGTTACCAATTGTGTTTAAAAAATATTCTAAAACTTCAACTGTCCTTATATGTTGGAGCAGCAGGCTAGAGCCTCTGAAAGCCTAAGACTCTTGGGTCCCTCTGCACACCTCCCACCCTGGCCTGCCTCTTCTTTCTTCATACCACCAAAGAGGGAGGTGTCAAGGATGGACACTGGCCGACCTACACTGGCATACTTGGAGGAGAAAGACTTCACTAATGTTTATATTTTGCCTTTTACTCAGGTGTTTTTTTTATAAGGAGTAAGGCATAAAATTCAAAAGTAAACATTTAAAAATATTGTTTGTGAGCATCTTTGTCTTATGTTGGCTTTGAATCAATCCACACTGTGGGGTTAAAGTACAAGAACTTAGCCATTCATTCATTCATCCTTCAACATCTGTTGCTTTTTAAGTATCAGACACCATTCTAGACACTGGGGAGACAAGTTCATGTTCTAAAGACAAAATAAAATTTTAAGATGAAAGGAAAACTGCCAAAGTATGGGAGGCCTCCCTGAAGAGGTTATATGAAACTGCCAGGTCAAGATCTGTGGGCAAAGCATTCTAAGTGGATGTATGAGCAAAAGCCAAAAGTAGAATGAGGTGAAAAACATAGAAAGAAGACCCAGTGTGGATAGAACACATTTGCTCATGAGGAAATAAAAGGAGATGCTCAGTAATGGGATTTCCTACATATCCATGACTTTATAGTACAGCTGGTAAAAAAGACTAGTGAGTTCTAACTTGGCCTATTTCTATTGCAAAGATAGTTGACCATATGCCTAGCTAACATATTATGCAGAGTGTTTAGCCTAATAGAGATACACTTTTTTTTTCATAATGAGTTATGGAGATGACTTAGTCTCTGTACTTTATGCTTTTAATATCACCAAAATCTTTTCAGGTGCTTTTTTCAATTAAGCCTTTTCCTTTACTTCCTGCTAATAGTGATAACATATTTATAATAGCTATTTACAGTACTATTAACAAGTATTACAGTGCTGGTTCAAAGGAAATAAAAACTTTATTAATAAAATAAGAGATTTTGCAAAAGTCATCCAACCAAACTCCCTTTTATACGTCTTGCCAACGATTATAACCATACCCTTGAGCACATTAATTCTTTTTATCTCGCTAGAGATTCAGAGACATACACTTCCATCTATGGGGGTAGATGAGAGATTTCAAGCAACAATATTCCATTAGAAGAAAAGAAAGTAATATAAGGATATTAGCTTATCTGTGCCTAAGCTACTTCCTTCTAAATAGAGCATAAGAAAAACTAATTAATCTGAAGGCAGTACAAACTGACATCTCACAATAATCTATGTCAAGGAGCTAGTGCTTCTGCGGCCACATTGTCCTTCCTCCACTATACCCACCTCAAGTCAGGAGGCTCATTCTACTATTTTTTGAGTGTGTTTAGTGTTTTCTTTGTATTGTCATGTGTACACCTAATAGTAAAACCATGCAGCTCACTAATTCTCCTACTCAAGTATGGTGGATGGGATGGGTAGAAAACTAACATTGAATGACAACCATATGCTCTGTGATACCATGACAACTTTAGAAATGAGGAAACAAGACTCAGAGTGACGACTCATTCAGGGTCACTCAGCTAGTAAGTGCTGGAATCAAGACTGCAGTCAGCCAGAATGCGTGATTCTATATTCTGTACCCTCAGAATAGAGTTCCTCTGCTAAATGTGTTGCCATTTTTATTCCAGAATAAGGAAGGACTTGCAAATTATTTTATTTAAAAATCAGAATATGAAAAAAGAACTTAAAAAACTCCCCTGAGCATAGAATTTAGGGCATTAGCATCCTGAGGGTTAGTTTTAGGAAACCTGAAGCCGTCCTCTCCTTGGAGGACTTCTTTGTCATTCCATATCTTTCCTATTGCACGTACACTTTCCTCTGCCTTTTCTCTGTCCAACTCCAAAAAAATCCGACATCAGTAACTCGTATGTAACCATGTCATTCTGCTGTTCCTCAAAAGGATGTTTGTTTTTTGTTTCAGTCTTGTCTTTATGAAAGAATAATGCATTTTGCAACATTCCAAGAAATTCCAGGTGACATTAGAACCAAGAGGATAGATACTTTGTTCAGTTTGAGGCCTTCCTTTAATATTATGCTATATTGGTAAACATAATAGCAACCTATTAGGATTGATATTTATACAAGAAAGTAATTTCATGAACACTATTTCACTATCAAATAATTCTGTGATATTATAATGACTTGGCTTTATTTATCAAAATACAAAAGCATGAGAGAAGACAATTTGTTTAAATAAAAACAAACAAAACCAAAAACTCGAAACCAATATGTCTTAAATCCAGGACATACTCTTGAGTCTTCATTCATCCAACATTAATTGCACAGACATGTATTAAGCATTCACCATATTCAAAGCTCTGGAGATTTATACTGAGATAGGCTACTTGCACCCTGGAGATCACAGTACAGAAGAAGATGCCATCATGTAAACATAACTATTAGGCAATGTGTTAAGGGTAAGATTTTAAATATTAAAAGAACAATATATGAACACTCACTATCTTTTACATTTAGCCTTTCCAGACTTTGTATTTTGTCTGGTAACTTGTCCATAGAGCTTTATCAGAGATTTTGGACCTTAGATATTTAAGGAAGCCAGAATCAACCATTTTTCCAGTTTCCAAGTAGATTTTATTAAAGATTTTTATCAATATTTGGGCAGAACTAAAACATTTTTAAAGACTTTTTTTTTTCATGAGATGTGTGTGAGAGAGACAGAGGCAGTGAAAAAATAATTGAAATTATTATTAGGACAGCATCAAAGACTAAAATGTCCTGGCTTGAAGACTGATTCCTTATGAGATGATCTATATTGGTAGATTTTTATTCTACCTTTAGCGGGGAATCAATTAATTAAAGCTCATCACTTTTTTTTTTTAACATATAACCATTCTGGTTGCTGATATTTTCCTATAACACAGGAAAATCTACTGTTTGATTTTACTGGGACTCAAAGGTTTGCATTGCTAATTGCTGCACTGATAACCTTCCCTATATTAAGAATTTAAGGATTGAACTTAATATTCTTATCACATCTCTTCTCACTAAAAGAAAAAGTGTACTGATTTTAATGTATGTCATCATGGCTATAGAATTCATATATCCTGGGAATATCAAGTAAATCCATGAAATTTCACAGGCTTCTCTTTACATTTAAAAAGGTTCTTCAGAAACATCACATCCAGCCTCTTCATTTTTCAGATCAGAGAACTGAGCCCCAGTGAATCAAAATGAATTGCCTATGGTGACACAGACACTGGTAACAAATCCAGAAATACAACCTGTTCTATTCCAGCTCAATATTATTTTCCCTACCACTGCCTCCTTTGTAGCCTTTCAAGGGTAATTTTGAATTATTTACCAATGTTTTGAATTTCTGGATTCATTGTCAGTGTCTAAAATAATGTGTGAAATAAGAGCCTAACCAAGTCTTCTATAATAAAGCAACTGAATTTATTTTGAAATGCCTTTTAGGAACGCCAAGTTTTGAAGGGGTTTTAAGACTATCGCAGTCCAGGATATTTTTAGATAAGAAGAGAATAGAATCCTGGAAACAGGAACCTTCTTATTAAACAACATGATCCCAGTCTTCTAAGAAACCAATTTAGCTTGTTAAACTGATTCTCCAAGGACATATTAAGCATGCCAGTTTTGCCTTTCTTCACAACCTTCAGAATTATCTTTCCCCTCCTTCCACTCACCTCCCAAAATATATTAAATTAGAGCTCTGTCTTCTTCAGTCTGGAAATATTTAAGAGAAAGTAAACGTAAAAACATGAGCTTTGGCCAGGCACGAAGGCTCACACCTGTAATCCCAGCACTTTGGGAGGCCGAGGCGGGTGGATCAGTTGAGGTCAGGAGTTCGAGACCAGCCTGGCCAGCATGGTGAAATCCCGTCTGTACTAAAAATACAAAAATTAGCTGGGCTTGGTGGCATGCACGTGATTGTGATCCCAGCTAATTGAGAGGCTGAGGCAGGAGAATCGCTTGAACCCAGGAGGCAGAGGTTGCAGTGAGCTGAGATCATGCCATTGCACTCCAGCCTGGGCAACAGAGTGAGATTCTGTCTCAAACACACAAAGAAAGAAAACGTGAGCTTTCTAGACACCATGAACACAAATCTCAAGGGAAAAAATTCCATGTCAATCTGTTTCCTTAAAATGTCATTATAAAAGTGCATAATAATTTGAATTAATGATCATTGAAATACATATACTAGATATATCTATATTAGGAAATTATTCTAATCTCTAAGAATTCCTTTATTTATTCTGTTACTAAAAAGATGACAGGCTGGGCATGGTGGCTTACACCCGTTTGCTCAAAACTTTGGGAGGCCAAAGTAGGAGGATCACTTGAGGCCAGGAGTTTGAAACCAATGTGGTCAACATAACAAGACTCTGTCTCTACAAAAACTAAAATAATAATAATAATAAGTAACACATGTTCATACTAGAAAATCACTCATAAGCCTGCCACTCAGAGAGGACTTCCATGAATTGCTTGGCGTGCTTTTTGGCCAGTATTCATTTCAATGCTTCTATCCATGTATCTTTCTCTCTCTCCTTATCTCTTAAAATCTTTACCATCCCCTTTATACAATTTGTGTGTTGTTGTCTTCTATGATTTACCTTTTTGGTCTAATTACTTTTGCATGTCCTTCAATATAATTCAAATACATGATTTTATTTTTGGCATAATGATCTCTTAGGCAGTGTTATAATTAAATCATTCAATTCTTTTTTCTTGGACATTCAGGTTATTTTTTTGCATGCAGTTTTGATGTCATAGAAATCAGCACCTATTAAATATTTACTACAAGATAAATGAAATGCTATGTTCTTTACGTATATTACTTCCTTAACTGACTGTAGCAATTTATGATATAAACACTCTAAGTCCTATTTTGCAAAGAAGGCTCAAGGTTTTTCAGAAGACAAATAACTTGCCCAAGCTCAAACTATAATTCAATGGTGGAATCTGAATTTGAGCTTCCAAAATCAAAAAGCCAAGTTTTTACCCATGGCTATACTACCACCACACAGATACTTCATTTTTCAAGGACATTCAATTATTTTGCCTGCTTTTAAATTGATATAATAATCTTTTGGTTATTCTTTTAAGAATGCCATATATTCAATATTTATTTTCCCATAGATTTGCCATACCATCTTTGTCTTATATTAATTAAATTCAGGACTCATTGGCTAGATTTCTAATTTGTCAATATTTTGATAATTACAGTGACTACAGGTTAATATCAGCAAAGTTACATTTCACCCCCCTCACCCCTGCTGCTTCTCCTCCCCCAATAACTGTCTGTTTTCACTCGTTTAGATGAATCTTGAGTTTGTTTTGTTAAATTTCAAACCATTTCCAGCTGGGGATTACATTGATTCTAGGAATTAATTTGAGAGCAATAAGTATTCCTTCCTTTAATTATCAAATTCCTTTAATTAACAAATATCAATGGAATTCCTACTATGTGCTAGGCACCGCTCTGTAAGCCAGCTCTCCAGCAATGAACACGGCACACACAAACCTCAGTAACCACAGAGCTCACCCTCTTGTTGAGAGATTCTGAAAATAAACCAGTAAGTAAATCAAATATATAGTTAGAAGATAGTGAGTGTTATATCAGCCAGAAATAATGAAAAAAATTACTTCTATGTTCTAATGTTTGTATTTCTTTCTAGGCTTCTTGTCTCATGTCATCTATATTCTGGCTTCTAGAAAAAATGTAGGGCAGGCTACTACTGCTTGAGGACCAAATTCAGCCATCAATCTGTTTTTACATTGTTTAAGATTGTAGTACACATAAAAATAAACATGACATAAAATTTACCATCTTAACCATTTTTTAAGTGCACAGTTTAATGGTATTAAATATATTGAGTGAGTTTTTTTCTGGATTAAAAAGTTATGATTATATATATATACATATATATATATACATATATATATATATATATATATATATATATATATACACACACACACAAAACATAAAATTTGCCATCTTAAATCTCTTAACTTTTACAGTTCTGTGGCATTAGGTACATTCACATTGTAATGCAACCATCACCACCATCCATCTCCAGAACTTTTCAACTTTCCAAGCTGAAACTCTGTACCTATTCAAAACACTCCATTCTCCCTTCCCCCTAAACCCCTGGAAATCATCGTTCTTCTTTCTGTCTCCATGATTTTGAGTACTCTAAGTAGTCAAAATCATACTACTTAGAGTACTCAAAATCATCATATAAGTCAAATTCCTCATATAAATAGAATCACATGGTATTTGTCTTTTCGTGACTGGCTTACTTCAGAGTATAATGTCCTCAATGTTCATCCATATTGCAGCATATGTCAGAATTTCCTTCTTTTTTAAGACTGAATAATACATTTTGCTTATCCACTCATCTGTCATTGGACATTTTGGTTACTACCATGTCTTAGCAATTGTAAGTAATTGTTATGAACATGGTTGTACAAAAATGCTTCTTCAAGACCCTGCTTTTAATTCTTTGGAGTATATACCCAGAATTACTGGATCATATGGTAATTGTATTTTTAACTTTTTGAGGAACCTCCATACTGTTTTTCACAGTGGCTGTACCATTTTACATTACCATCAACAGTGCACAAGAGTTCCAATAACTCCACATCCTCACCAACACTTATTTTCTGGCTTTTTTTTTTTTTTTTTTTTGGTAGTAGCCATTGCATTGTAATGGGTGTGGGTGGTATCTCATAGTTGTGATTTGCGTTTCCCTAATAATTAATGACATTGAACATCTTTTCATGTGCTTATTGACCATTTTACTCAATCTATTTTTTAAAATAAAGTTTTATTGGAACAAAACCTCACCCATTCTTTAAAAATTGTCTCTGTTAGCACTATATTGGCAGAGTTGTAACAGAGACAACAAGGATACAGAGCATAAAATATTTACTATTTGGTCCTTTGCAGAAAAATTTTGCCTGTTGAATATTGTCTGGAATGTGGTATGGAATATTGCCAAGAACTAACTTCAGTATGCATTAGAGTCATCTGACAGACTTTTAAAAATTCTGATTGCTGCTCTGTGCTACTTTCTGGAGTTTACAATTCAATAGGAATCAGGTGGGGCTTAAGAATTTGCATTTCTAATAACTCCCAGAGGATGCTGGTATGGCTGGTTCATGGACCACCTCTTTAAAACCACTGATCTGGAACTATAAGGAAAAGATAAATAGTGGTGTTGGTGGATATCATTATCTTGCTCCTGATTTTATTGGAAATATTTCCAGTTGAACTATTAAAGAATGTTGATTATTGATTTAAGATAGATATTTTAAAATGTGAAAGAAGAATTCTACTATTTTATTCAGTGCTTTTTTGTTTGATTTTCTTTATTAAATCTAGAATGGGTATTTAATTTTTATCAACAATATTTGAATATTTATCAGAAAAATTCTGGAAGAAAATGTATTTATGTAGGCTGCATCATCCTTTTATTTGTATACTTATATGTGTGTGTGTGCGTGTGTGTGTGTGTGTGTGTATGTTGACCAGGAGGGCCTTAACATTCCCCTCAACTTGACTAAACTTAAGACAGATTTCTTCTTGTCCTTAGACTCTTAACTTCCCTTTTCTTAAGAGGGTTTACTTTAGAAAACTTGCAGTTGCACACTTTGCTCCTTTGAAATATGAACCTTCTCCCAGACTCTTGCCAGTTTTACAAACCAGGAATGTCTTTCTCAAGGACCTGAGAGCCATCTCTTTGAAAGATAATCATCAAGAAAGGCAGTGCTCCTGTCTTTCAGGCTTTGCAGGAAGTTAGGGACCTCGCTGGGCCCTTAGCAAACACAGAGGGCCTGATCTCAGTGACCAAGACCCTCCCCTCAAATGTCTTCCATCTTTCAGCACCATTTCACAAGCTCACCTCACTGCTTAAAATCTCTCTTGCCTTTGTTTCAATGGAGTCAATTTCAGTATCTCTCCCCTATTGCAATAGTCTTGAGTAAAATATTCCTGGATAGTGTAATTTTTTACCAGGCACCAATCTATTTTACAAAGCATAGGAAGCATTATTTGCTGGTGACAAAGAACAACAACAAAACGAAAACAAACACAAAAACAAAAAACAACTCTTTTTCTGTTTTAAACCAAATTTTGTATATATGTATTTCTTATCTTTTTGATTTTATTGTACCCACCATAAGTTTGCTTTTGACAATTTGCAATGTGTATGCATATTAGTATTCTTCTCCCTTGAAAAGAACCAAGACGTATTTTTCCCAATACATGACTTTTTTCATGTCTGTTTTATTTATCCAGTTTCCCTCAGTTTTTATTTACCTTCACAGGGCATATTTAACTTGCTAATGTTTGAATGCCTTTTTAAAAGAGTTCAATTTATATGGACTTCACTGGGGCACAGCTATAACTCACAGAGATTTACAGGATGTACTCTTAATCAATTTACACTGAAAATGCTATTTTCATTTTACATTAAATCTAAAATCTAAAAAATCCAGTGGAAATAAGATATGGGCCTTTTTCTTCAAATGTTATGTTATGATTGTTTATAGAATTACTATTATAATGTTACATATTTAATGGAAACCATACACCTTGTCTTTTCAATATGTAGCTTCAATATGTAGCCTATGTTTTGCACCATTTTAAAAAGCAATTTTATACTGAACAACTTGTGTTTAAAGACCCTGAATGCTGAAATGTATTAATTCCACAAGAATTGCTTGAGTTTTTGAGCTTCATAATATTGCACCTAAAGCTAAAACAGATGCTGTTAAAATCTAGAATGATGCAGTAGGAAATAATTTGTTTGTTTCAGCTAATGTTTGAAAGAGTGTATTTGCTATTTAACTATGCCCCAGACTGGGGGAAATATTGTTTTCCCTTATTTCCTCTCTATTGTTTTCCCTTATTTCCTCTCTATTGTTTCTTTACTTCAGTGTAACAATTACCAAGGTTATTTTTGTTATTAGTCTTTAACTTTTACTTCTTTAGCCTGCTAGGGAAATTAGGGGCAATAAGAAAACAAATGTCTTTTTTAATGACCATGAGTAAATTTGAAGGAAACTTTCATTAGGAAACCCATTTTCTGTGTCCATTTGAAGCTAATAGACATGTTCTAGCATTCAAGGAAGAATAGGCTCAGATTGTGACACCAGTACTTTTGCTCTTGAACTGCACTTACCCCCTAGTCTTAGTGGAGCCAAAATATTACTGAAATGCTATAAGGGAACATAATATGTAACTATTGATTCATCATTTGTTTAATTCTTTTTTTGCTGTTTTTGGTTCAGGAAAACCTGTGCTTCATATGTCATTATCTATTCTGATGTTCCCAGGTAGGATTGCTTCTACTGTTGGTTGAAGTAACTTCTTAAGGTTAACACTTTGTTTCCTGCACAGGAAGAGGATGACATCTGTTACCCCTAAACTGTGGCTAATCGATGACAGTTGTGATTGAATACCTTCTCTTAGAGCAAATCTACAATTCCATGGGCCCCTTGTTTCAGCACCACAGAGGTTGTCTTGTGTGGTTATTTTGAAACTAGTAAAATGTGATTACTCTCCATATTGCCCTGACATGAAGGACCCTTGGCGTGATGCTTCCTCCTTGCATTGCAGTAACTGATGTAAAACCAGCTACCCTCAAAGACCCCACTTGTCTGCTAATTAAATAAAACTACATCTTGTGTTAAAATTCACATCCCCAAAATATTACTTAATATAATCATTCTTATTCACTGTATATTTAAACACATTTTTTAACAATTTAGAAACTTAAAAAGAAAACTTCCATTACTGAATCCCGACTTGTATAAACAAAAGTGGCCCATTGAAGGCACTAAATTGGGTCACATTTTAGCTTCCTAGCACTGCCAAAACTATACTCATTCGAAATTATGCCTACTTTAGCATTATAACATATCATCTGTATGTCTATGGATTTAATATTTTAGCAAAGGTTGACTACTTTCTTTTACCTATATAAATGTAGATAAGGTTGTTTTTTCCACACTGCTTTAAATGGAAACTTCCATTGTTTGGGATACATAGATGTTAATGGTACAACTGAAGATTAGAAAAAAAAAAGCCACAAAATATTATGGACTTTTATCCATGTACTGGCACCCACTAAAAAATCTGAGTAAAGCTGACTCTATGCAGTAAAAAGGAAATACGAAAAAACAAGACTGGAATCAAAACTCAGATTTTCTTGGCTCTATAATTAGAAGGAGATTTAGAGAATGTAAGGAAGATTAACTTTTTCACCATGTGGATTGACGCTGTTTAATGCCACGCCACCTAAAAGCATTTAGCACCTCCTGCAGTGAAGGAACACCAGTTTAGATGGAATCCTATGAGCATTATCAGAAAAAAGAGAGAAAAAAAATGTTCTATCGGCTCATTCTTCTGCCACTGAGAGAACAAACGAGTGAACCAATCTGAACCTGAATCACTTGGCTAATAGCTAGCAATAGCAGATTAGAGTTGGGAAGAGGTTGATTATAATACATGATGATGACCGGTAGGAGATTCAAAGAACAAATCAACATGTAACATTTGTTTTCCCTCTGTTATTTGAAATAGCCACTTGTAGGTTTGGAGACAGTAATAAGAAAAGCATTGGTGTAATAGTTTCTACCACAAAGAAAATAAAGACACATAATGAACTGTTTTTTTCATATTGTAGCAGGAAGATAATTACATTGAAAAGGAACCATAGGAGACACATTTGTTTTGGTCTGCCCAGTGTATAGCCTCCCTCTTTAATAAGAATACCTCAGGTTTCCTTTGGATTACCACTGCTGACTTCTCAGTCACTGTGGATACAGCAAGGCTAATGCCAGTCTTGGCTCCAGGAATCATCATGTGACCTAAGTCGGGATAATCACAGTATCACCTCCTCTGCACTCCACATCACATCCTCCAGAGAAGTACCACCTCCAGTGGTACAAAGATAGGCTCACCTGGAATTCTCCTAGCACAGTAGAGAAATGGGAGATCTCTTTCTAGGAAGGTTGGTGGGACAGTAACTTGTCATCATGGAGCTGCCAGATCACTACATTGCAAGGACTGTCCAACACAAATCCAACAGATAAGAGAGCACAGCTGAGAGCTGGAAAGTGATTGACACCTGACGCTACTGTCCTAGATCCAGCTGTGCTGAGGCTTATCAGCCAGACCAAAGATTTTCTTCCATTGATTATACCACTTTGAGTTGGATTTTTGTTACTTGAAAACAAAATATTCTGAGTAATCCAGAAATATTGACAGATTTGAGAGGTTTCTAATATCCATAGTAGCACTTTCACTAAATCCATGCAGACTTCAATAATAACTGGCTGGAGCTATTGAGCCACTCTTTCTTATCCATCTCTCAACCATTGATTCTTCTTAAGTGGGGTAAACACATACGGTGTCCTTGGCATTGTTTTGGCCTTGAGAACACAAGGTTTAATAAGACATGGACATGCCCCCTGCAGTTCAGAATTTAGTGAGAAGACAGACACACAAACATGCAATGGGAAAAGGATAGCAGATAAACAATGTACTGTGAGAGTGTGGAGGAATCGGTGTGTGACTGCCTAGAAGAGTCAGACAAAGCTCTGTAGAGGTGAAGATGACAGGGAGATGAGAGGAGCTAAGAATTTCCTTGGTGGAGAAAGATTTTCGGGGTGTTCTAGAGATAGCAGATGCAAAAGATTGGGAGGGAGAGAGAGAACATAAAAATGGTATGTTGAGGAATAAGAGATAGTTCAGATGTGACTGAAGCATAAGAGGCATAATTGGTAATGGCTGGATATGAAATTGGACAGGTCTGGTCTTCTCTTTCTCATGAGTGGCTGTGCCAATTTTCACCTTTGTGCCGTAGATCATTTCAGTAGTTCTGATTGAAGTATCTTACCTGTTCCTCTCCACCTGACCATGTTATATGTTCTCTTCAAGGCCTACCTTTGATCTTGCCTAACCCAATAATGACTCCCCCACACTGTTCTCCTACCCAAATTCCTCCCTACTTCTCACATACTAGTCCTTGCAGGTTGAGGAAGGCACCCATTTACTACCAGTGGAGAGGTAGTCATTCTGATAATGTTAATTGATGAACCAATTCCTGTCCCTGGTACTGCCATACTATTGGCAGTGAAATGGGCACACTCAGATCTTGAATTTCCAGAGCCAGATTTGGAAATATACTAGCACAATGTAAGAGAGCCTTTGTGTACCTGAAACCTAGACAGAAACAGAGGAGTTTCACTTTTATACTGATGTAAATTCAGGAATGCTCCACCTGTCAGAGGGAGGGATTATTAGAGAATAAATGAAATAGTTAAACACTATGTTATATATGCACATATATATATTTTCATATATTTGTATTTAAATATAAATACACTTATACATACCTTATACACTTTTACATATTGGTACAAGGTTTTATGTGCAAAATACCAATATCCTTGATGCATTTTCAGGAATAGTTTTGACTATACACTATTTGTTTCTACTGCGCTAGAAACTTTGCAGTGAAATAAAGGGATACAAGAGGGCTCTGCAATTATGGGCCAATGGAATAAGAACTCAGCATTGTATAGGCCAGTGCAATCCAAAAGAATATTCTTCCATTAAAGAAATGTTTTACATTTGTGCTGTCCAATGTGGTAGCCACTGGCCACATGTGGCTGCTGAACACTTAAATTTGGCTAGTGTGATTGAGGGACTGAATTTATACTGTTCGTTAATTTTAATGAATTCTAATATAAATAAAAATAGCCACACCAGGCTAGTGGCTACCACATTAAACAGCACAGATTACAGAATGTTTATGATGTTGATGTGGGATGATAATAGATGTCCAAAGGGCCCTGCTGTCCACTGACATGTTTGAATGTTTGTGCTTAGGCAGATTTGACCAATTAAAACTGCCTTAGGAGTACATATTACTTAAGGTTTTCCAGAGAAACAATACCCAAAGGATATGTGTCCTATTATATATATAATATATTATTTTATATATATATATATACACATGCACATGTGTGTATGTGTGTGTGGTGTGTTTTAGGAAAACTACAACTACTCTATTCAAACTAGTTCAGTGTTTTCTTGGTTAAGAAAACACTGTGGGTTTTGTTACTGAAAGTTACTGAAAGGTTTTGTTACTGAAAGTGGGTTCTTTACTTTTAGTGAATAAAAACTATTAAATATAATGAACAGGTTAATTTTTAATGATACTTAGCCCTAGGCTTAAAGAAAATAATGTGGGGATTTGAATAACAAAGAGTAATGTATGTGCGATGTTTGACGTTTCCCTAATAAAGAGAAGAACCTGTAGGATAGATGAAAAAGAAATTGAAATCGAGGGTGGGGGACGGGGGGCAGAGGGGGAAACATAATAGCTAGCCTATCTTCTTCAAGTTGATCCAAAATTTGTCAGATAATTTAAAGTCAAAGTCATATGGTGAAAAAATTCTTCAGGCTATTTATATCAATTCACTCAACTACTACTTTTTTTTTTTTTTTTTTTTTTTTTTAAGCACATAGCACTCTTGTTCCCTGCAGTGAGCAAAATGAAGTCCCTGTACTCAGGGAGCTTACATTCTGTAGACAATCATCCAACTGCTCAAATCCAAATTATCAATCAAATGTATTCTTTAATGCATTTGCTTAAAAGAAAAATTACATCATTGACATGATTTTCAAACAATGACCGCAATGACTTGAAATATAAGATATTGATTTCTGTTTTCTTTTCTCTACTTCTTTGACTACCTGACATCAAAAACAGCAGAGAGCATAAACAGTAACTTCTCTAATGGGTAACTATAAATCCTTTCTTCTACTCCCTGAAATTTATACTTGTTATCTCACTCCCCAGATTCATACCAAGCTGCAATGAAAGAAACTTGATTGTTTGATCTTTGCTTTGGCAGTGAGTAAATTACTCTCTCCTGCATTAACCCAGCTGGAATCCTACTTGTTCAAATTTCTTGCCTGTGATAGCAAAGGGTAAGAAATAAATTCGGGTAAATCTGAGAAATCTGACAGAAGGTTTTGGTTGAGAATCTCATGAAAGCTCTGCTCTTGTATTAGGGAAAGAGCAGTGTCCAAGTGGCAGGGTTGGGCAGGAGAGGGCAAAGACGTCTCTCCATTGGAGGTGTTCCTAGTTTCCCTGTAGGCTTGAAGGTAGACCATGGATGTAATTTGGGAGTATGTTATATTTTGCTATCTCCCCAAAGAGGCTGATGAAATAACCCCACCAGCAGAGGCTGTGGGATGGTCTTTGGACAAGTGGCCAGGCTGCCACACTCTCAGCTATGTGAGAATCTGTGCATAAATCTATTTAAGTATCCAAGACCCTCTCATTTATCAAAACATAAAAGTAGAAAATAACATGAATGAGAGAGTCACCACTAAGACATGAGTAGCTGGACCAGCCAGCATCAGAGAGCCCACGGCTATGAGGACTCCAATGGTGAAAATAGAGAAAGAAGAAGGTGGAAATATGGAATCAAATACAAACCCTCTGTGCATTTGTGTGCTGACAATCTCTTAAACAAATGGTGTAGTCCTTCTTTTACCAGCTGGTTAAGGGCTCTAGGCAAGTTTTGTGAAATTAAAAGCTGGGCAATAGAAACAGAATAACATTTTTGCTAATGGAGAGGGAGCTTTAAAGTGGGAATTTCGTACTGGCTAGAGACAGAAAGAATAGCTTAATTTGACCTCTAAAATTACTTGATCCTGTACAGTTTGCCAGAGTTGTCTAGAATAAATTGTCATTAGACATCCCTGGAGGTGGAGTGAGGTGGGATGTTAGGCTGCAATAATTCAGTCTAACAAACCATATCAAAATACAGCAGCGTGCATCTATTTTTTCTCACTCATGAGTCAGGAGTCACAGTGAAAGGTGTCATTTCAGAAGGCTGCAGGCAGTTTGGCTGGCTTGTTTGGGATGATTCTGTCCCACAGGAGAAGAGGTAGTGGCTACCAGAGTATGCTTTTCTTATGTGCATCTTAGCAGTACAGGAAGACAACAGGAATCATGGGTGCACATTTGAAATCTCTGCTAGCATCACATCTACTCACTGTCCAAAGGTCAAGGTAAATCACATTCAAAGGAAGTATGGGGCCTAAATATTTGCTGAATAATAACCCTATCTATGACAGGTAGAGACCCTTAGAATCAAGAAAACATTTAATTATTAAATACAATTATTTTTATTTATTATATTTGTTTATGACTGGTTTATACCTGCTTGATGTGCCTTATATCTATGTATTCACTGGGTAGTTTGGAATTTCCCTATCTTCAGCCTTATGGGGAGGATTTTGCTGCACACTACAGATGCATTGGAGTGTTGTTTTATCTTAGTTAGGAAGAATATAGCTGTCAATGGCTGCCAGGGAAAAAGGCTAATGAAAACACTGACAGAACTTTAAGTATAGCCCTGCTGATGAGTGGTATAATACAGAAGGTTCTTTTTCTTTTTAATTTTAAAGGTAAATCAAGACTCCAAATCTTTTCCATGTTTGTGACAATTTCAGAATTGTGTTGATACACAAATAAAGTCAGGAATGACTTACAAATCTACTTTTTTTTCCTAATGCTCCCTTCAAAATGGTGACCAAAATCTTAACATGCATATTCTTTGTTAAGTGGTTGTGTTTCTTTTCCTTTTCCTTTTAAAATATCTTAGTATACCGATAACCAGAAGAGTCTGATCAAGAAATACAGGTTAGACCTGCTTGCTAACTGTACTTTCACCATGCAGAAGACCCCAGGGATCTTTTCACACACAAGTGTGGTGAAGCATTTCAGTGAAGTCAGGTGTCTAAAACCTTTAATGAAGGGATTATTGATATGCAGAGCTTCCGATCACATCCGCCCTTGTTGGATCAGATCCCAGAGGTTGTCAGGAAACAACATGAGAAAGATCAGTCAGGTACTCTCCTCTCTCTCCTCTTAACTGAGGCAGGGATCCGGATGCCTGAAACAAAGCTTCAAACAGCCAAGCTTCCTTGGGACCTGAATGCTGAAATCTCTTGGTGTCATTACACAAAATAAAGCACACATTTTTGGAAATGGCTTTATTGTAATCTGTTTGTTAAAAAAAATGGAAAAAGCAATGAAGACCACGGATTTGGGCTTCTTCATATTTATATTCCCATCCTGCTACAGCTGCTAACATCATGGCATGATGCTTTTACAATTCACTTCCCTGTCAGTAAAATTAGAACCGCTTATATCTGCTCTTCAGAGTTGTTTGATATTTGAGCAGAGGCATGTAAAACATTTCATACAGGTCTTAGCATATTATAAATGCTCAATATATTATAACCATTATTGGTATATGGCCACTTCCCCATTAATTTGGTAATAAATCTCCCTCCAAACTCTGATCCATTAGCGTCGCAATTGTAAGATCAGGCACGCAGGGACTTTGATGGGCAAGCCTAGTGAACATGCATCATTAAGCATTTTTATGATATGTTTGAATTGTAACAGAGCCAATTCCACCCTTGAGTAGAGACAACCTTGCTCTCCCCTTGAAGGGGATTTTGGCATACGTATTTATTTCAGCTCCACCCTGTCTACAGGGCTCTGCTTCTTTGATAGAACTTGTAACTGAAGTCACACAGGCTTCTCTTCAGAACACCAAATCAGAGCTGCTCAGGTTGCAAACTCATTGTTATACCTAAAATTTCTGGCAGTTACTTGCATCCCTGGGCTGGAGGGCATAGACACTGGACCACTTGGATTATAATCATCATCCTTGTATCAACCTATCATCTCCTCCCAACATCTGAAATAAAAAATGCATACGCATTTTTTAAAGAAAAACAGATTTATCTGAAACAGTTTAAAGAATTGTCATTGTCAGAGGTGAGTGAGAAGGCAAAGCTCCCTGTTGCCACAAGCAGTGGCTCCTAGAGTGCACTATTTCCAAGGACTAGAAACACTCAGAAAAAAGCTTTTTGTTACTGTTGTTTAGTTGTTTTTTATTGAAGCAGCAGATATTCTCAAAGCTTTTGTAATGCTTCTGTTCATTTTGAAACCCAAGAGTGGTTCTTCAACACTTATGGGGATCCATTTTTTAAGAATCAACTTTCCAGCATCAATGTCACTTTTTGGAGAAACACTGATGTACTGGATTATTCCTGGGAAAATGCTGATAATCTGACCCCTCCCTTATTTTTCAGCCCCATATCTAGATATGCCTCATCCTTCCTGCCTCCATAACATTCTGCACCCCCCTTTTCTCAGATGGTTTATGGTCTTTGGCAGTTTGTGTATGTTACTGCTTCTGCTGGAGATGACATTTTTTGAACAATGTGGTGGTACCTTGATGCTGCTTAATCATCTCAACTTCTCCTGAGGCATCAGATGCTCAATGAAGCTTTTATGACTGTGGATCCCCACGGTACCCTCTATACTCTGTGACAGCACCTTTACAAACGTTTATTGTCCTTATTTGTCCCCTCTGCTTTCTGAGTTCTTACTCATTCTGAATTTTCAGACCCAAGCTTGGCAGTGAGCACAAAGTTAGTGTTTATGAGATGTTTTATGTGTGACTGTATAAATTAAGGAGTGAAATTAACAACAGTATGAAAAACATAGATACATTTTTTTTCCTACTTTAGACAAAAGAGAGTAATAGTTGAAGGCAGGGACTTTGGAGTCCCTGAGTAGTACCTGCCTTCCCATATTTAGTAACTTTAAACAAGTTATTATACCGAAAAATCTGGTCTGGTTTCTTTATCTTTGAAACCTGATTAAAGTCCCTCTCCTCACAAGACTGTTGTGTGCATAACATAAGGTAACACTTGGAAATGTTTTTGCATCACAGTCCCCAAACTGTGCCCAGGTGCCCCTGAGTGCTAGCAGCAAACTCATAGCAGAGATATTTTGAGTTTAAATGTAAGGTTGCACAACATTATTTTTGATGCTGTCATATCTTTGTGAAGCTGGGTTTTGATAGTGGTTGTGATAAAAAGTAAGTGTCATGCAAAAGTCAACGAGGAACAGGAAATGAGGTTGGCAATGCCCAAACTGGTTTTGCGTTTTGAGAAATTGTGCGACATCTGATACGTGTGCACAGATTTTAGTAAATCACTGTGGATATTTTTTAAATGAAATAAAAATATTTTTGTTCAATATTAATGTATTTTTCAAATTGATACTAGGTTATTACAATGTAGTTATTTAGGTATTTGGACCTAACCATTTAATAAATAGTATTGTTAGGTATTTCTTTTGGCCTACAGGTGCCATGAAAAAGTTACTGATATAAGCAGGGTGGGGATTTCTGCTTAGCACAGGGGGTGTTGTGACAACTCACTGAGTATTAACTATTTGGTAGGAACGATATATTGGGATATTAATTTCATTTTGTGCTTTCTGTATTTTTTCTTTTATCACATTCTCCTTCCAATGATGTATTCCTGTACATGGTGTTTTATCACTACAGAGAAATTTTGCATGGCAGAGCAAAATCTTTATGCAGAGGACTTCCCAGCATGGCTTTGAAGGCTTAAGAGTCTATCAGTTTTCTAAGAGAGAAGAGAGGAAAGTGTGCTTTGAGGGAACAAGACCCAGGGAGGGTTCCCTCAATCATAGGACAAAGATGTAAATCCACAAGTTGCTTGAATAGTAGTGGCCAATACTACTCTCTTGCAGTGCTCCAAGGACCTTGGTGTAAGAGGAATTTGTTGAACCTATTAAAGGCTCACTAGTGTTTCTTGGGTTAAATGAAATTCAAGAACTAGGGGCCCAGAGAGTAGTATATGAGTGATGGAGGATATCCCTGAAAGGGTCATGTTCTCTGCAAATCACATACTCCGCTCAACTCATACAAATACCCTTGTAAATCTTTAACAAATAATAAATACCACTTACTGAGCTCATCTTTCATTCCAGGAACGTGGCTAAGTTCTTCACATGCACTGTCTCATTTAATACAAACAAGGTACCATTATTAGGCTCATTTTAAAAACAAAGATTCTGCAGCCCAGAGAAAGTATGTAGCTTGCCCAGCTCACACAGTTAGTAAGTGGTAGAGAGCAGATGTAAACTCCAAAGTTCAAGTTCGTGCTGAATATTGGTAGGAACCTGTCTTCTTGCAAAGGGCAGAAACCTAATTCAAAATAGCTTAAATTTAAAAGACAAATAAATCACCTATTGCCAAAGTTTGGGGGTAGGATTTTTGTCCCAGCAGGATGCAGGTGTTGGAATGATGCAGTTAACCAGCTGTCTCCTGCATCTCTTGGCCCTGCATTCCTCAGAGCTGTCTTCACTTTGGGTAAGTTAGCAAAGCATGTCCATAGGAGGCAAGGTGGCCGCCAGCCACTCCTGGGGAACCTCTGGCCGACTAAGACTGCCCAGCAGAAAGAGAGCACTTCTTTTAGAAAACTTCCATCAGAAGCCCCAGAATGGGTCTCATTCACCTGGCTTTGCTTTATGCCCAACCCTGACCCAATTTCAGTGTTATCAGGTAAATGAAATAGGGGAATGGGTCACGTCTGGATCACCTGCCTATCCCTGCCACAGATGAGATTCACCGAAACTGCATGATTGACAGTGAGGAAAGTGTAGTTCTCAAAAGAAGCTGAAATTGCTATTCATTGCAAAAAGAAGGAATACTGGAAGGTAAAACATAACAACGACCCAATATCAAGCACTTACATTTTTATTTTTTAACAAGAGAAGACCTTGAGCTATTACACCCATTTTGGAAGACAGCAAGGTACATTTACATTTCTAGAACCATCTGAATTTGGCACAAGCTCTTGTCGTGGATTTCCCATTGTTGCTGACACTGTGATGTGCATGTCTTTTCTTTCTTACACAATAAACCAAGGTGCTAGACATTTGTCAAACAAAACAACCTTAACTGGTATTCAGGCTCTGCATCGGGAAGCAAACCCACATCTTCATCTTCAATTTCATTTGACTACCAGGGTGGAGGAGAAAATGTCCTCAGGCAACAGGTAGGTGTTTACCTGCTTGTGGTCTGGGTGCTCTTTTGGCTGGGCTGCATCGAAGCACTCGTAATAACTCCACTGCGTGGCAGCTAACTCCACCAGGATTCAGTTGCCATGCAACTGCATGGTATTTCTCTATAATATTGCCTTTCCTATGATTACAGATTGAGGCGCTTTTATAGTCATAATAATACCTTGCACTCGTGCCAGGCCTTTTACATAAGACGATCCCAATAGGGTGAATAGAGTTGCTCTTTATGTAAGTTTTTTCACCAAGCACTAAAAATATCCATACTTCCAATTTAGCTACATGGCAGCCATCCTCTCCTAGTTAAAATATACAATAGATATTTTGGCAGGAGGTGATACAAAGGATTACTCATCAGATTTAAAATGTGAAAGATATTTAGGTGCACATAATAGATCTCCATTAGAGAACGCCATAGGCACTACATCAGGTGCTGACAATATTTTGGGGGTGTCTCTGATTTGGGTGCTTGAAAGAGGTTTAATTGTTTTTGCTTTTTATATGGAATGAGGGGAGCAATTGAAAAGTGGATTGGATCAGGCTCTACTGCGTGATTCAACTGCTCCAAGGTCTTAAATAGGTACTTAGAATGAGGGAGTCAGCACGGCTTCACTGAAGTACCATTTAACACTTGTTGGAGAAAATTACTCTGTGAGTCTGATGTCCTACTTTTTCATCTAGTGAGTAGTGACTCAACTGGCAGGGTCTAGCACATTCTTTTTAATCTCTTAATCAGAAGCTTTCAGAAGTTCAGGTGTTATTATCAAGGAAGCAATATTCCATCTGAAAGCAAATAGGTTCCTGAGTTTCCTGACAAGCACACTCACTCATTAACCTTTTAAATAAAACTACCATAATACAATGGAGGAAACCAAAACTAAGCTGCTTTGACCTTAATTTTATTAGCCAGCTAAAAATGTTGTAAAAAATAATTTGAAAGTAAAAGACTTATTTGCAGTAATGAGGTTTTTAAAAACTTTTTTTTTTAATTTTTGTGAGTACATAGTAGATGTATATATTTATGGGTTACATGGGATGTTTTGATATAGGCGTGCAATGGGTAATAATTGCATTATGGAAAATGGGGTATTCATCACCTCAAGCATTTATCTTTTTTGGTACAAACAATCCAGTTATTCTCTTTTATTATTTTTAAATGTACAGCTAAATTGTTATTGACTAAAATCACCTTGTTGTGCTATCAAATACTAGGTCTTATTCTTTCCAACTAATTTTTATACCCATTAACCATCCCCACCTCTCCCACTCATGCTTCACTATCCTTCCCAGTCTCTGGTAACCATCCTTCTACTCTCTATCTCCATGAGTTCAACTGTTTTGATTTTTAGACCCCATAAATAAGTGAGAACATGCGATGTTTGTTTTATGTGCCTAGCTTATTTCACTTAGCATAATGACCTTCATTTTAATCCATGAATAAAGAAAATGTAGTACTTATACACAATGGAGTACTATTCAGCTATAAAAAGGAATTTTTTTAAAGCATGTCTTCTAAAGTAGACATCCCCAACCTTTTTGGCATCAGGGACTGGTTTGATGGAAGACAATTTTTCAACAGACTGGGGTGGGTTGGGGGGATGGTCTCAAGATGATTCAAGTGCATTACATTTATTATGCACTTTATCACTATTACTATTACATTGTAATATATAATGAAATAATTATACAACTCACTATAATGTAGAATCAGTGGGAGCCTTGAGCTTGTTTTCCTGCAATTAGACGGTCCCATCTGGGGATGATGGGAGACAGTGACAGATCATCAGGCATTAAATTCTCATAATGAGTGAGCAACCTTGATCCCTTGTATGTGCAGTTCACAATACGGTTTGAATTCCTATGAGAATCTAATGCCACTGCTGATTTGACAGGAGGCGGGGCTTAAGCAGTAATGCGAACAATGGGGAGCAGCTGTAAATACAGATGAAGCATCACACACTTGCCCATCACTCACCTCCTGCTGTGTGGCCTGGTTCCTAACAGGCACAAACTGGTACTGGTGGGTCTTTAGAACATGGGATTGGGGACCCCTGTTCTAAAGCCTTCTGTCTTATTTTGGGAAGCACCTTTCTTTTGGTTCCCCTTTGTAACTCAGTTACATCCACCTATTAATGCTTGAGTTAAATTCTTATCATATCTTCATTGCCATAATTGTGGAATTTTAGTTGTCCTTTTATATTCATATTATTCTTTAATAGATTTCTTAAAATTTATGTGGATACATGGCTGCCTTGGTTAAGGCAAATTTTTCAGTGTTTCTTGTAGCTAAGTTTGGCCATGAGTCAAAATTCTGACTGGTAGCATTTAAGGATTAGTGATTTGTGGAGTTTTCAGGTAATGGCTTTAAAGGAAACAGACGTGTTCTGTCCTTTCTTGCTTCTCTCCTGGAACTTCAAAAATGGATAATTCCTCTTGGTGAGGAAAACTGTAAGCTATGGATCTTGAGAACTATTGACAGCCATGTCCACTGCCATGTGAAGAAAACTACTCTGTATTTAGAGAAAATCAAGCCGAGGTGAGCTAAAAGAACATGCAAGAGACAGCATGAGACTCTCCTTTTGGCATTTGACCCCATGTCTATTGTCTCTTATGTGCACCAAATCCAGCCCTCAGACAATTGATTGTTCAGACACTGAAGATGAAAGCAACATACCATGATTTTAAAAAAAAATAACTCCCCTTTCTCTTTTAAGTTCATTTAAGTCTTGTTTTTGCCACAAGAAGAGTTCTCATTCATAAATCAGGATAAACTCTATAGCAAAAATAGTGGACTTTGTAAATATATCCCCATGGAATTGCCCTATTAGCATTTAGTGACACCGTATAGCAGAGTGAAAAAATGTGGGACCTCCAATGTGACTTGAGTTGAAAACTTAGAAGAAACATCAATTAAACATTGAGTATCAAACAATTTTCTTTTTTCTCATGTTTACCTACACAGAAGACATAAATGAGTTATATATATAACGTTTATTTGGAACAGCAAAATCTTTCAATCTAATTGAATACTTGTTGAAATTGTACAATGACATGATTTGGTTCTCTGTCCCCACCCAAATCTCATGTCAAATTGTAATTTCCAATATAGTGGGAAGGACCTGTTGGGAGGTGATTGGATCATGGGGGGCAGGTTTCCCCCTTGCTGTTCTTATGATGGGGAATTCTCACGAGATGTGGTTGTTTAAAAATGTGTAGCACTCCCCCTTCACACTCTCACTCCCACTCTGCTATGTGGAGAAGGTGCTTGCTTCCCCTTTGCCCTTCAGCCATGATTGTAAGTTTCCTGAGGCCTCCCCAATCATGCTTCCTGTACAGCCTGCAAAACTCTGAGTCAGTTAAACCTTTTCTTCATAAATTACCCAGTCTCAGGTAGTTCTTTATAGCAGTGTGAGAATGAATTGATACAGAAAATTAGTACCAGGAGGGGGACATTCCTATAAAGTACCTTTATCTTCATCTCACCTATAAAGGTGGAATGAAAGTGGAAGGAAATGAAAATGTGGAATCAACTTTGGAACTGGTTAATGGGCAAAGGTGGGAACAGTTTTGGAGGGCTCAGAAGAAGACATAAAGATGAGGGAAAGTTTGTAACTTCTTAGAGACTTGTTGAATGGTTGTGACCAAAATGCTGATAGTGACATGGACAGTAAAGTCTAGACTGAGGTGGTTTCAGATAAAGATGAGGAACTTATTAGGAACTGGTGACTCTTGCTATGCCTTAGCAAAGAGACTGGTGGCATTTTACCCCTGCTCTAGAGATCTGTGGAACTTTGAACTTGACAGAGATGATTTAGGGTAGCTGATGGAAGAATTTCTAAGCAGCATAGCATTCAATATGAGGCCTGGCTGCATCTAAAAGCCTATGTTCATTTTTATAAGCAAATAAATGACCTGAAACTAAAACTTATATTTAAAAGGGAAGCAGAGCATAAAAATTTGGAAAATTTGCAGCCCAATTATGTGGTAGAAAAGAAAAACTCATTTTCTGGGGAGGAATTCAAGACTACAGAAATTGGCATAAGTAATGAAGAGCCAAACGTTAATAGCCAAGAAAATGGGGAAAATGCCTTTAGGGCATTTCAGAGACCTCCGTGGCAGCCCCTCCCATCACAGGGCCAGAGGCCTAGGAGGGAAAAATGCTTTGTGGGACTGAAAGTCTCACTGCCCTCTGCAGCCTGGGGACATGGTGCCATGTGTCCCAGCTGATCCAATTCCAGCTGTGGCTAAAAGGGGCCAATATATAGCTTGGGCTGTTGCTTCAGAGGGTGTAAGCCCCAAGCATTGGCAGCTTCCATGTGGTGTTGGCCTGTGAGTGCAGAGAAGGCAAGAGTTGAGCCTTGGGAGCCTCTGCCTAGATTTCAGAGGATGTATGGAAATGCATTGATGTTCAGGCAGAACAGAAACAGAGCCCTAATGGAGAACCTCTACTAGCACAGTGCTGCAGGGAAATGTGGGGTTGGAGTTCCCACACAGAATCCCCACGTGGACACTGCCTAGTGCAGCTGTGAGAAGAGGGTCACTGTCCTGCAGACCCCAGAATGGTAGATCCTCTGGCAACTTGCACTCAGCAGGCACTCAATACTAGCCCATGAAAGCAGCCACAGGGGCTGTACCCTGCAGAGCCACAAGGGTGGAGCTGCCCAAGGCTTTGGGATATTACCTGTTATATCAGTGCACCCTGGATGTGAGACATGTAGTCCAGGAGATTATTTTGAAAGCTTTAAGATTTAATAACTGCCCTGCTGGGTTTTGGACTTGCATGGGACCTGTATCCCCTTTATTTTGACCAATTTCTCCATTTTTGAATAGAGGCATTTACCCAATTCCTGTATCCTCATTGTATCTTGGAAGTAACTAACTTGTTTTTGATTTTACAGGCTCATAGGCAGAAGGGACTGAGACAAGACTTTGGACTTGGACTTTGAAGTAAAATGTTGGAATGAATTAAGACTTTGGGGGACTCTTGGGAAGGAATGATTGTATTTTGAAATGTGAGAACATGAGACTTGGAAGGGACCAGGGGCAAAATGACATGGTTTGGCTCTGTGTCCCCACCCAAATCTCATATGGAATTGTAATTCCCAGTGCTGGGGGAGGGATCTGTTGGGGGTGATTGGATCATGGTGGCAGATTTTTCCCCCTTGCTGTTCTCATGATAGTTAGTGAGTTCTCATGAGATCTGGTTGTTTAAAAGTATGTAGCACTCTCCCTTCACTCTCTCTCCTTCTCCACCATATGAAGAATATGCTTGCTTCTCCTTTGCTGTTCTGCCAGGCTTGTAAGTTTCCTGAGGCCTACCTAACCATGTTCCCTGGACAGCCTGTGAAACTGTGAGTCAATTAAACCTCTTTTCTTCATAAATTACCCAGTCTCAGGTAGTTCTTTATAGAAGTGTGAAAGTGGATTCATACTTATAAATTATTTGTTGCATATGATTATTAGTTTTAGAACCTGGGTATAAGGAGAACAGTATAGCTTTTAATGGGTTTAAAACATAACCTGTCAACATTTACATGCATTTTCATAGCAAAACATTTCCATTAAAAAATCCTTAAGAAAATAATGGAAGACAGCCAAATTAAAGATACTGTAAGTAGTTTAAGGTGTTTCTGAGATGATTTTAGATGATTGTACATTTATTTCTTTTTATAAAAGTAAATGCATAACCTTTCACGGAGGACCTCAGATTAAAATAGGCTGTGTGCATTTATCATTTGGGTTTGGTTTTGCTTTGTTAGAGCATCCTGCAATTTGCATGTTTTCTTTTAATGGATCAAAAACTTTAATCCTTATACACAATGCTCTGAATATTTTAAATGAGATAAGAGTCTCCACTCAAAATAAATATTGTACTATAAATCAGTTGTGATTACATTAGACTTTTACTAACTTTTTAAAATTTATTTTTTATTTGGATTTTTACTACCTATTTGCTAATGGTACATCCATGCTAAATTGCCTACCCTGATTGTATTATAAACTAAAATTTAGAGCATCTACTAAAAACCACTTCTTTTCAAATCCTGTATCTTAGTATAACTTTACCTTAACACACAAATGGGTAGATTTTAAAATTATCGTGGTGCATTTACTCTGAGAATATAGTTGGCCATTTGTATCTGTCTGTGGATTCAACTATGGATTGAAAATATTAGCCAAAAAAACAATAAAAAACAATACAACAATAAAAATAATACAAAATACAGTATAACAACTATTTACACATTATTTACAATGTATTAGCTATTATAAGTAATCTAGAGATGATTTAAAGTACATGGAAGAATATGTGTAAGAATTTTAAAATACTGAAAATATGACACCATTTTATTATATAAGAGACTTGAGCTTCCGCAGATTTTGGTATCTGCAGGTGTCTGAACCAATGCCCTGTGGATACTGACGGATGACTCTATATACATGCAGTTACATACACTTTGCTGTAAGCTGCTCACTACATGATTTTCTAGGTGAATGTACCTGGGAACACACCTGAGCACAAAATATTGTTTTCTAGATGAAGAAGTAGAAGCTTGGTCACATCTCCTCCAGCCTCTGTTCTTCCAGGTCTTCTCTCTGGGAGAAAGAGCAGCAAACTGGGAGTGAGAAAATTAGAATCTTACCACAGATTGATCATTGGTGGACTGCACAAATCACAAATTTTTGTGGTGCCATGTTCTTTACTTATAAAATAAAGACATTGGAAAAATTAATTTTATATATCTGCTTTATGTTATGTGGTTTCACTTAATATGGTTTTCTTACAGTTATAGTCTCATAATTTTAATATGGTTTTATTTTGTTTGTGTAGACAAAGTAATTTATAGCCCCTGTTTTATTAATAGGGAAGAAAAACACAAGTTTATTGAAATGGTTCATCTAAACATCAGCAGGTATATAAGTGAAAATTTAACAAAAATCTCTAGACTGTTCCAAGCTCTAATCCAAACTGTAAAATAAATGAAGCAGCAAGTCTATCCTCTTCCATTTCTGCATTCTTTCTCCCCCTCATCTCAAAACATCTTCACTAGATGCCCAGGAAGAACTCAGTCACAAACATTTGTTTTAAGTTATTTTTACTTAATTGGTGGGAGCACAAAATAAATATTAACTTAAATGTGCTTTAAATTTGTATGGCCATAGGAAGTATAATAATAACAACAATATAAAGAAGAAGGAGGAAAGAAAGAAAGAGAGAAAAACAAAGAAAGAAAGGAAGAAAGAAGCAAAAAGCCTATTACCTCTATGCTATACATTATTCAGTTAGCAGCAGTTATTGAAATGATTGTAGCTCCTGCACTAGATAGCTGTTGGGTATCCATGTCTTCAAAAGTTTTTTTTCACTTCCAAAATCAGCTCTTCACCTTTCCTTACCTCTGGTGATATTTATGCTTGGCCTGATTATCTGTGCTTCCTTCAGATTTATTGCTGGTCTCTTAGACTTTAGGTCAAACGTGATCTAAACTTGGAAAGCAGTTGATTTTCTTTCATCCTTGACTTTTGTCTAAGGCTAGTTTATTTCATTTCCCAAGGCATGGCTTTCTATATATTGTTTGATTGTTTGGCATTCTGTTCCAGGTTCATTTATTTCAGACATAGAATGGAGAAAAATTAAAACTTGAAGACATTTTTAAAAATATAAAGTTTTCATAGCAAGAAAATTAATAAGTGATGTTGCCTCCATATTTCATTTCTATCATATTGCCTGTACTGTTGTCCAGATACTTACATAGCACTGGTCAGAGTAATTAGGTGATTATAACCACAAGCTTTGGTTTTGTTGTCAGAGTCCTATTTACTAGCAAAATGATTAAACTAGTTGATAACCTAGAACTTAGAATTCACATGTATATGAACACAAATATCTTGCATTGAGTATTTTAGTGAACCTCTGGTAAAGACTGAGCTTAAGTGAAGAGAAGAATGGAATTCCAGGAACTATTGTGGTTCATGTGGGAAAACCACTTGGGGAAGGGACTCTGCTCAGCACTCAGAGGTCACTCATGTAGACATAGAATTGGTAGTGCCTGTACAGATGAGTCTGCAACACCTTCCACAGTCTTCTTTACTGAGGCCTGAAACACCTTTAAACAAAACAGAGCTTCATTCAGTGGTGAAAAATGATGCTGGGCAATCCCATTACTAAGTATTTACGCAAAGGATTATACATCATTCTACTATAAAAACACATGCACATGTATGTCTATTGCAGCACTATTTACAATAGCAAAGACTTGGAACCAAGCCAAATGTCCATCAATGAGAGACTGGATAAAGAAAATGTGGCACATATACACCATGGAATACTATGTAGTCATAAAAAAGAATGAGTTTATGTCCTTTGCAGGGACATGGATGAAGCTGGAAACCATCATCCTCAGCAAACTAACACAGGAACAGACAACCAAACACCACATATTCTCACTCATAAGTGGGAGTTGAACAATGAGAACACATGGACACAGGGAGGGGAACATCACACACCGGGGTCTGTTGGGGGGTGGGGGAAAGGGGAGGGAGAGCATTAGGACAAATCCCCAAAGCATGTGGGGTTTAAAACCTAGATGACAGGCTGATAGGCGCAGCAAACCACCATGACGCATGTATACCTATGTAACAAACCTTCACGTTCAGCACATGTATCTCAGAACCTAAAGTAAAATTAAAAAAAAAAATGAGGCTGGGGCTGATGGGGCCTGAGGACATACCTGAGTGCCCACTGAAATGTAAATAACTGTTGGCTCCTTAAGAAATAGTTATTGAGGGCCTTCTCTTTGCAAAGAAACTTTCTGAATACTTGGGATATAAGCTGAAAAAGAAAATCATTTAGGAGGCTGAGATAGGAGGATTGCTTGAGCCCAGGAGTTCAAGACCAGCCTGGGAAATATAGTAAGACCCCACCTCTACAAAAAGTGTTTTAAAAATTAACTGAGCTAATAGTCTACCCCTGTGGTCCCAGCTGCTTGGGAGGCTGATGTGGGAGGATCGCTTGAGCCCAGGAAGTTGAGGATGCTGTGAGCTGTGATTGTGATCACACCACTGCACTCCAGCCTGGTTGACAAAGTGAGAATCTGTCTTGAAAGAAAAAAGAAAATGAAAAGAAAATCAAGTTCCCTGCTCTCCTAGGATTGTATCCTAACAGCAGAGATAAACAATAAATTAATTAATAAATTAGTAAATATATTAAGATAACATAATACAAATACATGAAAGGTAATAAAGGCCGGGTGCGGTGGTTCATGTCTGTAATCCCAGCACTTTGGGAGGCCAAGGAGGGTGGATTACTTGATTGCAGGAGTGTGAGACCAGCCTGAGCAACATGGGGAAACCCCATCTCTACTAAAAAAATACAAAAGTTAGCTGGGTGTGGTGGCACGTGCCTGTAGTTCCAGCTACTCTAGACCGTGAGGTGGGAAGATTGTTTGAGCCCAGGAGGAAGAGGTTGCAGAGAGCCATGACCATGCCACTGCACTCCAGCCTGGGTGCCAGAGTGAGACCATGTCTCAAAAATTAAAAAGAAAGGTAATAAATAGGGTAATAGGAGCTAATGTTTTCATCTTGCAAATATTCACTCATTTAATTATCACAACTCTGTAAGGTAAGTACTCTTGCAACTTTAATCATGAGGTTGTTGAACCACAGGGAAATTAAATCATTGTCAATGTTACACAGCTAACAAAGACTAAAGCTGTAATGTAAACCTGGGTTAATCTAGCTCTACAGCCAACAGGGTAATATGACAGTGACTGGGGGTGATGTTCAGGAAAGAGGTTGGAGGAAGCATCAAAGACAGACACACAGGTATCTGGGGGAAAAACTTCTCAAATAGAGGAAGTCATGAGTGCAAAACTGGAACCAATAACAGATTGTCTCGTGACAATCTGTTATTAAGTTTTGTTGTCTGTAGTTTGTAGTTTTCAGGAGTCAAGGAGAGGGCATGAGGCACTTGGCTGAGGGAGTAGGATGGAGTTAGAGATTCCTGGGGTCTCTGGAAAACCACTTCACAATTTTACCAAGGCTAGCCTAATCCGTCTCATATCCCAATGGACATTTTAGTGCCTCTTTCTCTGCACAAAATTCAGTTTACTCCTTAATTTACTCCTTAATTTCCATTTGAAATCCAGTAGTTTATCTTAACCGCCTGGAAAGAGAGCTAAGGGAAAGATCTATGAATGAAAATAAAGTGTTACACACTAGAAGAAACGAGTCCTGAATACCTGAAGAATCAGTGCTGTGTTCCTAGGCAAGCTGCCTGACTTCTGAGCTTCGATTTCCTGATCTGTTTAATGAAGGGGTTAGACTAGATTATCTCCAAAATCCTGTTTCTATATTTAAATTTGACCTCATAATAATGGTCAGCCACATAGAGAGTACTACAGAACAATTAAATTGAAATTTTATCCTAGAGCACCTTAAATTTAATTTATAGTCAACCTAGTGTTAAAAAATCAGGACATGGAGGAATATAATTGTGAATTTATTATTTTGTTGACTATCAAGTTTTGAGAGTGTTAGGTCCTCATGTTTTACTTCAGTAATCAATTTCTCGTGACCACTTCACATGCCTTAAAATTCCCTCAGATTGCTATACTTGAATTAACTAAATGAAGTGAGGAAATAGACTTGGAGAATATATTGTAGGCTGCAGCTGTCATTTGTTTCTTCCACTGTTCTCTAATTACTGATGGGTATTTTCAAATACATATTAACTCTGTGTGAGCTTAAAGAAAACTACAGCGTCCCCATTTAGGTGAAACGGGCTATAGTATTTTATGTGACAGAAGCTGAAAAAGTGGGCAAGACTTGGCTCAGCATCAAGGAAGCCAGTCACTGAAAACCAGCCTGCCCCCAAACCTGAAGGACATCATCTCCTAAACTCTGTTTTAAATATTTCCATTAGGCAGGTTCTGTTTCCACCTGCAATCCCCTCCTTTCTTACTTTCCCCCAAATCCTATCTGCCCAATACACTCATACTTACTTTTGAATTTTTATCTCTTTGTTGCAGATATTGCCAACTTGGTAATGCATTGGAGGTATTTCTATTTCACAAATCCTGCTGACCCAGCCTTCTCATTTTAAAAATAAGTGGAAACCCACAGATTCCAAAGGCTCTTCTTTCAGGGGGTGTTTTGTGAAGATAGGATTTTACATTTCCTCTAAAATCACCATATAAAATTATTGTAAAAATAGTGTACACCTATTGGGGAGAACTAAGCAACACAGACATTTATTTTTAAATAAAAAATAGACAAATGCCAAATATAAACAAAATTATGCTATTTATTTCCGTAATATGCATTTTCCTCTACATGTAATAGTTGCATAGCCTTAGACATCACTTAAATTCTGTTTGCCTCAATATTCTAATTTTTTAAATGAGAAGAATTAAAGTGCCTATCTCTTAAAATTAGTGTAGTGATTGAACGATTCAGTTAATGTAAGTAGGGCACATAATAAACATTGTGTATGTGCTTGCTATTACTGTTGTTATTGTGAATATTATGTTTATGCAAAAGCATTGTATTTATGCACATGTTCTAAAAGTTACTATTTCCTAGGTAATACAATTATTCAATAAATTTTAGTTCAGGAACTCTTATACAAGACACTGATCCATATGCTGGGATGCAAAGATGAACAAGCACATACAAGGTTCTTATTCTCATGGGCTTGCATCTTAGTAAGGAGAAACTAATAAAATTACCAGTAGTAAGAATATATCCTACATACGTGTGTGTAAACAACATCATTCAAATGGTGGTACATATTTGCAATGAAATGTATCCAGTCGATGTAATAATAAGTGACTGGTGGCTTTCATTTTTAGACTGAAGGATCAGGAAGAAAATACGCATAGAGAAAGGACAGAGAGCCAAGATTGAGATCTGGAGCTTTCTAACATTTAGAACTTAATCAGAGGAGAGAGTCAGCAAAAGAGACCAGGAGAAAGAAGTCATTGAAATAAGAGGAAAAACAGAATAATCCAATGTCATGAAAGACAGGATGAAACAGTATTTCAGGTGAAATAGTAAAGGAAGTTAAACGGCCACTCATGAACTAATGGGTGACTTGGCAAAGGCAGACCTATTACTGATTATCTTTCCAAGTACTTTCTTATTACTATTATTACATCTATTAAAATATCAGTTATGGTGTTATGTAGCACATTTTCTTTATCTAGTCTATCATTGATGGGGATACTATGCAGACATAAAAAGGAATGAGACCGTGTCCTTTGCAGAGACATGGATGGAGCTGGAAACCATTATCCTCAGCAAACTAACACAGGAACAGAAAACCAAGCACTGTATGTTCTCACTTGTAAGTGGGATCTGAACAATGAGAACACATGGACACAGGGAGGGGAACAATAGACACTGGGGTCTGTCAGGGGGTGGGGGTAGGGAGAGCATTAGGAAAAATAGCTAATTCTTGCTGAGCTTAATACCTAGGTGATGGGTTGATAGGTGCAGCAAACCACCATGCCACATGTTTACCTGTGTAATAAAACTGCGCATTCTGCACATGTACCCCAGAACTTAAAATAAAAATAAAAATTAAAGATCAGCTAGCATTTATTGATACTTATTAAATTCTAAATGTAGTTATTTTACATAGGCTTTTACATATAACTAATTTAATCTTCAAAATAAATGTGTGAGTTTATACTATCATTATTGTCATTTTCAGATAAAGAAATTGAGGCAGCGAGAAATTATGTATCTTTCCCATTGTCACACAGTTAGGTTACAGGGTAAGCAGTACACCAGCCCAGTGATTCCTTCTCAGAGCTAATGCTCTTGCCCTCCTCACAATACCCACATTCACATAAATGAATATAGATTTATATTATAATTTTAATTGTTATGTAATAACTTATCTTTCAAGCTCTTGTTTTTAGACATATAGGAAGTTTTAACATTTTTGCTATTCCAAACCATGAATAGTCTCAAATATACAGTCTGGCACACTTATCATGTCCTGAAAGTAAAATTATTGTTTCAAAGGCTGTGCACGTTAAAAAATTGAAACTGTATCAGATTTCCTCACATTTTGGTTGCGTGCATTTACACAACCATTCATTTCTCCACATGTATGCCAGCATGAGCTATTATGAAAAACTAAGAGCCATTCTTGATTTAATTTTCATTTTATTACTATAAGGTTAAACATATTTTTTGTATGTATTTGCCATTTCAATTTCTTATTTATGATTGACCCATTCCTTTTCTTTGTCCTTGTTAGTACTATGGTGTTTAGTTCTTGTTTATTTATAATAAAATATAGAAATATGTAACTGTTAACTTTATTTATAATCTTTTCCTACTTAAATGTTTTACATTGTTAAGAATAATAGCCTCCAGCTCCATCCATGTTCCCACAAAAGAAATTATTTTATTATTTTTCGTTGTCGCATTGTATTCCATGATGTATATGTAGCTCATTTTCTTTATCCAATCTGTCGTTGATGGGTGTTTAGGTTGATTCCATGACTTTGCTATTGTGAATAGTGATGCAATGGACATTCACTTGCATATATCTTTACGGTAGAATGATCTATATTCCTCGGAGTATATACCCAGTAATGAGACTGCTGGGTCGAATGGTAACTCTGCTCTTAGCTCTTTGAGGAATCACCCTACTGCATTGCACAGTGGTTGAACTAATGGAGGAACGGAAAGCCAAATACCACATGTTCTCACTTATAAGTGGGAGCTAAATGATGAGGACTCATGAACACAAAGAAGGGAACGACAGTTACTGGGGTCTACTTGAGGGAGATGAACACAAGAAAATTATTGGGTACTGGGCTTAATATCTGGGTGATGAAATAATCTGTACAACAAACCCCCATGACATGAGTTTACCAATATAATCAACCTTCACATGAACCCACGAACCTAAAATAAAGGTTAAAAATAAATTTTAAAAAATGTTTTACGCTTTTATGTATTCAGTTTTCTTTATTATCACTTAGTTTTTTCAAACTTTGTCTTTAGTTATCTTTAGATGGGCCATCTCCACTCTAAGATCATATTAAAGTTTCTTTTAGTAAATTAGTGTTTTTATATACAAATGTTTCAGATGTCTGGAGCTAAATTGTTCAATATGGTAGCCATTATTTACATGTGCATGTTAAATTTAAATTAATTAAAATAAAATCTAAAATGTGGTTCCTCGGTCATATTAACCAAAGTTTAAGTGCTCAATAGCCACGTGTAGCTAGTGGCTATTATATTATATTTTATTTTCTCAGGGACTAGGTCTCCTTACGCTACCCAGGCTGGCCTTGAATTCCTGGGCTCAAGCAATCCTCTTGCCTGAGCTTCCCAAGTAGGCTGACTACAGGTTCACGCTACTGCATCAGGCTGATGGTTATTATTTTCGACAGTGCAGATATATACCGTTTTCATCATCAGATAAATTTATTTGAACAGTTTTTCTCAAATGTTAATATGTACCCCCAATCACCTAGGCATATGTTATAATGCAGATCCTTACTCGAATAATGTTATGGACTACATGTTTGTGTCCCCCCAAATTCATATGTTGAAACCCTAAATTCTCAAGTGATGGTATTTGGAGATGGGACCTTGAGGAGGTAATTAGGTCATGGGGTAGAGCCCTTATGATGGGATTAGTGACTTTATGAGAGCTAGCTCTCTCTCTCTCTCTCTCTCTCTCTCTCTCTCTCTCTCTCTCTCTCCCCCACCCCATATGAGGACGCCAGAAAGAGAGTCTTCACCAGAACCCAAGCATGTTGGCATTCTGAACTCAGACCTCCACTCTCTAGAACTGTGATAAATTAATTTCTGTTATTTAAGCCACCTAGTCTATGACATTTTGTTATAGCAGCCTGAACAGACTAAGACAGGCATTTTGGGGAAAGACCCAAATTGCGTATTTAATGAGCTGGTGCTGTAGGTTCTTAGACCACATTTTGTGTTGCAAGTGTCTAGATTTATTTTTATGTAAGGAACTGTGAAAATTCATTGTGTATGTGTACATTTCTCTGTTTTTCAATTTTATTATTTATTGATATGCAATGACATATTTATATGCTAAATATCTACAGTTGTATATATTTTCCCTGCACTTTCTAACCTCTTCTATAGATTCACAATCAAGTCTTGTGCCATACTACAATAAAATCAAAAAAGCTTTGCAGGATGTTTTAATATTTAGTCAAGCACATCTCTGCCAATAGCTTTTCAAGGCCTACCAAACAGTTTTATTTAAATTGGAATTTCATTCACTCTAGTGAATTTAGTAAGAAGTAATTATTTATTAAATTTATTCTTCCTATTCAAGAACAAGGAATTCCTATAATTTCCCATATCTTTTTTATGTCTCTGTTTTGAATTGAATCTTTGTGTCTGTCCCAAAATCCATACACTGGAGCTCTACTCCCCAGCGTGATGGTATTCGGAGGTGGGGCCTTTGGGAGGGAATACAGTTTAGAAGAGGTCAAAAGAGTGGGGCCCCTGTCATGGGATTAGTGTCCTTGTAAAGAGAGGAAGAGTCTCTCTGTCTCTCTACTCTCTCTTCTCTCTCTTCTCTCTCTCTGTCTCTCTCCCCCTCCCTCCTTCCCTCCCTCCCTCCCATGTGAGGACACACAGCCAGAAGGTACAATTTGCAAGCCAGCAAAGAATCCCTGACCAGAAGCCAAATCTGCCAGCACCTTGATCTTGGAGTATCCAAGCTCCAGAACTGTGAAAAATAAAATTCTGTTATTTAAGCCACTCAGTCGATTGTATCTTGTTTTCAAAGCCTGAGTTGACTAAAACAGTATCTTAGAAGAATCTTACTGTTTTCTCTAAATATGATCCTTATGTTCATATATTCAGTTGGTCTTCCTATGGAGCAATTTTATTATTTCTAGTAAGTTTCAAACTGGTTATTTTGCATTTTTAGTTAGAAAAACTATGGAGTCCCTTTGGAAATATTTTTCTTCCTCACTTACTTGGAGTTTAGTTTGGTTACTTGTATATTTAAATTTCCATTTATACTTTTATTTTAAAAAAAGACAATCTCATGTTCATTATATGGATACATTTGAATTTTCTACTTGTGCAGAATATGTCACCAGATGAGATATGTAGTCATGCATTCATTCAATAAATCCCTACCACTGGCTAGATGCAATCAGTAAGCTGGGGCCATGCGAACAGAAAGGAAGGGCTCCACTCTTAAGGACTCTTAGGCAAAAACATTTGAACAATGAAATAGGAATATTTGGTAGAGTATAAAAAATTCATGATTTTATTTTTAATTATACTGGATATTTCATAATACAGAGAGCAAGCATCCAGTTTGAATGTGGTAAATTAGGACAAACTATGAGAGTAAGACATACTTGACTTTTGAAAAGTATAGATATTGTTCATGCAAAGAAGAGAGATGGTTGGTTGGAGTGTGGGTGTGTGATTCACTAGAATATATGGATCCTTGTTTAGAAATATTTTTATCATTTTTAGTATAGCGATGAATACATTGATGGTATTTCTGAAATCTTTACTGGAAAATATCTGTTGGACAAAACAATGGAGGGATGTTTGGATCTATTCCTAAGTCTCTTGCCAGGGGAATATTTCATTTATTGTCAGTTTTCCCCCTTGGCACTGTAAAAGTAGTTTTTTGTGTGTATTATTAGACCATAAATCTTTTACTTTTTCTTTCTGTTTTAGCTACTGAGTATGCTGGATCTTGGAGCACCCATATCACCATTTGCTGCCCCACGACCCCTAAGTCATATGTGCAACTTCTGTCGACATCTACATTGTTATAGGCAAAAATCATGAGGAGCATATGGTTTTCATTCTACCAAGACTTTCATTTCACACTGTTACCAGAAGGGTTAGAAATCCTGATTGGATGGGAAGGAGATTAGCTTTTTCCTTAGTGGAATAATTTCATTTTAACAGAGGGGTCACCTTCCTAAGCTAAATGTGAAAAGAATGATAGAAAGAGTACAGATCATGGAAAAAAAAAAAAAACTAGAAAGGCTTTGTAGTAAATTTTGATATGACTTCAGAGAGTTCATCCTCACTTCATGTATTTGAATAAACCCTTTAAAATTTAGGTAACTAAATTATTCTATTTCAATTCTCACTTTTCTCATTTACGTCACTTTTATACAACAAGCACTTTCCACCATCTGGCTGATGTATAGAATAAGAAGCATTTTCAGGGCGCTGACTCGTCTGGTCTATCCAAGTTCACTGAAGGGACCTATTTAACCCCCAAAGCATCAAACTCTATTAATACAGTGTAACCAAAAGAGCTAAACTCTACCCTGACTAAAGAACTTTAAAAGAAATATCAAGTCATCAGGTATCTCAATGACTTGTTTCTTATTGACATCAATAAGATGTCTATTCAATAGAGTAGAAATAGAATAGAAACATCCATGTATTTTATAAAGATGCACAAGAAATAAACCAATACATGAGTATAATTTGAGCTTTTTAAATATCTCTATACCTTTATTCCCGATATGAGGATTTTTAACTTAAATTTTGTCCAACGCACTTTTCTCCAGATACTATTGAAATGAGTAGAGGTGCGTTCTGCATTTGGCTCTAAGATGATTTGCAAGAGTAAAGATGCTTTGCTGTTTCATTCAGTGAGACCTAAAGTAGTTCTGGGGTCCTTCTCAGCACGATCCTCAAAGGTTCTATAAACTCCTATACACTAATATGTCTCCAGAGAATATATTGCCCTGTCAGTGACATTGACACCTAGAATGAGGAAAGTGTGGGATTGAGAAAATGGGATTGGTAAAATGTGATGATTCTCAAGCCCTATTCTGTAATATAAAGAGAAAAAGAAAGAAAAAGAAAAAGGCAGGGAGGCAGGCAAGTAGGAAGGAAGGAAGGAAGTAAAGAAGGAAAAGAGGAAGGAAAGAAGGAAGGGAGAAAGGGAGGGAGGGATGAAGCAAGGAATGAAGGAAAGAAAGAAGAAACAAAACAAGGAAGGAAAGGGGAGGGAGGAGAGGGAGGAAGGAAGGAAGGAAAGAAAGAAAAAGATATATTTTCCTAAAGTTGAATATATGAAACTTAAAAGACCATCTATTGTTATAAATATGCTTTCTCTATTCTTCTAATATAAAGATTCCTTTTACTTTTTGAATTTTTGTGGTGAGGAAATGGCAGATTCTTCATTTTTTATGCTTGGCAACTGTATGTCAGCCTCTCCTCACTTTGTTTGGATTATTTTGGTGCATGAAATCAAGGGGACTGAGAACCACTGTACTGGCCAAAGATGAGGAGACCTGCAGTCAGCCCAGGGACCTTGGGTCTTAATCCTAATGAGGCAATTAAGTAAGTCAGAAACAAGTAAGTCTGTTTACTTATCTTGGTAGTATTTTTCTTACATATAGAAATGGGCTTTACACTAGAGCTTATTCAAGCTCTCCATAGTTCAAAATATAGACCCCCAGACTGGCAAAATTATCAGTCATGATAAAGTGTTTCCGTTTTCTAAAATGTCTGTCAATAATTTTTTTTTTGTAAAGAACTTTTTCCACCTTTGGTCATGTGCTGAAAGACAACATCTATGAGAACACTTCACTACCAAAATAATGGCACATTAGTAAACCTCTTGATCACAGTGTGGTGGCTGTTACTAGTTTATAAGTGGTGCTTGAGGCACTTTTCAGCAATGTGCTAAGTATTTAGAACCTTCATAAGGCAGAGAGAGAGAGAGAGAGAGGGAAAGGGAGAGCATTGGGATAGGGGGAAGAGAATATGAGAGAGGTCTGGCCTCTTCTCTTCCCCGTTTGTATTTCTCCTCCTTTTCATCTATCTAATCTTGCAGAATCCTTCTTAAAATTAAACAGATGTCCTGTTCTAACCAAAAGCTAGATACACAAAGACCAAGAAATAAGTGATGAGCTTCAGGAATGCACTTCAGGACATGTAAAATAGAAAAGCTTTATAGTAATGTAATGTGTTGATTTTATTTTTCCCCAGATACTTACAAGTTAAAGAAATATAATTTAAGAAAATTACAGCACAGTCTCAGGTGACATTTAAGAATTAGACAGGTGAACTTGTTTATTTTTGTGGTCTGTCAATGCATTAAAAACTAAATTCAGAAAACTATTTTCTAAGACTTTGGTTATGAATATAGACGTTAAAAAACACTCTTGGGAAAACCAACCTGCAAGTGAAGGTCATTTACAGTGAGTTACTGAAAAAGAATGTGAGGGGAAAAATCTATAGGTCACTATCAAGTAATAAGCACATCCCCTCCCATCAAAATTGCTTTTTAAGCTCATATCCATCAGAAACATATTATATATTATTCCTTTTATCATAGTGCAAAATTAATAGATTAAAACATGTACATTTTAGTTTTTACTGAGGAGGAGCCAGTATGAGAAAAACTTTGAGCTTAATAAATACAAATACACACAAACACACATATATAAGTTGTGGTATATAATGTGATATATATGTATATATTCAGTAGAGTATTAAGAACAGAATGAGGAGAGTCTTTGGGAAATATCAGAAATAGAATGACTTTAATTTTAACAATGAGTCTATAGGAATTAATGACATACATATCATAATTATTTTGCATCTTATTTTAGTTAAAAAAATGTGCAGTCCGAGTAAGACCTTTGTTCCACACACGTGTGTGCTGTGCATATTCTTTCTAAGTGGACTAGTTTTGTTCTCATGCCATGGGAGCAGGTGGCATGAAGCTGTTTTGATGAGGTTAAAAGGCTCCTCCCCTCTCTCCCCAAGCAGCAGCCTGAAGTACGTCAGCAGTAATTGTGTGCATGGCTCGGCTGTGCAGGGAGGGTGGAGGCAAAATTGATATCAAATAAGGGTATCAAACTGAGATCTAGATGTTCCATTTAAGTTGTTGTTCATTTTCATTAGCCACGCCAGGGGTGAAATGCTTATAACTTAACCATTCTCTGTAGTAAGAACATTTGTTTTCAATGGATTTATATTTTTCCTCTCCATAAAGACTGAATTAGTGCTATAGTGAATATAAATGAAGGGTGTTTCTTTACCCTCTTTTCCTTTTATTATTTACTAATCAGACTTCAGCTCAGTTAGATAAAAGAGAGAGGTTCTGTTGCCTAGATGTGAGGCCTTTAATGAGGATGGGAGCCCCCAGGGAGCCGAAATCCAAAGTAGAACGATGCCGCTTTCCGGTTTCTTGCAATTTCTTCAGTTGCTTCTCCCTTTTCCAATGGGCCTAGTGAGCAGGAACTATCCAAGGTGCTAGAACGCTGGCAGCCTTGCCGTTCAATGCAGACGGATTGCAGAAACAGAGAAGAAAGATTACTGCTTATTTCAGAAGGTAGGTTCTTTGTTTCAGAATCCCTGATTAATCAGCAGCAGCTTCAACAGACTAAGGCAGCTGGAGAGGAGAAAGAGAAGCAGGAAGGGAGGGAGTCAGGGGCAGGGAGGGAGGGAGGGAGTGGAGGGAGAGAGAATGAGAGAGAGAGAGCTGGTTGTCACGGGGGAGGGACTATGCCACAAGCTGGGCTGCTCCAAACCTTCTGTATGTAAGTGGCAATGAGAAAGAGCATCTTTTTGGCTGAAAGGAGACATTTAGAAAGGATGTTTCTGATTTTTTGTTTTCATTTATTTTTGTCTTCGCAGAATATAATCAAATGAGGTACATTAGCCAGCTTGGTGATTGCTTCTGGTCCTGTAATCATCTGTGTAGCAAAGTGGGTAAAATCATTCAATTTCTTCCCTGCTGGACCTGGAAGGAGAGGGGCTGTGTGTTCATCCCCACCCATTAGCTATGCCCTCTTTTCTCCGAATGTCGATTTAAGGAAGCAAGCACCTGTCTTCCGCCACTGCATCTTCCTAGCAAACTTTAAAGGCCATTTTATCTGATAGGAAGGACATCGAGAATGCTCTGATCTAGTGATGAAGAATCTGGGAGTCGACACTTTTCCCATCCAGACACAATGCACTTTAATTGAAGAAACACTGAGCTGAACTACAAGTCTATTTCTTATGGTGCTGGATTACTCCTACAGAACTGCCCTGAGATCAACCGTGAGAGAGGGCTCTGACAGACACAAGTCACCTTCTGGTTATTGCACTTAGCTCTCCCTGGGGACTTAAATTTTGGTATGTATCTCATTTTTCAGATTCTCTAAGCATGCTAATCGAATCCAGCACTGAATAGATCAAGCAATCTGGTGATAAAATGGAATGGATTTTAGTTAGGGATACTTAATGCTGAAGTTTGCATGCCTTATTAGGTGGAGCAGAAATAAAGCCACAGTGAAGGCATCCAGGGCTTTAGTGAGCCTGAGGCTATTTTTACTCCCTTACCCACTTAGTTACATTACCATGGAAATGGTTAAACTAGATTTTCATTAGTAAAATAAGCCATGTTGAATTATTAAAGCTTTGAAAATGTTTTCCAGGGTATTAATTGGCATTCAAGTTGTGCATGCTAGCTATTTATCCGCTATTCCATACCATAAATATTTTACAACTGTCTCTTAGCACATTTATGTCAGCAGTGAGAGCCCAATTTTACATTCTCAGGAGAAAAGACACAGTATCCCCCAAAATTCAAAACTACCAGACAAACAGCAAAGCCGACACTGCTTCTTCCTGACTGATTAGACATAAACCTCTTTGAGAAACATTTTTTAATACTATTCAATGTCAGAAAGATTTTATTAGTCTCATCACAATAAATATTTTCTGTAAAACTTTAGGTGGACTTGTTTTACTTGGGACATGTTCTTATTTTGTTGGGGTGTCTCCATCCTAATTTTTCCAACTACTCAGCAATATTTTAAATACAAGACATGTGAGTATTTCATATCTGGAAAAACTATTACATAAAATAATATTTTTCACTATCATTGGGAAATACTAAAGTTCTTTTGGTACCATAGAATTGGATTTTTTTTTCTAAATATAGCCGAAAAATAATGAAATTCTGAAAAGCTTACATGATGTAGTTTTAGTCATTTTAACATCCAAGCATTTATAACCAAGTAGTGTGGAATAACAAATATAGAGAAAGAGTGAAAATTAACTCTCTTCCTAATTCTTCACATTTTAGACAATGTTCTCATTTATTTTATATATTGTCAAGCACTAATTACACAAATTAATGAGAAAATGTGGTCCACAAATGCAGAAATTATTTTGTTTTCCTATGGAAAGTGCAACATACATGAGCCAACTCAGCAAAGAAAGGGACTATGTGAAGGACATAGACAGTTTAGAGAATTAGTGGAAACAGACCAGAGGAAAATATTACAACTGCACAAGGGACAGTGGAGAAGCCTGAGGACTTGAAGCATCTGTCAAGTTTAGAAAGAGAAGTGTAAAAATCCTAGACACAAGAAGGTTGGTTATTGTTTAAAAAAATAAATAAATTATAGACTCCCAATTCAATTAGATGGTTCCCACTGTAGCTCCAGTCAGCAATTTATTAGACTGACTACATCTACTTTGCAAATAATGCCTTGTAAGCATCTGGAACCATTTGGCCCAAGCCTCCAAAAAGTATCTCAGCCACTGGCATTTTGCATGAGTCTCCAATATTAATGGAAATGTACAATCTCTTTACACCATGGGCAAACAGCACCATGACAACCTGGAAGATGAGGGGGAGATACCAATTCATGATGCTACTGCATTAACACGATTTATGCCTATCTTACTCATTTTGGGAAGAGAGATAGTGGAGAAAAACTCACTGCAAAGTAATCTGCTTTCTGAGAAAAAAGCAATCAGTGTCTTTGTAGTCACTTTAGCAAGCTTTCTTGGTTGTAGCTTCAACATTTCCCATTTTGGGCAGAACAGCTGCATTTTGATGACACTGAGAATGAGAAAATGAGTGTGACCATTTGTGGGGTAGGGAGTAGGATTTCAAGCATAATCAAAGTGAAATTATAGGAGTAATGCTTGACAAATTATAAGATTTTATCAGAAAAAAATTTTGACATGGTTTACATGTGTTATGGGTTATAACCAGGCTAGTCTGATGATTTGGTCCTATGTGAAGTCAGCAAATTTTAAATATTAATTTGCATATGTATTTTACATATGTATCAGAAGCCTGATTATTTAAATCCTTACATTTTCATACACAATGTGTTTTCAAATTGGTTTGAGTACATGCAAAAGTTGTAAAAGATTTTTTTCTCCTGCTAAACAAAAACAACAAAAAATAGTCAAAATTGCCTTGGGAAACTTTTATTGGATCAATACTACTAGAAAAAAAGTAGGATTCTCTACCTCAAAGAAGATGCAATGATTGGAGTAGGAAGGAAACTCAAATCTTAATAACTCAAATTCTAATAACTTCCTCACAGCATTGAGACAGGTGTGGTTTAAAGAGCTCAGAAATATATAAAGGTGGAGACTAGAAAACTTTACCCTCTGCAAATAAAATAAAAACACAAATGTGAAGTACAATAAAAGTAAAATATTTAGGTTTCCATCAGGACATTTGTTCCATTCTATGTATTGTGTTCTTCTGGCTGGTCACAATTAGCATTATAATAATCGCACAAAATAAACTATCTTATTATAGCTATAAGATTATCTTGTAGGATTAACTGTGGCCTAAAATTAAGGAAGCTTCTCATAGAGCTTCAGGTATTAAGATTAGGAAGCCATTCTTTCCCAAAACAGAGCCTTTTCTCCCTCCACCACTTAGTATATGTGGCAAATAACCAAATTAACAGAGGTGTCACAACTTTATATCTTGGAAAATAAAAGTTTCAGATGGAGAATAGCTCCATATCAGAAATTCCAGATAAATACCTTAATAAAAGATAAAAGGACCTGTGCCTATGAAGGCTACTGGACTAACTTACTCAGATGATACTAGTACCTATAAAACTCTGCTTTTGGTAAATGGAGATAAATTGCCCATTGGAAGCCTCTGCCTGACAAATCAGTGTACATGTCCATTCTAGTCAGTCCTTATAGAGCTAGAGTGGTTGATATCACAATGTATGAAATTACACTCATGAAGAAATTTGCTCTGAAGCAAAGAGAAAAGAAATGCTTAACCATGTATGAGAAGGAAGATGGCATGCCTAATATTTATCTGACTCTTTGTACACCCTTGATTCAACAGTATCTTGGAATTAATCGAAAGCCCTCTATACCTTGGGGAACTCAATCTTGATATTAGTTGGTGCTACATTAAATACCCTCTGGTAGATTGAGACCACACGCAATTGATACCTTAATTTACAATGAGAATAGCCCACATAAATCTATAATCTTAGTTTGATTCTTTTGCATACACCTCTTTCTCAAAAATGCTGCTTTTTTTTAAGCTTCAGAACTAAGGGTCACATAGTGTCTTAGCTTCTTGACTTCTCTGGATGGAAGCAGTAGCAGGAAACTATAGAAAAAGAAAAAACGAGTTGTTTTTTAAATGTTTTAATGTTTCTATGAATTCCATTTTGACATAGCAGACTTAGCTTATGCTCCACATGTGTATATAATGGGTAGTTTTATTTCAGTGGAAACAATTGTAAAGAAATGGAATGCTACTTTAAGCTCTAGGTTCAGCATTGGAAAAGTATAATGATGGCCTTGCACAAAAGAAAATAAGAAAATTGTTAACTCAATAAACAGTTAAATGCTTAGTATTTAACTTATGGTAAGAATTAAACCAGTTTGATTTGGTGCAATTTAGCTGGGTGGAATGAAATTTCAAATTTTGGAAAGTGTCACAGTATTATACAAAGTGATCTTTGTGAAGGGTGTGGTCAACATGATGTAAATAACAAAGTGAAAAAATAAAATAAAGCTGAACAATTAACCATACAGCTGTGTGAAAGTCAACATCTTTAACTTATATTAGAATGGTGATGATTCTAGATACAGTAATCTAAAAACTTAAACAAAAAGAGTCTTTTGTGAATGCAGAATACCACAGTGGAGGAAAGGCAGAGAGGGAGGATGTAAAGGTATCTGTAGATTGTATAGGAAATCCGATGTTGGTGATTTTAGGTGCCTTCCCAGGAGGGTCCCTGACACAAATTTTAAATGTTGGCCACAAATTTCAAGGAATGCACACACAGTGTTGCACTACTTGTATCAACATTGTGCATTGCAAAGAGAACACATCTGTCTTCTAAATGAAGACCATGGATGCTCATTTTCAACCAATGCTCAGGGAGCAGGGAAGGGGCTAAAATATCTAATTTGTTTTGAGCAAAAATGGCAACAGACTCAATGAACTCAATTAAAGGGATGAACTCAATTAAAAGGGATGCCTGTAGAAAAGCCAGAGTTCCACCTTAATCTCACCCACTCTGTTGTCACAAATACCTCATGCACCAGTTAATGGTCCAGTAAGCCAGTTTCCCTTACTTACTGAGACAGAGCTAAAGATGCTACCTGGAGGAGAGGGGACATTTGCCTCTTAACAAATAGGGTCTTCTAGGATGCTGACATAGGATTAGATGTTCAAGGCAAGTCTTTATAAAATTCTTGCATACATAATTGTCATTTAAGGGCCTGACATAAACTTGACTTAATATCTAAGAGTCAAAATGCAGTCAAGTTTTTGGTGGTTTACAACATATGTTATTCAATATCTATCTTAGGTGTAAATATAAATTTCTGAAAAACAAAGAGATTTATGGTTGTACTCGTCTGTGGGTTCTCACTGCTTTGAATTGGTAGCTGTTGTAATGAAGTAGACAATGAACATAAGGTTCTCTTTTCTCTAGTGAGGCCATGAATCTATTTACTCATAGTTCAGTTGTCTGAGAAACACTTTGGGCTTGGAAGGGTGGAGACCTAGGGTTTGAGAGATGGGATGAGTTTCGTGGTCCATATGTCCCAGTTTCTTTATTTTCTAGATGTGGACAATGGGGGACAATGGTTATGTGGAGCTGTCCATATAGATTTGATTGGGGGAAGAATGTATCAACTCCTAACCTGGCCTCCATTTACACATTTACACATGCAATTTTAAGGAAGTTGCACTACAATAAACATTGTACTCACCTTTGTTTCAAAGTAAAATTACATTTATCAAGGGGTTATATTATTATTAAATATAATTCTAGCCACATTTAAGAATTGGGAAACTAACAGTAATGTTAGTGACTATTAATTATAGTTAAATTTATGGAATACTTTTATGCATTTCTAACTCAATACTCACAACAAGGGTCTATTCCAACCACTATTTTTTTTTTTAATTTGGAAATTGAAGTTTAAAAACAGTAATTAACTTGTATGAAGTTTTAGAGCTAGAGGTGCCTTCACTGGGGTTTCTAGGCCATTCTGCCAGCCTCCTTATCCATGCCCTTCAGGACAGCCTCACAGCCTCCTCAATATTACAAACTATTATACTTTTTACATGTGGACAAGTAAACAAAGAGGTGTGATGTTTAGACATTGACAGGGCCTGTGACCGTTTTCGGAGACTAACACGACTGTTGAAAAATATTTCTTGTTCACCCTTAAAAACAGTGAAAATAAAACATGTATGACCAACTAGTGAAGTCCACCTAAATCAACACTAGTCACAAGTATTGCAATTATTTATTTATTTTGCTCTAACACTGCCACGAAGACATCTAGAGGGACACAATTCTGCCTTCATTAGGGCTTTTCATAACACGTGCTCAACAAATACTTGAAAAAAAAGAATGGTCATGGAATTTAATACTTTTCTAGAATTAGGTGGCAGGAGCATGTGTACAAACATTTATTCAATTTTCATTACTTTGAAGTTTTACTAGATGTGATGGTTCATTTTCATCTCAAAAAATTTGATCTCCTTTTTGTTTTTAAAAAATGCATCTTTCTATAGTGTAAATACTTTATAATATTATTAGTTAATAATTTCTCAGAACAAAAATAATTTAAATTCCAGCCAATTTGAAAGACCACTTAGGAAGGTAATTAACTTTCAGAGGTAAACAAATAAACTTATTGATATTTGGAATATAGAAACTGCGTAGGAATCTCTGGTGTCATTTTGGTTGGAGGAAAACTTAAGGAAAAAAATTAAAACCTTTGGGTAATAATGCCTTATTCAATTGGGAAATATACAATTTTGCTAGAGGGCAAAGAAGGAGTGATCATCTTCCAGCCGGAGGCATTATCTCTAGAATTCTTGTAATAGTGACTTGGCTTGCTTAACTTGGGTAGAATTAATTGTCGTGAAGTTATGCTGATCTTTTTTATCCAGGCACTCCTAGTGCAAAAGTCCTTGGTAGAAGTGAATTCCTGACAATGGCAATGCTTTAGCTCTCTGAGAATCATTTTCTTGTATTTTTCCCCAAATTGCAATCATTTGTAGCATTAATTTACTATTCTTCATGTCCATCATGTAAGCATCTAATCTGATGGACTGATAGTAAAATACAATTCAATTACACCAGATAGTTGGAATTAAAAGTCCATTTCATTTGCTAACCCATTACAGCTTAACATAAAACAAAACATACAAAAACTTAACATAAAAATCAAGAGTCAACAAACAACCTTATCTAGACTCCAGTTTCAATAATTTCTTAGATAGGAGAGAAAAATCCTTAAATTCAGGATGGGTTCCAAATCAAATATGGATTGACTGGCAGCTGAAATGCTAATAAAGTCTGATGAGAAGTAAAATTTCCATAGTTATTATCCAGGTTTTGGAACATGACTATACCTGTAAAAAAATCAGAATGAAAATTATTTGTAATTGAAAAAGTGAAAGTCTGGGAGTTTTACATCAAATAGTTGGGCTGATATTTAATAATATCTTTCTAAGTTTTGTAAAGAAAGAAAAACATGCAAGGGAATTGATAACTTTTGAATGGAGAAATTTTTCCCCTTGTTAATTGACTTTGCTTTTGGTTTTTTAATCTGACTCAATTATACCAGTTTCTTATACCACAATTAATATGCAATTAGGACAGTAAGCCTTCCTTCCATCCATCTGTCCATCTCCCCATCTAGCCACACATATCCATTTGACATTACTATTGCTGCCAGTTCATACTTTTTAATGATAATATTAGCTAATAGTATTATATACTTACTATTGTTGAACTCTATTCTAAATTATTTACAGTCTTCATCTCTCATAATCTTCACATCAGCAGGAGGTAGGAGTTATTACTAGCATCATTTTACAGTTGAGAGTAATATATACTAGTTGAAATTCCTATGCTTTTTTGTTTTGTTTTGATTTAATTTTGGTTTCTCAGTAATCTTTTCTGAGGCTCAAGTTTTGAAAACTTCATGTAACAATGAGACAACAGTTGTCAATGCTTGAATTACCAGACTGGTCAGGACTAATGTGGTCCTAGTGACCTATGATATGTTAGTTGTAGTATGAAGGCATTATGGAGGAACATTATGGAAAGAAATGAAGAGTTAAAAAGGATTCTTTTCTAGAAAAGTTATATTAGAAATGTGTTTTTCTTTTACTACTACTATATTTTGCATACATAGTTCAGATTCATACATTTTAATTTCAAAAACTAAGGAAAGCACATATATGTACAAAAGTTCTTTCCAAATAATTACATCATTTTACTTGAAATTGAACAGAAAAGTCTTTATGGCAATCAGAAATACATGAAGTTTGGATCTTATATACCTTCTTTGTGTGAAAACACATTTTAAGAAACAAAATTATTATTGTAATTATGCAACCAAATGTTTAACTTTGCATACAGTATTTACCCCTTCCCATCATATTTTAGTTCAAGAGCTTTGACCTTTGTCCTGCTAGTGTTGCTGCTTTGAGAGAAGGTTTGCTATTCAGGTAGCACTTATTTAATATTTACTTCAAATATTGTGGTTGTAATTATTCTAGTGAGATATTTTCTCCAATCGGATTTGGCCATAATTATTGGAGTTTTGAGTTGTTAGGGATAATAAACAGCACCTTGCTTTTTTCCCCACCCTGGATAAAAGTAAAATGTGTTCTCACCCTGCAGGCAGTGTTCCTCTTTACATGATATCCTCCAAGATGATGAGTTCTAATCCTGAGGAAGACCCTTTGGACACATTTCTCCAGTACATTGAGGATATGGGGATGAAGGCCTATGATGGCTTGGTTATTCAGAATGCGTCAGATATTGCTCGAGAGAATGATCGCTTGAGAAATGAAACTAACCTAGCCTATTTGAAAGAGAAGAATGAAAAACGCCGAAGACAAGAAGAAGCAATAAAGCGGTAAATATAAATAAAATTATTTTGAGTTTTGTGCACATGAGAAAGTCCATGAGGGCTGCTAAAGTTGTGATGTTGTCACTTGGTCAGAAAAGGTCTTCCAGAGTCAGTTAGACTTGGTGAGAGCATATGAAAGCGACCCCTCAACTATAACAAAAACACCACCCACACTGCCAACAGCATCCTTAGTTAACAAAAGTTATTTCCTTGTGTGTGTGCATATGCAGCTACAGACAGGATGGGGAAAAATTCAATTTCCTCTGAACAAAAGCTCATACTCAATAACCTCTTGGCAAAGACGCAAGGGAACACACAAACCTTTTAATAGCCCAAGATTGATGAAAATCCCTACCTTTAATGGCCTTTGGTTATAGTTCTTACCTTTAAATAGAGCTCATCTTCTTTCTAGATTATGGCCAAGATACATCAATAATTATACTTACGTGAGCCTCTGAAGGCAGGTAGAATCCTCAGGGTGTGCTCTCCCTATGCAGACTTTTATGGCTGTTAAATTTCTTGTTTGTTACCAAGTGCCACAAGTTTGTTCAAATGGAATTACTTTTATGATGCAAAACCTACCAGCTACTAGCTGGTGAGCCCCAGATGGTGGCCTTCCAAATTGAGGTTAAATTTCCTAGAGCGCTGACACCAAAAGAAGAATGCATATCTTTTGATTTTTTAAAAAGAATGTTACAATGTTTTCAGTTTGCCTGTGTGTGTGTCTTCTGGTGGTACAGAGAGAGACACCTGTGTCAGATGGAGTCCTGTTTCTTCAAATAAAGTTCACTTACTAAGTGCAAAATCCAGAATATAGGGACTTAATCCATATCAATTAGCTTGATAACTGAATAATAGTAATAATATGAAAGATATTTTGATGGTTAATTGGGAGATTTTTTCATCTAATCTGGCATTAATACTTTTGCTTATCATCTCTGAACGCTGTGATATTTAAAAAACCAAAATGTTCTCTTAAAATGAATTATTCATGCTTATAAAGAAGCTAGGTGAGATCACACTACTCCAATAACTTAATTAAAAATAACTTTATGGAGAGAGAGAGATGATTTGAAAGCAAAAAACTAGAAATAGAAAGGAATGGTGTACAAGATTGTTTTAAAAGAGAACTCTTTTTTCTCTGGACGATTAAAATGAAAATATATTATCAGGTATAGAAATTGCATAATTGATCAACATTTTCACAATTGCATGTATTTATATTTAAAGTCAATTAATTTGTTGTTGAGGACTATGTTATTTTGATTTCTAACCAATTTTAACTGGTGTCATGATTCTTTTCTAGAGTGTATAAATGCCTTCTTAGGACATTTTTTTTTTCTGTGAAGTATTTTTGATGGACATTTTTTTGTGTGTGAGCATTTAACTTTAGTTTTATGAATCTGAGTTTTCTAAAATTCAAAATACAACGGATGGCCTACATGTTTTTGAAAGTAACTTCAAAACTCTAAAATCTGAAGTTTGTAATCTTGGCATTAAAACTCAATAATAAATCCTTTTCTATAAGCATATAAATAAAATTATTTTCTGGATCATTCCATTAGCTTTTACAGAACACCCAAAGTTTGCTTATCACTCTACTACTAGCTTCTGTATTTCATTAACAAGCTTCAGTAGGTTTCTATTTAAAGATTCATAGTTGTTAAGACAACAAAAATGGCTAATTTTTAGGTGCTTAACTGTCAAGTGTTCAAAAAGGGGCATAACCTCAGAGGACTAAAGTCCAAGGGACTTAGGAACAGAAATTTAGGTAGACGGAGACACAGCAAAACCCTGTCATTACATAATAAGTGAGGTCTAAGTAATCCATTTGTGTGAACTTTGAGTTGATTCCTGCTAGTCTGATAAAGCAATATTTTTCAGAACTATGTTAATAGCATAAAAGTAAAGATAACTCAGATCACACATTGAATTGAAGAAGTCCCACATGATCTGGAGACATTCACTTCTACTCACCCCATAAGCAGAAGATAAAATTTAAGTCCTACTTGAGTATAGAGCAAAAGACAGAAGTACATCCTTTTGTTGTGTCCTAACTGTTGAGAGATAATGTTGGTTTGCATTGGGATGATAGCAGTAAAGGTGGTGTAAAATAATCAAATTATGGACACCATTTGAATTTTCTGATTGATGAGATGCAGTAGTTGAGCAAGAGAAAAGAATTAATTAGAGGTGGCCCTCAGGTTTGTTCTGTTGTTGTTTTCTACTTTATTTTGTTTCTGCCTAAGCTAGCAGAATGATGTTTCCATTTAATGCAATGGCAAAGACTAAAAGGGGAGCAGGTTTAGCGTAACTGATGGGGGGGCAGGAGCTCAGCTTTGGTATGACGATTTTATGAAGCCTTTTAAATGTCCAAGTGGAGATGATGGAAAGGCAGTTGAGTAAAGAATCTGGAGCTATGGTAGAATTCCAAGCCGAAGGTACAAATGTGAGAGTTGTAGTCTATAGATTTCACCATCATGAGCCAAGGACTTAAATTTAAATAGAGATGATAAAAAAAAAACCCAGGGTTGCCCCCTGGAGGCACCTGATTGCTCATATGATAGGAACAGTGGAAGAATTCAGTAAGAACGGTTAGTGAGAGGGGAGAACCACAAAGGAGTATGATGCCTTAGAGTGAAGTGTCAAAAGCGATTAAAGAAGAGAGAGACATTTGGCTGATATATCAAATATGTTGAAGCCTGAGAACTGACCATTGCTTTTTACCACATTTGTGTTATTAATAAGAACAATTTCACTGAAGGGCTGGGAACAAAACTCAGTGGGATTATGTTCACAACAGAATGAAAATAAAGGATTTGAAGCATAATATAAATAATTATTTACAAATGATATATTTATTATTTCTAAATAAATAATTTACAAATAATATTATATTATACTATAATAATATTATATTATCATTTATATATCATTTATCACTGCAACCTCTGCCTCCCAGGTTCAAGCGATTCTCCTGCCTCAGTCCCTCAGCTGGGACTACAGGCATGCACCACCATGCCCAGCTAATTTTTGTATTTTTAGTAGAGATGGGGTTTTACCATGTTGGCCAAGATGGTCTCTATCTCTTGACCTCATGATCCGCCTGCCTCAGCCTCCCAAAGTGCTGGGATTACAGGCGTGAGCCACTGCGCCCGGCTTTTTTTTTTTTTTTTTTTTTTTTTTAACAAAAATTTTGTTCCTGTAAGAAGGGAGAAAATCAGCATATTTAAAATGTGGTTGTGAATGATTACTGCAGAAAGAGAAATATTGATGACTTAGAGAAAGGGAAAAATTACTGTTAGAGTGTCCTTGAGTGGGTAGGAAAGGAGGCGTCTAGAACATTTTAGATGGAGCACGGACTGCTCAGCCCTGCTAAGAGGACATATGCCACATTATGTGGATGAATATATAATGAATGAATGAAAGACTAAAAACTGGCATGAAAAGTCCCCAAACCTGGTTCTCTAAAGTCAATACATAGATTTAAATCAGGAGCCAAATTATGGAGGTAAAATTTGTGAAAAACCATCAGAGCAGCTGAGAATAGTAGAAAAAGAAACAGAAAGGTGGAATTAAAGAACAATCCCTTCTCCCTGTTTCTCCAAAAGTTTCTGTACAGTTAAAGCTGCCAAGTGGAGAAGAGCTGGAGGCTTGGGTCTAGGATAAGTTCTAGTCGGAAAATAGCGGGCTAGGAAAGTAAACCAAGATGGAAGCCTGTTCCATGCCTGCACTGCAGAGGCACAGAGGAATTACTCCCATCAGGACACACTCAGACCTCACCTCAAAGACAGTCACAGGTAGAGACTCAGATGGCAGCAGGAACACTGACCAGGTGCACACATGGGAGACAGTCATTTGCGGGCCATGCCTCAAACCTGGTGAGGTCAATCATATCTCAAACACTATTTTATTACTATCCTCACAGTCAGCACATGCACTAGGATTTGAAAAATGTAGTATGTGTCTTACTATCTAAAACCTTCCTTTCTTTCCTACTCTCCCTCCCCCAACATATTTTTCTAGAATTTTAATTTAAAATATAAATATCTTTGGAGGGGGCAGAATACTAGTAAAGCTTCTAGTTGTTGAGATTTCTCAAGTGTCTTTCTTTTCCAAAATCAGGACCCACGTACAGTGTGAGGACAGAGATAGTATCTGGATAGGTAAGGGAGGAAGCTGGAGAGAGAAAAGTGAAACAGGCCAAAAAAATAAATAATAAACAAATAAAAAATAGGACAGGAGGAGGAGGCTAAAGTCTTAAACCTCCTTATGATAGACTGGCGTCTGTCCTGCTGGCCTCTTGTTTACAGTTAGAGCTGTGGAATCTCAAGTGATCTAGTCTCAGTACTCATGGTAATGTCCAAATTCAATTTTATTTGATTCATATGGTGACTGGATATCTTGGAGTTCTGACAATTTAAAAATAATAACAGTCTTTTATTATTTCCTCAAACTACAATTTTGGAATTGCTGCCATGTTCTTAATTAAAAAAATGTGTTTTTAATATTTTGAGAAAGTCCATAGCAAGATCCTAGTCACACTGGCATTTTGGGATTCCAGGGATGGTGAAAGATACAGAGGACCAACATCTAAACCTAACACGTTTTAATATTTTTAGCATGCAATTTACATTGAGTAGAGAGAATTCAATGAGGCTTTAATAAACATAGTCTAATTACTTAAAATTATGTAACATATCTACTGGATGCTTTGTAGAAATATACTGCTGTTTAGTGTATAGAATATACATGCTGAAAATCTAAAGATGGGGCATGTTTGACCTTGAAAAGGCATTGATGATAATTCTCTGTGAAATATGCCAGTTGCAATTTCAGAAACGTGCAGACTGCCAAGGATTGCTTAAAAAATGGAAATAGGATTTCGTATGATTGACCTTCTGGATCACATATGTGCTGAAATGCCTTTTGTGCTGAAGCTGGGAAGCTTAAAACACTGAGCTCTTAGAAAAAGAATATCCTCATCACTTTCTCAGTGTTCTAAGTCACTTAGGCTTTCTGAGCCCAATTCCTTATTTTTCAACTAACTTGAGCACCTTATCACTATTACCTTTCTCATACCTTCACTTCCATTTCTCAAATGGGATTTTACTCAAAAGTCTGGCTGGGTGAAAAAATATCAAATAAATAAAAAGCGATGCTCTTAGTGTTTTTCTTAACAGCTTCAAATAACATTTGGTGAGAAAGAGAGAAAAAGACTTAAAGGAAACAAGTTAATGGAGAATGAAAAAATATTTTAGTAGCTCATCTTTTCTGCTATTTTAAATCCTAATGGTTTTGTGCAGGCACTGTTAAATGAGATTTACTTTTTTATGAAAAACCTATAAGAAAACAAACACACAAAACCTATAGCTTCACACAAATGAGTTCCCTTGAGATGGGTTGCAAAATCCCAGTTTATCATGTGAGTGAGAGAAAAGGTAAGAAACAGGAAGGATAGTCGTGTATTGAACCATTGACACACTCAGGAACCAGCCAATGAGAAGAAGGCAAGTGACCAACGAGAACAGAGTCCGGCCACAAACATCCCTTAAGGCGGTACCTGGGTGTATCTGTGAACACCTTCCTTGGAGTTGACTATTTACAGGCCACCAAGTTTAGGCCATCAAGTGACGATATTCACTGAGAAGGACGGGCAATCCAAAGATCATCTGGTATGCTAAATGTGCAAAAAGTCCCTTCAAACAAAGTTTTCTTTCTTAAATCTGAAACTGGTCCCTGCACTGTCTGATTTTGCTATTAGCTATAGTATTTTAAAAACGATATACGAAACATCCTTTAAATTGAAAGCAACAAGAAAATCTGTTCCCAGTACATGTCTTTCTGAGCATCATATCTACCATAGGTAAGGGTAGGATTTTTTTTTCTAATCAAACAAATGCTACATTAGTTAAATTTTCCAAAACATTGTGAATCTGGAAGACAGCTCTCGACTTTAGCAAAGTGGTTCTGACACAAAGGACTACTTAGGCTGATTAGGAATGTCTCTGTTCCCTGTGGATGCCCTCAAGGGATCTATATGAGGTTATATTTCCTCTTTAAAAGTGACAGAAATGGAATTACATTACTTACAGCTCCTTTAAAAAAATACATGCAATTGCATATTACTATATATACTTGAAAGCTATCTGTATTTGAAAGATTCAGTATTTCTGTTACTCAAAAAGAACCACTAAAGTCCATCCTTTGGACCATGAAGAAAAATAAAACAAAAATAAAAATAAAGAAAATATTTGTTTTTCCTTTACTAATACATTGCTGCCCCAAAAGCAAATGGCTATGATATCCAAGTTTTGAATTGGTTAATATTTTAAATGACTACTTTACCCAAAGACATAATTACACAGAGAGCTCTTATTAGAGAAATGTTAACAGTTACATAAATCCTCTTTAGATAGTAATGACTTCTGGGATCATACCCATGATTTGTGGCAGTAGACTTTGTGGAAATAGCATCTACTGAAGTGCATTTTTGTGAATGATATACCCGCTCATTGCACCATGAATAGCTATTTTTGTCACGAATAGCTAATATTATTAGATTTGTTTTAATTGGAGGCATGTAGAAAAGTGAGATACCCTATTTCTACATGAAAAGGAGTGTTTAAGCCCCATTACACAGGTGAAGTGAACATGGTTAAACAAAGGTTTGGAAACACATTGTCAACTTTAAGAAATACTCTACCAGCTTGCCTAAGAGTATTTGGGAATACTCTACAGGTAGCACAGAAATACTGTATAACTAACCTATGCTTTGAGCAACATAAAAAAAAAAGCCCTCAGCCATCCTCCTATCTAGAATTAAACTCAAATCTGCAGCATGTCAGGGTCTTGCTGGAATGAATCAGCTGATCTGATCTGATGTGAATTTCTGACCTAATTTTGCTGTAGGACTTAGTGCTCAGGCAGAGAAAACAAGGTTAATGTGTTGATAACGGGTGAGATTAAACAGCAGCCAGTATCTTAATAACCCTCTCTAATTTCAGCTTCCTCTTGTGTTTGTGATTAATTCGAATCACTTTTCTATTAATCATTTCAGGGGACCACAGGTTGCTTTGCTTGTTTTTATGTAAAAATCATGCATCCAGATTTTCTTCCTCAAAGCTAAACAAGATATTCATATATGGGAGTAATTTTGGTTAAAAAATCAAATGCATGGGCAAGTTTTTTATTCCTCAAACCATAAAATTAGACCAGAAAAATTCTTTATTGAGCCAGAAGTTTAATCTGCAAGGCTGATTCTAAATGAATTAACTTATGCTAGGTGCTCTATATATTTTTTTCAATGCTCATGGGAAAAGTTAATCTAAGGAGTCCCCTTATACAGGTCAAAATGGCGTCTGTCCTGCTGGCCTATTGTTTTCAGTTAGAGCCATCAAGTTTCCCAAGATGCTTAATACAAACTTCAGAATTTATAAATTTACAATTTACATTATACTTATATTAATAATAGAGACAATCCTGGGTTTTTCATCTAGTCACCTGCCAGGACAGATTAGAGACAACATTTAAAAAAGTTCCTTTAAAGGTGCCTGTTAGGGTAAGCCTCCTTCAGTCTTCTCACGTACCTTTCAAGAGCTATTTATACTTTTGGTTGTTTTGACTTTAATTATATCCTAGACCTAGCACTTATTTTACATTTTAAGAAGCTCAGTATCTGTTCTATATCTGAAATAAATAGACAGATGTTGGCAAGAGGAGGGGCCTTTCAGAACAGAGCCCCATGTGAGCTACTCAGTCAGCATGAGAATTAAGCTCTTCTGACAGAGGAAATTGCAGTGAAGAGTGGACCTTCCAAACATCCAACACCATGGCAAATTGAATGATTAAACAGAAGCCCGTTGGAGAATTTAAGGTAATCTTTCTTTGAAAAGTAATGTTGAATATGGAGAGATGGTTATAGACTGACTGTCAATAGTTTCCTGTTGAGGTCTATTTTTTATATTCTTCAAGCTATTGGAGGATATCTTTAACTAAAGATGGCCTTTGTAAAATGTTTCCAAAGAACCCGTAAGAGAAAGAAATTATTATGGAGTAAGGCTATGAGTCAGGGGACTTTTTGAACTACTAAAAATGCAATGTCTCCTAGAGAATGTGTGTAATGTAACAAATGAAACTGCTAGAATAGAGCCTGAGCATGCTAATAAAATTGCTCCAAGTCTTCTAACTTTGAGGTAGCCTAAAGAAAATGTCTTCATTATACATGTGTGGGTTACCTTAAAATTAATTTTAATCATGAATTGGTAAAAGGAAAATCAAGTCCCCCCTCAAAATGAATCTCTGCTTGAAACACATGCCTCTAGTTAAAAGTTATTCTCAATAATGCTCATATTTGGAAATACACAATGGAATATTCATGTCCATACTGGAATGTAAATATAGCCAGCCTGCTAGGAAGCAGAAAAAAAGATCACTTAAAAAAATAGAGAAAAGCAATTTCAATAAGATGTACAAGGAAGATGTTTTAAAAAATAAAAAAGAAGTATTTAAAATCCATTATTTTAATTAGTAAATTGCATTTTCGTCTCTGATTTGGGGCTAAGTATACCACTCAGCATATCCTGATGTTTGAATAAAAAATGAAGTGGTTCAGCAAAGAATGAAGAGGGCCGTTACCAAGGATACTTCTTAATTTTCTATTAGGTTGATGTTTATATGTATTGCATAGCTATTTTGTTTCCATATTATATTTTTCATTAAGCATATATTGGGCATCTATTTTATGTCAGTCATTGCTCTAGGTGCTTGGGATAAGATGGTGAACAGAATACCAAAACATGCTTGTCCTCATCGGAGTTACAATCTGGTAGGGGGTTGGGAGGTGGAGAAGGCAGACAAAAAAAGAAACAAGTAAATATAGAGTAAGTGCAAATGTAACAAATTCTGTGAAAAAAAAATACTAAACTAGAGAATTGAGGGTCAGGGGTATGGGGAGAGTGCAATTTAAAATAAGCTCAGGGAAAGACTCACTGAGGATGTGACATTTGAGTAAAGACCTGAAGTAATAAGTGAGGAGAGAAGCCATGCAGATCTCAGGAAAAACAGATTTCTAAGGAAGAAGAAATGTGGAGAGAAAAGGTCGTAATGGGGAGCATTCACAGCACATAGAAGGTCCCTGAAGGACCTCACTGTGGCTCGAACAGGGCAGAGCAGGTGAGGCGGAGGTTAGAAGATGAGGCCAGAGGCAATGGAGTCCAATCTTGTGAGGACATGGAGGTTACTGTCAGGAAGCTGGCTTAGCTCAGGGTGAAATTGGGATGAGAGAGGTCTCAGTAAGGGCAGGGCAGGGAGACCAGTCAGGAGGCTGTAAAAGCAATAGAGATGAGGGAAGATGTTGGCTGGGACCAGAGCAGCAGTCCTGGAGGAGGTGAGATGTGCTGGAATCGTAGTTACACTCTGAAGGTAGAATTGACAGAATTTGGTGACAGATTGGATGGGAGGTGTGAAAGCAAGCAAAAAGGATGGTGTTTCCATTAACTGAGATGGGGAAGATGGCAGAAGAATCATGTTTGGTGAGAAAAGTTTTAGACATAGTATGTTTGAGATGTGTGTTAGGATTTCAATGATTTGTTGATATTTGTAAGAATTTCATGTTTCATTTTTGATAATTTGTAGGTATGAGGTTAAAAATTTTACAGAAATGTTAACACTTTTATAAAACTTTTTATATACTTTTAGAAAAGTCAAAAATTTTGAATACTTTTATAAAACTCTAAAAATTGTATACATATACACATCTAAGTTTCAGGAAAGTTTTTGTTATTGTATGTGTGTAATAACATCACACATGAGATCTATTCTCCTAACAAATTTTTAAGTGTATAACACAGTATTGTTAACTACAGGTACAGATCTCTAGAACTTATTCATCTTGCAAAACTGAAACTTTACACTCATTAAATAGCAAATGGAGGGCAAGTGCCCAGATTAACCAGAACAAATGAACAATTGCCTAGAGGTCTCTGCCTTTTGCGCAGTTAGTGAAATCATGCAGTCGGCGATACTGATTCTAAGAGCTATATGATCCACACACTCGGCTGCTTTCCAGTTTAGGGCAGAGATGACAGTCACAAATCCTGTAATACAAGAAGGAAGATAAAAGGCAGATGTAGGCCTACAGAATGCTTGACATTTTCAAAAAGGAAAGATGCTCCGATAACGGGAAGATTCAGTTATTAGCATTGGTAATGTTCACTTAAGACATTTCTGCAATGATGGAGACATAGATAATTAGTTGATGCACATTGGGGATGTTTTCTGTTCTTGGGTATTTCAATAAACCTGTAGGTTATTACCTCATTGTAAGAATGAAACTTGGAGTAATGCTGTGGATGTGGGTGAAACGGAACATAGTAGTGGGAAAATCCTTGTGCCCTAATACAAGATGGAATCAGTTTCTTTCACTTGCTAGCTTTAGTGAGATTCATAATGAGTCCCTTATCTTAAAGTCGTCTATTCCTTTTGAATTGGAAATAACAATCTTCATTTTGTTGAGCTGTTAAAAGAAAGAAAAGATACAACACATGGCACAACTAGCGGGGTAGTCAACATATTATAGAATTGGTAGCTGCTATTATTGTATTTGTATTAATATTATTATTACTGTTATTATTTTTACTGTCACCATTTTTACCTTCATCTTTATCACTTAATGTGACTATCTCAATAACATCACATGGCACCATGTCTACAAAGATTCCACTTCCATGTAGAGTAGAAAGCAATACAGGGGAAGATTGTTTGCTTTGGGCATTTGCAAATGACACATGTACCCAGCCCCCAACTGTGAATTTTCTAAGTTATCATTTTGTTTTATCTTATCAATGTACACATATTTTGTTCTTTTTCCTAAAATACTTAAAATTACATGAGGATAATTTTGGCATATGAATAGATTCAAAAGGATGCAATAATTGGTAGGTTTAGTCTTAATTATTAAACTGGCTTCCAAGAGCGGAGAAGCTGTCTCTTGTGCATAGTAGGTTATTAAACATTTGTCAAATCAGATTGTGTTGAACCCACTCAGTGCATTGATGATGGCTTCTCCTAGGGAATAGTAAATAAGCTGGCATAGCATGTGATATTTTAAGTGCAATTTGCTAATGAATTTCCAGATATTTTCAGGGAATTACCCTGAAAGTTTTCTTTCTGGGCACATGAGCTGCTATATTTTTACTCTATTAATAGAAATGTTTTGGTGAAACTGCCACACATTTAGGCTAAAGTTAAAGAGGGAAGGAAGTAATGAATTATGAAGATAAAATGCCTACTTTATGTCTACAAGAACTAAAACCTAAAATAATTTTTAAAATTTTTTTATAGTTTGATTTCTTTTCTGAAGAGCAATGTATATTCAACATCACAGGGTAAATGCTACTGACAGGTTGAAGCTTCATATTGGTTTGAGGATGTGAGTGGAAGCTGGCCCAACAATAACCGATAGCTGCTTTTTGCACAGGGAAAGAGGAGTTCTTTTTTCTTTTTCTTTTCTTTTCTTTTTTTTTTTTGTTTTTGAGACAGGGTCTCACTCTGCCACCCAGGCTGAGTGCAGTGACGTGATCTCATCTCACTGCAACCTCTACCTCCCAAGCTCAAGTGATTCTCCCACCTCAGCCTCTGGAGTAGCTCGGACTACATATGTTTGCCACCATACCCGGCTAATTTTTGTATTTCCTTTTTCATATAGTACTTGATACAGTCATCGTAACTCTGACATATCCAGCTCTTTTACATAGAGAATCAGAATGGCATGGATAAATTTGAGCTATTAGGATTTCTTTCTACAGGGATTCTTATTTTATTTATTTACTTTTTTGAATTTTTTGAGACAGAATCTCCCTCTGTTGCCCAGGCTGGAGTGCAGTGGCACAATCATGGCTCACTGCAGCCTCAACCTCCCAGGCTCAAGTGATCCTCCCACCTCAGCCTCCCAGGTAGCTAGGACCACCGTCACACACCACTATGCCCAGCTAATGGTAGAGAAGGGATCTCACTATGTTGCCCAGGCTGGCCTTGAAGTCCCAGGCTCAAGTAATCCTCCCTCCCCAGGCTTCCAAACGCTGAGGAGACAGGCATGAGTCACCACACCTAGTGAGAAGGCTTCTTAACCACCTAGGATGCTTGTTACTAGACTGTCACATATAATTTTAAAAATTATTTAGAAGCCTGTTAGTATACACAATTTAAATAGTATTTGTTTTTGAGATGAGTGACAAAATAGGATTGAAAATCATTTGTCAAGCAAATTTTTTCTAGGTTATTTTTAGGAGAACATTATTCTTTCAGCAACTGGTATTTTATTTTACTTAGGGGACAGATGACATTTTGTGATTTACAAAAAATAAACAGTAATGGGGAAATTTAAAAAGAAAGACAATGGGGAAATATCTATAGTGATCAGAGCACATGAAGACTCTTCTCTCAGGAGTAGAGAAGTCACTTCCCTTTTTATCCTCCTCCTATACCAGGTTGGAAATTACATAGGAGGGAATGTTTGTTCAGGGTGAGACTAGAATCTAAAATAGTTCATCCTTATGTCACCTTCTGGTGTTCTAGAAAAAACTCAAAGCTAAGATAAAGTATTCTCTCCGGCCTAGTGGCCTCTGGATAATGAAGCAAAGGGTTAAGAGATGTGTAGTTTATGGTTTTTCTCTAGATTTTGCTGGGCCCTATTTGAAGTCCCCAAACCTCAGCAACTCACAACTCTCAGCAAATCAATACAAATAGCATATTTTCTTTAGAAAGAAATCCCATGACACTTTACAACCCCTATCAGTACCAATACATTCATTTCTAGAAATCAATTATTTCAAATATCTAATGTTATTCTTGATTTGTTTTTTTCTTCTTCTTCTTTTCCACATAATTTTACATTTATTTCATTTAAATGACTTTTTAGGATTTTAATTCTTTTTCTGGTTTCCTGTCTTTTATAATCCATTTCAATTCCAATATTTCTTTTCTTTTATTTTGTGTTTGTTCTGTTCAGTTTGCTAGCAATTACTTAAAATGTCTGGGTATTTCAAATAAAAGTAAAGGAGAGGAACACATTTTCAAAACATGGTACATGGTTCAACAGATTAAATGGGATAAAGAGAGATCGGGAAGGGGGAAGGAAAATGACTACCCAGTAAAAGGCTTTTTAGCAAATCATACTGAATCTCATTAATAAAGAATACATCCACTGAAGCTGTGCAATCAATCTGCCATGTGCATTAGTGATGTCTAGTCCAATTCAGGTAGATAAATTGTTCTCTAAGTGTCAGTCGGCTGCCAGTCAAATCACAAATACCAATAATACATGCCATGAGGAATTTCTCCTGACTCATGACAAATTTTTTTCAGAGGGTTAGACTGGAATAAACAGGTAAAAGGGAAGAATAATGTCTGTCTGAATGAACACCACCAGCAACAGCAAAAAAGGACAGATAACTGGAGAGATAAGCAATAGGCAAGGACGCTGTGAACCGATCTATTATTAAAAAAAAAGACTGGCAGGGAGTAATTCAACTACACACCATTACCAACAGTGTCAGCTAAAAATACAACTGGAAAAAAGTATAGTCAATACAAAATTTGCAAAGTCAGATGAGGGCATCACTGTAGTGTAGAGATATCCTTCAGGTGGAAACTCTCAGGCACGAGACAAGGAGAATAAAGGAGAAAAGGAAACAAAGTAACAGAACGCTTCCATGAATATTTTAATGACAGCATCTTAGTCTGGTTTCTAATCGTGAACGATTCTTTTTAATGATAGATACTATGACTAGTATTCTTCCCAATGGCTAGCTATCAGAAGCTCTCATTATTATAAACAGATGTTATTAAAAGACACTATAAAATATGGCTTTCTGATACTCTGGTTTGAGTTGACACCATATGAGTTTTCTAAAGAAGTCAATCAGTGTCACACATACCAGAAAATAAAAGCACTTGCTTCTGAGCCTATAGTGGAAGGGAAAGTATTCTATCACTTCTTACAAGATTAGAAGTCTCCAAGGAGAGATGGTGCATATAAGAGAGCATTTTGGATTGAGGTGAAAACACGAAGCCTCTGCAGTTATATGATTGCATTAAAGAAGAGGAATGAAAGATTAGGATGGTATTGGGTTTTAGGAAGGAATGCCATGCGGCTTGTGGATTTGTCATTAATGCAGTGACCCTGTCTATCCAAGTCATTCTATTTCAATGTGACTTAGAATTCTAAAAGAAAGTCAGCTTAGAGGTGTCAACACAGCCCCCTGTGTAAGCTGCCTTCAGCAAAGAACCTCTATCTTTAATTTAACACAATTGGCCATCTTGGTTTGAGACAGACTGTGATTTAGTTAACATGAAAACAGCCTGACCTCTGTCACCCCAGAATTGAATCAAGAGTTCAATTCAGGCTTGATGGCATGTATGAACTATTCTAGGAACTATAACTTGGGAAAAAAATGAAATGGCCTCAGTGAACATGTGGAGGAATAAACAGATCTCTCATATTGTGGCCTGGTGTTCGCCTAGACAAGTGTATGCATGTTTATTTTTTAATGATGTGCTTTAATAATGCATGCATGTTATGTTACCTCAGTCACATAGATAAAACCCTATTTTAGTGACAGGCTCATAATGCTCAACCTGATACAGCACAATAAAACTATCTCCATGTGCCAACTAGCAACTCTTGTTAGTTGCTGATAAGAATGCAACGTATTCTGGCAGACAAGAAATAGTACATAATAGATACATTCACTAGTTTCAACTCCTTGAGCAGTCAATTTAGTTAATAAAAACCTCACCTTTTTAATACCTGCATCATGAAGGTATTATCAGTGATGGAAATATATGATCTTTTTATGAAATTTTCTAAGATAAAGATGCAGAGATACTTTATTTCTCATGTTGATAACACAGTCCCTAAGATACCTGATGAAATGTAATATCATGAATTCAAGATTGAGACTGAATATCTCAAAGATGACATTTTATTTTATTTTGTTTACATTCATATCTAAACTTTGGTGAAAAAGAGAGTCTCTCTCAACTCTTTCAAATTAATTAACGTAGATTTTAAAAAGTGAACCAAGAATATGTTATTTTGTAACAAATGTGATAGCAGGACAATGAACTAATTAAAATTTAAGTTTTTATCAAATTATTTTTCTTCTGAGGTATAAGTAAGTCAAATTAATCAATCTCATCTGCTTACTTTCTTTTAATATTCTCCAGCTTCAATTTGTTTTATTTGAACTCTAATTATCATCTCTGAGCAAAGCAAATAACTTAATAAGTAATGTAGCACAACACTTCTAAGTACTGTAAGAAGAGTCATCCATTTTACTTAGCTCATAAATTAACATAGAAATTTTAAATTTTTTTTAATATTGGCTTTTGAGACCTAAAGTCCCAGAGTTATGATCTAGTATTATTTTTATCAAGTCCTTACATTTCAATATCTTCACTATAAATGCCATAAATGCACTGGTTTAGCAATGCATTTACCTATATTTACCCATCTGAACTACAAAGTCAAAAAGTCAATATGAAGGTTTTGGAATTCCCTCAAATTGTAATTTCCTCTGTTTTTTTAATTTATTTTATATTTATTCTATTGTCTTCTGCTACTCTCATTGACTTAGTTCTCATAAATCTAAAGCAATATGTGGATATAAATTCAATATAAACTAAAGTAAAAAGGGAGATTATAGGTCAAGAAATGTTAGCCCGTTCACTAAACAGCCAGATTTTGTTTCCATCTTCTCTAGTCTCTGAACTAATAAGTTTGCAAAATGCTTGTTAGAAGTAATCGGGAAAAGAAATCTGTGTAGTTCTATGAAGTATATAAAAAAAGATTGAGTTCGTTTCCATCATATTGAAAGTGGTATGTCTAAACTGACACATAATCATTATAGAAACATTGGTTTTCTAGAAGCCAACCTTTTGGCAACCTCAACTATAGAAACTTATTTTTTTTAAAAAAAGAAATAGAGCTTTCAGAAAAAGGAGACAGAAACATTTAAGGTCCCTAGCACACTCATGTCTGTGGACTGGCCATGTAATCTCCCACCGTTGAGTCCTTGAGGGTATTGCTCACACAGCTACAAGAGAAGGAATCAGGTGCATTCCTATAAAAGGTACAGCCATCTGCCAGCCTGGTTCGTTTTAAACTAGTCAGCTTGGCATATCAGCATTTATATTTTTCTTTTAGTTTCTGTGTGTGTGACTGTGTGTGTGTTTGATCTATTGATGTTTTGATGGATTACACACAGAGCATATCTCACTAGGAATTTATCCAACAAGTAAGGGCACTCTGGTTATTAAATTGAGGTCTCATGTTAGAGGCCATTAAGCAAATTATTTAGTGCATTCTGCTTTAGAAGGCAAGGGCACAAGTACGGTATTTTATAACTGGCTAATTTCATGCTGCAATTAAATTCTTGACACACACTTGGAATGGGAAACTTAATGTGAAGGGGAAATTAAAGAGGCCTTTCTATTGTTGAGTTTCTGTTTGAAAATGGACTTTTCTAAGAGACCTATCTAATATGTTTAAAAATACACTTCTTTTTCCCTGTGGTAGGATGGAAACGACTGTTGTGCAGAGAATAATCGAAGAGAAATAAATATTTGTATTTTTAGAATTACTTTAGGATTTTATACAACCACCAAGGGTTTTATTATAATAGATTTTAGCAGGCACATTAATGAAGAGTTTTTCAAGGGAAACTCCTTTGTTTAAGTAATGAAACTGTACTAATTGGACATACATGTCATATAAGTGTATTATTTTCAGTTTGATGACTGGATTGTGAAAAAGAATTAGTGTGTCATTGTATGAGAGAGAGAAAAAGAAAGAAATAAATGAAGGGGGAGAGGAATAGTTAAGGGTAAGCTCAAGTTTAAATTCATTACAGTGAGAAACATCAAGATGAAAAAAATAAAGACGTAGTTTGACAGGAATTAATTCTTGATAATTGAAATTTAAAAATTATAACATCCCCTAGAAAATTAGTTACATGTTATACTTTGCTTTCTTTCTCTTTTCTTTTTTTTTTTTAAAAATTCTACTTAATATTTTCACCTCAATCTATAATATAATGTAGCAGTGGGATCTGTAGAGTCAGACTTCCTTCCAAGCCACATTTTACCCTCATTCTTCCTCGCTGTGTGATTACGGACAAATTACTCAGACTCACTGGGCTGCAGTTTTCTCCATGTAATATCAGTACCTACAGATTAGGATGTTGTAAGAAATAAATGACTTTAGACTCAATGAAAACATAAAAGAGAATCCACGGTAAGTGCTAAGTCAGTGTGAACTCTTATCCACTAACGTACCCACAACATGAGGGCAGGAACTCGCTTTGCTCATCCACTGCACTTGGAACAGGGGACACTCAATAAGTATATCTGAGTGATTGATTCAATGATTGATATCCTGAGATTTTATTAATGAATGAATAGGAAGCTAGTCGTGTGGTGTAATTTGAGGAAGTGCTTACTCAACCCTTACCCTGAGAAAATACCTCTCTTGAAATGCTTAAAGCCATAAATCCCCAAAGTATGAAACGATTCTTTTGGCTTGCATATTTGTTCACTTTTAATAAGACAAGCGAAGAGATAACATATTAGTACAGTTTGATGATTATTAGTCACTTCTGCCTGACTATGAGTGATTTTATTAGGCCCACTCCACATAATAGGTGAGAGAGCACTGCAGTTTTAAGGGAAAATAGAAGCAGCAAGAAGACTGTGAAATAAAGAGTGGCCCTGAGCCGGTAACTAATCCCGTATTTTACAGTTTTTCTCAGATTTGGATTAAAATGTAATGTCATCCAAACAGGAAAAGTGAGTTACCTGTGGTCATATAGCAAGTCATTGCTAAATTTAAAAGAAAAATAAGACTAGTTCCAACCAAAATTATTCTGTTTAGTTTAGATTTTTATTGGACATAGGAATCAGTTGGGCAATCAAACCTAGAATCTTTGTGTAAGAAAAATGGAAAGTTTGAAAACCTCCTAATGACCTCTGAGCAGAAAAGCTGCCTGTCATCCTTAAAGTTTATCCATGCAACTCCAAAATAGATGGAGAAATGTTAGGGAATATTCAGATTGGGTAACTATTCAATCTTACCTCAAATAGTCACCCTCCAGAATTTAACATCCCAGTGATTGTCCACAAAAGGGACAATTTTCTTAATGTGATACTAAGTGAGATACAAATAATGACACTTCATCAAACTGTGTAATTTTAGTCAAATACATTTTTCCTTTTAATATCACAGTTTCCTCGTCTGTGACAATCACAATCCCAATGTCCGTCTTGACAGATTGTAGTGAGGACTAAATAGATCATCAGTATTGCTGGACGGGTCACTGCTCTCCAGCCGTAGAGAATGTGTAGTCCTCCTGCAAGTTTAGCCTCTGCTCACGTCTGTGTCCTTTCCATCATTCACCACCCGTGTGGCTCCTTCCCTGTCCAAGTCCCTGTGGCTCCTTCAGGACTCAGCCCAAGTGGTATCTCACTGAAACCTTCTCTGGTCTTCACAGGCACTATTGCTTGCTATCTCTTATTTTGGTCTACTAGCATTCTTTACATAATCTACATAATTCTATTCTGAGTTTAATGCATCTCCTCTAATCATTTTCTTTCCATGCATAAAATTAAAAGTGAGCCAAATAATGGCCAGATCTGGCACAGAATCCCTTTTGAACAAATGAGAATCTAATAACCTGGAAGATTTGTAAAGTGATTCAGATCTTTGCTGGTGTCTCTGGAAGAATACCCAAAGGAGCATTTTATTCCAAAACAAAAAACCTAAAAAACAATGACTCTCCTTCCTCCTATAAACTCCTAAGAGTCCCCATACCAGCCAACCCAGTCTTCCCTCTCTCTACTTCTCTCTCTGGTTAAGCTCATTATTGTGCAGATCAAGGTAACATTTCTGGATTTGGAGGATCTGATGGGTATGCAAAAGGGGTTGATTTTTCCTCTTTCAGTCTTTGAAAGATATCTGAACTCTGTACGAGAGAGTAGGTCCCTGGGCTGACCTAGTAAGAAAGCATTCTCCCTTCTTAGGAAGAAAAGAATCAATGAAGTTTATTGTCATTTATAATTTAAAATATTCATTTTTGTCCCAGTCATAGTTGATTATTGCCCTTTCTTCCCTGCTGGCCTTTGAGTTCTTTTTCAATATAGGAATCCAGGGGAAACCTGGAAAGATTACTTGAAACTTGAGTTCTGAATATCATTTGGCAGCTCTGCTCTTTAAAATCTTCCTCCCACTTCCTGTGTTTTCCTACTCAGGTACCCTCTAGTCCATAGCTCAGCAAATATTTTCAGATAGTAATAATTTGATTATTTTGGGCATTTGTACCATAAGGCAACTACCCAGTTCTGCTGTTGTAGCATGAAATTGCCCTCAAGGCTACTTAAATGAATGAGTGTGGCAGTGTTTCAATAAAACTTTATTTACAAAGACAGGTGACAAGCCAGATTTGGCCTGCAGTTCATAGCTTTCAAACACCTGCTACTACTCTATCCATTCATTTTGTTGACCTAATTGTCATCACCTAGGCCAATTCTTTGGAAGAGATTTCTGTGTATTCTGGCCTTCCCAAACGTGATTCCTGGGAAAGCATCAGGAAACTGGGCTTTAGAATTGAATCTGTGGTTGAGTTCTTTGGATTATTGATCCACATACACAGTAAAACTTCAAGAACATCTCTGGAAATTCTTAAAGTTCTGGGACAGCTAGTTTTTAAAAATTTGCATTATGTAAGAGAGAAAAATGTAAGTAACCATAAAGAGACCATAATAACTGATGACATTGATTTAGTGCTTATTATATAACATATCCTATAAATTCTTTACATGTGACATCTGTTTAATCCAGATAATATTTCCATGAGGCAGGTTCTATCATTTGTTTTATTTAAGCTGAGTCTTAGAGACTTTAAGAAATTCTCCAAAATCATATCATTAGCCAGTGGCAGAATTAAGGTAAAGCTCAGATGTATCTGACTCCCAAGAACAGTTATGAAAAAGGAAAGAGAGAATAAGAAATAATGCGTTATTTGGCTGGGGGTGTCGAGGGGGGATTTAGGGACAAATAATGACCTGCCCATCAGTTTCTTGTATATGAATCAAATCTGGCAGACCACAAAAGAAACCACAGCAGGATTCCAAATTCACAATTCAAATGCTAAGCTTGCATGTTGCATAGTGATACTGGATAACCAAGAGGACCTTCTGAGCACTTGAAAGTTTCCAAAGCCACAAACTGGTACTTGGGACAGCTTTCACATCGGATCCGTAATAGTGTCTTCAGATTTTCACAAAGTTCAGTATACCTGGAATTCCTTGCAATGTCTCTGGCATTTTGCATGGGAATATTTTGAAGAACAAAGAAAAATCATTTTCTTTTGAAATCAATAATATTCAGGTAGCTAAAAATCTCACTGTAAAATGAAACTTTTTTGCATAGCAAAAGAGAAAACAATAAAACTGAGGTTAATATATTTATTTAATTGTATACTGATAATCCATTGACTATTTTAAGATAAATTATATTTGAGGAAAAATGATAGATATAGCACATATGTTTGCAGAATCTAGGGTAAGCCCATGCGTAAGTGCTGAATATTTAACCAAGGCTCCATAAAGCTTCCTCTTGCAGTCATTTTCTTTTTAGTATTAATTTGAATTCTGGTGCATCTATGATAGAGCAGCATATCAGGAAAAAAAGCATCAGTTGCACACTATGTACTTACCATGGCAACCCCAGCGTCACATGGTGCACATGCTAGTTTGGAGCCAAAGAGCTTCACGGGCTCTTAAGCAGACACACACACAGCCTCCTGGTCATGTGACTCTGCCTACAGTCAGGGCCTTTGCCAGGAAAATGTGTCAGCGTAAACTGATAAACTCTGGATTATTCTGATTCCTGCAACTCTCTGCTTTTTTAAAATCTATTCACTCATATTTATCTCTCTCTCTCTCTTTCTCTTCCTCTCTTCTTCTTTGTCTCCCTTATTTTTCTTCTTTTAGATGTAGAATACAATGATTAAAGGTTTATTTGCCAACTTAGATTTTCTCAAAATAATCCTTTCTATTGAACTCACCATGACTGGATAAAAATGTTTTTCGATGTCCAGGACCTTATTAATTTCCCCCATCAAAATCTTAGAACATGAATAACATGAAGCCTTTCCAAATATAGAATAATCAGACATGTCTACAGCACAAATTATTGGAATCTGCCCATGTTTTTTAGATTCCCTTCTTCAATTTATGAGGGGATATTATTTTCTTAGCCATTATTTTAATAGCATCAAAGTTATTTATTAGGTGAAAAGTGATCTATTCATGTATCAGATATTCAATTTGCTAGCTGCTTCTGTTATGGTGGATGATACCACTAACATCTACCACACACTGACAAAGTGCCTGCCACTGTACAAAGTGCATTGCATATATTAACTCACACCCCACCACACTATGAATTAGTTACTATTATTAACTCCAGTCTACAGATAAGGAAACTGAGGCCCAAGTGCTCAGTTATTAATCAATACATCAGGGATTTGAACCCAAGAGGCAGTGCCCTAACTAGAATGCTATTTTTTTTTTATTAAAACCAAAAACAAAGAAAAATACAGACATAAATAGGAAAATACAGCAAACAAAACAAAAACAGATGTTAAACTCTGTGATGGAACATGTGAGGTAATGCATAAGTTAATTGGCTAGATTTAGTCATTCCACAGTGTATATAGACTTCAAAATATCATGTCTTACACAACAAATGCATTTAATTTTATCTGTCAATTTAAAAAATAAAAAAGTAAATGATTAAATTGAGGATTGGGCAATGAAAATGTACATTCAGAGAGAAGGAAAGATGTAAAAATTTAGTGGCCAAAAAAGAGCTTGTTCACATATTCTCCAAATTATTACATCATTTAGATTGGTTTGACTTACATTAAACATGTTCAAATATCTCTAAAAAATAAAATGATAAAATAAAATAAATTCTGTGGTACATATCAATTCTATTTCTTGAAAATTATGATGAAACTATAGTAACTCTGTATTTTTCAGAAGTTATTTCAAATGCCAGACTAGTATTTTAATCCACTTGGATCAAATACATCACAGTTACGTGATCTCCATATGCTGCTGTTGTAGAGAAATCATACCTCATCAACAAACGGTAGACCGTTGGCATTCTTTCAGACTTTCCGTTTACATATTGTTTTAATTAACAAAATTCCATTTTCTAGTTGTTTTTTGGGACTCTGCTTATCTAGTTTAAGCTTTTTGAACATAAAGGCAGCAGATTTTACAAACAGGCAACTCCCAAGATCCTGTGTAGGGTAATTAATGATTCTTGTGATTTGTGGTAAAGCTTTGAACTTCAAGGGAGTCTATTTTAAATTTCCAATGTCAGTCAATCAGACTGATGCAATTTCTCAAGTAATCACATTTATGTGCAAATGTTTTTAGTTAACAGTCATTGAATAAATGTCTTCCTCTGAACTCTCTCTCTCTCTCTTTTTCTCTTAAATGAGCTTGTTTGCTTGCAACCACTTTGGAAATGATCCAGAACAAAATGTCATTAGCATGTTCCGGGAACTCATTAGCAAAATGCATTTATGCATTAAGAAGTCCACTTATAAGGCAAGCCATGTTCCATCTACTGTGAACACAGAAATGTTGAGGAATTGAACATGGGAAGGGTTGACCAAAAGTTCCTATCAATGAGCAAAGTCATCAGACTTACATGACGTGTGACAAAATAATAATTTTATAATTTTATACTGCAAGAGTGTGTGTGGCCATATAATTTATAACAATGATAGGGTTTTTTTTGTTGTTTGTTTGTTTGTTTTGAGATGGAGTCTCGCTCTGTCACCCAGGCCGGAGTGCAGTGGCACGCTCTCGGCTCACTGCAAGCTCCGTCTCCCAGGTTCATGCCATTCTCCTGGCTTAGCCTCCCTAGTAGCTGGGACTACAGGCCTACACATGCCTGCCACCACGCCCGCCTAATTTTTTTTTTTTTTTTTTTTTTTGGTATTTTTAGGAGAGACGGGGTTTCAACCGTGTTAGCCAGGATGGTCTTGATCTCCTGACCTCGTGATCCACCCGCTTTAGCCTCCCAAAGTGCTGGGATTACAGGCGTGAGCCACCGTACCCGGCCAGCAATGATAGGTTTTAAAGCTCTTGACTGTGGTGACTGATCAGGGATATTATATGTACATTTGTACTGTGTTATATATATATGTTCAGATTTGATAGAAAAGGCAGTGTAAATAAAATCAACTTTATATATATAAATTTATGTATATATGTGTGTATATCTATTATATAGCTATATAAATATATATAAATAGAGAGATATAGGTATATTTATATAGCTATATGTAAATTTATATTTAGATAAATTGCTTATATAAATATATATGGCTATATAGATATCTCCCCTACCAGAACATCTTGAGAGCTGGAGTTATATCTAATTCTGCTCTGTACTTTCCAAAATACCACCTAGGATGCCAATTCAACTGTTGTAACAAAGGAAAAAATAACCTTGACTTAAGTAAAGTAAAAGACTCTTCCCTCCCTTCTCTGTGTGATAGTCTAAGCATAACCGGTCCAGGACTGATATGGCATCTCCACCATGTTTTAGGTTCTGACTCCTTCATATTTTTCTCACCTGTCTTCTCCATACAAATTCCCTCTTGTGATCTAAAAAGGCTGCTCCATCTCCTTCTGGCATACATATTTTAGCGGTCAAGTAGGGGGAAGGGGAGGCAGGTTCCTTTATTCTGCAGTATGATCAAAAATTGTACACTTCCCTTTCACTCATAAACCATATGCCCTGGCTGGGTCACATGACTATGCCTAGCTGTAAGGGATGTTGGGAAGTATAGTTTTTAGCTCAGCAAGGAAATGAATATTGGTTGAGCATCTTGAATTATTGGTTCGAAAATACTTTTTTAAAAAAACCTATAAAATGTAATGTAATTAATATTTCATTAAATACTTATTGTAAGTATACCAACTTCATTAATTGTCTAATTATGTATTCACTAAGAAAGCCATTTTAGCTGGGTGCAGTAGTGCATGCCTGTAGTCCCAGCTTACTCAGGAGGCTAAGACAGGAGGATCACTTGAGCCCAGGAGTTCAAAGCTGCAATATGCCAAGATCGTGCCTGTTACTGCACTCCAGCCTGTGCAAAGTAGTGAGACCCTATCTGTTTAAAAAAAAAAAAAGCAATTTGTTTGGAAAACAATATTTTCACTGAATTTCCTCCCTTTGCCAAAATCCTGGCGTATGTATATTTGCCGAAAAAATTTATAGGTAACCATAAATTAAACAAGAAATGTATAGTCAAATTTTTAAAGGGCAAATTTAAAAAAAAATTTAAAATATATATAGCAAAATATGATATTAAGTGATATGTATGTCTATTTTAGTTTGTATGAGTAGAGTAGGGAAGTTCCAAAACTAAGTGATTTAATGGTCTTCAAATATTTTTAAATAGTCCTGAGTAAATGATTTAAAAAAATTAGTTGGGCGTGATGGCGGGCGCCTGTAGTCCCAGCTACTCAGGAGGCTGAGGCAGGAGAATGGCGTGAACCCGGGAGGCGGAGCTCGCAGTGAGCCGAGATCGCGCCACTGCGCTCCAGCCTGGGCGACAGAGCGAGACTCCGTCTCAAAAAAAAAAAAAAAAAAAAAAAAGAATTATTAGAGTCAAGCAGTTGAAGTGATAAAACATCAGGTGTTTCATTAAGCTGTATTTTGCAAATATCAGTATTTAGGGGATGTAAAATGGAATGTGAATAAAATGATTTGGAATGGCATGTATCTCTATAATTACCAAACCAGGGACCACTATATTTTAATAAAAAGATCTATCATCACAACTGCCCATGAGTTTCTTCTATTCAGTAGTAAGGGAGGGTTTGTGTGAATATTGAAGAGAAAAGCTCTTTGTGTTACCTTCAGAAGAGTTAGGAAGGAGAACCTAGCAAGGTTGTCTGTGATGTAAATGACACAGCGTAAAGACAGACCAGTACTCTGGAGCTGCAATAGGTAAGATTGGGAGCTGTCCAGCGGCGTCAGAGACAACTGCCCCTCTGCCCTCCAGTACAGCAGCATCCTAGGGGGCTTCAAAGCTGCTTAAACATTTCTGTCAGCCCACAGCCACAGTAGCACCAGCTTTTCCACGTGTAAATGAAGGAAACAAACCTATTTCTTTCATAAAATTCTAGCACAAATTTCAGTATTGGGGGACAAGAACTGGCTGTTCTTAGAGTTTAGAAGTTTGACACTTGTGCAATTAAAAGTAGAGGCTTGAAAATTAATTCTTTGAATTTTCATGAAGAGAGAAGCAGTTTTTTGAAAATGTTCATGCATTCAACTGATACTGATCGATTGATTGTCCACTCTGTGCCCATGTTATTAGTGGGCACTGGAACGTATAGCATGAACTTGGAGGTGCTGCATAACACCAGCTGGTATGTCCTAATAATGCATTTTCTCTGTGAACTTTCTCCTCTGAAGACTGTACACTGTCTTATTTCATAATACAGAAATACATGGACAGTGCCATTGTTGTAGATGATACATGTTTCTATATTATCATTTAATGTGTTGGACACGTTTCATTAAGTGAATCACACCACCATTTTATATATACACGTGTGTGTGTACACACATGTGTAAAACTGATACAGGTATGTTTAAAAGGCAACTTGATATATATATAATTAGACTTGTCAAATACATCATATATGATTAGACTTGTCGAATACCTCAATGCTGAATTAATCCTTTATTAAGAAGAACATTATAGTTCTTGAAAGCTATTGTGCAACTAGCTGAGTGTGTTTTCCTAGCCAAGCCTGAAAAGTGTCCTGATATATAAAAAGTTTATTTTATCTCATGGTACTACTCTTCCTGCATTTTGACCCATTTTGTGACTTCCTTATTGGCCTTTTATAAACATGATCTTTTGTGTGTTTTGCTTTTTTCGGTGACACTTCTCCTCTGAATTTATATCCCAGACAGTTGCTATTTGCCCTCAAAGTTCTTGAATAATCAAATAAGCATAGAAAGTAAATTAAGCAAAGGCATACATGAATAAAGGCATCATTTTATTTTATTGAATACATAAGGCAGTAAAGAATCGGGTAAGAAACAGAAAGTGACCCATATAAAGAGATAAAAAATATAAGTCTACTGAAACTCAACTGTGCCCGTGTTATAAATACAAATGAAAGTGAGTTGAAATGGAAACTCTTGAGAGTCAAATGATCTTTCACACATCAGTTAAAGACTTCAAAAGAAGTCATCAAAGTGGAGGTTAAATTGGCTTAAGTTTTTAATTTGACTTGACTGGTCCAATACTCAATATTTCAAATCTCCTCATGCCTGTATCTACAGTCTGCTTCTTAATTTAGTTTTCCTTGAGCAGAATAAATTGTGTATCATTCCTAATTATTAAAATGCTTATGAATTTTCTACATATTGGTATTTCTTTTTCTAATTAATTTCCCTGTAAAATATCCACTTCAGTAACCTGAAGGGATGAATTTATATTATAGCAGTTACTCTTTTTGGCTTTATTTCTCAGTCATATTTATGCACATGAATGCAAACACAAGCATCCACATGCATTCACCTAGTTATTAAACATATATTTACTACATGATCATGAATGCTAGTAGTAAAGAACTTGGGCCCTGGAAACAGACAAATCTGGATTTAATTTTTGGCTCCATCTCTCACCATTCTTCAACATCAATTTGCTCATTTGTAAACGAGATATACTATCTCCCTTATGGGGTGGTTGCAATCATTAAATGTGATGCAAGAACTATGTCAGATATTAAGAACTAGGAAATATAAGATAAAATTATTTATTGATCACCTACTAGGCACCAGACACTGTAGTTTGCAGTTGTGTTGTGGACTCCATCCAGTCTAGCCCCTACACACCCCGTTTAGTCAATTTAACATATGGAAACCAGATTAATTGGTCAGATCATATCTCTGCCCTGACTTTTTCTGTGCTTTCCTTTTGCCTATAAAATAAAGGTCAAACAATCTTTAAACATGTATCAGTTTCCTTGGGCTGCCCTAATAAAGTACCACAAACCAATTGGCTTAAACAACAAACATTTATTGTCTCACAATTCTCGAGGTGAGAAGTTCAAGATCAAGGTATTGGCATTGTTTGTCCCTGGGGTTTGTGAGGAAGACCCTCCCTAGCTTGACATGGTTTGCTGACAATCTCTGGCATTCCTTGGTTTGTGGAAGCATCACTCTGATCTCTGGTTTCATCTTTACCTGGCATTTTCCCCATGTGTGTCTCTGTCCAAATTTCCCTTTGTAATAACGACACCAGTCACATTGGATTAGGGGCCTACCCTCTTCTAGTATGACCTTATTTTACCTAATTATATTGCAATGACCTTATTTCCCCATGAGGTCACATTCTGAGGTACAGGGAGTTAAGACTTCAACATATTAATTTTGGGGAGGACACAATTTAACCCATAATATAACACATGCTACAACCTGACCCCAAACCCAACTCTCTAACCTAACTCTGATAGTTTTCTTCTGTATAGTCAAAAAAAAAAAAAAAAAAAAGAGAGAAGAAGAAGAAGAAGCCTCCTGGTTTCTTCTCAGGTAAAATTATTCTGCTTTCTTTGTCCCCATCTTCACTCCCACTGTCTCTGGCTTTGTCCTGTTCCTGCTGAAAAGACTCTGCTCTGAACTTCTGCCATATCAGAGCCTCATTCCTTCAAGTGGGAGCTGGTGGTGGGGCTGAGGGACTTGATACCCACCAGGGCAAGGCTTGGCTTGAGTAGCCATAGAAGTCACCCTGAGGAATTGTCAAAATGGAATTCATTATTCAAAGGAAAAGGAGAACTGAGCTATGAAGTGGAAAATACAGTTCATCAAATCATATATATATATATATGTATATATAGCACCCAAGCAATATAAATTAGAATAATCTTGTTATTTGGTGTCTAGTTTCTAAAACCAAGCAGCCATCTTTTCTGAAGAGGTAGTGGGCTGGACTGGAGCACGGGCACATCACAGGTAGTCATCCACAGCCACGTGGAAAGGCTTCATGGCAGTCACATAACTGTTTAAGCTTTGGAGGACTCAGTATATGACAGTTGTGAAGGATACTTTCTGCTCCTGTGTTTTAATCATCTAAAGAGAAAAACAGATATGAACTGTTGGTATTACCATATACTGAAGGAGGTTTGTCAGCATGAGCTATAAGGTAGCTAGGCTATTTCTGTCTACAAGTAAAAATCATTTCATCTGGCTCTGATACCTGGGGATGTTTGCATGACCTTCCCCACTTTCAGATCACACTGCTTGTAGATCACAATTGTTTCATGTTTTCACTTCCTGCCACTAATTGGAACAAAGTCACAATGCATGGTAGTATTTTGAACTCATTTCAGAAAAGAAGGGCACCTCTCCACCACCATGCCAAATAAAATAAAACCAACATATCTGCAAGTGTAAATGAGGTCTTCTTTCACTTGCCTCAAACAGTGGGCTATGTGCTTCACGTAAACATCTGATTTAATCATCCCTTCAGATGAGGAAGCTCAGGTTTAGAAAGGCTAAGTAAGGTGACCAACATGAAACAGCAGGTAAGTTTCAGAAATCATGTCAAACCTAGCCCCATCTGACTCCATAGTTCATGATTCTATCTATTCTATCATCTCAATTCTCTTTCTATATGCAATTTATGAATGGGGACATCAATTCAAATAGCCACAGACCAGATCATGATAAAGCTTCACCAGTTACTCTGCCTAACAATGATCTCTCTCTCTCTCTTTCTCTCTTTCTTACTCTCATTCTTGCCCTCTCTCTCTCTCTGAACTAGTATAACATATACCTATGGCTGAAATACAATAGCTTGGAACATGATTGTTTTCCTGTTACAAGGTTAGATGTTGAGTATGTTCCTAATAGCAAGTTTCATGTCTTATCTTATGTCTCTTGGATACTTTATTCTGCTCTGCCCAGTACCACATATCTAGTAGATGTGTTGAAACTCCCACTGATTGGTTCTAGATATTTAACTTTATGAGTATAGATGAGTTTCATCTGAAAAACTGTCACATCAAGTAATGCCATGGACAAACTCAGGAACATTTATAATGCTATTGCAGTGGTGTAAAGAGACTGCCACAGAACAAAAGAGTCTGGCAAGTGCTTTAGCTTTATCAAAGATAGACACATCCTGCCATTCATCACAGTGCATTGCCTCTGCTATGGCATTATGGTGACAGGGTCATCCACTGAGCCCTGCAAGTATTGTGAAATCACTGACAAATGCCTGCTGCTGTTCAATAGCACTTTGCGTTGATTTAATTTCCAAAGATAAAAATATCAAGAAGTTTTGGTAGATAATAACTTACATAATATCTTTCTGTATTTCCAAATGAAAGAATTAAGAATTAAAGATAGTATATATCTTTAAAATAGCATCATCAGAAGTCCAGAGGTAAAACAAGAAGACAATCTAAATTGCTTGTTCATTCATCTACTCATTTATTCAACACAGATTTAGTTAACACTGACCTTTGTTTTTGCACTAAAAATTATGATGGGGATGTATATGTTTTGGAATTACACACGTCATACACCTAAACCAGAATTAGAGTATCAAACAAGGTTTCCTGGGAAAATAAATACATAAAGTAAGACCTACAGTATGAGTAGAAGAGTTTTCAAGGTCAAAGGAAGAAAAGTGCTCAGAAGTACCCAAGTATAATGTGTTTAAGAGACTCAAAGAAGTGGTGTGACTAAAGGAGAATGTTCCGGGTAAGTGAGATGTGCTGGAGGGAAAGCGGGAGTCAGAGGATGCATACATCTGCATGTGAGTTGGTATAAGTTGGTGTAAATATTGCAGGGTGAGGCGGTAACAGTTGAGGACTGTTTGGGGACTGTGGAGGATCCACCAGTGCCCAGGATCTTGGGTTAGGCTATGAAGAAGGCAGACACCCAAGTGTATAAGGGTTGGGTTTTCATTAGGTGGATTTAAAGGATGTACTTGAGGAAAGGAAGTTGAAGATATAGGAAAGAGCACAGTTGAAAAAATAGATCATGGATTCTAAGCCAAATAAAGAAGGGGATTAAGCCAGTGATGGCCTCATAGTTAGGGAAAAAGTAGAAAGCCTAAAATTTGGAGTTTCATTGAGATTAATGGACAAGGTAGTAGAACGTGAGTAAGAGAAAAAGTCACTGAGAGTCCTGAAAGGATGGAAAATTGTGATTACAGAATAAGATGTCTGAACTCATTTTTTCAGTGGTGGAGAGTTGTGGGTCACTACAGATTTCAGCCTGTAGCCATAGAGGTGGGTCCCTGAAGTTAAATAGAAGCAAATGTTTTGGAAATTAGGACACCAAGGCAATGAGAGACAAGAATGTTTCATGAGTCCGTTTTCATGAGACATTGAAGATGTCCAGAATGATGGCAAGACATGGAGTGGAGGGGGACAACAGTGACCCACATTCCCTATCTTCAATAAATGGGGAAGGGTGAAAATAAGGGAAGCTAAGCAAATGTCAGGAAGCTCAAGGGAACAGTGTTATAGTTCATTCTCATGCTGCTATGAAGAAATACCTGAGATTGGGTAATTTATTTTTATTTTTATTTTTTTGCAGTTGCAAGATTTAATAGAGTGGAAACAGAACTCCCATACTCTAATTTTTAAAGAAAAGACGTTTAATTGACTCACAGTTCTGCATGGCTGGGAGGCCTCAGGAGACTTACAATCATGGGGAGGCACCTCTTCACAGGGTGGCAGGAGAGAGAGTGAGTGCAAGCAGGGGAAATGCCATAGGCTTATAAAACCATCAGATCTTGTGAGACTCACTCATTATCACTAGAACAGCATGTGGGAACCACACCCATGATTCAATTACCTCCACATGGTCCCACACTTGACACGTGGGGATTATGGGAATCACAATTCAAGGAGAGATTTGGGTGGGGACACAGAGCAAAACCTTATCAAACAGCCATTTTTTTACATGAGGCTAGCAGGCTAAATGCCTGGAAGCAGCATTTTGCAGGCATGGAGATGCTAATTCCACCTTCAGATCATAGGATGCGCTGGGTAGAATAAATGAAGATATTTCAATTAACACTAACAGTTAATGAGAGAATGACAGAGTGAAAATATTAGCTGATAACTTCAACAATGCTATGAAATCTGGTTTTACCTGAATAATTTAGGGTGAAGCATGTATAAGACCTTTGGGATATGACGGTTTGTGTTCAAATATTCACAAAAAGCAAAACAAAACAACTTCCTTGGAGAAGCATTGTGGTTCTTTAAGGCTAAGGAGCAATAATAAATGCTCAATAAAGCCTTCTGAATGTACGGAGGATTTCGTTAATGTAAAACATGGGTTAGAGAGGGCAGAGTAAAAAGACTTAAGAGCAAGAGGAATAATGTAGGACAAGATCAAGGAGAGAGTGAAAGAGATTGAGGTGCATTGATATAAAGCACAGACTTGAGGAAAGACAAAAGAGTATGGAGAAGAGCAAAAAAATAGGCTATTGCTGTGTCCAAGGAAAACTGAGCTGTGAAGCATGCTGGATTGAATTTATCTAACTTCTGGTTTGTCAAAAGATTCAGCTCTCCTGGTGGGTAGGAATAAGTTTGCCTAGAATTTTGAGAACCTGCAGATTGGATGAATTGCCCTGATAATAGATGGGAGACTCCTTGCTTTAGAGACGTCAAACAAAATCTGGCTGTCTCCATGTCTAGAATGGAGACACTGGTGTCAATGGAGGCTGGTGTCAAGGAGCCTTGGTGATCACTGCTGCTCTCTATGAGTTACATTCTGTGCACTGATCTACATTACCATCTAACCATAACTCTTTTCTGATGCAAATTGTGTCATGGCCATCCTCTGTGATAAGTGGCATCCTTTGGGCCCTCAAGGATTGCAGTAATGAGAATACTGTGAACTAGGCTGAGTCCTTAAGAGCTACGTATTCCACAGGCATGAAGCTCTGCAGATCAGTGAATCCCTCTACAGAACTAATACTACACAATAGTCTACATTTCCAAAACTTGCATGTATTCTGCATAATCTCAGACATATAACTGGGAAAATGATAGAATAGCTGTCTTTAATATGATAAACCAAATCTAATAATTAACAAGGGCAAAACAATGAAAATCTTGGTTGGTCATTTCATGTAAAGGCACATAAGAGACAGTTTCCAAATAATATGTAAATTTCAAAGTCTGATGGTCACATTTTAGAGCCCAGCTAGACTACTGTATTAGTCCATTTTCACACTGCTATAAAGATACTACATGAGACTGGCTAATTTATGAAGAAAAGAGATTTAATTGACTCACAGTTCTGCAGGGCTGGGGAGGCCTCAGGAAACTTATAATCATGGCGGAAGGCAAAGGAGAAACAAGGCACGATTTCAAAAGGCGGCAGGAGAGAGAGAGTGTGCAGGGGAATCTGCCCCTTTTAAGCCATCAGATTGCACAAGAACTCCCTAACTATCATGAGAACAGCATGAGAGAAACTGCCTCCACGATCCAATCACCTCCCACCAGGTCCTTCCCTCCATTACAATTCAAGATAAGATTTGAGTGGGGACACAGAGCCAAACCATATCAACTACTGACTAGTGAAATAATGTTGGACAAGTTCATTAGCTTTTCTAAGGCTCAGTTTCCTCATCTATAAATTGGAAATGCCATGAATACCTATGTCATACATACCCATGTACTGTACTTAGCTCAGTGCCTAGTAAACAGTCGTCACTCCATAAATGGCTACTATCATCATCACCATCCTCATTATTAATAACAGAAGCCAAAATGTCAACACTGCCAGCTCTTCAGTGCGGCATTCTCAAGTCTGTGGAAATAAAGTTGTTGTCTGATAATTTTATTATATTAACATTCAATTTCTCAGAGAATTTCTCATGAAGAGTCAAATAATCAGCAGGTCTTGACTTCAGACTGTTTCAAATAATCCGTATTTGTTCCAATACAGGAGTTAGGTGAGGAGGAGTAGTTGATTAGCCATGGAAAAATACAAAATTCAGAGGCACAAAAGAAAAAACTGGCAGGTCCTGTTTAAGCACTGGAGAAGGAAAAAGAGACACTTTCTATTTCAGTAGTAGTTCTACCACTGTGTAGAAAAGAATAATCAGCTTATTAAAATCTGAAGCCACCAAACAGTGAAGGCAAATCACCAAATATCTTATATTGCTACTTTGACTTTTTTTGAATCACTGATGAAGAAAATGTGCATTATTTCCTGTCTGAGTTTCTGGAAATCACATTTCTCACTTTGTGTTAGTCCATTTTCATACTTCTATGAAGAAATACCTGAGATGGTAATTTATAAAGAAAAAGAGGTTTGTATTTTATTTTATTTTATTAATTAATTTATTTTTTGAGACAGAGTCTCTGTCTATTGCCCAGGCTGGAGTGCAGTGGCACCATCTCGGCTCACTGCATCCTCTGCCTCCCAGGTTCAAGCAGTTCTCCTGTGTCAGGCTCCCGAGTAGCTGGGACTACAGGCACACACCACCACGCCCAGCTAATTTTTGTGTTTTTAGTAGAGATAGGGTTTCACCATATTAGTCAGGCTGGTCTCGAACTCCTGATCTCAGGTAATCCACCTGCCTTGGCCCCCACAAAGTGCTGAGATTATGGGCGTGCGCCACCGTGCCTGGCCAGAAAAAGAGGTTTAATGGACTCATAGTTCCACATGGCTGGAGACGCCTCACAATCATAGCAGAAGGTGAAGGAGGAACAAAGGCACATCTTACATGGTGGCAGGAAAGAGAGAGTGTGCAGGGGAACTGCCTTTTATAAAGCCATCAGTCTCATGAGACTTATTCACTATCATGAGAACAGCACAGGAAAAGCCTGCCCACATGATTTAATTACCTTCCACTGGGTGCCTCCCATGACACATGGGGATAATGGGAGCTACAATTCAAGATGAGATTTGGGTTGGGACACAGCCAAACCATATCACACTTGTAAACTATTTAATATTTAATGCCAATTATAATTTGACTCTGGGCAAATTATTACTTTTCTAGGATTCAGTTTCTTCACCTATAACATTGAGGTAATTACCAATCTGACAGACCCACAGTAAGGCATTAATGAGATAGCAGAATGACAACACCTACTAAGATACTTAAACACGAGTTCCTCTTCTTCCTGCCATTCCTGAAGCATGGACAGGAAACAGTTTAAGACCCCAGACACGCAGCTCTGGGAGCAGACATAGGTTGCCAGGTGAAATGACATTCTAATGCTGATATAAACCAAGATCCTTTTACACATCAATACTACGTACTGGAGCTGAACCAATCCACAAGCATAGTACAAAATGATGGTACTGGTATGTATATGGTCCAGCCTGGGCAACAGAGCAAGACTCTGTCTAAAATAAAAAAAAAGAAAAGAAAAGGAAATATCATACATCTAAATTAAAAATAGAGCTAGACCAGCAAGAAACTACCTGTAAACTACATCTGTATTAACCACTAAACCAATTATTTTTTATTGGAAGCAAATATTACACATAAAGTTTTGAGTTTTCTTCTAAAGAACAGCTTTATAGTAATTGTTCCATATAATTGTTACTCCTTTCCCTGTGGACTAGTAAAGTAGTTTTATGAGACACCTGTCAAGACTTATATAAGGAATGGTCACTGACCATAGATCCAATTGAGTCGACATACTTTTCCAAAGATCAAATTCTTGACCTTGTGTGATCTGCCAGCCCCCAAGAAGTTTTATACATTCCTTTGCATGGTCTTGTGCCACGCCATGATGGCAGCTGCTACTTAGATTCAAATGATCTCAATGGGCATTTCCATATGGTGTGAGTTAAATTCATAATGACAATCATCTGCTCATGTTGCATTTTTTTCAGATAACCTTGGAATTATTTCAGAAGGCTGAAACTGTATAAATTTAAATGGCAGACAACAACTAAGAAAGAATTACCATACAAGCCGATGATTCCCAGAGAGATTTGTTTTCTGTCTTCATTATAGCATTGACATTTCCTTTAGAAACTTAACATATATGGTCTAACATTCACACCAACATGGCCAGAATCAATACAAGTAAAATTACGTGCACTGATGACCACACTCACCCTGAGTACAGTGTTTCTTTCTCTTAGTACACACATCATCTGTATCTCCACTGCTTCCAGTGGGAATTTAAGATCATGATGCAGACTGAAGTGTTTCTGAAAAGTTAAATCTTCCCATAAAGATTTGCATATAAATTTATACATTCCTGAAATATTTGATTTACTGGGTTTATATACACACACATTCACACCACACACACAGACGTGACACAGTAATATAAAATGTAGAAATCATAATTAAGAGAATACTATCTGTTCAATCAACTTCCTTGGAGAAAACTTCTTGAAGGACATGATTCTTTATTTTGATAATGAAGGATTTCTAGAATTTGTATTGTGGCAAGGCAAGGGAAGTGGATTTCTGAGTTCACTGAAGTCATCATTGGCCAGTAGTAACTTGAAAAGCATTACTTTCCTCACCATTTGTCCACCAACCAGGCTAAAATATCATGGGAACTTAGAAACAAAAACATTTCTCCAATCTACTCTGGAAATGTTAATAATGTATATAATAGCATGTTAAAAGACAATAACACTTATTTGTGCTATTGATCAGTGCCTCTCATAAAATTGAAGAGAGAAATACTGAAAATCTGAAACACTTTTCTCCCCCTTTCCCTTAACAGCACAAAAGATTTGGAATGAAAAAACTATTCCGTATTCTCTGTTACTGACTTGGCTATGAGTTATGTTGCTTTGCATTTAACTATGCTTATATAGCTAATCCACAGAAAGTGCTGTAGTTTGGAAAAAATATAGAGGTATGTAACTGACATTTTCTGTGGCGAAACATTAAAAACATGTTTGGGTTACTCATATAATCAGAAGATGTTTCAACTGCTCTAACTACAAAATGTTGACTTATTTTCTGTATATAAGTTTACCAAAATACCACGTTCACCTAAAGTATGTAAAAATTTTCCTAAAGTTTTTTAGGAACTTATGCTAAAGTACATAAAATTATGTACTTTATGTACTTTTCCTAAAGTTTTTTAGGAAATTATGCTAAAGTACATAAAAATTTTCCTCTTTTAATTTTTTAAAGAATAACAAAGTATCAATTGAACATAAAAGTGGCTCTCACCCACTAATATTTCTGATGCTTAATTTGAATTTATATAAAATCAGTAAGCAGATCTTAGAATTGTAGAATGACAAAGTTTTCAGAGTGCCATCTGGAAAAGGCAAGTGCTTCTCTCTTAATTGACCACTTTTTATACTAGATATACTGAATTTTATGTATATTGGGAAAACTAAATTCTAATGTGAATCACTAAGATGTGATTTATGTGACCTGTGATATCTTTTAAAAATATATTTTAAAAAATTAAAAATGTAAAGCTTAAGAAATGTGAAGCTTAAAAAAATAAGGCTTACTATCAAATCTGAGCAGCCCAATTTGGTGCTGGGCTAAATTAAGAATGAATTAGAGTATGAGTGTCCTATAAAATATTACAAAGAAGAAATTAAATTCAAAATATTTTAACTATAGAAGTGTATAGATATATAAATAAAAGGCCAAAAATGATCATTTTCCCTTGCAGCTTTTGAAAAATTAGTTTATTTACTTATTAGTAATAATATTCAACCTTATATTGGGCTATATCACCTTTCTGTGTCTAAATTTCCTCAACTGTAAAACTAGTGTAAAACTCATAGAGTTATTGTGATTATTAAGTAATTAAATGACTTAGAAAGTGTATGGAACTTTGGAGAGGTGTGGTAGTTCAAGCCTGTAATCTCAGCTACTCTGGAGGCTAAGGCAGGAGAACCATTCGAACCCGGGAGGCGGAGGTTGCAGTGAGCCCAGATTGCACCACTGCACTCCAGCCTGGGCAACAGACTGAGACTCCATCTCTCTGTCTGTCTGTCTGTCTGTCTGTCTGTCTGTCTGTCTCTCTCTCTCTCTCTCTCTCTCTCTCTCTATATATATATATATATATATATATATATATATATGTGGAATTAGGAAGCAGAAAATGAATATTAGCTGTTACTATTGTTCATTCATTCATTCATTGAATTAATTATACTCTGCTGAATCTGGAGTACTAAAACAAAAAATACTCTCCAGGGTGAGTAACTGCACTGGGTAGGAAAAAGATGCAAAAAACAAAACAAAACAAAACAAAAACCCAAAAACCAATTGCATTACCAATTCTGTTGAACATGAGAAAGTGTTATGAAGTTGCATGAAAGTTATATAGAAAGGAATATGAAAATACAAAGTTATATAGAAACACAGAGGAAGGAAGTGTTAACTGAACACAGGCTAGAATTGCAAGACCCCATACTGTGGCACCTACAAATGGTGACAATCTTTAGTGGTTAGCAATTTATTGTAAAATCCAATTATGTAATATTGATTTATTGAAAACAGTGTAACTTCAAAGCAACTGTAATTTTCCTAAGTAGTAAAACAGTCTGTAAACAGCAGCAGGGTGATTAACAGGGCCACAAGGATGACTACTGCGCCTGTTAAATTTGGCTGGTAAAAAGACAATGAGCCCAAATAGATTCAGACAGTTTTTCACTTACACAGATAGCAAAGGCAAGATCAGCACGGAGTCAGCTCCCCATGTTCTAGTCCCACAGGACAATTCAACCAGAGAGGCTATCTGAAGACAAAGCAGACAGTGTCTCTTTCACCGAGAAGCCAAGCTAAACTACAGCCAAGCAGTTTTATAGACTTAATGGGAATCCTGTATCAATAGCCTAAGATGAGTGGGGGGAGCAAGATTGATAAGAAATTGCCTCATGATGGTTCCTCACCAGACTGCTTACCTTCCTTGGCTCCAGCAGAAGTTGCAGGGTCTTCTGCCAGGAGTCTAATAAGACTGTGGTCCAGCCTTGCATATGTAGCCCAGGTGGAGACAAGAAAACTCAACAGGATACTTCCTAGTGGAGCTGTTCCCTTCTACCTCTAGATTAGACCCCATTGTTCTTTGATTCTTATAACCAATACTGCACCCTTCCTCAGGTTTTGTTAAATACATAGAGGTTTTTGTTTGTTTGTTTCTACTGTAATTTTCACTAATATCTAACATTATTTATGATATTAGATTTGTTAATCCCAAGACATCTTGACATAGTTGATACTAATATCAAATAAACTCCAAGCTTATTATATAGATGGAGAGAGTTCTACATTAAGACAATATGGAGCTTCTATAAATAAGTAATTTGAATTACAGATCCCAAACCTGATGTAGGCTACTAGCACCAAAAAGGAAATATAAATAAGAATAATGTTGAGTACATTCTAAACTTGAAGGTTAGAACCTCAAATCTACTGTCAATTCTTTAAATTAATATAGAATGCATGAAAAAATCAAACAAAATGATTAAATAGAAGAGGTTGAAATATTAAATAACATAAATATGTGATACTCAAAGCACTAAAACTAGAAGGAACTTAGAAATGGCCAGGGAATGGTAAAATTGATGTCTTCTACATTCTACCGCATCATTTATGCTTAATTCAATATTAGCAATTTGAACTTATAGCTCCCTGACCAAGAGATTATAAAAGAAGATTCTGACTACAGGGAGAGCAATTCCAAGCAGCTGTTCAAACAAATATAATTTCTGTGAATTTTCTTGATGTTCTTGGGTGTGATCTTTAGTTTAAAAAGAACTCAGGTGGGGATTCCATTTGAAGTGGAATTTAGGAAGATTGAACTTGCAGTGAAAAAGCTAATGAACCTGGGAAGCTGTCCCGGTTTGTTGCCACCTGAGATGGGCCTTCTCAGCTCTGCTGGCAAAATACAAGTGTGACGCTATGGCTGGTAAGTGATAGATCCAGCTCTCTGAAAGCAGAGCAAAGAAAGCACTTTGGTGGAAAAAGAAAAATAGAGACAGAGGGCCAAGTGGAGGAGTTGGAATCTTTTCAGCCAATTAACACACCACCTCCTGCTTTTGTGGGTAGGAGCTGTAATTCAGTGATAGTCATCAATAACTATTACAGATCAGGAGAATGTGACATGGCTGTGATTGTGTAGCTTCACACTTGAAAGCGACCAGGGGAATTAATCAGAGAAACAGAGGAGATTTATTTAAACTGAAATATTAAGGGGATGGAAGTGGGGAAGGATGCTAGATTATTGAAGCAGCTACCTCTCTTTTAATGAAATCACTGAATTAATGTGCCCATCCTTATTAATTTAAAAAGAAGTATGTGAATAAACATGTCCTAAAAGAAATCTCTTACACTAAAATTATGGGTCAGGAATGATTCTACATGATTGGTTTCTATAACTAACTTAATATATGTATTTACATCTCTTGTGGCTGTGCCTGTCTGCATCCAGGTTTCAATATTCCCAGTAGGGCTGGCCCTCTCTTCCCCCAGAGAGCTCACACTTTCAGCTGCAACTATCAAGCTTTCAAATTATCATTACTATTTAGAAGCACTGAACGGTGACAAGCCATTGTCTTTGTCATGCTCCAGAATCAAAATTAGCCAGAGAGATTCAATGAGCAGTTCTAAGTTTAGGTTATTAATTTTTAAACCAGTTTGCAAAGGGTGATCTTTATTTATATTCATGGCCCATGGGTTTGTGTATATTCAGATCTGCACCAACTCTGGTGAGCGAAAAGGACACGATGTGTTTATGTTGGGGCATTTCTGTACAAACTGCATGATGAACTCCTGGACACAATAAAAAATGTCTGTGTGGTATAGCACCTCATTGAATCTTGTAGTATTCAATATATCATACAGAATATATTTATAATAATTAAGATAACAGTCAGTTAAACAAGTATATATTTATTGAGCATCTGCTAAGTGGTAGATATTCTCCTAGTCATAAAATAATAAAATTTAAAAGTGGAATGAGTTCAAGTGTAAGTTTCAAAGCTTCGCAGCATAATATTAGGTGTTCACTCACTAGGAGTCATTTATCCTTGAATGTATTTTTCCTTAACTATATAATAGGGTAATAGTACTGACCTCACAAGTTCATTCTGAAGCTCTAATGAAACAACACATATTCCACACAAAGTAAACTTCAACAAGCTTTGCAAATATGAACTCTTATAATGTGATAGATATGAAGTACTGTCTCCAAGAATGAACTTTACTATTTATTTAAGAATATGACAGCTGATTCTTGATATTGCAAAAACCGCAGTGAAGAGTGATAATATGAGATCATTAAATGTGTGTAACACAAAGCAAAATCTGGATTGATTCTTTTCAAACTACATTTTTCATTTTAAAATATCCTTTTCTACATTTCACCCAAGGAAACCAGATCTCTCTCTCTCTCTTTCTCTTTTTTTTTTTTTTTTTTTTTTTTTGAGACAGAGTCTAACTTTGTTGCCCAGGCTGGAGTGCAGAGGCACAATCTCAGCTCACTGCAACCTCTGCCTCCCAGGTTCAAGTGATTCTCTTGCCTCGGCCTCCCAAGTAGCTGGGATTATAGGTGCCTGCCACCACACCCGGCTAACTTTGCTTTTTTTGTACTTTTAGTAGAGATGGGGTTTCACCATGTTGGTCAGGCTGGTCTCGAACTCCTGACCTCAAGTGATCCACTCACCTCGGTCTCCCAAAATGCTGGGATTACAGTCATGAGCCACCACACCCGGCCGATAAGCCATACACGAGATAGCTCCTATGCACCATTCCTGTATCTGATAATCTGACACCTGATAAGTATTTATTAGGTATAATAAATATCATTAGGTAGTATGTCTCCTGAGGAATCAGAGAAAGATAGAGAAAGATAATATGTGGTCTTGATCCTTACTGTAAGGACATATGGTTTATTTAGAAAACAGATGCCATAGACACTAGAAATGAGGAGTTCGACATTGTCAAGAATGCTGTATAACCTACCTTTGTGTAGGTTTAGTAAGTATAGAGTAGGGAGCAGCCTCATAGACTGGAGTGTGTGAGGGTGTGAGGGTAGCCTCATGTGGAAAATGCAATTTCAGTAGAAAATACCCAGCTGGAAAGAATAGATTTAATGGACTTTTTCTAACATCAGTAAATATGAAGAGAGAAGCACAAGAGATGTGTTTGTTTCTGAAGAGACTGATCTGGTCTTTAGTAACAATGGCAAACTCAATTCAAGGTGTCCTAGTGGAATTTTTGAGCTCTGTGAAATGAAAATCACAGCAATAGAACTAGCTTTGGGCTCACATTATGACACCCGGAAAGGCAGAAGAAGATAGTGGTGAACAAAACACACTTCCTGGAGCCACACTTTTCAGGTTCAAACTCCAGCTCCGCTACTTGATAATGTATGTGTTTTGGCACTTCTTAAAAATTATGTGCCTCAGTTTCCTCAACTGTAAATGGGAATCTGATTTTTATGACCAGTGAATTTGTGCATTTACATATTTATAGTCCTTAGAAAAGTGGCTGCCACATAGTAAATTGTCCACAAATGTTAATCTTGTAATTACTAGGGCTCAGTTTCTTTGCATTTCTGCCACCTCTCTCCATCTCTCAGGATTTGTGCAGCATCTAACACCTCCAAGGCTGAGGACCAGTAGAAAAGTATGTCTTGCTTCACAGTCCTGATGGCCCTGCCTTGTCATTCTCACACCAATCACTATGGCCAGAAAATTCCTGTGTCGGACCTAGGTTGAATGCTGTTCATGAGAATACTTTTGGAATAGATGAAAAAATATCACTTAGGCTGGGGGAGGGGAAATTTCCAAAAAGCAAAACAGAGGTGCCATTGTCATCTAAAAGGGGACTTAATGCTAAATAGTAAAACGCATAAATTACTACTGCAGGCCATAAAGAGAATAATTTTCAAAAATGAATTAAATTAAAAGGAAAGGTGGAAACCAGATTGTAGAAGGATTTCATCTTTGGCAAGGGAAGGAACAGGTGAACAAAATGAGGAAAACTTGGAGGCAGAAGATCCGTCTACAGCTGCCAGGCACCAGGAAGGCAAGAAACTACCAGGATCAATTTGAAACTTTCTTCACCATCTGTTCATGTCCACTGTGAATGGCAAAAAGGCTTTTTTCTAAGAATTTTAAATGTACTTGATCTGTCAATATTAATATTTTCTTTATTTTAATAATTATATCTGTAGGAATGCAAATATACCTTTTTATACAAAAAATAATTTCATTGCAGCTAAAAAAACAAAGTGTTCTTAATTATACTATGATAACTTAGATCTGGCACAATGCCATCACTACTTATTATATATATATATATCAGGATGAATGCATTTACCAGACCTAGCAGATGATGTATTCTTTACAGAAACCATTACTGTGATTGTAATTTAGAATAACAGGTAGACCACTTTAGAGCTGTGGGAACTGCTGGCTAATTCTATTTCATATTGATCACAAAACCTTATACCACCTCCTTTACTTACTTTACGCAGGTACAAGTTTCTGTGGCATTTCAGAAATATAAGCTAAAAATAATGAGTGAAATAGTTTTTCTTAGCTTCAAAGCTCTGTTATATGGTAGGCTAATAAGAATGGAAATTTCATTCATTTGTACATTCATTCAACAAACATTTCCTGAATTTCTTCTAAACCATTCACTCTTGAATTGCTTTATATTAACTTGTTTGATCCTGTCAATAACTGTACAGAAGGTAGTGACAACCTCCCAATTTCTCTCTCTCTCTCATTACATATATATGCACATACACACACACGTATATATACACACACACACATAAATTGTCATTGAGAAATATTCAATGCCTTGAAAAAGTCAAAATGTAAAGCATCATTCTTAAAAGATGCTTAACACCAATTACCAGGAAGAATTGTTCCAGTTGAGGGGAAGATGAGGGCTCAAATCTATCCTGCTTCGTTTGCAATATGTTATAGCTTTATAATCTGAGGGACTTGGATTCAAATGCTATTTCTGCCACTCATTGCTTAGACTAAGTCCTTTAACTTCTTCATATCTCTTTTTAAAATAAAGAACAGTAGCACCTACCTTAAGAAGCTGTTGTGGGCAAATGAGTTAATATTGTAAGTTGCATTAGCACTGTAGGAAGTGCACTCTTAAGAGTGCTCAACAAATATGAGCTATTATTATTAATCATCCAAATGAAATTTGAATCCCTTCTGCCAGCACTCTGTCTAAAGCTAAACACCTAAGGCAGAAGACAATTCATTAAGTCCCCAAGCAGCTCATTTTATCTTTGGACAGCTTTCTTGGATGGTTGTAAGTTATATCTTATGAGGATAAAAATCCTTCCTCTGTAACTTCTTCACATAGGTCTCAGTCTTACCACTTAGGGCCTCAATAGACATTTCTCACTCCTTTTTCCTTTCCTCAAATCTATAAAGACAATTGCGGTTTCCCACTGAATTTGATTCATTCTAAACTAAGCAACCCAAGAGTGCCTAGAGTGTTATGTTGATTAGTCTTTTGTTATTGTTTATTTTGATTTGTTTTCTTTCCAAGTCAATAGTAAAAGACAATACAATCCACTAATGCAGTCATGCACGCGTACACCCCACCACACACATGCACACGTAACAGAGCTCAACACACAGGGCTCAGTTTCAACCACGGTGAGTGGTTGGCTAAAATCTACTTGTTAGCTTTGGCTTTATCCTTGGCCTCTGGACGGCACAGTAACCAAATGCCTGTTTCAATGGAATTCCCAGAATTGTTACATTTGTGCATAATCAACCATTATGAAATGTTTTAGGATACCTTCGCATCCAGTCAGCATGCCCAGCTGAGTGATGAAACAGGGCATGTCACTGAGCTCTGTGGTTATGTCTGAATAGCCACTTTCAAATATAGGTGAATTCTAGATGCAACTCAGTATGTCTTCTGTCTTTATAGATTAAAATCTTACCAATGATTTGAAGTATAAATGTGTATTTATTATTATAACAAATAGAACTATGATTATGAAAGTTGTTAATTTCATATACCAAAACATTAGTAAAGGCCATTCAAACACTGAAATAAACAGGGAAACATATTGACAGCTAATATAAATGTTTATATTAAGTAAGAGACTGTTTGCTATATCAGTGCTTCTCAGACTCTGCTCACAAATTGGCTGGGGATATTGTAAAAACTTAAGATCTAATTCAAGGGGATTGGCTCTAAGATTCTGTTATTTCTTTCAAGCTTCCCAGTGATGCCAATCCTGAAAAATATTAACTCTTGCTTGTGACAATTAATTATGAAAATTAATACAAATATATAGCAAAAAATCAAAATGAGATATTGTAGTTCTAAGCTTTAGAGATTTTTTTGCTCATTACATATCACAAAATAACTTTTAATTACTGTTTTAAAATTTCTGGCAGTAATTCTTCTAAAGTCTCATGGGATACTTTTCAGAAAACTATCAAGTTTTTTTGTTTGTTTGTTTGTTTTTGTTTTTCTTTTGAGATGGAGTCTTACTCTGTCACCCAGGCTGGAGTGCTGGAGTGCAGTGGTGTGATCTCGGCTCACTGCAACCTCTGCCTCCCAAATTTGAGCAATTCTCCTGCCTAAACCTTCTGAGTAGTTGGGTTTATAGGTGCCCTCCACCACGCCCGGCTAATTTTTTTTTTTTTTTTTTTTTTAGTAGAGACAGAATTTCACCACGTTGGCCAGGCTGGTCTTGAGCTCCTGACCTCAAATGATCTTCCTGCCTTGGCCTCCCAAAGTGCTGGGATTATAGGTGTGAGTCACCGCGCCTGGCCATCTATTAATTTTTTTATAGAGCAATTAATATTTTTGTGTTGTAATGTAAAACTTTTGAGGCCAGGAGTGGTGGCTCTTGCCTATGTTTGTAATTCCAACACTTTGGGAGGTCAAGGTGGGAGAATCACTTGAGCCCAGGAATTTGAGACCAGCCTGGACAACATAGCGAGACCCTATCTGCACACAAAAAATTAAAATATTAGCTGGGCATTATGGCATGTGCCTGAAATCCCAGCTATAATGCCTGGGAGGCTGAGGTGGAAGGATCACTTGAGCCCAGGAGATTGAGGCTGCAATGAGCCATGATTGTACCACTGCACTCCAGCCTGGGTGGCAGAGTAAGACCTTGTCTCAAAAAACAAAACAAAAACAAAAACAAAAAACTTTAAAAAATTGACTAATAGATTACTGTCAATAAATCTCAATAGAATTTTTTAATACAATTATAGACTTAGTCTAGTGTCCTAGGAATTCAGTTATGATGGTGATATTAGCTTCAATTTTAGTTTAGTAGGCAGATTAAGGGCTCCCCAAAGATGTCCACATCCAATTGCCAGAAGCTGTTAATATCTTACATCAGGGGTAGGGATCAGGCTGCACAGCAGGAGGTGAGTGGCAGGCAAGAGAGTATTACTACTTGAGCTCCGCCTCCTGTCAGATCAGTGGCAGCGTTAGGTTCTCATAGGAGCATGAACCCTATTGTGAACTACGCATGCGAAGAATCTAGTTACACATTCCTTATGAAAATCTAATGCCTGATGATGATCTGAGGTGGAACAGTTTCATCCCAAGACCAAACCCCTCCCCATCTGTGGAAAAAGTGTCTTCCGCGAAACCAGTCCCTGGTGCCAAAAAGTTTGGGTACCACCGTGTTATGTTAAATAGCAAGGGGCGATTAAGATTTCAGATGGAATTAGGTTTGCTAACCAGCTGACCATAGAAAAATTAGATTTATTTTTGGGTGATCTCAATGTAGTCAAAAGTGTCCTTAAATGGGAAAGAGGGAGGCAAAAGTGTCATAGTGATAGTACCTGAGCAAACTTCACTGGCAACTGAAGAGGAAGTAAAGAGCTTGGGTGAAGGAATGCAGACAGTCTCCAGAAATTGGAAAAGGCAAAAAACAAAACAAAACAAAACAAAATTAAAAAAACCACATTATCCCCCAGAGTCTTGGAAAGAGCTGCTGACATCTTTATTTTAGCCAGTTAGACCCATTTCAGACTCCTGAACTCCACAGCTTTACAAAGAGAAAGGTTTTGTGTAGTTTTAAGCCACTAAGTTCTGATAGTTGGTTACAGCAGCAATAGGAAATGGATACACTTGTCTTTGGCTGAATAATTATTTTAACATTTGGCCAGGCAGTGCACGTTCAAAATGTGCACCTCTAATCTATATCCATATCCCTATTCTCAGCTATACATTATCCACTACGTACAATATACTATTTAATGCCAAACAGCCTGATAAATAATTAGTGGCTCCCCTTCAATATACAGTCCAATGAAGTTTTCCTCATAATTAACCATATAATTTTATTGTCAATGGGCAGGATAGGCAATGGCCAATGACTCAGTGTAAAATGGAAATAAAAATGTCCCTGATTTTAGACACAAATGAGACTAGTGTATGTAAAGTGAGAATAAACATGGCATATACTCCTATAGCCTTTTGTTATTTTTATACTTTCAAATGGATGTGTTATGAAGAATATGGAATATTGACATAAGTTTTAAGGTGAATAAGAAAATATTGGAAAATTGTAGGGTTCTCTCACACATATCTTTCAGTCTCCAGGACCATACTTTATGACTGCTGGATGGAAATGTTTGAGAAACTAAGTGCTTTGGTTGAAGGTTCAGCATTCACTCAACTTCTTTATGATTATTGACAAGCTCTTAAAATGTCAGTGTTGATTAAGTGATGCATAGACCTGCCGTTAGAAAATAAATTTTAAAGAGTCTGATGCGTTCATTCTCTTAATCAGGTATCATGTAAATAGTTCTGGGATTTCTAGAGGCACTGGTCCATAAGACAATCAGCATATTCATTCCCCAGGCAGGTTGGTCTCCCAGTATCTAAGCATACAAAAATCAGCCACTTTAATTACTTTATTGCTGCAGTTCTCAGATGAAAGACATTTGTCACACATTACATTTGCATATGAGTCCACTGCTTAATTAGCAATGGGCTTAGCCTGCTCTTTTTAAAAAGCTCTGAGACAACCAGAAATGGCCCAGTGAATTTGAGTCACCCTTGCCCAGACTTTCTGCATGAGACTGTATCTCCTGATGAAACATTTGACACTGCGAGCTCCTCATATTGTCTTGGATTGATAGTTCAAGATCTGATACTTGCCTTACTGACTTGTGTCCTGGCATCTTCTCTTCTGAGACTGAGAACATGAATTTGCCTTGAATCTCTGTCTCTGCCTTGGCCTCCCTTTCTTCACTCCCTTCTGTAAGAGTTGAAGAAGGAAGAAAGAAACACAAAAAGCAACTCAACAGTCAAAGACAGGTTTATTTTGGAGAATAAACCTGAGAGGAGCTTCTGGCCTAATTAGGTCAGGAGCTTCTCTCTTATAGACTGAGGGTATTTAAGGGTTCAGGGGCTGGTGAGGAGGGGATGCCTTATCCTCCTAGGGCCTGATGGTTCAGTTACAACCACGTGTGCTGTCTGTATAGAGAAGAGTTTTTATCAGCTTTCACCCCATTCCTAGACCACATAGGCCAACTTTTAGTTTGTGTCTCTTTGTCTTGCTTATCTGAGAGGAAGAGTTTTTGTGTCTGTTCCCATATATCTTCCTGCAGCTGCAGGCATACCCCAGCTAGCTTCCCTATCTGAGTGCACCTAAAGGGAAAGGAATGTGCTTATTAGGGCCCACTGTTTTACTGGGCCCATTGTATAAGTGTGAAGTTTGGTGATTACCCAAAAGACTTTCCCCCCTTCTTCTGTGCCCAAGCTATCTTATCTGTGTTTTACTGTGCTCTTTCTGGCTGCTTGTTGTTAGAAGAAAAGTGATTTCCTTGAAATGCATGAGGTTAGAAAGGGAGCTGGAACTTAAAATGGCGGTATTTGTCCAAGATGATGGTGCTCCTGCTCTGTCACCTTCCATTATTGATTCATTGTTTATTTATCGAGCCCATATCATGTGCCAGGCACTGGTCCTACGCTATGCGGAGTGAATGCAATGTACATCCTGTGCTTTTCCTATAATATCGCTGTCATGTGCCTGGTGTTGGTCTCTACTCAGTTCTGAAACTAGTGCAGAATAGAATTTTATTACATAGATTTAATGTGATAGTTAACATTCTTTTAATGAAGCTCTCAGGTTTATTTCTAGAAGGTATGCTAATATTTATGAGTAAATTTCACCTTCATTGAAGGGCAGATTTCACCAGCCCTTCAATGGACACATTCCTTTATTGATTAAAAAAAGCACTTTGAACTAATCCCACTTTATATCTTATTGTGGTTATTTTCATGAGTCAAATAAAGGAACAAAAAGTCTAACACTAGACAGCAGACACTGCTACTGTACATAGTATCAAGAAAATAGGAAAACCTGAATGAAATTAAACCTAAAACAAGGAACAGAGTAACATCTTAACCCCTGAGTCCAGGGAACACGATGGACTCTTGTCAACTTCCACCAGACTGAAAGTGTTTAGCTAATAATAGTTATGACTGAACAGATGACTCAATTATGCCATATGCCATTTTATTGGCCCCAAGAGTGTATTTGTGAACACAGAGAGATAAATGTAATTCATTATTATGTTAATCAAGACCAAAGGTCATGTGGCAGGCAGGTAGGAAAAAGATAGTGCTTAATGAAACATTTGCTTTTCTGTATTAAACATCATGAGAGGAAAACAACTGTCTTAATACCCAGATGAGTCTACAGGGGCAACAGTACTCATCTATGATGTTTTTTTAGAACAAAAGCATTTGGTCATGCAGAAATAATGTAGAATCATTTCTAAGATGTTTTTCTGGCAACTAATTTTTTGGGCTTTAGTTCTATCTCCTTATTCTTTAGTTACCTGGTTGTTACAGCTTAACTAATTTCCACCGATACTTAAGAAAAAAAAACGATACGCACAGTACAAAAGAGATTCATTTAAGGAGTCATTGAAGAAAATGTAAAATTAGCCAGGCATTTTACATTTTCTTTAATGATTTTTAAAATGAATCTCTTTTGTATTCTACATGTTGTTATTGTACTCTGCGTACTACAGGTGGCAAACACGTGTAGTCCCAGCTACTCAGGAGGCTGAGGTGGGAGGATCGCTTGAGTGGGGAGGTTGAGGCTGAAGTGAGCCATGATTGTGCCACTGCCCACCAGCCTGGGTGACAGAAAATCTACGTACTTTAAGGCATTCTCTTTAGTTTTAATATTTCAAAATGCAAGTCAGAATCTATAGATAAAATTGAATTATAGTTTTTTTATTGAATCAATGTTAGTATAGCTTTAATCCTTACATTTAGAAAAAAATATCACTTAATGATTTTATTTTAATAGACTATAGCACAGGCTTAGATTTATCTGATTGCCAAACAAAAGGAATGCTGCTTTGTGCTGGGGAAACAGAACTCTGAGTTCTGATTCATACTGAAGAAGAACATTCTGTTAAATCCAGGTTCACAAGAGCAGAAGCCTGATCTCTGCTTCATTTCCATTGTTTACATGTCTGTGTGAAGATTTGGTAAGAGTGCTCAGTTAAGTGCTTCCACTAAACGTGTCCCACCTTTAGCAGCTCAAAATTTAAATTCACATGGTATGTTTTGGTTTATTGGAAATATAAACATCTAGTTCCTTCTTACCACTTTAGTCAAGAAGCTGTGTTGGTTTTAAAGTAATTCTTTGTGGATAGTAAAATTTAAATCCATTTCCTCTTTTTCCATGGACAGACAGAGAGTGTGGACAGTGGTCTCGTTCTTAAACATGAATCATGTTTTGCTTAAACTTTTCATTGGTCTACTCTGCTTTCAGTTCCACAACCTCATATTTAGTCTCTTTCTAGTTTCTCTTTATTTTTCTAGAAACAAAAGATGCATATTCACCAATTTTTCAGTATATGTAGGGCAAAGAGTGAGAAATATTCATAATTACTTTCTGCTTTATTGTATCATACTGTGTTATATGGATTAAAAATCTATGTAATATAGCTAAACCGTTTAACATGTTGATGGTAATGATTTTAAATTATGTTTACTTTTTAATATCTGTTTTTAATTTGGATTCTCATTGTGCTAATGTTATTGATATGCACCTGTCTTCTTCCTCAGCAATATTTATGCACAACAATGCAGTGTTGACATTGGGATTTAGGTTAGGGTTATAGTCAGGATGTCTTGTTGGTGTTTGTATCCCCCAGTGACTAACATAGTACTTCCTCTCCCACCTGATGTTTGCACAGTACTTTTTCTTTAAGAACTCCAAAAATCTGTTAAGAAATTTAACGGATTGAAAATAAATATCTCCTCCTAACAATGGTTGAACTATGTCTGCAGACTAACTTAAGCTTCCATATAATTACTTCAACATACTGAAACTTAAATTGAATAATTAAGCATATATACATTTGAAAGTGAACAACAGAAGCTTTGATTAATAATGGATTAGGGCTACATTTTTTCCTCTATTTATTTATTTATTTATTTATTTTATTTATTTATTTTTTGAGATGGTGTCTCGCTCTGTCGCCCAGGCTGGAGTGCAGTGACGTGATCTCAGCTTACTGCAAGCTCCACCTCCCGGGTTCTCCCCATTCTCCTGCCTCAGCCTCCCAAGTAGCTGGGACTACAGCTCAGCCTCCCAAGTAGCTGGGACTACAGGCACCCGCCACCACGCCTGGCTAATTTTTTTGTGTTTTTAGTAGAGATGGGGTTTCACCGTGTTAGCCCGGATGGTCTCGATCTCCTGACCTGTGATCTGCCCACCTCGGCCTCCCAAAGTTCTGGGATTACAGGCATGAGCCACAGCGCCCAGCCTCTATTGATGTTTTGATGCTTTGGAAACTCAGTTCGAGGTAGCTTATTATAATTAGAAAGTACTAGCAATTGAGGTAGGTTAAAAGATTCAAGATGACATTGTCTCTTATTCACTCCTCTTTAGGTGTGGAATGGATTCTAATCAATCAATTAGTTAACCAATCAAATGATGATTTTTTTTGTATATACATTATCTATCACCCATAATATTAGCTCTTGAAAGATTTCAAGAGGCTACCAGTCCCCCTTACAGATACTATATAATTAATAAGGTAGCAATTTCTTATTAATCAGTTTGACATATGTATTTTAGGTGACAGTTTCTACTAGGGTTGTTCATGGTAGATTATTTTTACTGATTACTTTGATAAAACACTGAACTTGTAATTTCTTCATTTGTCTTATTTTTCTATTTGTCAGATTTCATTAGAAAGCTTACTGAGTTACAAAATAAAGTCACATTTGGTGATATGTTTATTGTTTCATGCTGGGAGGTGGGTAATAATAATTCTTCTCTAATCTTGATATTTCTCTTCACATGGAGGAAGATCAATCAGTGTAACATTTCTAGTCTCTCTCTGAAGGTAAGAGAGGAGGGGTTACTTTCCGATTGGTCCATTTGGAAGAATTATCTGGATATGCTTACTTTAGTTCATTCTTATTTTCCTTCATTAAGATTGCCAGAGAGAGAAAGTGTTTGCCTATGCTAGACCATCGCTTTGGAATTTAAAATTGGCATTTAGTAAACAGGATGAACATGTTACTCCTGTTGGATGAATTCATTATACCCATCAATAAGTGACCAAAATTTACTCTGATGACTGAAAGAGAGGTTAGGTTATCCATTACGTGGATAAGATTTGTTTTCCAAATTAGCCGGGCATGGTGGCAGGCACCTGTAGGCCCAGCTACTCGGGAGGCTGACGCAAGAGAATGGTGTGAACCTGGGAGGCGGAGCTTGCAGTGAGCCGAAATCGCGCCACTGCACTCCTGCCTGAGCGACAGAGCGAGACTCTGTCTCAAAAAAAAAAAAAAAAAAAAAAAAAGATTTGTTTTCCAAGAGAATATCAGTGATCATTTGTACACTGCCATGGTGGGGATTGTTCATAAACTCTACCAGAATTGTTCCTCCCCATGCAAATAGTTCTGCTTAAAGCTAAATGATGGCTCCCTCTAAATAAATGCCAGATGCACCTTACCATTTGTTCTGTGTGTGGAGGTGTCTAACTGGGTTATCTCAGATTCTGGCCCAGAAAAGCCTGTGCCAAAAACTTTCAGGGACTTGGAAACATATCAAGGCTTTTTCACACAAGTGTGTAGCACTGAAATTGTCACCCAGCCTGAAATTGCACCCAGGTTGTGCACAACCCTCCATACATCTTTTCTCATTGTGCAATCTGTCCTTGTAAAGTGGCAGTTGAACACTGTACAGAAAACGAGAAACTGCCTAATATTGCCAAATAAGAATGGACCCATAGAGAAAAGTCTGTTCCTGGAATATGCTTCTGGTAGTGGAAGACTGAGTGAGTTTGAAAGATAAACTGGTCTCTTTCTGTGTCTACGGAGGTAGACCTCCTTGTAACTTTTACCTTTCATCATTGGTCTTCAGATGTCTCTGTCCTACTTTTTGCTTCATAGCTTGTACCATATTTTATTTTGGAGACCATCTCAGGGCAGGAGGGAAATCCAAAAATTCTTTTATCTACAAAGTATATCCCTAAAATTTCATTATTCTCCATGGATTGGAGATAAGATAATCTTCATTGACAAAAGCAGCCAGTCCTCATTCTGTCTGTTAAACAGATCTGTTAGTGAAAAATCTGCTAGGTTCTGAATCATTGGTGATAATAATTATTATAGACTTTTAATTTCTTTTCAAGTTTAGTGTCATTGTTAATTTAGGAAAGACAATAATTTATGTACTTTTGTTTTATTATTTATTTGAGTGAAAACAGGTATCTTCTGTCACAGATTGCGGTATAATTGAATGTGGGTGTCTCAACATCAACAATAATTAATTAGAAATGTAAATTTCAAAAGGACTCAATCCTAATTAGAAAGTGATTTCCCCCTGCAGTCTGTCTGTATGTCATATAAAGAAATAATATCTCATCAAATAAACTTGCACATATAAATGTGTACTGTGTACATATACACTGCATAGTTGCATAGGTTTATTTAATTAATACTCAAGCTTAGATCATTGGATTTGCTATTCTAAATATATTTCTGTAAATATTTCTAAATCAATGTACATGGAAGTGATTGTTACTAAACTTGGGAAAAAAGATCTGAAAGTTTAAGTCATAAGAATGATGAAAATGTGGATTTATGTTTGAAATGAAGGTTGAGTACATTTCTTTTCTTTCATTTTGCACTTTCTTTCTGTGTGTTCTCTTCCTGTCTCTTTCTTCTTCCCATCATCATTCCATCAAGACCTGACTTCACCTTTCTTTTGTGCCTTGAGAAGTTTTACCCATTATCCTGACCAAATGCACCCACCCAGACTAGAAGGCTCCAGTTTCCAATTCTTCCATCCCAATGAATGACTTTATAACTCGGATGATGTTATGCATAGGTCAGAGGAGAAAGACATCTTCTATTCATCTTCTTGATCTTATTAGATCATACATTTCCAGGCCAGCTCCCAGGAAATGCAATTCCCCATAAACCACATTGAAATCCCTGACTTCGCAAATGTGAATGACCTGAATCAGAGCACAATCAGAATGTCAGACAATAGAAGTATTTTTAGTAATACTGAGTTCTAGTCAGATTGAAATATAATTTAGAGCCCCCTCTAGTAGCTTCAGTTGGTCCATTAAAAAAACTGACCTGTTTTGCCTTCCAGTGGCATCTGACTGTTTACCCCAAGAGCATTTCACAACATTGATTTTGATTGTTTAGTCCGGATAATCTTAGCCGTGTCAATATTTTTAAATGGTTGTGATTATCTGGTGTCTATGTACTAATGATCTGTAGCAGAAGATTCAAACCCAAATAACTTATACAGACCAGACATGTAACTTAAATCATGAAGCAGGTTAGATAAGAAATGAGTAGGTGGAGACAGGTAAACTAGAGAGGGGTGCCCCAATTAAGTCCATCAGCTGCCTCTTCCCTCTAGTGGTATAATATATGCATATAGTACATTCTAACACTGTGGATTCCAAACAGGCATTGCTAAGGCAGGCTTACACCTGCATTGCATCAGTCTTGGATTTAAAGTTAGCTGTCATAACAGGGTGAAAACCTTGAGCAGCCCTGTTTTCAGTGCTAGAGTGTGGGATAAAGACAAGCCCAGTTTTATCTGTGGCATTTGGAATGATTCTGTAGCAGAGTATTTAGTGGCAAACAAATTTGCAGAAATAGTTCTGTCAAATTGAATAGGTGATCAGTCAATCAATCATGTGTTTTCTCGTATTTGTAACACTCATGTGTCTTTGATGAACATTTTATTTGTGAATAATTTGATCTCTTTTTCAGGTGCTCCTACTTTGAAAAATGTATTATTCAACTCTGTTTGTAATAGTGAATACTTCAGGGCAGGGGAACCTGCCCACAATGTCTTTTAAAGTTACCAGCAAGTGAAAAACAAATACAAAAATAAGTGCTGGGCTTATTTTATTGTCAATCAAGATTTAATTGTGCCATTTGGATAAATTGTGCTGTGTGGACAAAATGACTTCGGTCAAATCATTTGGAGTTCTTTTCTTCCACATCTCATCCTTTCCTTTATATGCTACCAGAAAATCCCTATGCAGGTCTTTTTTAGGAGACTTAGTAAGCACTGGGGTGATGAAGAGTGGCAGGCAATAGCAGGATAAGCACAGAGTTTATCTGGCTGTGGATTGTGAGCAGCATGCACTTTGGGAATCCTGGAAAACTCTGCTTGTGTGGAGGGGCAGCTGTGGAGTTCATCCTGGTTACCCTCTGGAGCTACAGAAGTGTGGGATCCTTAGAGCAGTTGTAGAGATTACAGCTAGAATGCAACAAAGAACAGCCCTGTCAGTGACTTTTTAAATGCTGTCTCAGATGGGAGGGTTTGTGGAAGGAGGACCCAGCAAACTGGCTTGCAGGATGTGGTGCATTCAGAGATGCTCTGCCAAAAGTTCCTTCAAGGAAAGCCTGTCTTCCTAGCTGCTAGGTGTGTGGTGAACAGTAGGGAGACCCACAAACAGAGACCGATTGAGGCAGGAGTCTAAAAGCTAAATGCAGGATGATTCTGACAGCCATGTTAACTCCAGAATTCTCTGTGGTGTCAGTCAAGGCTGACATCAAGACTGCATTGCAGCTGGACCTCTCCCTCTGCTCAATTGCCTCTTCCTTATCCCTGGTGCAAATATTGGACACAAGGGCACCTTGTGATAAACATCCTATGTGTCACCCTGCAACCCCATTTCATGAAACCTGGGGGAAAAACAGAGTGAGAGGGTCTGTGGGAGAAGGTGCAGAGAAGTAGGTAGACATCTCTGGATCACAGGGAAAATACTTTGCGGGCCAGGAAGGGAGCATGAACGATGGAGAAATTCCAATGCTAGGTCAGTAGGGAGGGATGGTGACTTCAGGTAACTGGGCAGCGCATGAGCCTGCTCACTTCCCGGCCATTGCAGGGACAGGGGCTTGTGGATCCATGGTTACCAGAACTTTTGGATTAAGGAGAAGCTAAACAATTGTTAACATGAAATTTCTGATACTTATAAGTGTACAGGCTATGGGAAAGCAATCCACGTTAGTTTTCTGTTCTAGATTAAAGTATATCTTTCCAACCCATAGGTGGTTTGGTGGGGAGAGTAAGAACGTGAGCAATAGGCACAGATGTGCCCTCATTTTGCAAAGGGAAGAGACGATCATTGACTGAGCAGGTACCAGTAGTCAGGCAGTTTCAGTTTCATTTTTATCTGTAATGCGTGTTCGTTTTCCTCTTTCCTCTGAAACTGTCTATTTCACATTGGGATAATATTTGTGTAACAACCTCAGCATAGGGTGAGCTAGTTAGAGACTTTTATTCAATTACTGGCAAAAGTTATGAGTATTTTCGTCTCACCCTTTTCTATGGTACAAACTTAGGAATCTAATACTAGAAGGCAATGCAAGATACCATTTTTAAGTATCTAAAAGAGCTGATATAAGGAAAATAGCAAATTTCCTTAGGTTCCCCATAAAACCAAAAGCAAATAGATGAGAAGTGGAGGACATATCGACTTACCCTTTGGGCATGATTTTCTTTGCCACTGGGACAAAAGGAGTCCTCTTGACCTGAATTCCAGGCCTGCTATCTCAAAGCAGATCTCTACTTGTGCATGAACCTGACCCTCCTGCAGATATGCCCATTTGTATATTCTGTCAACCTCTGTGACCCTACATTTTTCTTAGAGTTACACCTCCTGGGATAGACTCACAAATAAATTTATGTTGTTGGGTGCTTCCTAGATCTATATACATTCTAAAACCATTCTCTGGGGCCGGGCGCATTGGCTCATGCCTGTAATCACAGCACTTTGGGAGGCCGAGGTGGGCGGATCACAAGGTCAGGAGTTTGAGACCAGTCTAGCCAACATAGTGAAACCCCGTCTCTACTAAAAATACAAAAAAGTAGGTGGGCATGGTGGCGGGCGCCTGTAATCCCAGCTACTCAGGAGGCTGAGGCAGGAGAATCGAGTGAACCCGGGAGGCAGAGTTTGCAGTGAGCCGAGATCGCGCCACTGCACTCCAGCCTGGGTGACAGTATGAGACTCTGTCTCAAAAAACAAACAAACAAACAAAAAACACTCTCTGTGTCCTTGAGTGCATTGTTGAAAGACATGTCAGGTGTCCCATGACTTATTTCAGTGGACAGAACTCTGAACTCTTTCTTCAACACAATCACTTACTAAAGTGTACTTAATCTTTTCTTCTACACTCAATCACTTCTGCCCTTTGTGGGGTTTTTGGTGAGATGCTCTGTTCCCTAACATTCAGCAATTTCTTCTGCACAAAATCCACACTCTTAAGAAGCAATCAGCAGGCCTATTAAGGCTCACCTACAATTGAAGACACCATGCCGCTTGCTAATTTACATTGCAAATGTAGGCCTGGCAGCCGGAACCAGCCACGTGAATGGCTTGAGCACTTTGCAACTCCTGGAGAAGCCCGATCTCTTTTTGTGCTGTCATAACACACCAAACTAACCAAATAACACATACACAACATTTTCTGAATATACTATTTCTCCAAAATGCTTTTCCTCAAACACTTGAAGATTTATATGCCCTCTTGACAAATACTGTTTTCTATTTTCTCATTCCTATATGGAATATAAGGGACTTTGTTTGAATTCTTTGCTTTTGTTCATTTTCTGTGGGTGTCATGAGTGCCTATTATATTTTCTAGATTTTTTTTCTTCAGGGTTTAGAAAGTGAGCATTTGGGCTTACTTGGGGGATAAAGGGACTACTTAAGTGAAAACATTAATAGAAAGGTGGAAAAATATTTTAATTATTTTCTTTCAAGCATTATTTGTCATATTTAAGACCGCAGGTGTGAGCTTTGCTCTGCTCCCCATTGTGCAACTGATTAGGGGTTATGCAAAGTTAAGAGTGGAGACTGCAGGAGTTATTCTTATGATTTTCCAGTTGAAAATGCTGTTTAGCACTATATATTTCTAATAAAACATGCAAAAGGAGAGAACCACTTGCTTCCAAAAAGTCAAGAGCCACTTGCATCCAAAAAGTCAAAACATGAGGTATGAAAAGGTAAGTCAAGATGGTATCTAAACAATTCTGATCAGCCAGATATCTGGAATCTTTTATAATATTGAGAGAATTTGTATTTGGTATTGTTACGGCTGCAAATCCATACAGGCCTGCGGCAACCTCAATTCTTGCCTCCTCAGAAGAAAGAATTCAGCTGAGGGGGGCATAAGGCAGAAGGAGAGGCCGAGGCAAGTTTTAGAGCAGGAGTAAAAGTTTATTAAAATGCTTTAGAGCAGGAACAAAAGGAAGGAAAGTACACTTGGGAGAGGGCCAAGTGGGTGACTTGAAAGACAAATGTGCTGTTTGACCTTTTGACTTGGGGTTTTCTACGTTGGCATACTTCCGGATCTTGTGTTCCTTCTCCCCTTATTCTTTCCTTGGGGTGGGCTGTCTGCCTGCGCAGTGGCCTGTCAGTGCTTGGGAGGAGAACATGCGCAGTGTGTTTACCGGAGTTGTACGCATACTCACTTGAGGCATTCTTCCCTTACCAGCCGAATGTCCTTAGAGGTCAGATACCAATTAAACTCCACCATTTTGCCTCTTAGTGCACATGTGTGAGCCCTGAGATCTTCTTATCCGGAAGCCACTGATCACCAGTTTCAGGTTTTTCCTACCTATTGGGAGACTGACTCACCCCTTGCACCAGCTGCAACCAGTTATTATTTTAGAGAGACAGTTAAAAACTGCCTGACCATCAACTGATGGTCACCTGACATTCCTGATTGGGGTGGTGGGGGTTGTTGTGGTTGATGCCTCTCCTGCCCTGTTCACGTCTGATTAGCTACCTACTGTAACAGTATAAACAAAACATTAGTCACCCAATCTACTTGGCCTTGCCCTTTTTCCTACCTGAAATAGACTTCCATTTTTAAAAAATACCTCAGAATAGACTATCAAAGTCTCACTGCCTTTCAATCAAATTTTTCTAGACCAATCAATTAGCAAAGCATTGATCAGATTACTATCCAAGTGAGAATTCCATGCAAGACTCTGTGGCTCTGGGATACAAAATAGGGTTAAAATAATGTCTTTCACACTTCCTTAGAGGAGCAGTTAAAGACAGAAAATAACACTATGCCACCACACTTACAAAAATAACTGAAGTATGTAGTATAAATTCATTCACTTTTTGAATACAATCATTCATTCAACAAATACTTAGTGAGTTCCTACTGCATGCTGGCCACTACTCCAAGTCTCCTGGGATAGAGGGGTGAAAAAAAAGCAGACATAGTGAGTACTCCAGGGAGTCATTCAAGCCTATGAGAGTTCAAAAAAGGGTGAACTGGAGAAACAAGAAAAACCCTCTTGATAGAGTTTGGGCATATATTGAGCACTGAGAGATGAATAATATAATCACTTTTAGGGAAATGTTTGGATTGAATTGTGTCCTACATTAGGATGTTGAAGGCCCAACTTCTGGGTTCCTATAAATATAACCTTATTTGGAAATAAAGTCTTTGTAGATGTAGTCAAGTTAAGATGAGATCATGCTGGATTAGGTGGGCCTACTCTGATATGACTGGCTTCCTTATAATAAAAGAAAAGGAGACAGACACGAAGAGGAAAAACAGCCATGTGTAGACGTAGGCAGAGATTGGAATGATGTGTTGATAAGCCCAGGAATGCCAAGAATTGGACTTCTAGCCTCCAGAACTTCAAAAGAATACATTTCTGTTATTTTAAGCCATCCAGCATGTGGTTCTTTTAATGGCAGCCCTAGGAAACTAACACAGGAAGCCAAGACAGGCCAGTGAGAAAGGAAGAATAGACAAGAAACAGGACACAAACAAGTGGGGAAAGAAATACAGTCATTCAAACCACTGTTTCAACTGAAGTGGGCAATATATTCTAGGAAGAATTGGCATTCAGATTAAGAGTGTGATTCAATGATAAATGAAGAAACTTAGACAATAGAAAATCATTGAGAAAAAGAGGTATGATCAAAGGAGCACTTTAGGAAATTAACCTACAGCAATACACAAAACCATTGATTTAAATAATCTAGCCATTCTAATAAACAATTGGACAAGAGTCTGTCTAAGGAGACAGAGGAGGAATAAGTCACTGAGGACATGAAGAGGACAAAAAAGACAAAAAGAGGAGTTTCTTTCTAATTGTGATAATGATTCTGTGTAACCTGTAAAGGTAATAGTTTGGACTATTTATTTGAATTACTAAATTCTAGCCTTGCCATTAAGAATTTCTCTGCCATTTGGCCAGGTAGTACCTCAAGACTCTCATTCCAATTGGAAAAAATAAGGAAAAAAACACTACCTAATAAATGGCAACAAAAGCCAAAATTGACGAATGAGATCTAATTAAACTAAAGAGCTTCTGCACAGCAAAAGAAACTATCATCAGCGTGAACAGGCAGCCTACAGAATGGGAGAAAATTTTAGCAATCTATCCGTCTGACAAAGGGCTAATATCCAGAATCTACAAAAAACTTAAACAAATTTACAAGAAAAAAACAACCCCATCAAAAAGTGGGCAAAGGATATGGATAGACACTTCTCAAAATAAGACATTTATGCAGCCAACAAACATATGAAAAAATGCTTGTCATCACTGGTTATTAGAGAAATGCAAATCAAAACCACAATGAGATACCATCTCATGCCATTTAGAATGATGATCATTAAAAAGTCAGGAACCAACAGATGCTGGAGAGGATGTGGAGAAATAGGAATGCTTTTTCACTGTTGTAAATTAGTTCATTGTGGAAGATAATGTGGCAATTCCTCAAGGATCTAGAACCAGAAATAACATTTGACCCAGCAATCCCATTACTGGGTATATACCCAAAGGATTATAAATCATTCTACTATAAAGACACATGCATACTATGTTTATTGTGGCACTATTCACAATAGCAAAGATTTGGAACCAACCCAAATGTCCATCAATGATAGACTGGATAAAGAAAATGTGGCACATATACACCATGGAATACTATGCAACCATAAAGAAGGATGAGTTCGTGTCCTTTGCAGGGACATGGATGAAGCTGGAAACCATTATTCTCAGCAAACTAACACAAGAACAATAAACAAAACACTGTATGTTCTCACTCATAAATTGGAGTTGAACAATGAGAACACATGGACACAGGGAGGGGAACATCACACACTGTGACCTGTCGGGGGATGGGGGGCTAGGGGAGGGATAGCATTAGGAGAAATACCTAATGTAGGTGACAGGTTAATGGGTGCAGCAAACCACCATGGCACGTGTATACCTGTGTAACAAAACTGCATGTTCTGCACATGTACCCCAGAGCTTGAAGTAGAATAATAAAAAAATACTAGCTAATAGCTAACGGGCCTAACACCTAATAGCTAACAGGCCTGTTCTGGAGATTTCACAATGAAGTATATTTCATCTGTCTTATCTATTAAGCAATACATAAATGTAAGTAATTGCATTGTGCATTTTCCACTTAGAACCCACCACACAGTGAAAAAATGGGTTTGTTTTCCTAATGTTATTTGTGACCTGATTTTTTTTGTGCCTAAAGTAAAAGACTTGATAAGCCTCTTCCCTTGAAACAATACCATGGAAAAATCTTGCCCTTCTCTATTTTCTTCACTTCTCTTCATTCTTTTATTGTATGCATATGCACTCACACCCATTTCCCCAGTTAGTAGAAATAAAAGTAAAATACCGTGAGGTTTCAATTTGACCTATTCATGAGCACTATATGAAACCCCCAAATTTAGGGGCATATATGGTATATGGGCATACATGGCAGTCTGGCATATATGGTACAAGCTCTTTTGAGTTTCTGTTAAGTCTTGCTGAAATTTGTGCCACACTTGAGGAAAAGGATACTCAACATTTCTGGTGGGTAAAAAGCAATTGGAATAAAAACATCATAGGGGGAATGCCTGCTGAGAAATCCCCATTTTCCACAGAATACAGGAAATTATACGTGCTGTCTTACAGTGTTCTAAAGTGTGAATAGCCAACTCCTTACTTGGGACTGTGGTTAAAAAACAAAAGCAAGAACCTAGAACACATGATTGCATTGGCTTGTAAGAACTATTTTTTTAAATGTAAGATTTTACATATACAGATCTTACATGAAATATATATGTATGTATATGTGTGTGTGTGTGTATATATATTGAGATGGGGTCTCTCTATGTTGCCTAGCTGGTCTCAAACTCCTGAGCTCAAGCAGTCCTCCTACCTCAGCCTCCTTCCCAGCTGGGAAGACTTCCCACCTGGGAGACTGAGGCAGGGGGTTTCTTGATTTCTTTTTAGATGGCAATGTAAAAAAGATGCTAAATCTTATTAATATGCTTCCTTATCTTTGAACTTCCCCACAAAATATGTTAAAGTAAAATTGAAGATTGACCTTCAAATCAATATAGAGGGATTTAGACAAACCTCCATTGTTTGTGGAAATGAAACAGATGCTAGCCACTTTGCAACAAATGTCTGCCAGATACCATGTCTGCATTACTGCATGTACTATAAACATGGTTGTCCTCAAATGAAGCAACTGTCAATTTAAAATCCAGTCCTGAACAGCTATTCATGTCCTCATGTGTGTCTATATCTATACACGTGAGTGAATGTGGTGACGCAGAATGGTTTGGATGAATTTTAATTATTTTACTGCTTAGAAAACCAGCTTCTTTTGTGACTTTGATCCTTGAATATGACTATAGTCACGAATATTTAAAAATCTGATGTTTGAAAATAATATTTTCTCTCAAATAGTTTTTTTATTCTCTGCGTGCAAGAAAATATTGAGGCACAGGTATATTTAAACATAATTTTAAATGACTTAGCTTACTGTAATTTGGGGTGGGTCACTAAATTAGACATATAGTAACATATTAACAGAAATATCTTGGCAGCTACCCTATCCAAACACCTGCATGGCTGCAGTTGATTTCAGCAAATATTTGTAGTGTGTTTTACTAAGTCGCTGGTCTTAGATAAAGTGCTTTATGTAGGCATTATCTTATGTAATCTCCACGCATTCCCTGTGAAATATGTGTTATCACATTTACACAGGAGAAAACAAGTTGAGAGAGTGTAAGCTGCTTCTAAATGTGCACAGCAAATGGCAAAACCAGGACTGATACTAGCTCTGCCTTCAAAGCCATATTCAGCTATCTCTCTGTGACAGCTAAAATGCTTCAAGGAACCCATTAGTATGCAGCAAACCTATCAGACATCACAAAGCTACTAATTTTAACATACAGAATTTAACCAAGAGGTAAAAATGATAATAAGACTGTTTAATGAGTACTTATTATATTCCCTGAACTGGGTATGTATTACCTCATTTAATCTCCCTACCATCCTTCGAGGGAGATATGAATATTATTCCCATTTTATCAGTGGATTAACTAAGCATTAAGATTTTAAGTGACTTGCTTAAAGCCATATGTCTAGCAAGAGGTAGAGCTGGGATCTGAACCCACCCAACCAGTCCAAAGAATCTGGCTCGCACGACTCATCCTGCTTCTCAAGAAGAAAAAAACTAAAATACATCACCTTTGATGTCATACATGTCTACTCATTTGTTCAGGCTCTCATTTTGTTGCTTTTTACTTTTATTTGGAGCTAATTATCATGTTTGCCTATGCATGTTCAGCCAGCAGCAAGTAAGAAGCAGGAATTTGAAGGGGTAGACAGGGAAAAGGCAGGACAAGAGGAATCTGCTCCCATAGCCCCACTGACCCCTGAAGAATGTGAGTGTGTTTGGCTAACTGTGAGGCATAGCATAAGTGCATTGCAGCCTGACAGCATTTGGTACAGAGGTAAGAGTCCTTCAAAATTAAACAGTCCCTAAAGACATGGGCCTATTTTCAATCAGGGTACAATATTTATGCTCTTAATTATGACCCTGAGTAGTCAAAAAAGGGACCAATTTTCAAGATATGCTCAGGGAGGGCTGTGTAAAAATCATAGGAAGTTCATCATCGTTAGAAACATTTATGTCCAAAGAGTAATTTTTTTAATTTAAATTTTTGTTCAAAACTGTTTCAGTATGAATTATCTAGAAAGAAATTGGATGGGATATCTCTTTCCTTGCTAGCAATAGAAAAATGCAGTGTTACTCCTTTGATTTTCTTTTTTTTCTTTTATTTTTTAATTATACTTTAAGTTCTAGGGTACATGTGCACAACGTGCAGGTTTGTTACATATGTATACATGTGCCATGTTGGTGTGCTGCACCCATTAACTTGTCATTTACATTAGGCATATCTCCTAATGCTATCCTTCCCCACTCCGCTTACCCCACAACAGGCCCCAGTGTGTGATGTTCCCCTTCCTGTGTCCAAGTGTTCTCATTGTTCAATTCCCACATATGAGTGAGAACATGCGGTGTTTGGTTTTTTGTCCTTGCAATAGTTTGCTGAGAATGATGGTTTCCAGCTTCATCCATGTCCCTACAAAGGACATGAACTCATCGTTTTTTATGGCTGCATAGTATTCCATGGTGTATATGTGCCACATTTTCTTTATCCAGTCTATCATTGTTGGACATTTGGGTTGGTTCCAAGTCTTTGCTATTGTGAATAGTGCCACAATAAACATACGTGTGCATGTGTCTTTATAGCAGCATGATTTATAATCCTTTGGGTATATACCCAGTAATGGGATGGCTGGGTCAAATGGTATTTCTAGTTCTAGATCCCTCAGGAATCGCCACACTGTCTTCCACAATGGTTGAACTAGTTCACAGTCCCACCAACAGTGTAAAAGTGTTCTTATTTCTCCACATCCTCTCCAGCACCTGTTGTTTCCTGACTTTTTAATGATCACCATTCTAACTGGTGTGAGATGGTATCTCATTGTGGTTTTGATTTGCATTTCTCTGATGGCCAGTGATGATGAACCTTTTTTCATATGTCTGTTGCCTGCATAAATGTCTTCTTTTGAGAAGTGTCTGTTCATATCCTTTGCCCACTTGTTGATGGGGTTGTTTGTTTTTTTCCTGTAAATTTGTTTGAGTTCTTTGTAGATTCTGGATATTAGCCCTTTGTCAGATGAGTAGATTGCAAAAATGTTCTCCCATTCTGTAGGTTGCTTGTTCACTCTGATGGTAGTTTCTTTTGCTGTGCAGAAGCTCTTTAGTTTAGTTAGATCCCATTTGTCAATTTTGGCTTTTGTTGCCATTGCTTTTGGTGCTTTAGACATGAAGTCCTTGCCCATGCCTATGTCCTGAATGGTATTGCCTAGGTTTTCTTCTAGGGTTTTTATGGTTTTAGGTCTAACATTTAAGTCTTGAATCCATCTTGAATTAATTTTTGTATAAGGTGTAAGGAAGGGATCCAGTTTCAGCTTTCTACATATGGCTAGCCAGTTTTCCCAGCACCATTTGTTAAATAAGGAATCCTTTCCCCATTTCTTGTTTTTGTCAGGTTTGTCAAAGATCAGATAGTTGTAGATGTGTGGCATTATTTCTGAGGGCTCTGTTCTGTTCCATTGGTCTATATCTCTCTTTTGGTACCAGTACCATGCTGTTTTGGTTACTGTAGCCTTGTAGTATAGTTTGAAGTCAGGTAGCGTGATGCCTCCAGCTTTGTTCTTTTGGCTTAGGATTGACTTGGCGATGAGGGCTCTTTTTTGGTTCCATATGAACTTTAAAGTAGTTTTTTCCAATTCTGTGAAGAAAGTCATTGGTAGCTTGATGGGAATGGCATTGAATCTATAAATTACCTTGGGCAGTTTGGCCATTTTCACAATATTGATTCTTCCTATCCATGAGCATGGAATGTTCTTCCATTTGTTTGTATCCTCTTTTATTTCGTTGAGCAGTGGTTTGTAGTTCACCTTGTAGAGGTCCTTCACATCCCTTGTAAGTTGGATTCCTAGGTATTTTATTCTCTTTGAAGCAATTGTGAATGAGAATTCATTCATGGTTTGGCTCTCTGTTTGTCTGTTATTGGTGTATAAGAATCCTTGTGATTTTTGCACATTGATTTTGTATCCTGAGACTTTGCTGAAGTTGCCTATCAGCTTAAGGAGATTTTGGGCTGAGATGATGGGGTTTTCTAGATATACAATCATGTCATCTGCAAACAAGGACAATTTGACTTCCTCTTTTCCTAATTGAATACCCTTTATTTCTTTCTCCTGCCTGATGGCCCTGGCCAAAACTTCCAACACTATGTTGAATAGGAGTGGTGAGAGAGGGCATCCCTGTCTTGTACTCCTTTGTTTTTCAAAACATCACCTGTTACAGAAGTTTGTTATTTTCTGAATATATGTACAAGTGTGAGACTTTGTACAGCTATAAAAGCATCTGTATTTGTTTGCATAACACTCCAGTTCTAGGAAGATCAGTATTTCTGTTTTCTAGAAGAAATCTTTATTCTAATTTTTAAAATATTAAATTTATACCTGCTTATGATAGAAACTTTTGAAAGTACAGAAAACTATAGCAAAAGCATAAGAAAATAAAGTCATAAATGAAGCAAACAAATGTATTTACCATTTCCATTTTGGAATATATCATCTGAAGAATGTCAACTTATCCAAACTGACCAGTTTTTCAGGTTTTTTTATTTTTCTTCCTGGCCAAGTTCTACACTTTTGCTAAACCATACCAAACCAAACCCTACAATACAATGCACTGATGTAGTACATTCTCCTTCTTCAAAGACATAATTTTCTCTTTGTTCTACCCTCCCCTGGTGGGAGGAGTTAAAGTTATCTCTGTAATGTTAGTTAATGATAATGCTGTTATTAAAGCCATAAACTAAGGAAAATAAGTGAAATTCAGTTTCATTTGATGTATATGAGTATAAATTTTAAATAAGGTAGGGAAAAACAATTATATTTGAGTCTGAAAGGCAAGAATGGTATTTTGACATTTTTCTGTGTTTGTGTTATTCCCCAAAATCTGGATTGAAAAATTGTTTAGTTAGGCATTCAGTTGTGAGGTTTATTATTTGAATAAGTTTCATATCTGAAAATAAATCTTTTCAGAAATCAGATATTTTGCAATTGAGTAGAGAGAGCCAGAGAGTAAATCAATATTTTGTTTATAATTCAAATCTCCTAGTCTGGTTTTGTGGGATATATTTTCATAATACTGAACTGATTTCCCAATGAGAAACTGACAAATATACTTGTTTCAGTGTCTCATAAAAGCTATTTATTTAGAATATTCTCTGGCAGTAGTGGTTCTGGAGAACATGGCACCTTATGGAATATGGAACTCTTCATTTTACAATGAAAGTAACAGAAGCCTGCAGAGCTTCCAGAACTGCAGAGATTAGATGATTTTCCAATAAATAAGTGGAGTCAGAACCTATTTAATGGAATAATTTATAAATGGTGGTGCTGCAGAGCTCAACATCGATTTAGAGAAAACTATGAGGAGAGTCTAAATGAACTGACAAAAATCTGTGAGGCAGATTAGTCTTAATAGAAGTCTAAAAAAATTTTTACTGACGGGGTGTGGTGGCTCACGCCTGTAATCCCAGCACTTTGGGAGGCCTAGGCGGGCGGATCACGAGGTCAGGAGATGGAGACCATCCTGGCTAACACGATGAAACCCCGTCTCTACTAAAAATACAAAAAATTAGCCAGGCGTAGTGATGGGCGCCTGTAGTCCCAGCTACTCGGGAGGCTGAGGCAGGAGAACGGCGTGAACCCGGGAGGCGGAGCTTGCAGTGAGCCAAGATCACGCCACTGCACTCCAGCCTGGGTGACAGAGCGGGACTCTGTCTCAAAAAAAAAAAAAAAAAATTTACTTAAAAAATATGCCAGGTTTTTGTTCATTGTAGGAACATTCTATTTCTAATGCCTTTACCCAGCAATGTGCTGGTAAATCTTTAACAGGCTTTTAAAACAGAAAAATGGATGCAAATATATATTTTATGACACACTTTTAAATTTAATCTGCATTATCATTTTCTCTATCACTTTCCTAAATCCAGACAATCAAAACAATATATCAAACCCTTACTTACAGTATTTATGGATTTCCATTGTGTAAATACTACTGTTGTGATGAATTTCAAGCACACACCAGTGGTCCCTAAACATAGAATTGAAGAGATACATACATCATTATATAGCAATATGCCATACAGATACAATAGACCTAAGTAACTTTAAGATACAGATAATAGTAAAATGAATATAATAATTATAAAGTGATGAGTTTCAGTATGTTACCTTTGTTTTTAATATAATTTATTTAATTGTGAATTTGTATAATTGACTTTAAAAAACGGCTATTTAACAACTGTCTCATAAATTTTCTGAAATTTTAACGGTTGTTTTTTGCTGACCTGTATTAACTACCTTTAAGCCACCACTGCCTATGCCTTTGAAGGAAAGGGAATATGAAAAAAAATTACACAATGCCCCACATATATGTAGTACACATCATATCCAGCACTTGTGAGGTATATATATTATATGTGTGCTTTTGGAAGTATACCTCTGTAGCAGTGCTTCTCAAACTTTACTGTGCATGTAAATCACATGGGCATCTTGTTAAAAGGCAGATTCTGATTTAGCAGGTCTGAGAGTCTCTATTTCTTTTTTTTTTTTTTTTTTTTTTTGAGACGGAGTCTCACTCTTTCACCCAGGCCAGACTGCAGTGGCACTATCTCAGCTCACTGTAAACTCCACCTCCTGGGTTCATGCCATTCTCCTGCCTCAGCCTCCCGAGTAGCTGGGACTACAGGTGCCCGCCACCACGCCTGGCTAATTTTTTGTATTTTTAGTAGAGATGGGGTTTCACTGTGTTAGCCAGGATGGTCTCGATCTCCTGACCTCGTGATCCGCCTGCCTCGGCCTCCCAAAGTGCTGGGATTACAGGTGTGAGCCACCGTGCCCGGCCGAGAGTCTCTATTTCTAACAAGTTCACAGATCTTACTGATACTGCTGGTCTCTGGACCTAACTTTGAATAGCAAAGGCCCTGACTAATTTCCTTAGAAACTTACTTTATAAGAGTCAATCTTCTTCTCTCTCACTGCATATGTGTGTGTGCATGTTAGTTTAGATACATACACACATACATACACACATGTACAGTTTTACACACATAGATACACACGCACATATATACACACATATACATACACATGTATATCTATATCTGTAATTTGAAACGGGCCCCTCCATGTACTCAAACAAAATGATATATAATTAAATGACATTCTGTAGAGAAAACAGGAGAAAAAATGGGAGTTGGAATTGCTGCCATGGCCTAGTGGAGGAGGAGGAGGAGAAACTGCCTTTATCAATCCTTGTATTAAAAGAAGTGTTCAAGGAGCCCGAAATTAGTTCAAGGTTGATGAGATGTTAGGTCATAAGGGAAGAAAGAAAACCCTGAGTTTCAGCCAGGAACGGTTGAAATTAATCCTGTAGGCATTTAAGGAACATAAGTCATTAATTTAAAGAATTATGCTCTAGGAAGTTTAATCGGGTGCTATCCAAGTGTGAGGCAAACTACACTTAGTATAGAGATGCTGTTTGTCACAAGCTAGGGGTAAGTGGTAAGCACCTATGTCCAAGGGAAGGAAGAACTGGGAGGAATCTGGATCCTGGATATATGGAGGATGAAGAGTCGGGGATGCTGAGCCCCAGTAACTGGGAACATGATGGTGCAGCTGCATAAACAGGAATCCAGGAAGAAGAAGCCAGTCTCTCTCTCTCTCTTCCTAAGTTAAAAATAAAAGAAGATGTTAACTCTGTTTATGAATTCATTTTTCCCAAAGTTGAAGTGATTCAACAGAAGAACTCACAGCAGGTTTAGTAACATGATAATCAAGAAGTATATGGTCATAAATCTTGTGAGTTTGTGAGGAATCTTCTATATGCTACCTTTTTGTCTTGGACCATAAGACAGGTTTGCCAGAACCAAATCCAACTTCAAGCCTGAAGGTGGGGATACCCCTTTCTAATCAGTCCATCACTCATATTGTTTTTATTCTTGGCAACGTGACCTTAAATTTTTTCAAGGTTAATCTGTGGAAAAAACAAAATTGATGACAAATTTTCATGAAAATACAATGGTCCTGAAAGCTAGGTTCAGGAACATGAGATTGGAGTAATTCAGGACCCTGTTGGAGGGTGGTGAAGAAAAGCAGGCATTACATCCTGATATAAAAAGTATTTTTCAAACAACATTACAGGAAATTTCAAAATATCTCTTGTATCACCTATTAGTATAGGAGCATGATCTGAATATTGTGCAAGGATTGGAAGATGACTCTTCATGGACCAAACACAAAAGTCAAAAGCTTTGACCTGTGAATTTAAGATGCTGCTAGAGAATCCAATCATTGGGAAAAAAAATAAGAGATTCAGCATTATGGTGTTAATATGTTTTAAAATTGTACTAGCAGATGTGATTGAATATTGAGGGAGAAAAATATGTTCATATGTGACTTGGGAACAGTCAACGAGTGGGAGCCAATGGAAAAAACAATAGGAAAAGATTGAAAAAGGAACAGGAGATATTTGAAGAAAGAGTAAGAATTACAGCAACATAAGCTTCTCTCTACTCTTCAGCCAGAAGAAAAATCTGGTTATAAATCCACTGCCACCAAATCCATCCCTTTGAATTTGGTATAATTTGCATGAGAAATTCTTATTCTTATAAAATCAGGTTAGTGACTCTTAATTTAAAATATAAGTTGTCCTAAATTAACACTGTACCTCAGTGAATTAGATTATGCCAACACGATCTACTTATTAAGTGAATCTCAGCAAGAATATTTAATGAAAAAGGTCTAGATGATTTGAACCATCCTAAGTGATCCATTGAAATAGTTAAAAGGCACTGTTTCTATATGCAGACCAAAAGTCCTTTAATAAAAGAGTATGACATGCCAAAAGTTCAGCATTGCATGGTACCTGTGGTCCAGCCAAAATAATAACTTCTAATAGCATTTTTGAATCGGTTCCAATGCATTGTGAAAATGCTTAGAATTCCAAAGTACCATAGTTTTTTTTTTTAAATCCACCAGTAATTACCAAAGATATTTGCATTTGCAGTCACCTTGTATATTTTGTGCTATGATTAGCTTTTTCTTAAGGACAAACTTCAGACGATTCAGAGGTTAAATTTAGCTAAATTGTTAGGATAGGAAAAACATCTAAATTTTTTTCTACATGTAATTTCATCAAATTTGTACCAATGTGATTCCCTTTCCCCAGTCCTATTTTCTTCAAAGCATCTTTCTTAATGCAAAATAGTATTGCACCTCCATATTCCTCTCTTCAATTTTCAAACAATCCCAAAGGTGAATATATATTAAGAAATTCTTCTACTTCTTTTACTTGTCTACTGACGTCACTGGACTTTACCAGCCAAGTAACTTTGGTAAAAGTTAAGTCAATCAAAGTATGTATTACTTTCTAAGGAAATCCAAACTTCTGTAAATCTGTGAATTCCTAATGTAGACAATTGTTTCTGGCAGCCTGAGACATTTTTAATTTTTAGAAAATAATTTTTAGAAGGTATTTCATGTTAAGACTAAAAATTCAATAGATATTATTGAATGTCTACTACATGTGGGTATCATGACAGGTGTTATTGGGAAGAGTGGGTGTGGTAAAATTCTAGAAAGAAAAAAATGATCTCCTCCATCTAAGATTTATATATGTATACTAGGGGAAGATAGATATGTAAATGAAAGTCTGATACAAACCAAAATGTACTGTTAAAAATTGGAAGCATAATGGAGATATGAAGGAGAGAAAGATGAAAACCAAGTGGGTGAGTTTAAGCTATATTTCTTAACTAAAAGGGCATTTGAGCTAGCACTTGAAGGAATGTAGATAAGTGAACTTCATTCAAAATGGACATGCCGAGGAAGGAAAATAGCATAAAGGAATATTGAGGCACAAAAATGCAGGCTTCATAGAAAGGCGAGTATTTGCGTGATTGGGACATAGGATATATTGTGAAGCTGTGCAAAAGTGGTTGAGGGTATAGCAAGAAGGATCTTAAAGGGAAAAATAAAATAAATGGTCAAATAGATTCCATTGAAGATATTTAAGCAGGAGAATTACATATAGGAGCTGTGTTTGAGAAGATGACTTAAAACTTGTATACTATGATCTGAACAATGAGGAGACAATTTGGTTTTCTTTCTTATATAAATGGTTTTTACATTAAAACTAGTTGTTTTAAAAAATAGTTGCTATACTTTAGTCCAACAACATGATCCATGTATCCAGATATTTTCAGAATTAACTATCTTAAATTGAGAGTAAACACCCCTTCTGCTAATTTACAATGTCTTTGATGTAATGACTCCCTAACAATTCAACAAGAGTCTCAAGAACATAACTTTATATTTTCCTTCCCGTTTCTGCCTTAAGTTGACATCTCTTTGAAATTTCAGAATCATTCTTAATGTGTTCCATGAAATCAAAGGGAAAACTCAGAGAAATGTAGGATGATGACTATTGATCTCTACTGTTTCTTTCTTTAAAAAACCTTTTCCTCAGAAATATTTGTCAATTAAAAGTGTCATCCTGTATATAATTCATCATCTCTCAAGAAGCAGTCAGGTTATCCATGTACTTTTTATAACTCTACTTTTATCAGTGTTTACATCCATGGTCAAATTCTCTTCACTAAATGGTCAAATTATAATAATAATTATTTATTTTCTCTATTAGTTATTGTCAAAATCTAATGACTGTTGTATTTGTTAGAAAATGCTCTAGGATAATAATACTCTCTAAAGTCCAGTGAATCAACACATTTTGTTACCTTTACATTTTTGTTCTCAACTTCAACATTAAGTTTGAACATAAAACATATTTACTTATTCACTTTTTGACCTGCTAATAAAGAATTTAATTGATCATGAACAACCACATGGAGAACAAACTTATGGGACCGGTTACTAATTTATTAATTTTTCAAACTCAGGTTTTTTATTTAAATTAATAATGTTTACCTGTGAGCTACTTCTCTCTTGCAAACAATAATATGAAGTAGTATTTCTTGAAGTTTGAAAAATCACTGAATATTTTATATATTGAAAGCCACAAATGCAAAATAGATGAAGTTTGTGACATTCTGGGTCAGGGTGGGCCTTTGGGAGGCAAGGTTCCACCCCCTTAGGCATCCATTTATCATTTATTCAATAAATATTTTTGATTCCTAGTTTGGTCCAACATTGTGCTAAGTGCTGGAAATAAGAATGAGGAGGCAAACCCAAGGCCCCTGCAGTTTGTGATTTAGTTGAGAGAGAGACATCAATAACAACAACAATTTCAACAACAAACACACACACACATACACAAATAAACATGCAATGGCAACTGTGATGATTAACAAAAAGCAATGTGACATACACTTATAGCATACTGTAATGAGAGTAGAATTAAATGAAGCCACAGTATACAAAAATATCTTATTTTTACATATAATGCATAGTAATAATTCCTATTCCATTATATTCTATTCCTTTAACATAAAATTCTACAGTGACTTGATTTAAAACCCTTTAAGCTTCACTACCTGCGATTTTACAGAAAGCTCCATTAAAGTTTTTTCATTATAAAAACATCTTCCTATCTGATTTTGCACATAAAAATGTGGGGCCATTTTGTTGGGCTGCCCTCACCTCCTTTATTCATGTGTGTGAGATGAGTGGTCTGAGAACAAAAAGGATTGGTAATAGAATGGTGCCTGTTAGAGTAGTGTACAGTGTGGCTGCTTGCAGGTTCCTCTGCAGTGTTTCCCTTAGTCTTAGCCTTTGTTGCCACTGTTTCATCAAAAATAATATATTCAATATTTCTTTTCTGCTTCACTATGCCAGCAATGTTTAAAGGAATACTAAAAGGAAAGTACTGCTACTAATGATGGGTCACTTCAATAGAAAGAGAGTGTGGGGTTTCCCGAAGGCTTCTGAAATGCATCTGTTTACCCCTTTCTCATTCTCTCCTTACTCAAATGCAGCAGAAAAATCAAACCTTCCAAAATGTTACTTGATGTTCTTGCTGCTCCACCACCACAGAGCCTATTTTCCTCACTGTCACCTCCTTCTTTCCCTTCTAGGATCATTAAGTTTCCTCTTCTAGGTCTCTTAGCTGGATTCCCTAGGCAGCTCTTTTCCCCAGCCAGCCCTACCCCAAACAAACTCCTTGGGTAAACAACTGTGCAATCTTACTGCTAATGCAAAGAACAACAGAGTGGGAGAAATGGAGAAAATGGTATACGGAGAGAAGACAAAGCCCATGGATCCATTATTTCAGGGATTTTGTGGACTGTTCAGGACTTCTTCAGACAGCTGGTAAATATTGTACTTCTTTACCAAGAAGAGACTGGTTTGTGTTTTCGTAAGAAATATGTTGCTATAGTGCACCTGTTTGAATATTCTGTACTGGTAATTTATATCCAGGTGATGAGTAATGTGAAAATCTGTCATTTATTTTAAATTGTTTAAAAAATTAACTAACATAACATCTATATATTATAACACTGTATCATATACTTAAATATGTTTTAAGAAGGTAGATCTTGAGTTAAGTGTTCCTTTCACAAAATAATAATAATAAATAAGAGAGCTAGGGGAAACATTTGAAGGTAATAGGCAGGTTCATGATATAGAATGTGAGGATGGCTTTATTACCACATATCTTTAAACTCATCAAACTATAATTGTTAATTATGCATAGTTTTTATGTAAATACATAAATAATGGTAAGAAAAAAATATGGTAATCCATCACCATCCAAAATCCCTGCCCTGGTTTGAGCAGAGACTTTGAAAAGAAATAGTATTGTTTTCTTACTCAGTTCTACAGCTGTTTGTGGAACTGGTAAACATTGGGTAAAAGCACTGGTCAAAATACCTTCATTTAGGATTATTTGCAATTATCACAAGAGCAACTCTTAGAAAAAGTGAGACGTGTGTGCACACACACACACACAATTTAAAATAATAGCATGAGTAATAACATACCTAAGAAGAAAATACCTTCTAAATAAAACATACTGCTCAAAATATTTGTTCGTTTTCAGTTTTACAGGGAGAATGGAAAGTTTTGTTTATATTTGAGTCCCAAAAAGGTTTATACGGAAATAATTTGATGATATAATTGCTAAATGAGAAAAAAATGTTATAGCCCTTTCCATATTTCAGGCACGGAAAAATAACTCTCTTGAAAAGTGTCTTTTAAATTATTTCAAATACTATCTGGAGTCAAATACTTTCTTCTGTTTAAGAAATAAGATAAACTATAATACATGGATAAAATTTACTTTAAAATTTTAAATAACTATATGTGAAAGAAATTTCTTAAAGGACTCACACTTGCCAAGGTTGTGGTTTACAGGAAAAACTTGAGGATTTGAGGGTCTTGGGTATTTCCAACTTAGTAAGATTGTTTTCCTCCACCACCATAGTAAATGAACACTAACTGTTTAGAGAAATCAGGTTTTTAAGTTGGTGCTTTATGTGTGTAGGTATTCCATTTTGCTAAGAGTGGCATTTGGTGCTCACATTTTCTAAAATGCCAACAGCAATTAAAGGCCTGTATCCACTTTGCTCTTTTGTCTTAGTTCTACAAGCAGGCCATAAACTGTAGGACTGTAAGAAGGATGGTGTTCCAACATGTATTTTTTCAGTGTACACGTCCCAAATGATTAGTTGACTTAGCTAGGAGGGCAGCCCTTCACTGGGGCTCGGCCACTTATATCTGCAGCTTCAGGCTAGTTGCTAAGTAATAGGCATTACTATTAATTAGCCTCTAGTGTTAAGACATAGTTTATCATTTTATCAAATTTCATTTAATAATCTCTATGACAGTGTGAATTAGGCAAGGAAGTATTTTCTCTTGATTACAGATGAGGGGCTGAGGATCAGAGATTAAATTACTTACCAGAGCTAGTTAGCTCAACTAGCCCATAGGCTAAGGAGCCACTGGCTTAGAATCCAGATGTCCTGATGAGACATCTTTTACTCTTTCTACTCTACTGTAAGCCTCCTGCTTAATGTTGACTGGCTTAATGTCATATTTTCTCACTTGGAGAATGAGAAATAGAGTTCTCTGTAAGGCTAATCTCTGCTCTAAAATTCTGTGAATCTTATTACTTGAACACGTGCTTTGAAATCAAAGTTGATTGGCCTGGTCTGGTGGTTTCCAAAGCGTGGTCTTTGCATCAGTGTCATCTGAAATGTATCAGCGTCATCTGAAATGTATCAGCATCATCTAGAAATGAAAACTTGGGCTTCACCCCAGTGCTATTGAATCAGAAACCCTAAGGGTGAGGCCCATCAGTGTGAGTTTTAAGAACCCCTGTGGGTAATTTTGAGGCTCTCTGAGCCTGGCCTATTCAGAGTCTCATTAATATGCTTACAGCAGTTGGTCATTAATATGGTTTGGCTTTGTGTCCCCACCCAAATCTCACTTTGAATTGTAATAATCCCCATGTGTTGAGGGTGGGGCCAGGTGGAGATAATTGAATCATGGGGGTGGTTTCCCCCATACTGTTCTCTCGTGATAGTGAGTCTCTGATGGTTTTATAAATGAGAGTTCCCCTGCACAAGCTCTTTTGCCTGCCACCATGTAAGACATGACTTTGTTCCTCATTCACCTTCTGCCATGATTGTGAGACCTCCCCAGCCACATGGAACTGTGAGTCAATTAAACCTCTTTCCCTTATAAATTACCCAGTCTTGGGTATGTCTTTATTAACAGCATGAGAACTGACAAATACAGTCATTAACTCTCAAACCATGTTAGCAACTTCATTTCTAAGTTAGGTTTGTGCTCATCTTCACCCAGCAGCATTTTTAGAAAGGTTACTTGAGAGGGAGGCAGACTTAGATGTCTCTAAGATGAATGTACTCCCTTTAGACTCTGGCTTTATGTTATTTTCCAGAGGAGTGTTTAAAAGCTGGACAATGGTGGGGAGGAGCCAGAGATTATTGGTGGGAGGGGTGTGTGTGAGTCCCTGTTGTATTCATTTATCCAGGAAAAACACATAAAATGTATTTAAATTCAGTCCCCTCTTACTGAATCTCACAGCCTTGCACTCAGGGCAATCACAGAAAGGGAGAGATGGATATTTTCCAAATTGCTCAAATGACTTGGGCAAAAGAGGAGAGAAGCATGCCATTACCTCAAAAAGCTTCAGAAGCCCTTAGGTCAAGGTTTCTCGGCGTGACTGACATTCTGGACTGGATGAGTTTTTGCTGATGCAGCTGCCCTGTGCATGTTAGAATATTTGGCAGCATCCATGGCCTCTAATCATTAGATGCTAGTAGCCACACCCCTCCCCCAGTCATGACAGTCAGAACTATCTCTAGATATTGCCAAATGTCTCCTTGTGGGCGGTGGTAAAACTGCCCCCACTTCTCTCCTACCCCCATTTGGTTGAGAACTAGCACCCTGCGGAATTCCCTTTATCACTTTCTCCTTATCATGAGGCCACCCACCCTTGAGCAAGGTGCGTGGTGCCCTGGCTGGAATAGCCATTATCCACCAAGCCTTCCTTCTCCTGGCTATTATTTTAGAACAAGTGTGAAAAAGAGGAGACCCAGATTTTTGAGAAGCTTGGCTGCTCTGCTTGGAAAATAAATTAGCAGTGAGAGGTAGACTGTAAAACCAAGAGGGTATTCAGCACTCCTATGCTCCTGGCAACAGCGGCCTCTGAAAGAATAGCTAAGGGTAGGAGCTATGGGAGTGCATGAGCTGAAAAGAAAACTGCCAGCTATTAGTGATTCTGTAGGAGGTAAATGTTCTAAGCTTTGATGCTACTGAGAATTCTCTGAAGGCCTGTGCAAACAGCCCCAGTGTGAGGAGCAGGCAGGCGCAGGCACTGAGCCTTGCCTGCTGCTGAGCTGGGCTTATGGTATTAGGTACACTTGATCTCTGCTTCCAAATCCCACTGATTTTCTCCATGGAGAAATTTGTGTCTCATAAATAACCTCTGAAATAACCTCCGGGTTTGTTTCCAGGCATTGCTCATCTAAATTCATTGTACTCGTTCAAAGCAATTGTAGCTATTTTATAATGCAGAATAAGAAACCCATCAGGGCCTACTTTGTAGGTGAGTTGGCTGGAGACCATGCTCTCTTTGAGGTTCTGATAGGATATTCTCCCTTCACAGTTCAACCTCCCTGGGCCCTCCCCTTTGGGAAAATTATCAGATACCAGCCATTAACTCCTCCTCCCTACAGATCTGAGTTCCAGCTATTCCCTAGAATTCCCTACATTTAAACATTTTAAATGGGAAGGGCCCTACAGTTAAGGGAACTTTAGCCAGTAGTGCAGGAGAACACCACTGGGATTGGAAAACATATGAGTAGCACTTTTGAAATTATAGGTAGACAAAAGTCACATATTGCTGTCTGGTAATCAAGGCCAGCCTGGTGCTCTTATCTCCTCCAGTTTAGATTCTCTTGAACACCCTCTGGGGAATGAGTAGGCTTTCCCTGGCTGCACTTCCCTCTCATTGGGAAGGAGAATATTGGCATAGTCTCTGCTTTGCACCAGGAGTCAGTAAATGCTGGCCTGGCCTTGGCCACAAGCTAGTATTTCGGCAGGAAGTAAATGGAGTGGACAGTGCACATACATGAGATCTCTCAGGAACACTGGTCTTCAGGCCCATGATGGCCCTCACAGCTCCCCTGGACCTCTGCCGTAGCCTCGAGCCTCCTTTCTCATTTCTAATTGGTAACTTTCTTCTTTTCTTTTTTTTTTTCCATGTCAGAGTCTTGCTCTGTCACCCAGGCTGGAGTGCAGTGGCACAATCTTGGCTCACTGCAACTTCCGCCTCCTGGGTTTAAGCGATTCTCCTGCCTCAGCCTTGCGAGTAACTTGGATTATAGGCGCCCACCGCCACACCCAGCTAATTTTTGTATTTTTAGTAGAGACAGGGTTTCACCGTGTTGGCCAGGCTGGTCTTGAACTCCTGACCTCAAGTGATCCAACTGCTTCAGCCTCCCAAAGTGCTGAGATTACAGGCATGAGCCACCACGCCTGGCAAACTTTCAACCTGATAGATTTTATTTAGGAATTTTGAATTAGCTTTGCTAGACCAGCTTTATCCATACAACACAGACATAGTATTTATTTATGGGGATGTTTGTTCATAGATATATAGATATATTTTAGCAGTCACTATTTTCTATCCCCCTTTCTGATATCCTCCACCCACACCCACATACAGATTATCAATTTTATAGGTGGCATTTCTAAGTTTTATTGGTTTTAACCAAATCCTCTATTCGCTTTCTCTATGTATGATGGCACATCTGTTTATGGCATTGGCTGAAGCTTAGCTGACATTCCCAAAGTGCTTGGTGTAAGAGGAAGGGGCCCATCTGGGACTAGAAAAGAAAATCTGGACTCAGCATTCACAAAGTTCTCTTTGTTCTCCTAGGAAGTTTCTTCTGACCCATATCCACGGATCATTATACAGGCTAAATCAAAATTTATGTATTTCCTTTGCATAATCCTGCTACTGCTTAGAAAAAGGAATGACAGAAAAATCTTAATCATTCTCCCACAGAGCTTGAAGGTGAACAAACATGCTTGGCAGCTTATGCCTAATGAAGTCATAAGTGCCAGGAAAAGAATGATAATCCTTAACCTTTAAAAATAAAATAAAACAGATTTTGTTTATTTAACTTAAGAAAAAAGTTAGACTGCTCATTTTATAAGCCAATCACATAAACATAACAGAATCTTTATTTCATCTGTTTTATATGACTTTTTAAGACAGAGTCTTACTCTGTCACCCAGGCTGGAGTGCAGTGGCATGATCTTGGCTCACTGCAACCTCTGACTCCTGGGTTCAAGCAAGTCTCATGCCTCAGCCTCCCAAGTAGTTGAGATTACAGGCACATACCACCAAGCCCAGCTAATTTTTGTATTTTTAGTAGAGACAGGGTTTTGCCATGTTTGCCAGGCTGGTCTCGAGCTCTCAGCCTCAAATGATCGCCCACCTTGGCCTCCCAAAGTGCTGGGATTATAGGCATAAGCCACCATACCCAGCCTTTGACAGGATTTTAGGCATGAGCCACCACATCCAGCCTTTGATAGGATTTTTATTTCCCAAACTTCCTGAACAGGTGGGTTTCCCTTTGGCTTCTCTCTAAGAGACACTCTTTTGGGACAGACTTTAGACAGTTTTCATAGTCTACAGAACCAAGTCATGAAATGAATTCTTCTACAATGGTTGGTGAGTTTGATTTTATTAGTAATATTGAAATAGGGACTTCCTTTAAAGAGCAGCTTTGCTCAAAACCACATAGTAAATAGGGAAGTGTGCCACCCAGGTAAGGAAATGAATGCTTACCAGCACAGCTTTGCTAAGAATCCAGGCAGAAGAACTGCTCTAACTTCATCTGCAAAATGATTTCATGACTGATGATGTCAATGGTCAACTGAAATAATAGGTTTTCCTCACTCACCAGCACGTTTTACTCCAAAGTCTGCATCGTACTTATATTTTTGTAAAAGATTTTCTCATATATAAGAGGCTCCCCTTTTTCCCCTTTTTCTTTCTTTCTTTCTTTTATTTATTTATTTTTTTTAAGAGTTTTGCTTTGTCACCCAGGCTGGAGTGCAGTGATGATGCCATCTTGGCTCACTGCAATCTTCACCTCCTGTGTTCAAGCAATTCTCCTGCCTCAGCCTCCCGAGTAGCTGGGATTACAGGTGCCCGCCACCATACCTCTCTACTTTTTTTTTGTATTTTTAGTAGAGATGGGATTTCACCATGTTGGCCAGGGTGGTCTTGAACTCCTGACCTCAGATGATCCACCCGCCTTGGCCTCCCAAATGGTTGAGATTACAGGTGTGAGTCATCGTGCCCGGTCTCCCCTTTTTCTAAGATTCACCTGTAGCTGGTAATTAATCATAAAATAAGACAATAGATTCCTGTTTTCCTTTCTTACTAAAAGTCTAATAATTTATTTCTCCTTTTAGAGAGGAAACAAGTACCAGCTTTTGCCATATTCTGAAATACCCAACTTTCTCTAGTAATCTGGAGTCATATGGCTAGGATGTGGATGTGTAAGCCAGCAGGGTATCCTCCTTCTGAAAACGGGGGTTGAACTCACACAGTGCAAGGATTCTCAACCCTTAACTGGCAAATATAAGGCCCTTGAGAATTGTCTAAACAAATACCAGTGTCCTGGGACCTTGACCCAGATCAAATAATAGATATCTGTGGGGATGGATTCCAGCACCAGCGTTTTTTAAAGCTCCCCGGGGTGGATCCAATGTATAGCCAAGTTTGAGAACTGCTGAGTTACAAGCTCATTTTCCAAAGGGTGTTCATAGTTCTGAGAATCCTGGAAAAACAGTTTGAGAAACAATGCAAACTGTGAAAGGTTCTTAGATGTTCACAATGCACATTCTGATATTGTTCATCCAAGTGACCTGCAGTTAAGAAACCTCCTGAACTGTCTTTGACAAGTCAAACTGTGTTTGACTTGACTATGAATCTCCTTTAATTCATATCTATCCAGTTAGAGGAGCTTCAATTTGTCAGAGCACTTTGGAAAGCACTGAACTAAATACTCTAGGGAATTTGGGCAGTTTCTGGCTCTGAGACTCAATTTCCATCCCATTCTGTTCTCTTCTATACCATTCCACATGCAATATTGTCCCAAAGGTATTCCTTTGATTACTTACAACATAAAGACTCTTGTTTGACTCCTTTAGCAGCAACACATGAGACTCATAATCATTATCCTTTTAAGAAAAATGTCAAGGCATCTTCATGAAGGATGCTGTGGAGCATCAGTATAAAATGCATTTTGTAAGTAAAGAGAAAGACCAGCTTTGAGAAAGACTGGGGATTTTCCTTGCAGATGTAAATATATCTGCTTGACTCTCTTTATAAATTAAATTTTATAAGTAGCAGCTACTGTTCTACAGCAAGGCCTCCTGGATGAGGGAAATGATAAGCAGACTGAAGAAGAGATGTAGCTTGAGAGGATTAGGCAATCCAAATCCAGGATTACCAAGCCAGAAACTAAAAGGGAGCCTCTGCAGGGCTGACTCAGAGAGGAACCTGACAGGGCATGGGGCCTGATGAGACACATTGCAATCAATGTAAATTAAAACTTAGATGTGCCTTTGTCTTTTCTCCAATGCAGAGTTGCTAAACATTGTCTTAAACTTTGTTATTAGTTTCCGTGACCTGAATGCTGCTGAGTATTTGTGTGTTGAGTTGCACAACTCATGACTGTTAAAAGATGTTGCTTCTCAGATTTGCCCACCTGCATGGAGCATTACACTCTTGACTGCTGTTATGGAATTTTTCATTTGTTCCATTATTTAACCAGTATTTCCTGAAGGTGTTCGTGTTCTAAGCACTGCCCTAGATGATGGAGACAGAGTGGAAACCAAGATGGACAAGTGGGGTCTTCTGAATCCCATTCAGCCTGTCTAACATCCCTTCCCAATGATGCCTGAAGAGTTCTTGACACAGGACTGTAAAAAGGCAAAAAAGAAAAAAAGTTTAAATTAAATTCCTGGCTACAGAAGGGGAATTGCCTAGAGTTTATTACCTTAAGCTTAATTACATGAGCAATAAGTGATACATTATATGAAAAACAAGGCAAGAACGAAATTTTGAACAACTTGCTCTTTAAGGAGTTAGTGAATTCCTTAGCCTGGTTGAGGTGCGAGGAAGTGTCCCATTGCTTGTCAAACCTATATCTCCATCATTAGGCTTCTGGGTCCTACCACCTTTTATTATTCACAAATCATATTTTATGTTGAATACTATCATCTCACCCTACCTATCTTAATTTTTTTAAATTATGGATTCTAAATCAGAGAATTTAAGTGTCTGTGAATTTGTAATTTCTCAGCAATTTCTTGAAATCTAGATTTAAATATAGAGTCTTCATCAAATATATCTCTATAGTTTTTACTACAATGGTTTGTCTTTGGAAAGAACTTGGTACTATTTCCCCTCCTCCAATACGTATGTTGCAAAACTGTATGCCACAGATGGCTTCTCTCTAGTGGGCTGGACTGGGGGTCTTTACTATGTAGTTAGTGACATTTCAAGTCATGAGAGATGCTAACAGCCTTGACTTTTGGCAGGAGACATTTCCAGATTGGATATGATCTCAGAAAAGTTTGCCCTGTCTACAAAAGTCATCAATTGCATGATACTTCATATAAAGCAATAAGATTCTCCAGGCTGTAAAAGCTTGTGGTTTAACCATTTACTGTAGTTTATTTTCGTTATGCATTAGCTGGATGTTCTCCAGTAGTGAAAGACTTAAAAAACCTATACCCTATCTGGCTAAGAAACCAGGAGATGATGAACAGGTATAGAAGAGGAGGTGGTGGTATGACCCAAGGGGTGTGGGCTGAGTCCAGGGCCTGGGTAGGACAGGTCAAGTGCAGAGACCTGAACTTGAGTGCTTAAGGCCAGGAGAAGATCCATGTGCCCTTTCACATGTTGGCTGCTCCATAGCCCATGTGGCCGGTGTGTGTGATTGGAAGAGCAAATGCCCATGTGTCCTGGTGACTGTTCCTTTGCCGGTTGATTGTAGGAAGCATCTATGTCAGAACCATCAGATATAACACTGTTATAACCAAGCCATCTTGTCAAGAAGTATATTTACATTCTAAGACTCTACACTTGGAATATATCTTTTTTCTTTTAAAGAATTCCTGTGTGTTCTGTCCTATAACTGCATAACTCTGGGGATAGGTAGGCCTGCTTCACAACCAACTCAGTTCCAAGTTATGAGAACTTAGGCTGGTTAGTTAAACTCCTTGCAACTCATCTTTCCATTTGCAAAACAGGGGCATGGTAATAAACTTGTCACATAAGAAATGTATTTGGCATAAATGTAAAGGGCTCTGATAATTTAGGTGTTATTTCCATAATGTTTATGTTACTCTGTTCTTTCATTGATAGAGAAATACTGAAGTTGGGTAATTTATAAAGAAAAGTTTAATTGGCTCACAGTTCTGCAGACTGTACATGCGTGGCCCTGGCATTTGCTTGACTTCTGGAGAGGCCTCAGGAAGTGTTTACTCATGGTGGAAGGCAAGATAGGGGCAGAAATGTCACATGGTGAGAGAGGGAACAAGAGAGGGAGAAGGGGAGGATGCCACATACTTTTAACAACCAGATCTCATGAGAAGTAATTTATTATGAGGACAGGACCAGGCCATGAGGGATCTGCCTCTGTGATCCAAATACCTCCTATGAGGCCACACATTCAACACTGGGAATTACATCTCAACATGAGATTTAGAGGGGAGATTCAAACTAAATCAATGTATCCTGGCAGAGGAATGTGTGCTCTGCTGACATAATATCTTTTATAGCAACTTTTTTTTTTTTTTAGACAGGGTCTCACTGTGTCACCCAGGCTGGAGCGCAGTGACACCATCTCAGCTCACTGCAGCCTTACCTCCCAGTTTCAAGGATCCTCCTGCCACAGCCCCAACAAATAGCTGGGACTACAGGTGTGTGCTACACCACCTGGCTAATTTTTGTATTTGTTGTAAAGATAGGGGTCTTGCCATGTTGCCCAGGCTGGTCTCAAACTCCTAAGCTTAAGAGATCTGCCTACCTCTGCCTCCCAAAGTGCTAGGATTATAAGTGTGAGCTACCACACCTGGCACATAGCAACTTTTATGTTTTTTTAAAAAGTCTGTTTAAAATGCATTGCCAAAGCCTACGTTAGTGAATAGTGATGTTGCCATTCACTGCCTCAGCAAGAAGCATGGCTGATACAGGATCATGAACTGGAGCTTTGCTTAGTCATGTTTATCTAACATGTACAGGGTGACCAACATAAGGGAAAATGGGAGATTTTACAGAAATGTGTGGATTTCCATAGTTTCTCAAAACAATTGGTAGAGTTATTTTTCTGACTGGAGATTTACAAGGTAACTCAGTGTCTCTACTACTACTGCCTTGGTTTGAGTCACCGGTGGCTCTCACCTGGATTCGTGCATTTGCGCAATTGCTTCCTAATTGACTTCTCAGCCTCTGATCTCACTTCCCACTCCTGTTATTAACCTGAAATGTAGTTCATACCATGTCACTATTTTATTCAAAATGAATGAAAAGTTTAACAGTGACCTTTATAGGGAAAAAGAAAAGAATTTTTTTGGTGGCATTTGCTAATTTCCATGGTGGAAATATTTCACAGTGGTTGATTTTAAGCTACCAATGTGAAGTCACGTCAGAGTTGGAAAGAAGTGCACAAGCAGCTCTGCCAACCCATTGTAATCCAACCTCAGTACACAACTAAAAATATGCCCAATGACTTCTTGAACCACTCAAAGTAAGGTTCTTACAATGACCATGAGTCAAGTCAATGGCCGTGAAATTTCTGATTACCTCTTTTATCTTGCCTCCAATGCTACACTCTTCTCTCTAGTTTCACACTCTTTACTACTTAGTTATTTTGTAAAATGGGAAAGTGTCTGTAGCAACACATCACATAAAATGTATGACAGCATTAAGAGCTCTTAAGAAGAAAAATATTTTATAAATCCAAGTTGATGGGAACACTGCCAGTTCACCTAATGTGACACATAGATCACTGTCCTTCACTGAGCAAGACAAATTACTCAATGACTATGTCTCCCCACAAAACTGGATGTGAATCAAGCCTTCTGTCACCTGATTTACTGTGAATAGCCTTGATACCTCTGCAGGGAAATGGGAAGTATTACTTTGCTTGACTTTGAAGATGACTTAATAAGGCAAGAATGAATCAGTTGCCATGTGTTTTCAGTCACATCCAGTCCCATTCATTGTATAGGTCCAGTCACTAATGCTTTACCACCAGTTCTGCTGGATTCATCTTCTCATCCCCATTTAGCATTCATTTCTTCTCCAGAGCCTGTCTCCTGGCTGTTAAAAGAAGATACCAGATATCAAGATAAACAATTTCATTCCTCCCAGAAAATTAGGTCCTAGAGAGTGTGAGACAGGTTAGAAGGAAATTATTTGCTTATAGGCCTTCCATACGCTTTTGCCATCTCAAGGTAAGGTTTGGTATTTTTATAATTTTTCTAAGCTTGGTGATATTGTCTATGGAAAGGTTATTTACTTTTACTGTTAATGATGCTTTGGGGATTGCAGTGGAGAAGGAAAAAGAAAGAGGTTGAATCAGGTGGTGGCTGCTCACAGCTTGTATACACAATACAGCTGCATTTTCACCTCCATTCTTGTGGGAAGATATGTTTGGATTTCACAAGAATGTTCAATATAAGATATAAAAAACTATAGAGTTTATGTCTGTGTTTCTTACCCTAGTATATGTAAAAACCAGTAATGCATGAACTTTATGCAAATTCTTTGAATTTGGCAACAAGATATTCAAACACTTTTATTTGCTTATGCTGAATTAATTAGTGCTCACATAACTTTATGCATAAAGTTTACATGTGTGCTTATTTTAATAATTTACAAGAAAATATTAGTAGGTCAATTATTCTACTAAAATAGTCTTGTAAATGCTCAGAACCATGTTGAGACCTATACAGCTTAAACCTGAGTATAAGAAACAGCACTGATTGCCTTTCTACCCCAAGACTTTTACTTTATTTAAAAACAAAAACTTAACACTATGAAGTGAATTTGGGGGAATATCTATTCTATTTGTACTTCTCAGGGGTTAGGAAAGAGGGAATTTTCGAAAACAGCTGTCAATGAGAATAGATTGAACTCGACTGGAGGATTGACTCTGGATCTTATAAGGCGAGATTTAAAGAAATGGAAAGAATATGTTCTATCAGAAGAATTCATTATTCACTCATCCCCTCCATCTAAAGGAGGTCCTCCCTATTTTTCCCTTTCATATCACTCTGTTTTCTTTGTAGCATCAATCTTAATCACCTGACTCTACCCCTAATCTCTATGTTTTACAGGGAGAGATAATTTGTTTTTTTGTTGAATGACTAGGGCCTAGCACACTATCTAGGACAGACAGGTCTTCAGTAGTTATGGGTTTAATTAATTGACTAATAAATCAGATATTTGTGATTTTATGGGGCCATAAAAATCACAAGAATAGATACTGGTGATTATTGTAGCAGAAAATAAGATTGAACATGTGCAGTGTCGCCGCATTATGTAATATTTTAAAATAAAATGCCATTGCAAGGATTTGAACAAAGGAATGTTCCCTTTAAGCATATCTTCAGTAGACTGACCTAGTAAAGCTATGGAAGATAGATGAGAAGACCGCAGACCAAATCTGGTTTGTTGCTGAGGTCATCCTTGCAAATGATGACAGCCCCACCTGCTGTGAGTCTGAATTAACTGATCTTGACCTCCGCATTTGACACACCTGTGCTCATCACATTACCACTTCAAGGATAAGCATGTTGAAGGTATATACCAGGGAGTGGTAGAGATGATTGATCACAAAATTTAAGCTGCATTTAGGAAGACAAGATTTACAGCAATTGAGAAACACAGAAAAGATTGCAAGACCAAGGAACGGAAAAAGTTCCAAAAGGGGGTCAAAGGAGAGCTAAGGTTGAAAACGCAAAGGAAGCAAACTGAAAAGGCAAGTGATGGTAGTCACACATACAGACGCTTAAAACTGAGGTTACAGAGGGAGTGAGGTTACTGGTAATCAAAAGTCCAGATTGTGGCCCTGAGTGTGGTGGCTATGACAGGAAGAAAAAAAAAATATCTTTGGGGAGAAGATTTCAAGAAAGTGTGTGGCCAGGGAATATGTGTATATTTAACACTGTGTCTCATGCATTCCCAAATTAGCCTACAACTTACATTTTTTATCCTCCTTTTTTTAAACTACATGGGTTGCAATGAAAATATCTTTTGGTGATTCCTACCCTGATCCAAATCCTGTATTTTCCAAGGTTTGCAAACTCTTTAAGAAAAAACTGAAACAGATGGCCACAAATGAGTTATAAATGGAAAAAACAAAAACAAAAACAATAAAGCCCCACAGAAAACCTTTGCCAAAGAATCACTAAGTTAATTGTCCTCCTTAAGTTGAACCAGGCTTCAGTAAAAAGGAGATTCTTTCCAATAAGGAAGCTGTGAAGTTAAATTTCCCTGGTCACCTTCCATGTGTACAGGAAGGTTTTATTTTAATAGGGTGGATCTTAAATTTAAATGTGCTCTCAGTTAAACTGTAAACCCTGAGGGGTGTATATCTTTATTGTACAGTACTGGCTCATTGTGCTGTTGTGTGCAACAAATAATAGATGATAAATACTATAATGAGACCAACTAAGATACTGCCTCCATTGTAATGGAGAATTTTTTTTTTTATTTTTAGATGCATTGTGAGCATTAAAACCGTTGCTAATATGTTGTGACAATACCTTTTAATTAGTTATGAATAAATATGTGTTGGAGAAGATGAGGTTTGATCAAAGGCAAATTAACACTGGACGCTGACACCCCTTAGGGCTACAGCATAAAGCGGATAATCCAAGTGCCTTCATTGACACAGGGCATTCGATTCAATTATTTTGTAGAAGAAAACCAATCAGGGAAAGTGCATTGTTCCCAGAAAGCTATTCTAGAAAAACAGGGAGCCAAGCTCCTGGCCTCTGCATAGGTAATTTTGCCACCTATATTTCAATCTATCATATTATTACATTTGGGTACATTAAGCAGATCTGCAACCTGTTGTGCATAGAGACAGCACACTGGCCACTCTATTTACAGTAACTAATGCATCCACGCATAAGTATTTGGCTCTTAAGTAGCGTCTTTAGTGATTCACATTTACATGTCACTCCGGTTACATGAATGAGGGCTGGAAGCTGGGTTTTTAGAACTCTAAGGCCTGACTTTTTAAATGGACTTCAAAAATGCCAGGGAGGACACTTCTCAGCTTTATCAGTTTGCCAAGGTGATGTGTCCAATAGAAATGTTTGTAAAATGCTTTTTGTTGTTAAGTTAGGAAAAACTCTTCATGAATAAAACCTGACCTGGGTTTATATGTGCATTTAATCCCACAAGGATCCTGAGGGATCATGGGGTAAGGTATTACTACCTCACTGGATAAATGAATGAATCTATTGGGAAATGAATTCTCTAGTGGTCACACAATGATTTAGGAGCAGTGTTAGAAATGAAATTTTCTGTCTGGAAACAATGTACATGTACATGCATGTGTGTGTGTGATCTATAGTGTCTTTTTCTATAGACACACAGATGATGGAATTTTTTCACTTCCTGGAAAATGTATGGCTTGACTATTCAATTAGAGATACTGAGATCAGTTCCCTTTAGAGGTTGGAAATTTCTGGATGACATAACTTATTATCTATATTTCACTTTATCTCTTTACTCCTATTCAAGCCAAGTCTCTATTTTAAAAAGATTTTGGTCTTCTAGATTTATTCTACTGAAGCAAAATTTCTGTAACTCTTTAATATATGCCTGGAAATAATATAATTAACTATGTATTCCTTTTAATGTAGGTCTAAAATAATTTATATCCATAAATATTTACATGGTAACTTTTACACTCAAAGAATTATACTAGATGCCATGGGAGATAAAGGAAACATGCACATTTTGATTTTTATCTTCACAAATTGTATAATGTCAAGGTTGTATATAATAGCTGTAATATAAGGCAAATAGTGACAATATGAAGGAAGTTCACTAAAGAAGAGAGTGGGTATTGATGAAAGTTTAAGAAAGAAGTGGCATTGGTTTAGGCCCTGAATAACTTGAGATTTTTTTTTTCCTCAAATAGAGATGTAGTTTGAAGGGGAAAAGACCCCAGGGGAGTGGAGGGAAGAAGAATTATGTGAGTGGATATGACGAGATAAGAAAGAAGGCTGGGCCACATTAAGCAGAGCTTAAATTCCTTACAGAGGAACTGGACTCTTATTTTGGGTAATCCTGAAGACTTTTAAGAGGAGGATTGATGTGATCCCATTTATTTTTTAGGACTTTTTTTTTTTTTAGGTCAATGAATGCATTATTGCTAGGGAAAACTGAGACAAATAATCCAAGTAAGAATATCATTTAGTAGCTGGGACCAAAAGTTCATAAAAAGCCTTGTAGATGGTTTGGAAAATAGGGAATAGATGTGAAATCTAGGTAGAAGAGGAAGAATCGGTTGACAGTTTGAGTGTCTGTATATATAGGAAGTATATAGGTGTCAAATTTCTTGGAAGCATTTGTTCTCTGTGACTGAGAGAATGATGCTTTGAAGACAAAGTTTCATTAGAGGGAAAAGGGAGATGGCAATGACATTGGCTTGGAACATGCTAATCTTGGGTGTCAAAGGAACACCCATTTGGAAATGCGCAGTATTTTGTTGAGAGGGCGAATAGATGTCTCAGAATGCAGGTAACCATGGAATATTAGATTTGAAAATCACGTGGACAGGATAGCATTGAAGTCTTAAAAATTGATATTTGTCAAAGACAACCACAGAAAAATCATAAAAGGGGAAACAGAACTTTGACCTACACTGAAGCATGAGGGGCAATAAGAGAAGTCAGTGGAAATACCAAGTAGGACAAATTGGAAAAATGTAAAAGCAGGAGAGGACAGTATTCAGGAAGCCAAGGAAATAGGACATTCCAGAAAGAAGCTGCGGTCTAAAAGAGATAAAATGGCTCTAAAGGTATTGAGAAGAATCTAGAGAAAAATAAAACTTTCTAGTTTATGCCACTAGCAAGGAAAAGGTTACTTTTTTTTTTTTTTTGACGGAGTCTTGCTCTGTCACCCAGGCTGGAGTACAGTGGCGCCATCCGCTCACTGCAAGCTCTGCCTCCGGGGTTCACGCCATGCTCCTGCCTCAGCCTCCCGAGTAGCTGGGACTACAGGCGCCCGCTACTGTTCCCGGCTAATTTTTTTTTTGTATTTTTAGTAGAGACGGGGTTTCATAGTGTTAGCCAGGATGGTCTCGATCTCCTGACCCGGTGACCCGCCCATCTTGGCCTCCCAAAGTGCTGGGATTACAGGCTTGAGCCACCGCTTTAAGAAAACCATTTCAGTAGACTCTGGTGGTAGAAGCCAGAGTACAACAGATACACAAAGAATGTGACTTAAGGACAGTGATAAGAAGGTAAGAACCCCTTTTGAGACTTTGCCGTCTTGTTCAAAGGTGCATCCCTGGCAGCTAACAATGTATTGGGCACAAAAGAGATGCTCAATAGATGTTTGTGAATTAAAGATGAATGAATGATTTAGTAAACGAATGAGAGACAAGAAAAAATAGCAGAAGGGAAGGAGAAAGGGAGGGATAGAGAGAAACAGAGAAAGAATACAAGAGATGAAGCAGGAGCTCACGATGTTTGAGCTAAGTATTGCTAAAGAAAGGGGAGTTGGAAATGTTTAGGATTGCTGATGAGAATAATCAATGAAGAATATACCATGGAGAATAAAGTGGAAGAACAATATATGTATAAAAATTGTTAAGAGATATTGAGTCAGCATACCAGAGGAAAAAATATAGTTAATGATGTAGAGAAATTGAAATATGTAGAGGAGAAAGACCCAGGGACCTCTCATTGGAGAACAACAATCTTGTTAGTGAAATAGACCTTGAGGTATTATTCTGAGGGACTGGGTTCAGATTTGTCAAAACCGAGGTTTCCTAAAGCTTGCAGTCATAAAGAGGTGTGTACTACGTGTAACTGCAGAGTTATCTTAAGAAGGGTAAGTTTAAGTTGCATTCATTATTTAGAAAGACATTGAATTATTTTTGAATTGATATGAAAGATGAAACAGTGTTTTATTTTGCTTCCTTGGTAGTTCATTTTTCACAATGATTCCGTAAATACATGGCTAGGATTTCTGGATCTGTCTGAGGTGTGTTTTTCCCTTTCATCTTCATGACTCTGTTTTAAACTGCAAAATATTTGAGACCTCAGCAGAATATTTTGCAAGAAGCATTTCACTGTGCTCAAATATTTTCAATTTTCAGGTACTTTCTATAAAGTCTTTTAGATCTTGTTTTGTTCAAGAAATTTAGAGCATTATTTCATTAAATCTTAAGACACTATTATCAGAAGAAGCACATATTACAAATGTTTGGGAAGGGCGAATGCTGTAGGTTTAAGACAGAGCTGACATGAAAACTTTTTTATCTCAGTCTTCTGATTTTGTTTGACAAATCACACCATCTCTCTGCTAGAAGGTCAATGAATAGATGGCAATATACCTGGGAAGTACAGGTTTCAAGAAAACTCATTTTTCTGGTATGAAATTTCATGCCAGAAATAGTTTGGGGTCATGCTAATCCCTTTCTTCCAATATTATGGAGAATAGAGATTTTGCAAAATGGGGTACATATTTTGGTAGTTTTGCACCCTAAAACAGAAAAAGAGGAAGCATTCAAGGGTGGTGTCAGTATCTAATACTGTGTCATAGATGATGGTCTGGGCTGAGAAAGTAACTAGTTGCCTTATTATGGATAGGAAACTTTTCAGAGAAGAAAACATACTGAAATTATACTGAAGAGTATGGCATCTGCCACTTCTTTGAGTTGTTTGGCTCTTTCTCAAATCCAGGGCATGACTTTACAGTTCTTACTAATAGGAACATGTGTTCTCCCTCTAGGTCCAACTTCAAACTGGCTTAAGGTTTGAGAGTAAACATAACTGATCTCATAAGCATACAATCTAGTCTCCAGATCATAAGTGTATGGACAAACCAGAGAGTAGCCTCTTGACTCTGGAATTCAAAATGCCATTGGTGTCAATCAAGATGGTTACAAAGTTGAAGGAAAATGATATCTAATCCAGGGATTTGTTAAATAATGATTAATTTAGAGGCTTCTACTGTGTTATCTCAGGCATGTAAATAATGTATAAAACAATATGAGAGAGAGATATTGGTAGCCTCTAATTTGAGGTGAAGATAACAAAACTGAACGAATTAATGTGCCTGGGGTCACAAAACTAGTTTGTAATAGAGCTAGAATTGTATGTTGAATTTTTCAAATTGGCCGTTGGGATATCTGAAAACAGCATTCCATCATACATTTTTTTTTGTTTCAACAGTGAAAGCAATTATTAGCTAATCATACCTAAGCCTCATAGTATCATTGTAGTTTTTCTTTCCAATGAGAGCTTGAAAATGCCTATCCCAAAATAATTCAAAAAGAAAAGTTTCTGAAACTACCTAGCAGTTTTTACTGGGTCACATCTTTCTCTCTCTTCCACTATCTCTACCCACTTTCCACTTGCTACAAACAATGCATGGTCTGTGCTCTCAAGGAGCTCACAGACCAGTGGAGGAGATCAAATCAGAGAACACACCTGAAGGGTGTGATAAAGGAGGTGCTATCACATGGAGGAGCATAGAGTCCTTTGGCAATGTTAAGGCAGGAACATGTTCCATTAGAGAATTCTTGAGGTCAGAAAGGGAACATGTTGTAGATGAGAACTGGCATAGAATCCAGACCTTAAAAGACCATGAGTATAACTTAAAAGTTTGGATTTTTAGTCCAAAGAAATGGAAGAGCTATCAAAGGGTTTTAATTTAGAGAGTGACACGAGCAAATCTGCATTTAGAAGGATAAATCTGGCAGCACTGTAGAGAAAGATCAGCTAAGAGGCAATTGCATTAATTTAGCCAAGAAGTGATGAGCACCTAAACCAAAGCCGAGCGGTAGAGATGGAGAGAAGGGGATTAAGCTGATCTCTGCATTCAGATTACTGGTTCCAACAGGGACAAAAATTAATAGTGTATGAGTAGTCACAGACTTTTCCTTTCTCCTTCATCATAAATTGAGAAAATGGCCACTGAAGAAGGAAATAGAGAAGAATGTCATTAAATAATAGTATCATCCATCCTGTTGCTTAAGAAACCTGTGAGTTATTCTTGAACTATTCCCAAACATATATGTATACATTCATTTATTTAATTAATACTTATTGGTTGTGCCTTTGGGCCAAACACTGTTCCAGCCATTGGAAATACAAGACAGACAAGGACCAATTAAGTTTTGCCCAAATATACTGATAATTTTTCAATTTCTATAGATCCCCACTGCCAGCTCACAAATCCCCTTCTTCCCCACTTCTCTCTTCATCTGATGAAGTCTTACTCATGATCTGCATCAGCTGAGAAGCCACATCTTCCCATGGGGCTTCCCAGCCCTTTGGTGGTTGTTAGGGCCCCAGGACTTGTTGTTCCATTGCACCTGCCTTATACTTCTTGTGAGAGAACATCTGATCACAAGGTGCTGAAATCATAGGGGTTCAAGAGCCAGTGACTTTCTGAGGACCCTGACCACTCTGTTCTGTTCACTGCCTGACAAACTATAGGCACTTGGATATTTTGTAAATAAATAGTGAGTAAATAAATTCCTCAAGACAGAGTTGTTTTGTCCTCCTTAAAAATTATACCTTTAGAAAGCTAAACCAGTTATTATACTTTAAACTGGCATTAAGTTAAGGCCTTCTGCTCAGGAAGTTCAAGGCCATTATATGTTATTCTATATTTCTAGTTTCTACTTCTAGGTTGAAAAAAATGAGCCACATATGGTTAGCTAAACTCATTTCTAAAAACTTGGCATGTTCTCAAACCATATTCAAAGCTTATGTCAGTTTTGAAGACACAAATAAAATATATTTTCCAGAACTTCTCCTCCTCTGGTTGAATTTTTGGAAAAGATCTCCCACGATGTGAACTTCTGTAAACTGTATTCTAAGTTCAATCTGAATATTATAATTTATTTTCCATATACCCTCTCTTTAGGCCATGACACTTCAAGAAGTAGAAGAGTCTTATGTATAGAAATGAGGAATGTTTTAATTTTAGATTCCAAAGTACCGTAGATAATAACATATGTTAATCTTAAAAGCACTTGTCATGTTTTAAGTAAAAATAAGTCTCTTAAAGATGTTCCATAGAATTTATTCTGGCCTTAATAAGCATTATATTTCTGTCCTGCCTCTTTAGAAACTCAGAAATGAAGAAAAGGAACTTTGATAGAGGTTAAAAAAATCTCTCTACTTCCCTCTGTAACCTCCTTCCTTTATTATAATTAAGCATCACATTAATGGGCAGCAATATTAACCTCAAACTCTTGGCAATAGCACTTCGTGATAAATAAGTTGTGTGCTTGTTTTTCAAGCATAACTCCCTAGCCATGATTACCCTAAGCTCTAACATTCATAAAAATCTTAAATTATCATGGTGTTTGATAGAGATGACCATAAAATCCATTCAATAGATTTGTGCAACTCTATAATTATGTCCACTGATAATTATAGCTTTTTTTTTCTTGACTTTTTCTTTTTATTTACTGTCTGGATTTGGAAGTATATTGCATGACAATACTGTTGAAGCCCTCTTACAAAAATAAACAAAATGTATTGATATGATTAGAGTATGTTTTCCTTCATGGTGCTCTAGGGTGGAAACTTATTAAAAATGGCTATTTGATGACTGGGAACAGAAAGATAAAAATTGATACAGAGTTAGGTAAGTCAGGAAGGAAGGGGAGGTAAATTAACATTTGTCCAGCCTCCTGTCATAGTACACTCAGGCTGCTAGGATAAATACCACAGACATTTATTTCACACAGTTCTGGGAGCTGGAAAATCCAAGCTTGAGCTGATGGCAGATTCAGTGTCTGGTGAGGTCCTGCTTCGTGGTTCATTGATGGCTGTTTTCTCTGTGTCCTCACACCATAGAAGGGGTGAGAGAGCTCTCTGGGATCTCTTTAATGAGGGCCCTAATTTCATTCTGAGGGTTTTGCCCCCAAGACTTAATCACTTCCCAAAGTCTCCATCTGCAAATACCATCACACTGGGGATTAGGTTTCAACACATGAATTTGGGGTGGGGGAGCAGGGGCGACAAACATTCAGTCTATAGCACCTGTACTTATATCAGCCACCTTGATAGGCTATTTTAAAATGTCTTATTTCATTTTACTTTATAACAACCCTGGAAAGTGTTTCTTTATAAAGATAAGCATAATTGAAGTTCATAAAGTATATGTCTTCTACCTATAATTGGATAGCTAGTAAATAAGTTGGTTAGTTACATATCTCAAATTCTAAGATACTGAATTTTGGCAGAGGTGAAATCTCCTACCAAGGAGAAAGAACATATTTGATATTTAAAATATATCATTTTAGGCCAGGCACGGTGGCTCATGCCTGTAACCCCAGCACTTTGGGAAGCTGAGGCAGGGGGATCATGAGGTCAGGAGTTTGAGACCAGCCTGACCAAGGTGGTGAAATCCCGTCTCTACTAAAAATACAAAAATTAGCTGGGTATGGTGGTGTCTGCCTGTAATCCCAGCTACTTGGGAGGCTGAGGCAGAATAGTTGCTTGAACCTGGGAGGCAGAGGTTGCAGTGAGCCAAGATTGCACCACTGCGCTCCAGCCTGGGTGACGGAGCAAGACTGCGTCTCGAAAAAAAAAAAAATCATCATCATCATCATTATCTTAAAGTATAATATCTGGAACTAATGGAAACTGAGTCCTTTCTCTTCAGGACAGTTTTGTTTTTTTCTTGTCATTTTATTTTGTTTTTCTATAACAGTTCATCACAGCAGTTAATAAAAAGATGTGTAAAAATCCCACTTTTAACACTTGACCTTCATATCCGAGAAGTATCAATAAAGAGCCAGACACAGGAAATTAATGTCTGAAAAAAACTAGGAGACTTAAAATATTAGGTGCATAAAGTAGAAAATAGATATCATTGAGGATATGAAGTGGTGAAAATGAGTGTTTGAGCCTAAGGCAAGAAATCCACAAATTATGGTTTTGAATGAGCATGTGTGGCTCAGGGAAGACATTAAGGGTAATGGTGAGTAAACAATTTGAAGAAAATATGAACACAGTTTAATTTTACTGAAGCCAAGTTTTCATATCCAAGTATACTGCCTGATTTAAAAACTATATATGGGGCAAATATATAAAGCAGTTAATTATTTTTATTCATAGTGTTAAATAGGAGGGATTTCTTCAAATAATAAAGCTGCATGCATTTGTTTCCTGTGTTGTATCATCCTGAGTCTATCCCTGACACCAGATGCATTTTCTGATAAAAGTCAGCCAATAACTCTTATTTAGTAACTACTGTCTGCAGATTATTATACTGGTTCATTTAGGACTTTTCTCAATACATTTGTCAGGAAACCCAAATATAATTGGCTTTAACAAAATGGAATTTAGTAGTTGATATACCTGAACAGTTTGGGATTATTCTAGCTGCAGACATAGCTATAGCCAGGTCTTCCTCAAGGCCTGGAGACCTGGTCCCACTTATTTTCATTCACAATGGGAAGAAGGATGAAGCAGGTCCGGACTTCTGGCCAGTGCAGCTTCGTGTATGCCCTGGTTTCACTCTGATTGGACCACCTTGAGGCATTTGCCAGTTCCTAAAATAGTCACGGTGGCCAGGGTGATCCAACGTTTGTTTGGCTGAGACTGAGCAATATGGTGGACTGAGAGAGAGAAAAAAAAAAGATTCCCTACAGGAATTTCCATTGCAAAGATAAAGGAGAATGCATCCCTGGGAAGCAAAAGTGAAATATGTCCACAATTTTTTTTAACTAATCCTTTTATTAGGCTATCTCCAAAGTGGACTTACTTCCATTACTCATTTTTCCTTTGTAAAACAAATGTGTGTTAGTGACTAGAATGGTGAGCAAGGAGATAGAATGCCTGCTTTCATGAATCTGGGGGTAAGTGAATGTGACCAGCCATTTGTACTCAAGGCCAATGGGGCTGGGGAGAGCGTGTGAATATGATGAATTGTATGACAAGTTACACCTGCCAAAAGTCAAAGCAGATGTAACTAATTATGCCTCTCTCTTAAAAGTCTGACTTTGAGTTGAGGCATATTCCTTGTCAAACAGGAAGAGGTGTTACTAGTGGCTCTCTAGATGGCCAATTTCCATGAGCACAGCTCAGCCTAGCTGGTCCTGATACCTAGAAAAGGCCATTCTGCTGGAGCAGGGATCCTTCTGGTAGGATGGGCCAGGGGGATGTTCAGTAGGCAGCACAAGGTGAGCATTTGGCTTTGAGCATCTTAAGAGAAGGCAACAGGGAGGCAGCATCAAATATAAACTTTTTAAATCATACTTTTAATGAAGAAAGTGTAAATATTAGTTTCTTTCTATTCATTCATAGAGAAATGCCCACATGAAAGATTCCAAGAGTTAACAGGTGACAGTGGCCCACCTGCCCACAGGCAAATCTCATCCTCTTCTTTACAGCTGTAACCACCACCATTTCCCTTTCAGGTGTTCCCCCATTTAATGTATGGTTGAATGTGCCCTTTCCCTGATACTAGATGAAAACATCTTTTTGAAAATTTAACACAAAAAATCCCAAATGGTTTGCAAAGTTTGCAAAGGTAGAAATACACTGGAGTATGAATCAGTTTCAGAGATAGGTTTTTGAGCTCAACTCCAAAATATCACTACAGAAAAGAATTACTCAAGCAAGCAAACTCCTAGGCAACCCTTCAGTTTGTATCTCAAATTTCTAGATGTGCATAAAAGAGGATCAATATCTTTATCTACTTATCTATCAATCATTATCTAGCTATCAGTCTACATCATTGTCATCATCATTATCTATCTGGGGTGGGATTATATTTTTCCCAGTGCTTAGCAAAGAAAACTCTACTACAAAATATTGACATGTTTGCCTCAAAACTGCATGCAGAAGCAACACCCCTGTCACTTTTGAAGATGATGTCTCACCTCAGCAGCTCACCTTTCTCATGGGTTTTGTTTTTGTCTTCGAAAGGAAGCAGTTCTCATAAGGAAACACACAACATCAATGCTGATGGATTTCAAGCAGACAGCAAGACAAGGAACAAACTGTGGTGATTAGCATTGTCAGAGCAGTTTTGAAGTGCTTGTTTTGTACTTTTCTTTATCGGTCCTAATCAGCAGGTGCTTTGAAAAATTGATGCAAGTATTTAAGAAAGTTAACAACATGAGGGCTACAGTTGCCTAGATTATCTTGATACCTTGAGTTAAATGTAGGATTTTATTTTGATTTTCTTTGTGTGAAGTTTTTTGAGGTTACATGGTACCATATGGCATGCTTTACAGGCATGGCCTTATAATGCAAATGACTATCCTATAAGCAAAATTCAGTGGGAAAAGACTTAAATGTAGGAATTTTATGGCTAAAATTATTGACTGCATTTTATATATCAGACTGCTAAATGCTTCATATGCAGTATATCAGGTAAATTTGATACCAGTTTGACGGGGCCAATGCCGCTATTAAACAGCTAAGGAAATGGCCCCAGGGATTCAGTAGCTAATGTTATACAGCTGCTAAATAATGGCTCTGGGATAGTCTATAACTCCATGATTCCAGTGCACAAATGTCCAGGCCTGTCTACTAGCCAATAATTTGTTTGGTGGAGATATTTACAAACATTGCATCAATTACTTCTGGAAAAATAACCCTCCTTGATTTAGATAATATTTTACACTTTGTGTTTTGTAATGGAATAACTAACCAACAGACAAGTAGATCTCACAACATTGCCTTCATTATATGAGAAAAAGCATACTTGTTTAAATTCAGGATTATGAAACTTGTTTTTATTTTTATAACATGAGATGTGTCAGGCTTAATCTATCTTGAGTGTTGGAGTCTTATTGCAACAAGACTCTTTCTTTAGCCCACATAACTTTCACTTCCAGCCAAATATTCCTATAGTGAAGTTAGCTTCTAACTCCTCAAGCCTCATTTAAATGCTCAGTCTGAAGCAGGAGAATGACCTATTTTCACAGGCATTCCTTATTTCTGGGGTCTTCCATTTGTCGTGATGCCTTCTCTTTCCCTGCTTCTTTGGTTTCTGAATGCCGGAGGAATTGTTCCCAAGTATGTCAGTTCAGGTCTCCCAGGAAGCAGACACCATGACAGAGTTAGAAGTCTGGGAGGTTTATTGGGAAGAATGCCTGTGAGAGATAAAGAAGGAGGAAGCAGAAGAGGTAGGACAAGTCTGAGATCACAATGCAGGTCTAGCACCTGTAGAAGGAGAGGGGGAGGAAAAGCAATTGAATAGGAAGATCATCAGACTGTGATGCAGTGATGAGAAGGAAGGTCTTGACCAGTGCAACAGGGAAAGCCAGCCATAAAGGTTGCCTGAATCTGGGAAGAAGTAATCAGGTGTAATACCTCATTGTGCTCATCCATTGTCTAGGAGCTGCCCATGGACAACATAGCCTCAACTAAAATGCTGCACCAGATTTGGAAGACGGCAGCTGGCAGCTGACTGCTATCCTCAGAGGAGGTTCTCTGTTGAGGGACTTCTGAGCCACACACCTCCATGGCTGCCACAGTTCACTCCCTAGACTCAGCTGATGTCCTTCTCCTGCAGGCTTTGGGAACAGTTCTCTCCTAGCTCTCTTCTGGCTCTTCTTGAGGGGAAACTTGGAAGGGTGCAGTTAGTGAGATAAACTATAGCCCTCATCACCGCAGTTTGTATGGGAGCTACGACTGGTTCTCGTCATCTCCCTCCTCCATCATTCATCCTAAATTCACCCCACCTTCAGGAAACACTTCCACTTGTCTCAGTGGCTTACTTGGTGGAGAGACTAATCTCTCATTCGTGAGAAGTTGGAGTCCTTAGTAACCATAACCTTTCTGGGCCAGGGTTGCTGCGTATGACCTTTCAAAGTCACATTTGGCCAAGACAGTATCAAGAGGCACCCAAGTGGATAACCTTGGTTTCACACATACTTCTCTCTGCCCCATTGCATAAAATCAGCCTTACCTCCTGCTGACCAGGATCAGGGATATCTTCCACAATGGCAATGACACTTCTGTTTTGTTTGTTTCTTTGTTTTAGAGCTAGGGTCTTTCTTTGTTGCCCAGGCTGGAGTGGTGCAGTGGCATGATCATAGCCCACTGCAGCCCTGAACTCCTGGGCTCAAGCAAACCTCCCACCTCAGTCTCCAGAGTGTCTGGGAAACAGGTGCACACCACCATGATCAGCTTCTTGTTGCCCGTTACCCACTACACAAGGGGTGTTCAAATTGCTGAAGGGGCAGCTATAAGTTGTTGTTCAATGGGACACTTCCTGTGTCTTCTAGAAAGAGTGTGCCTCTTTGGGGACCTGGACCTTTTAACTCTGTAGAGTCCAGAGTTATAGGGATCGGAAACATAAAGTGCTCAATGGTTCATTGTTGTCTCGTCAATTAACTTCATTCCTCATGGCAAGTGCTCTCTTAAGAGATCTCAGTTGCATACCATCACAGCTGCCAGGTATTTGATCTCCTACCTGTACAAGGAATATGCATCCCCATATATTGCCATATGACTTGCAGTATTTATTGGAGGAGAATAAGTCCCCAGGCCACTGACCTCAAGCTTGACCATAAGATTGGTTTTAGTCAGTGGAGAGTGATGGAAAGATTATAAGCCACATCTGAGCAGAAGCCAGGAGAGACATATAAGTTAGTTGGTGTTTTTCCTTCTCTGCCAGGAGAAAAAGTCCCAATGGGGCTACATCCTGGGGTGAAGAATATATGTGAAACAGAGCCACAGTTGATGTGCATTCATACAAGCAAGAAACAAACCTATATCATTAAAAAACATTAGGGATTGGGGATTGTTTGTTACTGCAGGATAACCTAATAAGATTTGGCTAATAGGTTGTATGTTTTCTCATTCGTGATATTTTGCTTAGTATTTACCTCTTCCTGATTGCTTCTAATTGATATATCTACTCATTAATGGCCCTAACTATTGTTCTTAATATTTCTGGGGGGGTTCTGGATTAGCTACATCAGAAACATCTGGATATAGTTTTAAAAACACAAATTCATCTTCTACACCCACAGAGATTCTGATTCAACAGGTATGATTCAATCATTGCCCTTCATATGGAGTCTGGGAATCTGTATATTTAAAAAACTCCACATGTTCCTAGCAAATTCAGAAACTAGTTGTATGCTGCATTTCACAATCTTCAATTTGTTTTGGGCTAATAACCTTTCTGGGTCTCTTGAACCTAGATGTGCCATCACCTTTACTGTTTGTCCCTAGCCTTGACTTGAACAATGGTCTTCGCATCCAAATTTGTTTTTGTCCTATTTCTTCATCTTGTATTTACAGCCTGGTCAAACTAAACTTGCAGTGGTACCTGCTAGTGCTTGAAGCATGCATTGAATTTCTCTTGAAAGAAATGTTAATGTGTTTGTGTGTGTGTGTGTGTGTGTGTGTGTAAAAGGCATATATGAACCAAAGCAGATAGAGTTAGATTAAGTTGTTGTATGCTGTTAAAAAAGATAATTCTGAAATGAAGCAGACTAAATTGTCAGTCCGGGAAAAAGTTCAGGCTCCATTTAGGTCAAAAGTAACTGAGAAATTGCTGATAGAATTATTTTTAGTAACTCATAAATGCCCATGTGCATTAACACATGCATAAATTTCCCCAGCTGGCTGTGTTACCAGAAATGGGATGACTGGCTAAATAAATCCTTAAAGCACCTTTTGTGCTGTGATGAAACAGAAATGAACAAAAGACATTAGGATGAAAAATAATTGAAAGCAAAGTTAGATTACATCAAGTATATCATCTATGAGAAAGATCAAAACCACAACCATCACAAACTGAAGACAGACCTTCCTATACCAAGACTGCCCCTCACGTCCACTATCCCATCCTTTCTCATATTCTTCATTTTTCACAAACCACTCTGTTTGGATAAGCTTCTAATGTATGTCTTAATTGCCGTTCTTTAAAACACACACACACACACACACACACACACACACACACACACACACACAGAGAGAGAGAGAGAGAGAGGATAAAACACATAAAAACACTGCACTGACTTAGGATACTTTCGGCTATGATGTCAACACTGCCCCTTAGCCATCACTTGGACTCCATTCATGCTTCTGGATACTGTTGATTTTTAGTGCACTGAAATTCCAGCCACCTTTATTGCAAAGATGGTACTCCGTGCTTAGTGTCTGAGTATCAGTTGAAAATATTCAGAAAAAAATACATATAAAATATTTTGGGTTGAGTGGCAAGTTATCATTGGTGTTAAAGGTCAGAATCAAGAATCTAATGTTCTTGTTAAATTCTTCTTGTCTGTATCCCCAAAGGACATGTAATTGTCATAAGTCCCCAGTTGAAGGAGGAAAAGAAAATCTCATTTTTCATTATTGTTCCTACTGGAATGTTAAAATCATAACAAACATTGTAACGATATGAAAGATATAAAATTCCATCATATTATGAAGGCAGAGCCAGCCAAAATTAGTTTTACTAAATGAAGATCTGAATAAACTTACATGTCTGGGAAGGTAGACTCAGCAAGCTTCCAAACTTCATATACTCAGAGGTACTTCTTACCATTCAAACATATCTAAGAAAATTAGTCAAAAATTTTGTAATGGTATTTTTAAAAAATTGTGTTTACTCTTGGTGAATGAACTTCATAGATAAAAAGAAACTCTAGAAAAATCTTCCTTTTAAAAGTTTACATTCACATTTGTGTCCCTTCTTTTCATAAAGGAGTCACTATTACTTAATAGCATAGACAGAGGCCCAAGAGTCATTTCCTAAATAATTGCTTGAGTTCCAAAATTAGAGGGGATTTCTTATATTTTAATATTTTTGTTCAAACTTTCCTATGTAAAACTTAAGAACCTTAAATTTGGAAACTTTGCATACACTGAATATTTATGAAGTATTAGAATCATCTCAGGATCAAACGATATTTAAGCTGCACTTCTTTACTCAATGTTGCTGTTTTATTTTGTGTGTCTGATTTCTTAGTAGGACTGTTTCTAATGTAACTGAAGATTCTGGAGGATTGAGAGTGGTTGGCAATACCTTCACCAATTTAAGCAAATATTTTCTCCTCCCTCCCTCCTTTCTTCCTCCTTCCTTCCTCCTTCCCTCCCTGCCTTTCCTCCTTTCTTCTTCTCTTCTCTTTTTCCTTCCCTCCTTCCTTCCTTCTTCCCTCCTTCCTTTCCTTTCCTGCCTTCCCCTTTCCTTTCCCTTCCTCTCCTTTGCTTTTTACTTTTTCTCCTTCCTTCCTTCCTCCCTCCCTTCCTCCCATCTTTCTTTGCTTGTCTTGCTTTGCTTGTCTTGCTTTGCTTTTTCTTTTTTCTTTTCTTTCTTTCTCTTCCTTCCTTTTTTCGTTTTTCTTTCTTCTTTCTTTCTCTTTTTCTCTTTTTCCCTCTTTCCCTCCCTCCCTCTCTTTCTTTTCTTTCTTTCTCTCTCTCTCTCTCTCTTTCTTTCTTTCTTTCTTCCTTCCTTCCTTCCTTCCTTCCTTCCTTCCTTCCTTCCTTCCTTTCCTTTCCTTTCTTTTTCTTTCTTTCTTTCGTAACAGAACATTTATTATTGTTTTTTGTTTCATTTTCTCCAATATATTAAGCAGATAAAAGCAGGAATGGTTTTGATGAAGTGGACAAGAGTCTCAAGTGCTGACCACTAGGACTGAATTGCACGTCAAAATGAATCTGAGTCATAGTCATGGAATTCTTGTTTACATTTTAAGCCACTGATAAGATTTACCTAAAGTAAATATAAAGTGATTGAAGATAAGTGTTCTATGCAGTATTTTTTCTTTCCTTTGGGGAAAACAAAATTTAACACAAAAGTTAGAATGCTTTCATGCTACTTGAGTTTGTTTTAAAAGGCAGCATTTCACCGGACTAAAATGAAGATTTGAAATTTTCCCTATTAGTAATATTCTCACATGTATGATCTTGTATATCCTGGCTCCTTTTGTCTTCATGGTTTTTGGTCTGCTTTCTTTTACAGCATAGGTGGAGAAGTAGGGCGAGGCCACGAAGGAAGTTACGTGGGCAAACATTTCCGCATGGGATTCATGACAATGCCTGCTCCTCAGGACAGACTTCCCCATCCTTGCTCCAGTGGCTTTTCTGTGAGATCACAGTCCCTGCACTCGGTTGGGGGCACAGACGATGACAGCAGCTGTGGCTCACGGAGACAACCACCACCCAAACCCAAGAGGGACCCCAGCACCAAGCTGAGCACCTCATCAGAGACAGTCAGCAGCACTGCAGCCAGTAAGAGCGGGAAAACCCCTGAGAGGACTGAAGGTAAAACACGCCATGTCCATGTCACCTAGAAATCTCTTTCAGATAGTATGTTCAGGTCAGCATGCCCAGGGGCAAGTGCCTTCTTCACTGGGCCACATAATCCTGCCTCTCACCCTGAAGTCCCAGAAAAGAAGAATTGAGGGGAAGGTTATTTATTGATGTGTTGTCAAATTTCCAGAAGAATGTATTTCTGATAGTTCAGAAAGGGTAGGCAATATATGAGTTTTTTAATCCTTTAAAGCTTCAAATTATTCAAAAATTATTCTGCCCAGAAATATATCTAAAAGTTATATTTTCTTATACTATTTATACAATTAAAGGTATTATTATTTGATTATCAAGGGGACATTTTAATTCAGGAAAATATCAAGAAAAAGCTTATAATCATTTTTAATGTTTTGGTGAATTTCCTTCCAATGAATATGAATTTATGTATTTATGTGTGTATGTGTGTGCATACTATAATCTTAAACTCTCCTTAATATCTCCAATTTTTACCTTTATCTGCCTGTGTTTTTTCTCAGCTATGAAACATACAAGTCAAATATATCCCAGCCTCCTTGCTGGTCTATGAATATAAATTAGGTCATATTAACACTAGATCTCACCAGCTCTTTAGGCCTTACTGAATTTAGTAGAGTCTCAGCTTCCCTGAGTTACTCCTGAGAATTCCATGGTGGGAAAGTAGCCTTAAGTGTGCCTTGACACAAGCTATCTTGGTCATTTGGGGCTGCTATAACAAAACACCATAGCCTGGGTGGCATATAAGCAACAGCAATTTATTTCTCACAGTTCTGGAGGCTGGAAGCCTGAGAGCTCTGTTGGGGCCCACTTCCTGGTTGCAGACTGCCGACTTCTCCTTGTATCCTCAAAGGGCAGAAAGGCCTCCCTGGCCTCTTCGTAGGAGGATGCTAATCCTATTCCTGAAAGCACTGCTCTCCTTCCCTTTCTACCTCCACATACAATCATTATGGGATTAAGTTTTCAACATTCTAATTTGGGGAGCACAAACATTCAGCTCATTGCACAGGCACATTGAGATCTTTACATAGCAAATGTGGAAAACACTTCAAGGTTCCCAATGCTGCCAGTGACCAGTTTGAGAGAGGCGTTCCACCAGGTCCCATAGCTTCTCTTCTGCCCCACTCTCCTTTCTCCACAGCAAGCTTCTCTGAGCTCTAGGGTACCAAGTATATTTGCCGCAGAGAGCCACATGGTCCTTTCTTCAACTAGGCAGTGTTCATTGTGACATGGGCTCCCTAGTCCCTCATGAAAGCCCCTTGGCCTTCTGGCCTAATCTTTCCACAGATTCTCATAGGCAGTCCATGAGATCAGATGCCTATGAGGTATGTGCCATCTCTCCCATCATCTTTGTCTCTCCTTCCTCTCTCATTGGTGTTCAGGTGCCTTTAGCCAAAAACAACCAATATCTTCAATACCAATAAATGCCTGGAGATAGAGTCAGTCCATAAATTCTACAAAAAAACTCCTGTGGCTTCAGTTTTTCCTGCTATACATATGCAAAAAATGCCTTGCATGTAAGTATATGTGGTTAAGACACACAAATGAATAATATGTATGTGTTTGCATATTTGCAAAATTGACATCATAGTGTATAGTCTTGTGTTTTGTATTTTCACTTCTTCTATTGTAACTAATTTCCATGGTGTGCAATTTGTCAAGAAACAACTTTAACAGAGAGAAGTGTACAGCCAAGTAATTAATCATTATCTTGTTGATGAATACTCAGATTGATTGTTTTGCAGCTACAATGAATAGTGCTACAATGAACATTCATGTGTGTGTGTGTGTGTGTGTGTATAACTGTTATTCCTCTGCCCTCTTAGAGTATTAGACATTTGATTCTTTTTCTCATGATTCAGAGTTATCAGTAAGTCCTTCAACTTATAACACATTTTTTTAAGAAACAATGTATTAATAGGTGTTTAGTTAACCCAGTAGTATACTAAAAGGCCCCAGAGGCCTACCATTTGTAAATTTTAAATGTGGTTCATAGGTTTCCTTGATACATGGTGCTTTTCATTTCTCTTTATTTTCTGTGATTCTCTGTGCAGAAGTCACCACTGTCCTACTTCTACTGCCAGAAAACTACCTAATAAATTATGTTAGATTGTTTTCAAAAGAAAATTACTGATTTAAGAAAGTGATCACTGAAAGATGGGGGGCCTGAATGCAGTCAGGAATAATTCAAGAATAAAGGGGAATAAAAGAACCACCCAAAGAGAGAAGAGAGATGAGAAGGACAAAGAAAGTAGCCCATAAGGGATGTGTTATCAATGCCTTGTTGGCAGAAACATTTCTAGAAAGCGTGTAAAATACACTCAGAATACCTCAGAATACCTCAGAAAAGCCGCCTTCGTGGAGGGGGAGCTGGGCTACTTAGAGTGAAAGTATGGAGAAAATCGTGATTACTGTCCCACAGAAGAAAAATTTGAGTGGCCATTCACTTGTCTTAAAAATAGAAGGGATTCCCATTCATTTGGGATGTTTCATCGCTAGTTCCTGGGGCAGAGAGTATCATAATTCTCTCTCAGATGCCTTCACCATCTAAGGATAGTGGGCTCCCAATGGCTACTTGTCAAGCAGAATGCAGCAGTTCAACAAGCTTTATTTCTTCTGAAGACAAAGTAGCAAATGTGGTTGAACTGTAGCAGCAAAGACTTGTTAGACTTGGAAAAAATACTTGATAGGTAGTGAGCTCATTAAACACCAACTCCAAATCCAGCATTTCTCCTCAAAAAGGAGCTCTGAGGGTGTTCAGTGGGCTACATAAGTTGTCGGGACCCAGTGCAGAAATGGTAGACTCCCATAGAGAAGTGATTCTTCATGGGAATTTTACTTTCCCTTTTTTTTTTCTCTTCAGAACACTTAATAAAACAGCAATTGCAAAAGCAGATATATGCAAATCTCTTCTACCAAGTTATGACCTCAATGATAATAGCATAAAGACAGGGCTCAATTCAGGGATAGGAGAAAACTCTTGAGTCCAAATGCATGTGTATATATATGTGTACTCAGAGCCAAAATTATTAATATATCAATATGTAGATTGTTCTTTTATGAACTCTCAGTTCTTTATAATTGTGCTATAACTGGAGTTCATTACAGAGCATATGTTTTCTTTATAATTTTTCTAGCTATCAACAGTATAACAAACATAAAAAATAACTTTTATAAATCTTAGCCTGTCTTTTCTTTTTACATTAAATGCCAGAAAAATCAAAATATTGATTCAGTGGCATTAGAATGATTGCCATGGTAACAGGCTTCTATTTAAGTAAGGGATTATGACTTCCCTGTGGATAAAAGTAAAAAGAACTGGACTCTACAAAATGGCTTTTCAGAGTAGAAAAAAATAAAACTGTTGAGCACAAACAAAAAAAAATCACATACCAAAAAAGTATAATTTAGTGTTTAAAAATTGTAACTCTGTTACATTAAAAATATATGTTTACTGTTCTATTTTCAGATTATCTACAACAGAAACACCTTTAAAAATTTATATAGTGGTGAGCATAAACTGGCAATCAGTATACTATAAATATTTTAATTACCCCTTTTTATTGCTTCAGTGTGGTTCCTGCTTATTTTGAGGAAAGATTAGATGATCTAAAGGGGGTTAAGTAGAAAGAGTGAGAGGCCCTATGAGCTGTGTCTCATGTGTGATCCAGCAAAAGGAGGGAGTGTGCACCCTCACATTGGTCATCCCCATTCCTCAGGTAAACACATAGCCGATTCCTCAATAATGTCATTGTTAGAAATGCTGTCTAGTTTAGGCAAAAGAGACTGTACTTAGGATCAACAGGCAAACATTGACTTTAGGCAAGTGATCCAATGGGACTGTTTCTTTACCTTTAAAGTGATTGTGAATAACGGAAAAAATGATCAGATCCTGCATCCCTCACAGCTTTATGACAACCTGGTGAACTAATGCCAATGATTGTGCATGGTACAAAGAAGGTGCCGTACAAATAGAGCTGAATACCTTATTGAATCACCACTTCTAATAGGCCTGAATAACATGAAATTTTGGTCTGGTATAGCACATATATTAAAAACAAAGAGGAAAAGAAAAGATATGCACACCCACTTTGCATGTTAGAGCCTTAATTTCACACCTAGCTATTGCCAAAACATGAAAGATAAGCACTAGAGAGGATGTGGGGAAAAGACAGCCCTTATACACTATTGATAGACATTAAGATAGCCATTAAGGAATAGTGAACAGAGCAAAAATTTAAAATAGAACTACCATGTGATCCAGCAATCCCACTACTGGATACACTTCCAAGGAAACCAGTATGTTGAAGAGACATCTTTACTCTCATGTTTATTACAGCAATCTTCACAATAGCCAAGATATGGAATCAACCTCAGTGCCCCTTAACAGATGAATAGATAAAGAAAATGTCATTCATACACATACACACACAAACACACACACACATACACACACATACATACAATAGAATACTATTCAGTCATAAAAAGGAATAAAATCCTGACATTTTTGGCAACATGGATGGGCCTGGAAGACATTATGTAAAATGAAATTAGCTAAGCACAGAAAGACAGATACTGCTTGATCTTACATGTAAAGTGTAAAAAAGTTAATCCTGTAGAAGTAAAGAGTAGCCTGGTGATCACCAGGGGCTAGGGCAGGAGTGGGTGAAAGTATTGGTCAAAGGATACAGAATTTCAGTTGGAAGGAATAAATTCAAAACATCTACGGTACATCATGGTAACTATACTTAATAACAACATATTGTATTGAGCATCCTTAAGAGACTTTGAGTTCTCATTACAAAAAAAAACAGTATGTGAGCTAATATATATATATATATATATATATATATATATATATATATATATATATTAGCGTGTGCGCTTATATATATATATATATATATATTAGCTTGTGAGCTTATATATATATATATAAATAAATTAGCTCAATTTAGCCTTTCTACAATGTATACATATTTCAAAATAACATATTATACATGGCAAATATACACAATTTTTGCCAATTAAAAATAAATAGGCCAGGCATGGTGGCTTACACCTATAATCCCAGCACTTTAGGAGGCCTAGACAGGTGGATTATTGGAGGTCAGGAGTTCGAGAGTAGCCTGGCCAACAAGGTGAAACCCCATCGGTCTAAAAATATAAAAACTAGCCAGGCATGTGGGCGGGAGCCTGTAATCCCAGCTACTCAGAAAGCTGAGGCAGGAGAATTGCTTGAACCCAGGAGGCAGAGATTGCAGTGAGCTGAGACTGTGCTACTGAATCGAAGCCTGGGCGACTGAGTGAGACTCTGTATCAAAAATAAATAAAATGAAAATAAGGAAAAGGAGCAAAAAGAATTGCACAATGGCCCAAATAAACAGAAAAATATTCCTCAGTTGTAATAATCTTTTAACAATATTATGGCATTAAGAAATATTCCCCAGGCAAAATAACCTTTTAATAATATTGTAATATTAATAAGTATTCCCAAGGCATAATCTTTTAATAATATGATATTAACATAGTATTTAGTATAAAGAATATTTTATTTTTTTATTTTTTATTTTTTATTTTATTTTATTATTATACTTTAAGTTTTAGGGTACATGCGCACAATGTGCAGGTTAGTTACATATGTATACATGTGCCATGCTGGTGTGCTGCACCCATTAACTCATCATTTAGCATTAGGTATATCTCCTAAAGCTGTCCCTCCCCCTCCCCCCACCCCACAACAGTCCCCAGAGTGTGATGTTCCCCTTCCTGTGTCCATGTGTTCTCATTGTTCAGTTCCCACCTATGAGTGAGAATATGCAGTGTTTGGTTTTTTGTTCTTGCGATAGTTTACTGAGAATGATGATTTCCAGCTTCATCCATGTCCCTACAAAGGACATGAACTCATCATTTTTTATGGCTGCATAGTATTCCGTGGTGTATATGTGCCACATTTTCTTAATCCAGTCTATCATTGTTGGACATTTGCGCTGGTTCCAAGTCTTTGCTATTATGAATAGTGCTGCAATAAACATACATGTGCATGTGTCTTTATAGCAGCATGATTTATAATCCTTTGGGTATATACCCAGTAATGGGATGGCTGGGTCAAATGGTATTTCTAGTTTTAGATCCCTGAGGAATCGCCACACTGACTTCCACAAGGGTTGAACTAGTTTACACTCCCACCAACAGTGTAAAAGTGTTCCTATTTCTCCACATCCTCTCCAGCACCTGTTGTTTCCTGACTTTTTAATGATTGCCATTCTAACTGGTGTGAGATGGTATCTCATTGTGGTTTTGATTTGCATTTCTCTGATGGCCAGTGATGGTGAGCATTTTTTCATGTGTTTTTCAGTTACATAAATGTCTTCTTTTGAGAAGTGTCTGTTCATGTCCTTCGCCCACTTTTTGATGGGGTTGTTTGTTTATTTCTTGTAAATTTGTTTGAGTTCATCGTAGATTCTGGATATTAGCCTTTTGTCAGATGAGTAGGTTGCAAAAATTTTCTCCCATTTTGTAGGTTGCCTGTTCACTCTGATGGTAGTTTCTTTTGCTGTGCAGAAGCTCTTTAGTTTAATTAGATCCCATTTGTCAATTTTGGCTTTTGTTGCCACTGCTTTTGGTGTTTTAGACATGAAGTCCTTGCCCATGCCTATGTCCTGAATGGTAATGCCTAGGTTTTCTTCTAGGGTTTTTATGGTTTTAGGTCTAACATTTAAGTCTTTAATCCATCTTGAATTGATTTTTGTATAAGGTGTAAGGAAGGGATCCAGTTTCAGCTTTCTACATATGGCTAGCCAGTTTTCCTGGCACCATTTATTAAATAGGGAATCCTTTCCCCATTGCTTGTTTTTCTCAGGTTTGTCAAAGATCAGATAGTTGTAGATGTGTGGTGTTATTTCTGAGGGCTCTGTTCTGTTCCATTGATCTATATTTCTGTTTTGGTACCAGTACCATGCTGTTTTGGTTACTGTAGCCTTGTAGTATAGTTTGAAATCAGGTAGCGTGATGCCTCCAGCTTTGTTCTTTTGGCTTAGGATTGACTTGGCGATGCCGGCTCTTTTTTGGTTCCATATGAACTTTAAAGTAGTTTTTTCCAATTCTGTGAAGAAAGTCATTGGTAGCTTGATGGGGATAGTATTGAATCTATAAATTACCTTGGGCAGTATGGCCATTTTCATGGTATTGATTCTTCCTACCCATGAGCATGGAATGTTCTTCCATTTGTTTGTATCCTCTTTTATTTCATTGAGCAGTGGTTTGTAGTTCTCCTTGAAGAGGTCCTTCACATCCCTTGTAAGTTGGATTCCTAGGTATTTTATTCTCTTTGAAGCAATTGTGAATGGGAGTTCACTCATGATTTGGCTCTCTGTTTGTCTGTTCTTGGTGTATAAGAATGCTTGTGATTTTTGTACATTGATTTTGTATCCTGAGACTTTGCTGAAGTTGCTTATCAGCTTAAGGAGATTTTGGGCTGAGACAATGAGGTTTTCTAGATATACAATCATGTCATCTGCAAACAGGGACAATTTGACTTCCTCTTTTCCTAATTGAATACCCTTTATTTCCTTCTTCTGCCTAATTGCCCTGGCCAGAACTTCCAACACTATGTTGAATAGGAGTGCTGAGAGAGGGCATCCCTGTCTTGTGCCAGTTTTCAAAGGGAATGCTTCCAGTTTTTGCCCATTCAGTATGATATTGGCTGTGGGTTTGTCATAGATAGCTCTTATTATTTTGAGATACATCCCATCAATACCTAATTTATTGAGAGTTTTTAGCATGAAGGGTTGTTGAATTTTGTCGAAGGCCTTTTCTGCATCTATTGAGATAATCATGTGGTTTTTGTCTTTGGTTCTGTTTATATGCTGGATTACACTTATTGATTTGCGTATATTGAACCAGCCTTGCATCCCAGGGATGAAGCCCACTTGATCATGGTGGATAAGCTTTTTGATGTGCTGCTGGATTCGGTTTGCCAGTATTTTATTGAGGATTTTTGCATCAATGTTCATCAAGGATATTGGTCTAAAATTCTCTTTTTTGGTTGTGTCTCTGCTTGGCTTTGGTATCAGGATGATGCTAACCTCATAAAATGAGTTACGGAGGATTCCCTCTTTTTCTATTGATTGGAATAATTTCGGAAGGAATGGTACCAGTTCCTCCTTGTACCTCTGGTAGAATTCGGCTGTGAATCCATCTGGTCCTGGACTCTTTTTTGTTGGTAAGCTATTGATTATTGCCACAATTTCAGAGCCTGTTATTGGTCTATTCAGAGATTCAAATTCTTCCTGGTTTAGTCTTGGGAGGGTGTATGTGTCGAGGAATTTATCCATTTCTTCCAGATTTTCTAGTTTATTTGCATAGAGGTGTTTGTAGTATTCTCTGATGGTAGTTTGTATTTCTGTGGGATCAGTGGTGATATCCCCTTTATCATTTTTTATTGCATCTATTTGATTCTTCTCTCTTTTCTTCTTTATTAGTCTTGCTTTATTAACCTTTAATTATCTCTACATTTTCAAGTGTTTACAAGAACCAGCTAAGTATTCCTACCTTCCATTTGTTATGAACTCTTCCTCAAGTTATTTTCAAACTTCTTTATTATATAATTTCATGACTGTCTCTTTACAAAGCCATCAAGAAATACTTTTGATTGGGATAGTTCTCCTGATTTCTGATTTTGTTTTAGACATGTTTAGTAAAGTCATGTCTTTGGAAGCAAAAATTGGGATACCTGCTACAATATTTGCAATCATGGTTGTTGTTACAATCTTGGAATGTGTGGTTGAGCCAGAACCAAGTGAAGCTGAAGTTTGTTATAAGTCACTGCCTTAAAAATAGACACAAAACCTCTTTTTAAGAATTACCCAAAAAAGTAATTTAGAGCCTTTAATAATGTCATTTCTCATGCCTCCATTTATTCAGAAAATACTTTGAGTATCTACCCTGTTGTACTGGGATCCAGCTCCAGCAACAGAGAGAACACAAATGGTCCTTTCTTTCTTGTTGCTTACAAACAGTTTTGGTTCTACTTCACCAGCATAGCCTGTTTTACTCTATCCAGGTCATAGAGCCAGCAATGAGTTAAAGGAACAATTTCTAGAAACCAGAAAATCTGGCATGACAAACACGTGCCTTTCTTTCATGTAATCGGGTGTTTATCTAGAGAATAAATGGTTTAACACATTTTAATACTGTGCTTTTTCCTATAAAGAATATCTGTTGATTATGGCTGTTTGGTGTTGACCAACTTAAAGAAGCCAGAATTAGATTTTCTTCCAGTGTAAAATTTTAGAAACAACCTGGAGACAGTTGAAGAAAAAGGAGTGGAAACAAATTGAGTGTGTTCATCTTGGGGAACTTACAGGTTTCCCAGATTAGAATCCTAGTTTGAGGACTTAAGTCAGCACCAGTCAGGGCCAGCCACATATTTGATTTTGCTTTCTCAGTTCCTAGTGCAGATCTGTGACACTTATAAGTGGCCATAACGTTTTTTAAAAGACTATTCCTGGAAGTCCTCACAAGAGCAGTCAGGTAAGAAATAAATAAAAGGCATCCAAATTGGAAAAGAGGAAGTCAAATTATCCCTGTTCACTGATGATTTGATCTCGTATCTAGAAAAACCTAAAGATACCACCAAAAAAAAAAACCTCCCTATATTTGATAAATGAATTCAGTAAAGTACCACGATAGGAAATCAACATTCAGACATCAATAAAATTTTATATGTATATATATCTAGCTGAGGACCAATTCAAAAAGTCAATCCCATTTATAATAGCTATAAAAATATCTAGGAATATATTTCACCAAGGTAGTGAAACATCTCTATAAGGACAACTACAAAATACTGATGAAAGAAATCATAGATGACACAAATGGAAAAACATCCATGTTTATGGACTAGAAGAATCAGTATGATTAAAATGACCATATTGTCCAAAGCAATCTAGAGATTTGACACAATCCCTATCAAATTACCAATGTCATTTTTCATATAATGAGTAAAACCAATCCTAAAATTCACATGAAACCAAAAAAACAAGGCCTGAATAGCCAAAGCAATCCTTAAAAGGAACAAAACTGGGGAGATCACATTATCTGACTTTATACTGCAAGGATACTGCAACCAAAACAGCATGGTACTGGTATAAAAGTAAACATATAGGTCAATGGAAGGGAATAGAGAACCCAGAAATAAAGCCACCTACCTATAACTAACTGATCTTTGACAAAGTTAACAAAAATGTACACTGAGGATAGAACACTCTATTTAATGCTTCTGGGAAAATTGGATAGCCATATGCAAAAGAATGAAGCTTGTATTAGTCAGGATTCTCCAGAGGGACAGAACTGATAGGATAGATGCATATATGATGGGGAGTTTATTAAGGAGTATTGACTCACATGATCACAAGGTGAAGTCCCACAATAGGCCATCCACAAGCTGAGGTTCAAGGAAGCTAGTTTGACTTCCAAAACCTCAAAAGTAGGGAAGCCAAAAGTGCAGCCTTCAGTCTGTGGCTGAAGGCCCTGGCAAACCACTGGTGTAAGTCAAAGAGTCTAAAAGTGGAAGAACTTGGAGTCTGATGTTCAAGAGCAGAAAGCATCTAACATGGGAGAAAGATGAAGGTTGGAAGACTCAGCAAGTCAAGTCCTTCCACATTCTTCTACCTGCTTTTATTCTAGCCATACTGGCAGCTGATTTGATGGTGCCTATCAAGATTGAGGGTGAGTCTGCCTTTCCCAGTCCACTGACTCAAATGTTAATCTCTTTTGGCAACACCCTCACAGACACACCCAGGAACAATGTTTTGCATCCTTCAGCCCAATCGAATTGACACTCAGTATTAACCATCACAAAGCTGGATCCATACCTCTCAGCATATACAAAAATCAACTCAAGAAGGATTAAAGATCCAAATATAAGACCTGAAGCTATACAAGTCCTAGGAGAAAATTTAGCAAAAATGCCTCTGGACATTGGTCTAGGCAAAGAATTTGACCATGTCCTCAAAAGCAAACACAACAAAAACAAAACTAGACAAATGGGACTTAAACTAAAAAGCTTTTACACAGCAAAAGAAACAATTAACAGAGTAAACAGAGAAACTGTAGAAAAAACATTTGCAAGCTATGCATCTGAAAAAGGCTTAATATCCAGAATCTATAAGAAACTCAAACAACTAAAGGAAAAAATGAGTAACCCCATACAAAGTAGGCAAAGGACATATATAGATACTTTTCAAGAGAAGACATACAAGCAGCCAATAAACATATGAAAAAAATGTTCAACATCACCAATCATCACAGAAATCCAAATTGAAACCACAGTATGATGTCATCTTATGCTAGTTAGAATGGCTATTATTAAAAAGTTAAAAAATGGATGTTGGCAAAGATGCAAAGAAAAGGGAACATTATACACTGTCAGTTGGAATATGTATTAGTACAACCTTTATGGAAAATTGTATGGGCATTTCTTAAAGAAGTAAAACTAGAACTGCCGTTTGATGCTGCAATCTCACTACTAGGTATATACCCAAAGGGAAAGAAACCATTTCATCAAATGTTTTCTTTTGTTTTAATACATTAAATTTGTGGTAGTTCATTACACACTTGTATGTTTATCGCAGCGCTATTCACAATAACAAAGATATGGAATCAACCTAAGTGTCCATCAATGGAGGATTGAATAAAGAAAATGCAGCATACACATACAAATGGATCATAGAATACTACATAGCCATAACAATGAATGAAATGTCTTTTCTATCAGATTAGATGGAACTGGAAGTCATCCTAAGTGAAATAACTCAGAAACAGGAAGTCATATACCTCATGTTCTCACTTATAAGTGGGAGCCAAACAATGGGTACACATGGACAAACAGAGTAGAATAATAGACAACATTGGAGACTCCAAGAGGTAGAAGGATGGATGGTGGTGAGGGCTGAAAAATCATCTAGTGGATACAATGTGCACTATTTGAATGATGGGTACAACAAAAGCCCAGCACACAGATCTTGGTTTCATATCAGTGCTGCAGACATTAGCATTCTTTCTCTTCCTCAGCCTCAGTTTTCTCTCTGTAAGATGGAAATAACAATACTCACCATATGTGGTAGGCAGAATTCTAAGACGGTATTCAAGATTCCCCCACTCCCTGCTGTACTACTTCTGTATCATCTTTGGACCTGAGGCACAGTTGCTGGCTTGAAGATAGAGGGGCCATGTGGTAAGGCACATGGGCAGCCTCTGAGAGTTGAGAGCAGCACCATGGCTGAAAGTCAGCAAGAAAGGTGGGACCTGGTTTTATAACTGCAAGGAACTGAATTCTGCCAACAATGAGTGAGCCTGGAAGTAGATTTTTCCCTGGAACCTCCAAATGAAGATTCAGCTTGGCTGCTACCTTTATTTGAGCTTATGGGACCCTGAGCAGAGAACATAGCCTTTTGGATTCTGGCTGTGCCCAGACATCTGATCTACAGAAGTGTGAGCTAGTAAAGGTATTGATTTTTAAGCTGCTAAATTTGTGATCACTTGTTAAGCAGCAATCAAAAAATAATCCATCATACAAAGTTTCTAGACAGAGAAAAGCAACTTAGCAAAGCACCTGGCTTAGTGTCTGACAAATAGCAGATGCTTGATAACCCTACTTCCCTTCCCCTGTCATTGCTGGGCTGTATTCTCAGGTAGGGGAGGGTGGTTAAGACAACAGCAGTGACTTCCCAAATGTCCCTGGCCAGACTTTGAAAATAAATGAGATGATAGAGGTTCAGCAAATACTGACATATGTAGCCCTTTGAATAGCTGCTTAGCTTTTTCTGAATTTATTTGGCTCTTCTGAAAGAGTCTCCTTTTTCAGCAACATTTTTAGTTCCTTCAAATGGCTCAGCAATGGCTTTTCTGGTGGCTTTTTGACAGGCTTGTCTACATGGCTGCAACTTGCCTTGTTAATGCCTTTGTTCACATAGCAAGTGGCACTTGTACTTCATAGTGTGCCCCCTAGAAGTGCTCAAAACACTGCTTAGCACTATACTAATAAAGCACAAAGAAGGTTGAAAGCAAACTCTCAAAATCTCCATTGTTTTTTGCATTGGATAGTGTTCTAATGTGTATTCTTGTTTTATGAGGAAAGGATGTAGGAGATTATAACTGAAGGCCCACATTCCTGGATTTCTCTTCCCAGGTTGGCAGAATCAGATGCTGCTAGGCTTCCTAGTGTAAGACCCATCTGTCAAACCAGGCACTGCTCAGATGGAGATGGAGTTGCGCATCTACCATGTGTGATCTTTTTCTAAACGTACCCTGAGGCTCATGAATGAAACAGTTTGCAAGTCAAGTCATCATGCAATGCATCTTTCTCTCGGTTCTTGCCATGGTTGTTGTCCAGTCCAAAGAATACCCTGCCTTTTTACTGGTCTCACCCAACATCTTCCTATTAAGTTCAGCATTGGCCTAGTTTGTTCAGTGTCTTAGATTCATAATATGACTCATTACCCATGTTGTTGGCACAGATGGAGCCTTCCATGAGAAATCAATAAGCCCAATGTGCCTGTGTGTCTATTGTAATCAGGCATTGATTTAGAGGTGTGTTTTATTGCTGTGTAACGAACTACCACAAATGTAATGGATTAAAGCAACATACCTCTATTAGTTCACAGTTTCCTTGGGTTAGGAGTCAGCTCAGGATTTTCCAAGGCTTCAATCTAGGGTGTCAGCTGAAGCTGGAGTCTCATCTGAGGCTCAGAGTTCTTTCTCAAGCTTACATAGTTGTTGGCAAAACTTCTTTTTATTATTTATTTATGCTGTTATAGAACATGCAGTAGCTTGCTTCTCAAGAACAGAAGAGTTTCTTGGATGTTGATTCTGTCCTTTCAGGTAAAGCCTGGACCCTCTTTTAAAGAGTTCACCTGATTAACACAGGCCCACCCAGAACAATCTACTTTATTATTATTATTCTGTGACAGGGTCTTTCTTCTCTGTTGCGCAGGCTGGGGCACAGTGGCATGATCATAGCTTATTGCAGCCTCAAACTCCTGGGCTCAAGCAATCGTCCCACCTCAGCCTCTCAAGTAGCTTGGACTACAGTTATGTGTCACCATGCTCAGCTAATTTTTCTATTTTTTGTAGAGACAAGGTCTTGTTATGTTGCCTGGGCTCATCTCAAACTCCTGACTCAAATGATCCTCCTGTCTTGGCCTCCCAAAATGTTGGGATTACAGGTGTGAGCCACTGCACTGGGCCTAATCTCCTTTCTTATTAACTCAGAGTCAACCTAGTAAAAGCAATAATTATAACTGGAAAATCGCTTCACCTTCTTCCATAATCCCTAACTTAATCAAAGGAATGAAATACCATCATATTCATGGTCCTGCTTCTGCACTCAATGAGAGAGAATTATACAGGGTATAAACTCCAGAGGGCAGGAATCTTGTGTCCAACCTAGAATTCTGAGTTATCAGGGTGATACTAGGAACAGGCATATATTGCTTTCCTAGAAACCATGCAGCTATCTGGTTGAATGCTTCAAAAGTCAACTCATGGAAAGTTAATGAAAACTGCAAAAGGTAAACTAAAATTCTATGGGATAATAGAAATATCACAATACATTCTAAATACTTGGCAAATAAATAGGGTAAAATATAATTCCCTTCCCTATTTTTCTCTTTGTCTTTCCTTTGCTCCACATAATGGAAATCATCCCGCCGCAAAGTGCTTGGATTATTTTATTGGTTGGAAAAAATCTCATTTCCTTTGGCTTCACATGTGAGAAAATACACTCTTTAGTCCAGCAGTCCTCAGGCCAAAGAACTTCTAGAACATAAAGATCCAAGTAAAATACTGACACTAAAATGATATTAGGATTAAAATTAGAGTGTGCATAAACATCAGTCTGAATGATCCTCACTGCTGAGTTTCCTCATTGGGAGCTCTCTTGTTGACCCAGCATGGGAACTGGTCCCCTAAATCCCTAGAGAGTTGTGGAACAGATAATGCACAGTGTTCTTGATACAGCAAACCCACTTCCCAGTGCTTTCACCTGTGATTCTCCAGAACCCCTGGATTGTAGGGATTGGTGATGTTAATTTATGCTGTGTACCTTTCTGATCTCTGCCTGTTCTGTAGCATTTTGGTGAGAAATATGAGACTCGATGTTCCCAAGTTATACAATTCCTTAATTGCAACAATTGCATCAATTTCCAGTAATGGGTGAATAGACATCAAAAAGCATGTCTGCAGACGAAGTGGAGAAAGGGCAGAATACTAAATGTAACCCTCATTGCAACTTTCCCCGAAGTCTCTGTTTTTGTCTGGCCTCAAACCTATATAAAGATTGATCTCTTCTTTGCATTTATATGAAAGCATTAGAAAGTATTGTGCTAAATTATTGAATTAATAATTACTAGGATTTTCTAAACAAAATGGCAGAAAGGAGTTCATAACCTGCCTTTATTAAACGACTTCCACCTCTTTATCTCTTTTCTCATCAAATGTTTTACCTTTCCTTCATGTTTCTAGACTTCAACATGGCCCCTAAGACCTAAAGGAAATCGATGCCACCGTCCTCAGAAGGCACCTCAGAGCTTGCCTATCTTTTGTTTGTTTTTTGTTTTATGTTTTTTTGTTTGTTTGTTTTTGAGATAGAGTCTCTCTCTTGTCGCCCAGGCTGGAGTGAAGTGGCATGATCTCTGCTCATCACTGCAGCCTCTGCCTCCCAGGTTGAAGCCATTCTCTGCCTCAGCCCCCCGAGTAGCTGGCATTACAGACATGAGCCACCACGTCCAACTAATTTTTTATTTTTAGTAGAGACAGGGTTTTGCCATGTTGGACAGGGTAGTCTCAAACTCCTGGCCTCAAGTGATCTACCCGCCTCGGCCTCCATAAGTGCTGGGAAGACAGGCATGAACTACCGTGCCTGGCCCCTGCCTATATTTATATAAGCATGTTCCCTGGGAGATAACTTGGCTTCATTCTCGTCTTTCCAACTCAGTGTTTTTATTTTATTTTTATTATTTATTTTTTGAGACGGAGTCTCACTCTGTCGCCCAGGCTAGGGTGCAGTGGCACTATCTTGGCTCACTGCAACCTCTGCCTCCTGGGTTCAAGCAATTCTCCTGCTTCAGCCTCCTGAGTAGCTAAGAGTACAGGTGCCTGCCACCACACCTGGCTAATTTTTTGTATTTTTAGTAGAGACGGGGTTTCACCATGTTGGCCAGGATGGTCTCGATCTTCTGACCTCGTGATCCACCCACCTTGGCCTCCCAAAGTGTTGGGATTGCAGGCGTGAGCCACCGTGCCTGGCCTCAGTCAGTATTTTTTTAGAGAGTATACCTGACAAAAACATTTTTCCCATTTGATAATATAAAGCGTTTGGTACTGTACAAAACTATAAAATTATTTTTTTTTTAATTTTAAGAAAGTGACTTTTTCTTGTTTATACTGCTACTCTCCATCTCATAGATTTAATAGTAATGGAAAGAAATCTTTCTAATGGGTGAATGTACCCCAGAGCAGTCTGACAATGAAATTAACTCATTTGAGACTGCATCTTTGAGCAGGTGGCTCCTTCAGGCCACCGTCCTGCATCCCTCCCTTCCTGCTTAGCTGGCTACTGAAAGGCCTCCTGCACATGTTTGCTCTGAGGCCTCCACCCTCATCCAAAATCCACTGCTCTCTGATGCCCTAGCCATGACACTAAATTGAATCTCGGTTCTCTTCTCAATGTTGTCCTTTTATCCCTATCCTTTGGTATGTCTCTTCAGCATTTTAGACTATGAACCTCCATACTTCCTAAATCCCATGCTCCTTGGCTTTTTATGCCTAACCCTCTACTAATTTTCATCTTCTTACTACTCTATTTGTCTCCTTGAGGGTGTCTGTTGTTTTGCCTGATTCTTAAATGATGTCTCTGAACTCTCACTGGCTCTCCTGTCTTCTCACTCTAATCTTTGTTGAATAAATAAGTCATGAATTCCACATTATCTCCAGATGTCCCAATCTTCACACATACATCTATCTGTAGATATCACAGAGAGCCTTCAAACTTGTCATATCCACACTGACCCAGGCGTTTCCTCCATGGTTTTTTATCTTGACACCCAAGTTAGACATGCAAGAGCCTAATTGGATTGCACTCCTTCACTTGCCCTGATCTCTCATCAGTGATCAAGTCCAGCCAATTCTGCTCCACTTATGTCAGTCTCTCCACCTGTTTGCACTTTTATGCTCCTATCTCATTCAGGCCATCATGTTTCCCACCTGGACAATTGCATGGGCACCTAACTGGTCATCTTTCCTGCAGGTTCACTTTCACAAATCCATCATCCCTATTACTTTCAGAGAGGATTTTCTCACATGTGTATCCAATTATAGCACCATTCTGCTCATTTCATCTGATCGTGTGACTATCCTGCTTATCATTTATCTGATAAAACTGAACTCATTAGCATGACCTTTTTCATCTGCTCCTGCCTGCAGAGCCACACCTCCTGCCAACCATGCCTCTTACAGCCAACTCAGACTACCTAGTTTACTCCAGACAAACCATGCTTGTTCCTGCCTCTGTGCCCTTGCTTGTAAAATTTTCTTTCTGGAGTTTCTTTTCCAAGTTATTCTCTGCAACAAATTTCCACTCATCCCTCAAGGAACAGGGTCAACTACCTTCTCTGTAATAACTTATGTAGGCATTTTTCTGTGATTGAACTATACTTTGTGTACAATGCCATTATATCTGCTAATATATTTTATTGTAAATATCTGCCTATCTTTTTTGTATCCCAATGAGACTATACCTTAGAGACATGGACCTTGTCCTTTTGTCGTTGTACCTTTGATGCCTACTGCAGACGTGGGCTTAATAAGTAATGATGAATGGGAACATTTTGAATAATGTATGTTTTCATAAATAAGTCTTTCAGGAGACTAATTACTATGAAGAGTTAATGCACTTTCAGGCACCTTTAATGTAGAAAGAAGTTCCGATATTGGAGAGCTTAGAGAAAAGCATGGTGATTTATGATCCTCAGAGAGCGAGTGCATTTTCTCTCCATCCATCACTCAGGCCCTGCTTTGTTTATAATACAGCAACCACTCTGAATGATGTAAAAGATGAGATTGCTTTGCTGGCTCTTTCGGTTTGTAAAACCCTGCCTTTCTTCAGTTGTTTTGTATTTATGAATCTTGATTGGTACACAAACTAATTATGGGTTGTCACAAAGAATACTGTTGACAGACTAATGTGTTGTTGGCACCATGTATCTTTTACTTTATCCAAATAATATAAATCAAAGAATGTTCAGCTTGTGCCATTTATATAAGGTTAAAGAATAATGTTATCAATTGAGATGCAACAGAGAGCTGAGATTTCTTTTCCTTAAATGATTTCTGGATGTTAATTTTAATCTTTCTTATGCCTGTATATTTCCGGTTTCACTTAGCCATTTCTATCATATTCTTAGAGGACAGGTATATATTTCCAGATTCATTCCTTTTTTTCCATTATGTAGGGATCCAGCTTTTGAGCAGTTCTTCACCCTACCTTACAGTGTGTAAAAGCCATTTTTTAAGGTGGAGTGACTGCCTGTGTGCATAAATCTTGCTTTAATTGACTTCAGTGAAGCATAGACTTATTGCATAAAGAGTACTTTGATTTTATGGCTCTATAGCTGCACTAACAGTTTCTATTATATGAATTGCTATCTATGATTTTTCTTGTTAAGTAGGAGGGCAGTGATTTAAGACCTGCTTTTTACAATTTATTTTTAGCTATTAATATGTATTAAATTAAGTGGTCTACATGGAGCAGAACACAGGAACACATTGCCCTTTGGAAATCTCTGCTTTCTGACAACTTTGTCTAACCAGAACAGCTGAAAACTAAGAATAAGAAGGAACTTAGAGAAGCCAAACTCCTTCTTCTTGCACTAAAACTTGTGAATTTTAGTTTATTTCTTTCTTTAATTTTTAAACTTATTTTTACTTAGTATAAATTTGATTTGGGGTCTCTAACCCTATAGCATATTAGGAAACAATGTACAAGCAGGGGAAAAGAACATGAAAGGACTGGTACCTGCTACTAGCCAAAGTTTAAAGAATGTATACATAGCACCACCCACTTACAAGGCCTTGATTATGATCTGCCCTGTGTTGTTTTCAGTGTTTGCAGTGATGCCCTTGAAGATGTCATTAGTCAACAGATATTTACTGAGTGTCTACTATGCATGTGGCACGATACTATGCTAGGCAATAGAGAAACAAGAAAGATAGATTCTCTCCCTTAAAAGTCATGACAACCCAGTGTAGCCCACTGATGTCAACAGTGAAATGAAATCTGTGCTTTGGAAGGGAAGATACCAGGTATTTTGTGAGCATAGATCAAGGGCACCTACCCCAAACTAGAAGGGCCAAAGATGGCTTCTCAGAGGAAGTGTCTTTAACTGTTGAAAATAAGGACATATGTATTTTAGAAATATTTCTTATAAAAATGCTTAAAATGAAAAAGTATGTTGCTACTGAATAAAAATGCTCTTATGTCTCCAAAAATGTGGCTAACCAAACTGAGTAATGTCCTTGCAGTTCCAAGTAACAAAAGTTCTACTCTCCATATACAATCATTATTTAAGGAGTCCTGTTGTTTATTTTATCTTCTATAGTCTTCCATCTCTGTGTGATATAAGAGCTGGGCTATCTTTAAAAGAAAGCCAGCTGGGTGCGGTGGCTCATGCCTATAATCCCAGCACTTTGGAAGGCTAAGGCGGGTGGAGTGCTTGAGCTCGGGAGTTTGAAACTAGCCTAAGCAAAATGGAAAGACCCCATCTCTACTAAAAATACAAAACAAATAGCTGGGCATGGTGGTGTGCACCTGTGGTCCCAGGTACTTCTGAGGCTGAGACTGGAGGATCACTTGAGCCCAAGGGGTGGAGGTTGCAGTGAGCCAAGATCGCACCACTACACTCCAGCCTGGGTGACAGAGCAAGACTCTGTCTCAAAAAAAAAAAGTACATAGAAATGAAATTCAAATTAGAGATATTCACTTCCATATAGTAAAAAGACTCTGCTCCCATAAATTAAATAGTAGCCAGATAAATGAAAATTAGACCTCACTTGTTTCAATATTTTGTAATTTAATTTTTTCCCTAACTATGTCTAGGTAACTTGGCTATGGTTATTTACATGTCATATAAACATTTGCTATCAGATAAAGGAAGCCAGAGTTATACAGATCTGTTTCTTAACTGGCAGGTTATCCTATGTTTCTAACCAAAATTTACATTTCAGTATCTGTGAAAATCTTTGTTTTAGCAATATGAGTAAACTGGCTTGACAGGGAATACAAGTAAATTAAATGTAAAATTAATTGGCACATTAAAAAAAAACAACCGAATAAGGATTTCTTGATTTGATTAAAATGGCTAAATCAATTTGGAGATGTTGAGAAAACATTCCTGTATGATAGTTTAGGGAAATATTGCGTCTGAAGGCCTGTGCATACAACGATAAGCAGCTTCTATAATTTATAACCTAGGACAAGTGGGAGGACTAGCATTTCCCTCATTCCCCCAAAGGATGTGGGAATACTAACCGTAGCCATTGGCAACAAGTTAAATTCCCACAGCAGGGGCCAATGTAGGCATTCTTCAGAGAGACAGATGCTTGGAATCCATATGATTGTTCTTTAATAAATATTTATTGAGCACCTACTACGGGCCAAGCATTATTCTACAAGTCGCAGATATATCCATGAGCAAAAGTGAAATAGATGTTTACCTTTGAGGTGTTTATATTCTACAGAAGTAAGCAGTTGATAAATCATAAACATAATCCATAAACTGGCTAGTATGTTGGAAGATGATCAGTGCAATAGAAGAAAGAAAAATCCAAAGCAAGGTAAAGAGATGCAGAAGGAAATTTTAAGTAGAGGACAGAAAAGACATCATCTTGATATTTGAGCTAAAATATTGTATCAGTCTAGGCCCGACAGGAGAGAGAAACCTTATAGTAATTGGAACAGGAAAAGTTTACTGTAAAGAATCAGTAATGACAAGAGGATTGGAGTAAGAGAATTGTCTGGTAAAAAGTAAAGCAAGCTGCAAATAATACAAGAATAGAAGATACAAGGAGCAGCCACTAACTCCCAGGGCTGAGTCAGAGTAGCCTCTGGCCCAGGGCTAAGATCCAGACCTTGTTGGGAGTGCGCAGTTTTGCGTCATCGGAGCCAGAGACACTGCTATGGAACTGTGCAAGGCAGGACTTGCTGGAAATGCAGCCTTTGCAACTTGTCAGAGAATTACCCTCTAGGGTGCTGGGGAAAACTGTCCCCAGGAGTTTCTCACCAGAGATACTGCACTGCACTACATAATGGCCTGAGATCAGCAGGCGGCTAATAGCTTTTGGGTGTCTTAGAAGTTAAATGCCAAAGAAGCTGCATGTTCTGCAGCAGCTGAGCATGGAGAAGCCACCTGCACTGCAGAAGCTTGGCCAGTGAGATACAGGAACCAGGAAGCAAAACTCTTTTCTGCTTCAATGTTTCTCCAGTATCTTCTATGGACAAAACTTAACACTGGGCCAGCCAGCCCAGAAGAAAATGTTTGAAGAGCCTATTTCCTTTGTCACAAGCAGGGAAAGAAGATGGGTTTGGAAGTGAGATGCAATCAATTGATAGTTCCCAAAGATAGTTAGGAGATGTGGGATGACGTATGTAGATATCTTGTAACAGAGTGTTACAAGTGGCAAAAACAGTTGCTACAGAACCCAAAGGCAGAATAGTGCATCACAAGGAGGTCAGTGTTGAGGGAACAGTTTGGATCAAAAGGATAAGACCAGGAAATGAGATTGGAGAGGAAAAAGAAGGTGAGACCCTGCAGCTTTCCTTATAGGCTATCCTATGGCTTTGAGATTTATTCCAAGGGAGCATTGTGGTGGTCTGAGTGGAAGAGTGGCATGACTACTTGAAAACAACCATTGTGATCCCTATTGAGTATAGACGTACAGGGGTCAGATAGAATCAAGGAGGCCAGTCAGGTGGCTACTGCAGGAATACAGGAGACAGATGGTGGTTGCTTAGATGGAGGTAGGAACAGTGGAACAGTTGGTAAATAGTGAGAAAAGTGCTACATTTCCTATTGAATAAGCTACTCATAATCCTACCTCCATTCCTTCCTTACTGGGAAAGATAGATAGATATAGATATATCTAGAATATGTGTGTCTTATCCATAAAAATTTTTCTGTGACATAAAGATCCTAGACTCTATATAAACACTCATTAAATGTTTGCTGTTGATTACATTTACATTTTTTCTTGCAATTCAAAAGATTCCAAACTGCCAATGAGTTTCAGTAAGAGATCTATAGATGCTTAAATTATAAACATAGCAGCCATAGCTATTTCATCAAATAAATAATTGCAAAAGGCTGTATTTCACCTTCATATTTCTCAAAAATAAATCTAGTTCAGAGCTTATCTGGGATAAAGGCTACCCCTCAGTTGAACCCCCAACCCCTTTCCAGCTGCTGCTGTCAGTCGGCCAAGCCTTCTTCCTCCTGTTCTCCCAAGGCGCTACCACATGGTAGGCAGCACAGTGCTCTCAGCCTATGCCATTCCCTCTTGCCCTGAAAAATTCACCTGCTTCCTGCCCCTTGTCATTACTCATGGCATTACCTGCATGAAATGGTGGCCTATTTCCCCCTGGCCTTTGGGAAATTCTTCCCATCCTTCAAACTAGGCATTGCTAGTGGCCACACATTATGGAAGGGAGCACACAGAAAAGAATGTGCTGATGGGGTCCTTTGAGCTCTATATTCTTTTTATTGCTGTTGTTGCCTTGTTTTTTTCTTTTTTCATTTTTTGAGTATATAGTAGGTGTATATATTAATGGGGTACATAAGATATTTTTATATAACCATACAATGTGTAATAATCACGTCAGGGCAAATGGGGTCATCACCTTAAACATTTATTCTTTGTGTACTAAACAATCCAGTTATGCTAGTTTTTTTTAAATGTACTATTATTATTGACTATAGTCATCCTATTATGCTGTCAAGTAGGAGGTCTTATTCATTCTTTCTTTCTTTTTTCTTTCTTTTTTTTTTTGAGACAGAGTCTTGCTCTGTCACCCAGGATGGAGTGCAGTGGTGTGATCTCGTCTCACTGCAAGCTCCGCCTCCCGGGTTCACGCCATTCTCCTGCCTCAGCCTCCCGAATAGCTGGGACTACAAGTGCCCGCCACCACGCCCGGCTTTTTTATATTTTTTTTAGTAGAGACGAGGTTTCACCATGTTAGCCAGGATGGTCTCAATCTCCTTACCTTGTGATCCGCTCGCCTCGGCTTCCCAAAGTGCTGGGATTACAGGCGTGAGCCACTGAGCCCGGCCTTATTCATTCTTTCTAACTGTATTTTTGTACCCAATAACCATGCCCACTTTCCCCAACCCCCTACTACCATCCCAGCCTCTGGTAATCTTCCCTTCTCTCTCTGTCTTCATTTAATTTTTAGCTCCCACAAATAAGTGAGATCATGTGCAGTTTGTCTTTCTGTGCCTGGCTCATTTCACTTAACATAATTATTTCCAACTCCATCTATATTGTCACAAATGTCGGTATCTCACTTTTTTTTATGTCTGTGTATTAGTCTGTTTTCACACTGCTGATAAAGACATACCCGAGACTGGGCAATTTATAAAATAAAGAGATTTATTGGACTTACAGTTCCACATGGCTGGGGAGGCCTCACACCATGGCAGAAGGTGAAAGGCATGTCTCACTTGGTGGCAGATAAGACAAGAGAGTTTGTGCAGATATAATTCCCCCTTATAATAACCATCAGATCTCATGAGACTTATTCACTATCATGATAATGGCATGGGAAAGATCTGACCCCATGATTCAATTACCTCCCACCTGGTCCCTTCCACAACACTTGGGAATTCAAGATGAGATTTGGGTGGGGACACAGCCAAACCATATCATTCCACCCCGACCCCTCCCAAATCTCATGTCCTCACATTTCAAAACCAATCATGCCTTCCCAACAGTCCCCCAAAGTCTTAACTCATTTCAGTGTTAACTCAAAAGTCCACAGTCCAAAATCTCATCTGAGACAAGGCAAGTCCCTTCTGCCTTTGAGCCTGTAAAATCAAAAGCAAGTTAGTTACTTCCTAGATACAATGGGGATACAGGCATTGGATAAATACAGGCATTTCAAATGGGAGACATTGGCCAAAACAAAGTGGCTACAGGCCCCATGCAAGTCCAAAATCCAGTGGGGCAATCAAATCTTAAAGCTCCAAAATGATCTCCTTTTACTTCATGCATCACATCCAGGTAACACTGATGCAAGAGGTGGGTTCCCATGGTCTCAGGCAGCTCCCCTGTGGCTTTGCATGGTACAGCCTCCCTCCTGGCTGCTTTCACAGGCTGGCGTTTAGTGTCTGCAGTTTTTCCAGGTGCATGGTGAAAGCTGTCAGTGAATCTACCATTCTGGAATCAGGAGGATGGTGGCTGTCTTCTCACAACTCCACTAGACAGTACCCTAGTAGGGACTCCATGTGGGGGCTCCAACCCCACATTTCCCTTCCACACTGTCCTAGCAGAGGTTCTCCATGAGGGCCCCACCCTGCTCAAACTTCTGTCTGGATATCCAGGCATTTCCATACATCTTCTGAAAACTAGGTGGGGGTTCCCAAACCCCAATTCTTGACTTCTGTGCACTGGCAGGCTCAACACCATGTGGAAGCTGCCAAGGTTTGAGGCTTGAACCCTCTGAAGCCATGGACTGAGCTCTATGTTGGCCCTTTTTCAGCCAGGCTTGAGTGGCTGGGATGCAGGGCACCAAGTCCCTAGGCTGCACACAGCACAGGGACCCTGGGCCTGGCCCACAAAACCACGTTTTCCTCCTAGGCCTCTAGGCTTGTAATGGGAGAGGTTGCTGTGAAGACCTCTGACATGCTCTGGAGACATTTTCCCCATTGTCTTGGGGATTAATATTGGCCTCCTTGTTACTTATGCAAACTACTTCAGCTGGCTTGAATTTCTCCTCAGAAAATGAGATTTTCTTTTCTTTTCTTTTCTTTTCTTTTCTTTCTTTCTTTCTTTCTTTCTTTCTTTCTTTCTTTCTTTCTTTCTTTCTTTCTTTCTTTCTTTCTTTGTTTTTATTATTATACTTTAAGTTCTGGGATACATGTGCAGAACATGCAGGCTTGTCACATAGGTATACACGTGCCATGGTGACTTGCTGCACCCAACAACCCGTCATCTACATTAGATATTTCTCCTAATGCTATCCCTCCCCTAGCCCTTCACCTCCTGACAGGCCCTGGTGTGTCATGTTCCCCTCCCCGTGTCTGTGTGTTCTCATTGTTCAATTCCCACTTATGAGTGAGAACATGTGGTGTTTAGTTTTCTGTTCCTGTGTTAGTTTGCTGAGAATGATGATTTCTAGCTTCATCCACGTCCTTGCAAAAGATATAAACACATCCTTTTTATGGCTGCATAGTATTCCATGCTGTATATGTGCCACATTTTCTTAATCCAGTCTATCATTGATGGGCATTTGGGTTGGTTCCAAGTCTTTGCTATTTGTGAATAGTGCTGCAATAAACATACATGTGCATGTGTCTTTATAGTAGAATGATTTATAATCCTTTGGGTATATACCCAGTAATGGGATTGCTGGGTCAAATGGTATTTCTTGTTCTAGATCCTTGAGGAATTGCCACACTGTCTTCCACAATGGTTGAACTAATTTATACTCCCATTAACAATGTAAAACCATTCCTGTTTCTCCACATCCTCTCCAGCATCTATTGATTCCTGACATTTTAATGATTGCCATTCTAACTGGTGTGAGATGGTATCTCATTATTGTTTTGATTTGCATTTTTCTAATGACCAGTGTTGATGAGCTTATTTTCATGTTTCTTGGCCACATAAATGTCTTCTTTTGAGAAGTGTCTGTTCATCTCCTTTGACCACTTTTTGTTGGGGTTGTTTGATTTTTTTTTTCTGATAAATTTGTGAAGTTCTTTGTAGATTCTGGATATTAGTCCTTTGTCAGATGGATAGATTGCAAAAATTTTCTGAAAATGGGATTTTCTTTTCTATCACATTGTCAGGCTGCAAATTTTCCAAACTTTTATGCTCTGCTTCCCTTATAAAATGGAATGCTTTTAACAGAACCCAAGTCAACTCTTGAATGCTTTGCTGCTTAGAAATTTCTTCTGCCAGATACCCTTAATCATCTCTCTCAAGTTCAAAGTTCCACATATCTCTAGGGCAGGGGCAAAATGCTGTCAGTCTCTTAGCTAAAACATAACAAGCATCACTTTTGCTCCAGTTCCCAACAATTTCCTCATTTCCATCTGAGACCACGTCAGCCTGGACCTTATTGTTCATATAATTATCAGCATTTTTGTCAAAGCCATTCAACAAATATCTTGGAAATTCAAAATTTTCCCAAGTTTTCCTGTCTTCTTCTGAGCCCTCAAAACTGTTCCAACCTCTGCCTGTTACCCAGTTCCAAAGTCGCTTCCACTTATTCAGATATCTTTTCAGGATTGCCCTACTCTACTAGAACCAATTTACTGCATTAGTTTGTTTTCAGGCTGCTGATGAATACATACTTGAGACTGGGCAATTTATAAAAGAAAGAGTTTTATTGGACTTACAGTTCCACATGTCTGGGCAGGCCTCACAATCATGGTGGAAGGTGAAAGGCACGTCTCACATGGTGGCAGACAAGACAAGAGAGCTTGTGCAGGAATACTCCCCCTTATAATAACCATCCAATCTCATGAGACTTTATCACTGTCATGAGAATAGCAGAGGAAAGATCTGACCCCATGACTCAATTACTTCCCACTTGGTCCCTTCCACAACACTTGGAAATTCAAGATGAGATTTGGGTGGGGACACAGCCAAATCATATCAGGCTGAATAGTATTCCATTGTGTATATGTACCATGTTTTCTTTATCCATTCATCTATTGATGGACACTTAGGTTACTTCCAAATCTTGGCTGTTGTGAGTAGTGCTGCAAGAAACATGGGAGTGCAGATGTCTCTTTGACATACTGATTTCTATTCTTTTGGATATATACTTAGTTGTGGGATTATTGGAACATATAGTACCTCTATTTTTAGTTTTTTGAGAAATCTCCAAAGTGTTCTCCATAATGGTTTTACTAATTAACACTCCCACCAACTGTCTATGAGGGTTCATTTTTTTCCATATCCACGCCAGCCTTTGTTATTGCCTGTCTTTTTAATTGGGAAAAGCCATTTTAATTTTGATGAGATGATATTTATTGTAGTTTTGATTTGCATTTCTTTGATGATCAATGATGTTGGACACCTTTTCATATACCTGTTTGCAATTTGTATGTCTTCTTATGATAAATATCTGTTCAGATAGTTGCCCATTTTTAAGTCAGGTTATTATATTTTTTACTATAGAGTTGTTTGAGCTCCTTATATATTCAGGTTTTAAATCCCTTGTTAGGTGGATAGTTTGCAAATATTTTATTCCATTTTGTAGGTTGTCTCTTCACTTTGTTTATTGTTTCCTTTGCTGTTTAGGAACTTTTAAACTTGATATAATCCCATGTGTCCATTTTTGCTTTAGTTGCCTGTGCTTCTGGGGTATTACTCAATAAATCTTTGCCCAGTCCGATGTCCTGGAGAGTTTCCCCAATGTTTAATTTTAGCGGTTTCATGATTTGAGGTCTTAGATTTAAGTCATTAATCCATTTTGATTTGATTTTTGTATATGCCAAGAGATAGGGATCTAATTTCATTCTTCTGCATATGGATATCCCATTTTCCAAGCACCTTTTATTGAAGAGACTGTCTTTTCCCAAATGTATGTTCTTGGAACTTTTGTTGAAGAGGATTTTACTTTAGATATATGAATTTGTTTCTAGGTTCTCTGTTCTGTTCCATTGGTCTATGTGTCTGTTTTTATGCCAGTGCTATGCTGTTTGTGTTACTATACCTCTGCAATATCATTTGAGGTCAAGTAATATGATTCCTCCAGTTTTGTTCTTTTGCTTGAGATAGCTTTAGCTATTCTAGGACTTTGTGGTTCCATATAAATTTTAGAATTGTTTTTCTATTCCTGTGAAGAATGTCATTGGTATTTTGATAAAGGTTGCATTGAATCTGGATATTGCTTTGGGGAATATGGAAATCTTAACATTATTGATCCTTCCAATCCATGAACATGGAATATTTTTCAATTTTTGTTGTCTTCAATTACTTTCATCAGTATTTTACAGTTTTCATTATAGAGATCCTTAATTCTTTGCTTAATTCCTAGGTATTTTATTTTATTTGTAGCTATTATAAATAGGATTACTTTCTTATTTTTCAGATTGTTTGCTATTGGCATATAGAAATGCTACTGATTTTTGTATGTTCATTTTGTATCCTGCAACTTTACTGAATTTATCAGTTTTAATAGTTTTTGGTGGAGTTTTTAAGGTTTTCCAAATGCAGGGTCATATCATCTGAAAACAAGGATAATTGAATTTCTTCCTTTCCAGTTGGATGCCTTTTATTTAGTTCTCTTGTTTAATTGCTCTAGCTAGGACTTCCAGGACTATGTTGAATAACAGCGGTGACAGTGGGCCACCTTGTCATGTTCCAGATCTTTAGAGGAAAAGCTTTTAGATTGTCCCCATTCAGTATGACACTAGCTGTGGGTCTGTTGTATACGGCTTTTCTTATGTTGAAGTATGTTCCTTCTACACCCAGTTTTTTGAGTTTTTTAAATCATTAAGGAATGTTGAATTTTATCAAATGCTTTTTCTGCATCAATTGAAATGATCATATGATTTTTATCCTCCATTCTTTTGATATGATATATCACATTAATTGATTTGCATATGTTGAGCCATCTTTGCCTCAATGGGATAAATCCCACTTGGGCATGATGAATGATCTTTTTAATGTGTTGTTCAATTCAGTTTGCTAGTATTTTGTTGAGGATTTTTGCATCAATATTCATTAGAAATATTGGCTTATAGTTTTCTTTTTTTGATGCATCTTTGGTTTGATATCAGGATAAGACTGGCCTCATTAAATGGTTTTGGGAGTATTCTTTTCTCCTTTATTTTTCAGAATAGTTTGAGTGGAATTGGTATTAGTTCTTCTTTAAATGTTTGGTAGAATTCAGCAATAAAGCCATCAGGTCACAGGCTTTTCTTTGTTGGAAAAATTTGTGTTATGGCTTTGATCTTATTACTTGCAATTCGTCTGTTCAGTTTTTGAATTTCTTCATGGTTCAATCTTGGTAGGTTGTATGTGTCTAGGAATTTATTCACTTCTAGATTTTCCAATTTATTGGTCTATTGTTGCTCATAGTAACCACTAATAATCATTTGAATTTCTGCATTGTTGGTTGTAATATCTTCTTTATCATATCTGATTTTATTTATTTGGGTCATCTCTTTTTCTTTGTCTAGCTAAACAAAATTGACACACCTTTATCTTTTTAAAAAAACCAACTTTCTGTTTCATTGATCTTTTTGCATTGCTTTGTTTGAATTTCACTTATTCCTTCTCTGATCTTTATTATTTTTTTTCTGTTACTAATTTTGGGTTTGGTCTACTCTTCCTTTTCTAGTTCTTTAAGACACATCTTTAGGTAATTTATTTGAAGTTTTTCTTTTTCTTTGATGTAGGTGCTTATAGCTAAAAACTTCTGTTTTATGACTGTTTTCACTGTATCCCAAAAGTATTGGTATGTTCTTTCCATTTTCATTTGTTTTAAGAAATTTTCCAATTTTCTTCTTAATTTCTTCTTGGACCCACTGGTCATTCAGGAGCATGTTGTTTAATTTCCATATGTTTGTATAGTTTCCAAAGTTCCTCTTTTTATTGATTTCTTGTTTTACTCCATTGTGGAAATTGTGGTCAGAGAAAATGCTAGATATTATTTCAATTTTTTTAACACTTAAGACATGTTTTGTGACCTATCATATGGTTTGTCCTTGAGAATGTTCCATGTGCTGAGGAGAAAAATGTGTATTTTTCACCTGTTGTATAAAATGTTCTATAAATATCTATGAGGTCTATTTGTTCTATAGTTCAGATTAAGTCCGATGTTTGTTGACTTTCCGTCTGGGAGATCTGTCCAAGGCTGAATGTTGTGTGTTGAATTCTCCAGCTATTATTGTATTAGGGCCTGTCTCTCTCTTTAGCTCTAATAATATTTGCTTTAGATATCTGAATGCTCCAGGATTAGGTGCATATGTATTTACAATTGTTATATCCTCTTGCTAAATTGACCCTTTCATCATTGTATAGTGACCTTCTTTGTCTCTTCTTATAGTTTTTGTCTTGAAATCTATATTTTCTGATATAAGTCCTGGAAATAAGTTCCTGATATAAGTATATGGCTATTTCTGTTTTTCTTTGGTTTCCATTGGCATGGAATATCTTTTTCCATGCCTTTATTTTCAGTCTATGTGTATCTTTATAGGTGAAATGTGTTTCTTATAGAAAGCAGATGATTGGGTGTTTTTTTTTTTTATCCATTGAGCCACTCTGTGTTTTGATTGGAGAGTTTAATCCATTTATGTTCAATGTTATTGTTCATAAATAGGGACTTACTCCTGCCATTTTGTTATTCATTTTCTGGTCTTCTTTCTTCCTGTCTTCCTTTTAGTAAAGGTAATTTTCTCGTGGTAGGATTAAATTTCTTGCTTTTTTGTGTGTGTGTATTTGTTGTATGATGTTTAATTTGAGTTACCATGAGGTTTGTAAATACTGTGTTAGAACCCATTATTTTAAACTGATGACAAAACTAATTGGATAAATGAACACTGAAAAAAGAAAACTTTCTGAAAAAGAAAACTAATAAAAACTTTACACTTTAACTTCGTCTCCTATTTTTTAACATTTCGTTGTTTCTCTTTATGTCTTGTTGTACCGTCTATGTCTTGAAAAGTTGTGGTTATTATTTTTGATGGGTTCATTATTTAGCCTTTCTACTTAAGATATGAGTAGTTTATATACCACAATTACAGAGTTATAATATTCTGTGTTTTTCTATGTGCTTACTATTACCAGTTAGTTTTTTACCTTCATGTGATTTCTTCTTGCTTGTTAATATTCTTTTCTTTTTGATTGAAGTAGTTACTTTAGCATTTCTTGTAGGACAGGTCTGGTATTGGTGAAATCCCTCAGCTCTTGTTTATCAGGGAAGGTTTTTATTTCTTCTTCATGCTTGAAGGATATTTTTGCTAGACATACTATTCTAGGGTAAAAGTTATTTTTTTTCCTTCAGCACTTTAAATATGTCATGCTACTCTTTTTTGGCCTATAAGATTTCAACTGAAACATCTGCTGCCAGACTTATTGGAGCTTCATCGTATGTTATCTGTCTCTTTTCTCTTGCTGCTTTTAGAATCCTTTCTTTATCCTTGACCTTTGGAAGTTCGCTTTTAAATGCCATGAGGTAGTTTTCTTTGGGTTAAATCTGCTTGATGTTCTATAACCCTGTATCTGAATGTTGATATCCTTCTCTATGTTTGGGAAGTTCTCGGACATTTTCCCTTTGAATAAACTTTTTACCCTTATCTCTTTCTCTACGTCCTCTTTAAGGCCAATCACTCTTAGATTCGCCCTTTTGAGGCCATTTTATACATTTTATAGGCATGCTTCATTGTTTTTTATTCTTTTATTTTGTCTCCTCTGACCATGTCTTTTCAAATAGCCTGTATTTGAGCTCACTAATTCTTCTGCTTGATCAATTCTGCTATTAAGTGACTCTGATACATTCTTCAGTATGTCAATTGCATTTTCAACTCCAAAATAGCTACTTGATTTTTCTTAATTTTTTCAATCTCTTTGTTAAATGCATCTGATAGAGTTCTGAATTTTTTCTCTGTGTTATCTTGAATTTCTTTGAGTTTCCTCAAAACAGCTATTTTGAATTCTCTCTCTGAAAAGTCAAATATCTGTGTTTCTCCAGGATTAGTCTCTGGTTCCTTATTTAGTTTGTTTGGTGAAGTTACATTTTTTTCTGGATGGTCTTTCTCCTGTCGATATCTGTTGGTGTCTGGGGATTGAAGAGTTATGTATTTATTGTAGTCTTTGCAGTCCGGGCTTGTTTGTGCCTGTCCTTATTGGAAAGACTTTCTAGGTATTTGAAGGGATTTGGACATTGTTATCTAAGCCCTACTCGTGTTAGGGAGCACCCTAAGCCCAATGATGCTGTCATTCTTACAGACTCATAGATGTACTGCCTTGGTGGTCTTGGATAAGATCTGGAATAATTCTGTAGATTACCCAGCTCTCGTTCTCTTTCCTTACTTTCTCTCAAACAAATGAAGTCTATATCTCTGTTCTGAGCCATCTGGAGCTGGGTATGGGGTGACACAAACACCCCTGTGGCCACCACCGCTGGGACTGCACTGGATCAGACCTGAACCCAGCAGAGAATTGAGTCTCTCCTAGGGCCCATTGTAACCACTACCTAGCTACCACCTATGTTCACTCAAGACTCTAAAGCTCTACAATCAGCAGTTGCTGAAGCCAGCCATGTTTGCGTCCTTCCCTTCAGGGCGACAAGTTCCGCTGGGCCCCATGTGAATCAAGAGATGCCACACGGGAGCCAAAAACTGGAGTCAAAAATCTTAGAAATCTACCTGATGCTCTATTCTACTGTTGCTAAGCTGGCACTCAAACCATGAGAGAATGTCCTTTCCATTCTTCCCTTTCCTTCCCACAAGCAGAGGAGCCTCTCCACATGGTTACCACAACCACAGATCCACATGGTGGGTACTGTCAGGCTACTGCCGATATTCACTTAAGGACCCAGGTCTCTTCAGTCAGCTTGTAGTGAATGTTGCTAGGCCTTGGATTTACCCTTCAGGGCAGTGGGCTCCCTTCTGGCCCAGGGTAAGTCCAGAAATGCCATCCAAGAACTAAGGCCCAGAATCAGGGACCCCAGTGGTTCACTTGGTACTCTGCCCAACTGTGGCCAAGCTGGCACCTAAAATGAAAGACTAAGTCCCCTTTACTTTTCTGTCTGGTTTTCTCAAGCAGAAGGAGTCTCTCCCTGTAGCCATCACAGCTGTGAATGTACTGGGTTCCACCTGAAGACAACATATCTCAAAGTATCACCCCAGGCTGACCTGTTCTACCTGCACATTGCTGCTGGCTCTTCAGGGCCTGCAAGCTCTTTAATCAGCAGGTGATAAATCCTTCCAGGACTGGGTCCTTCGTTCAAAGCAGTGGGTTTTCTTCAGGCCCAGAGTGTGTCTAGAAAGGTCATATGGGAACTGGGGCCTAGAAGGGGGTCTCACAACTTTGCCTGGTGCCCTATCCTATTGTGGCTAAGCGGGTGTCCACAAAGCTAGAAAAAAGTCCTCTTTACTCTTCCCTCTCCTCCCCTCCCACACAAGGAAGGAATCCCTTTTGTTGCCGTAAGCTGCACTGCCAAGCAAACCATTAGGTTTCCTGATTCTGGACCTTAGTTCTTGAATGGCATTTCTGGACCTACCCTGGGCCCACTGGGTAGCCCACTGCCCTGAAGGGTGAGTCCCAGGCCTAGCAATTTACTCCACTATTTAATTACATGGCATAAGCACCCCCTTGGACACCCCGGCTTGTGTCTGTCTCACTAGATCATGTGCCCTGCAAATCCACTGGCTTTGAGCCCAGGACAGCACTAACACTTGCTTAGAAATTGCAGTCCTTGTGGACTACACTGTCTTTCAAGTTTATTAAGGACTCAAGAGCACGTTAGTCTGTAATGGTGAGGCTTGTGGGATCTCAAGTTCTGACTTCTGGGATGGATGATTCCCTATGGCTAGGGCTGGTCTAAATGCGCCCTCTGGGCATCAGCCGAGTTTAGCCTGGTTTTGCTTTCCTCTGTGATAGGACAGCACTGAGTTCAATGAAGGAACCCACAATCACTATACTCTCCTTCTGCCAAGTCCACGGATTCTTCATGCCATGTGGCCACTGCTGGGGGATGGGGAAGAAGTGGCATCAGCAATTCAACACTGTCTTTCCCACCCTCTTCAGTGCCTCCTTCAGTGATATGAAGTTAAAACCAGGTGCTATCATTGCTCACCTGATTTTTAGTTCTTATGAAGGTGCTATTTTGTGTGTAGACAGTTGTTACATTTGTTGTTCCCGTGGGGTTGGGGTGGTGATGATTCTATTTAGCCATCTTGCTCCACCCTCAAGCTGTATATTCTTGAAGGTCTTCCTGTTCTTTATATCCCTACTATATTTCCTGAAGCTCACTACATGAAATACATATGCATTGAAGTTGGCCCTCATTTATTTAAAAAGAAAGTTGCAAGAACTAATGTTAAGTCTACTAATTAGAGATACATTAGCTAATAATAGTTCATTCTTACAAACTAATTTTTACCATTATATACCAACTTAAACATGTTACTAGTAATTACTTACCCCACTGGAGCAGTTTTTGAACTGAGGAGATGTTGTCTGTGGAAAATTTTTATCTGGAGAAATATTTAACATTATTTGTGACATTTCCCACTCCTGTAAGCACAATAAAAGCCACATTTTATTCATACTTTTAAAATATGGAACATAGTTATTTTTCCTTAACTCTTATAGTCAAGAGGTCCAGAGGTCATCATACTAGATACGCAAAATTCTTTCTGATTCTTAATCTTCTAGAACTCCCTGAGATAAGCATGACATGTGGATATACTTTTATTAATACTCAAATTGTAACCAAATATAAGTATTTACAATAAAAATGTCTGTGTATTAAGCAATGTACCCCACTATCCTATTACATAATGCTATGTGTCTCTGGAGAGTTGGAGGTTTACTGGGGATGTCAAGTGTCCTGAAACTCTAAAATTATGCTCGGTGGGAGCAAACGAAGAATGCAGACAGAAGTAAATGAAAGTAGATTTTATAGCCATATTCTGTAGGAACATTGAGAGGAAAAAAAACTTGAAGACATCTGATAAGGAAGGGAATAAACCAGTGCTACCACGAGAATCCACAATTGACAAGAAAAAGGTTCTACATTGGGAAATGCTTCTGAAAACATTTATTTCAAACCTAATAACTTTTCATTCTAAGGGACAACTTTGAGCCAACTTGTTTGGTTACCTTGAAATAATCTGATAAAAAAGGCACTGAATGGTTTTTGTAATAAAAGTAAAATTTCTCAGAATGCAGCAATTTTTTTTTTTTTTGAGGCAGGGTCTTGCTCATTGCCCAGGCTGGAGTGCAATGGCATGATCTCAGCTCACTGCAACCTCTACCTCCTGGGTCAAGCGATCCTCCTGCCTCAGCTCCCCAAGTAGCTGGGACTATAGGCATGCACTACCACAGTGGCTAATTTTTGTATTTTTTAGTAGAGACAGGGTTTTGTCATTCTGGCCAGGCTGGTCTCAAACTCCTGGCCTCAAGTGATCCATCCACTTGGGCCTCCCAAAGTGCCAAGATTACAGGTGTGAGCCACCATGCCCAGCCAGAATGCAGCTATTTGAAATAGTTTTCTCTACTTCCAAGAATGAGACACAAAACCTATTTCCTAGTTTATAGATGTGCTTTATCTTGTCTCTACTTAACATTTTAAAATTTGTATTGTAATTATCCATTTACGTATCTGTTTCCAACTCTAAACAGTGAACTCCTATAGAACAAAATTTATATTAATTGAATATAGTGTTTGGTGTTAGTAAGTGCTCAGTTAAATGCTTTTTGAAAGCCTGAGTGTGTCAAGCAAAGCTCGTATGATTCTAGATGGAACAAATGAATACTTGATGGAGTCATTGCTGATGGGAAAGATCAGTGTAAAGTACTGGGTTTCAGATGGCTGTGCTTGAGATGGTTGCTTGTGGAGATGGAAAGTAAACAATTTGATATATTTCTCTGAAAGCCTAGAGAAAAAAATTTGATTGTCATTAGAATAAAGATGACATTTAGCTATCGAGTTAGACAAAATCACCTTGGGAGAAAATGCAGTAGATGAGAGGGTCTAGAAACAATCCATGTGGGCGGTGGCTCATGCCTGTAATCTCAGCACTTTGGGAGGCTGACGTGGGTGGATCACCTGAGGTCAGGAGTTCAAAACCACCCTGGCCAACATGGTGAAACCCCCCTGTTTGTACTAAAAATACAAATATTAGCTGGGTATGGTGGCGTGCACCTGTAATCCTAGCTACTTGGGAGGCTGAGGCAGGAGAATCACTTGAACTCAGGAGGCAGAGGTTGCAGTGAGCCGAGATTGTACCACTGCACTCCAGCCTGGGCAACAGAGTGAGACTCTGTCTCAAAAAAATAAATAAATAAATAAATAAAAAATAGAGAGAGAGAAAAAAAAAGAAAACAATCCATGTGAACCTCAGGCTCAGTCAAATGTAAGAGAACAAGCCAAGAAAGGAAATGGAGAAAAAGGTCAGCAAGTCAGAAGGAAAACACAAAGTATTTTAAAAGCCAGGAGGAAAAAAGTCATTAAGATATGGCGACCAGAAAACATTTCTCATCAGTAAATGTCTAAAATCTTATACACATGGATGGTCCCCTTAGGATGTGCAAAAGCAATACTCATTCAGTAGAAACTACACTTCTTTGAGTACCCATATAACCATTCTTTTTTTTTCACTTTCCTTACAGTATTATATGAGATATTACAAAAAGATAGAGTAATCAATGGTGACAAATCATTGAGAGCTTAATTAGGTTGAGGACAGAGATGAATCTATTAGATTTGGCAATATTTGAAGGCATTGGTGATCAGGGAAAAATAATCTCAGACGTGGTGGAGGCGTAAGCCAAATTGGGGTGGAGGTTGAAGAGAAAGTGAACTGTGCGGAATTAGAGAGGAGGCAAACATAATTTTTTGAGACAGTTGCCCATAAAAAGAAGTAGGGAAATGGGTGGCAGCTGGAAGGAGATGAGGGATCAGGGTAATGTATATATAAAAACATTCTTGTGTGAATTATGGGAGGAATGAAACCATGTTAGAATGGTGATAAGAAAGATCCAGAGAAGAAAGAAACACTGATGAGTGAGAGAGGAGATAACCAAAGGAGGAAAGCCCCTGATAAGCTGTCAAATAATAAGAAATAAAGCCCATCAGGGCCTTTGATGAGATTGGAGCTTTTTCCAATGCAACCAAAGAAGGGAAAATGAAGAACCGGCTGTAAATTTTGGTTTGAGTTTTATTGGGTGGTGAAAATAAGAGGAAATTTTTATTTAGTGATGTTCTAGTTTCCTGTGTGCAATGGAGAGCAGCTGAATAATATTACAGAAAATTAAAGTAATAGAAGACTCAGGCTATTATCCATTATAGATATGACTACAGCCCATGCAGTCACACAGCACTGGCCCAAAATATTATGATTTTCCAATTCCCATAACGGGTCTTACTTTTCATATTTCTTTCCCAACTCACATTTAACAGATAATAATGGTTTATTTTAGAAAATAGAAGAAACCTGTGACAGCTACTTTAGTGACCCCTAGTGAATTTCACCTTCTGGTATCCTAGTATAGTCTCTTCCACGTCCACTCTGGCTTTGGCCATATGATTTGCTTGGCCAATGGGAAATTAGCAAATATGAAGCAAACAGAGGCATGATAAATACTTGCATATCAGGTGTGAGCCTTGGAAATGTTTGCTCTTGGAAGCCATTGCCATGCTGTAAAGATAGACTGTTGAATCCCATAAGACTACATGAAGTGAGATGCTAGAGGTTGGAAGACCTCTTCCAATCAAACTTCCAGTTGAATGTAGTAGCATGAGAGACTTCAGCTATACCACATGGAGCAGAACTTCCCAGATGAACTGAGACAAACCCCAAGGCAGTGAGAAATAATAATTCATTGTTGAGCCATAAAGTTATGGGGTGGTTTGTTACATAGCAGAAAAGTGACACTGTAATGTCTATCCTTTGTAGGCTCTTTTGTTCTTTTTTTAAGAAGAGATCAACCCATCAAAATAAATTTAGATGTTTATTATGTACAGGCCAGTATATTAAGGCCTAAGAGGTTGATAAAAAAGGTATTGGACACTGGTCTTGGCCTCAAACATTTTATTTGAAAGGTTGAGGCATATACACAGTAGTTGCAACATCTTTCTTCCATTATGTGGGCATTAATTGCTTTTCTTTTTTTGAGATGGAGTTTTACTCTTGTTGCCTAGGCTGGAGCGCAGTGGTGCCATCTCGGCTCACTGCAACCTCCGCCTCCCGGGTTCAAGCAATTCTCCTGCCTCAGCCTCCCAAATAGCTGGGATTACAGGTGTGCATCACCACACTCAGCTAATATTTGTATTTTTAGTAAAGACGGGGTTTTACTATGTTGGCCAGGTTGGTCTCGAACTCTTGACCTCAAGTGTTCCACCTGCCTCGGCCTCCCAAAGTGCTGGAATTACAGGTGCGAGCCACTGCACCTGGCACTTCTTTCTTTTTGATTCATTGTTCTTATTATTTTGCCTCATTTGTCCAATTTCATGGAGCATTGTCCAAAATTCCCTCAGATTTTCAAACTTTTCTATTTGCTTCCTCTATTAGACCATGCCCAGTCATAAATATAAAAACGATACATGATACTTGCCACTTGAACACATAGAATTTCATATAAAGAATGAAGTCAACAAATATAGAAGGACTAAAAAAGCAAAAAGGAGACACAGAGGTAACTCAGGAATAATAACTTCATGAAGAGACTACCATCCTGTGATGGACTGACTGTTTATGTACCACCAAATTCATATGATGAATTCGTCATCCACAATGTGATGATATTTGGAGATGAGGCCTTTGGGAGGTGATCAGGCCATGAGGATAGAGCTCTCATAAATCAGATTGGTGCTTTTATAAGAAGGGAGAGCTTTCTCTCTCTTTCTCTCTCTCTCTCTCTGCTCTCTACTGTGTGAGGATACAAACCAGGAAGAGACCCTGACCAGAACTGACCATGCTGGAACCCTGATTTCAGGCCTCCAACTTCCAGAATTGTGAGAAACAAGGTTTTGTTTGTTTGTTTTTGTTTTTTGAGACACAGTCTCGCTCTGTTGCCCAGGCTGGAGTGCAGTGGCGTGATCTCGGCTCACAGCAACCTCTGCCTTGCAGATTCAAGTGATTCTTCCTCAGCCTCCCGAGTAGCTGGGACTACAGGCACCTGCCACCACACCTGACTAATTTTTGTATTTTCAGTAGAGACAGGATTTCACCATATTGGCCAGGTTGGTCTCCAACTCCTGACCTCGTGATCCACCTGCCTCGGCCTCCCAAAGTGCTAAGATTACAGGCGTGAGCCACCACCGTGCCCAGCCAACTTTTTGTTTTTATCAGCCACCAAGGCTATGGTACTTTGTTATAGCAGCCAACACAGACCAGGACATATCCCTGGCAGCGAAGGAAAGAGACTATCAAACTCCAGAAGCTTGCAGGAAGGGCCCTAACAGCAAGGCTTGTGGAGCTCTGACGGGACGTCCCTGCCTGGCGGCGGCTGCTAATTCTGAAACATAAAGAAGCTGGTTCTAGGACCACTAGAAGAACCTGGAAACTGGAACCAAATGCTACCACTATAGTGAAAACAAGTAGTAAACCAGGAAGAAACAAGTTCCCCCTAGTTCCCCCTCTCTCTTCTGAGTATTCTACTTTCCTCTAGGGCCTCTTCCTCCTCTAACAGGGAGCACCTGGCACAGAATAAACAAGGTTGCAGAGTCCCAACTCCAGAATCACAGGGCTGAACATGGAAGGATGAGATGGAAGCTGAGGAGCAAAAGCTGAATAACCAGCACAGTTTTTTAATAACCATCTTTGCCATTTTTCTCTTCAGTGGTACAAGGGAGAAAGAGAGGAAGAAAGGTTAGCACAGCCAAATGGAAGCTGACTTTATATGTCTTAATCATTTGCATTGAAAATATGTGATTACAATAGCTTCAGAGAAGGATCGGACAAGTGTTCTTTATTTTTTGTTTTCATGAACATAACCACTGTTTTAAAGGTGCTGATATCAAAAAGTATATGTGCTTTCCATTTCTGGCTTAGGATGACCTGGAGAAGTATATCAACTTTTATCAAGAATTCAAAAAGAGTCTGGGTGCATGGCTCACACCTGTAATTCCAGCATTTTGGGAGGCTGAGGCGGGTGGATCACATGAGGTCAGGAGTTCGACACCAGCCTGGCCAACATGGTGAAACCCTGTCTCTACTAAAAATACAAAAGTTAGCTTGGCATGGTATTGCTACTCAGGAGGCTGAGGCAGGAGAATCGCTTGAACTCGGGAAGCAGAGGTTGTAGTGAGCCGAGTTTGCCCCATTGCACTCCAGCCTGGACTCTGTCTCAGAAAGAATTCAAAAAGAAAAGATGAAAAAAGTATTTCAAAACAATTAAAAAGGTTAGATATTTAGTTAACCCATAATGATTTGGTCCCTTACATTCATTACTAATCCTTTTACATACCAGTATTTTCATTTTTCAGTGGCAATAACAGCAGCTAAACAATATATATTCTAAAGTAATCCAAGGTGTTGTTATTGTTGTTGTTTTTTTTTTTTTGCTTCTTTTCTCCTATGGCCTTAGTATAAACTATTTATTTGTATTACAGAAAAATTTCCCAATCTAAAACCATATAAAACTGTCATCAGAAAACATTTATCTTTTTTTTTTTTTTTTTGAGACAGAATCTCATTCTGTCACCCAAGCTGGAGTGCAATGGCACAATCTCAGCCCACTGAAACCTCTGCCTCCCAGGTTCAAGAAATTCTCTTGCCTCAGCCTCCTGAGTAGCTGGGATTACAGGTGGGCACTACCACACATGGCTAATTTTTTTTTGTACTTTTAGTAGAGACAGGTTTTGCCATGTTGGTCGGGCTGATCTTGATCTCCTGACCTCATGATCTGCCTGTCTCAGCCTCCCAAAGTGCTGGGATTACAGGTGTGAGCCACTATGCCCAGCCTACATTTATCTTATATAGAGAATAAAACAGTGGTTACCAGAGTTGGGATTGTAGGGATTGGGGGAGGGGCAAAGGGAGAGATGATGTGGGTCAAAGGATATGATCTAATGTACAACATGAAGACTACAGATGATAATAGTGTATTATATTCAGGAATTTTGCTAAATAAGTAGCTTATAGCTTCTCTTGCCACAAGGAGTTGAAATGAGTAACAATGTGAGATGATAGATATGTTAGTTTGTTCCACTATAATAACCATTTTACTATATATGTATATTTTAAATATACATGATAAAATGTATTTTATAAATAAAAAATAACAGCTAATGAAAAGATTATTGGAATTTTGAACAGCATTTGTGAAATAATCATAGCTTTCTAAATGCAAGATTATAGCAACATACAGAAACTTCAAGCATTTTCCAGTTTTTCTTCACAGTTTTCCATCTTTATTATCTATACAAAATATGTTAATACTTTTGAATGATTTTCAGAAAATAATTCTGAGACTGAAATCATCATATTCAAGCTTTTTTTCCCAGAAGGATTTGTGTTTTGATCAACCATTTGGAAGGAGGTGTGAGCAGCCAAAATAAATATAGGCTAGGGTGGGAGGAGAAAAACAAGCGTTTTGTTTTTTATGTTTTAAAAATATATTCTGTGCACCTGAGTTGGGTTTTTGCTTTATTTCATTTTTCTTCCCTTTTTCAAATTACATATAGGTAGGGGCAAATTTGGGCTAATCAATAAACAACTTTCTTTTCCCTCTCCTAAGACTGTTTTTTTTAGAGTTGCCATCACAACCGAAGATTCTATGTTGTTAAAATCTCTTAGTGATAGTCTCAGGTTAATACATTAGAAGGTAATGACTGCTTATAGAAACAACAGAGCAGCAAATCCATAACATGTTTGATTTTTAGGGATCACCAGTACCTCCAGATGTGTGACCCATCCATCTAGTTTTCAATGGTAAATGTGCAACTAACAGATCTGGTCCCTGTGCCAACCAATGCCTAAGTAGGCTTTCCTGAACACACAGAAGGGGGATCACTGCCTTGTCAGCCTGTCTAAGCCCGATTAGCTCTCCTCCTCTTCTTCTGCCCAGTAAAAACAAGAGTCCAACTCATTTAAAGCTGAGATGAGGACAATAGGAGTCCTACAATTTCCAGAATCACCTTGAGAGCTGGTGAGGAACACAGATGGAAGAAATTGGTTGGGGATGCTCCTCTCTACCTTCAGTTCCATTCACTTTGGGCATTGAACATCTAAATATTAGTTAAGTTGTGCTCCCCTGCACCCCTACAGATCCTGACACTATACCCCATCAGTTCTTACCCTGCTCTGTTGTTTCTATAAGCAGTCATTACCTTCTAATGTATCATATAATTGACTTATGTATTATGGTTGTTTATTGTCTAAGTCCTACTAGTATACATACTCTATGAAGGCAGGAGTCTTTTTGCCAATGGAGCCTCATCAGCTAGAACCTCTGACTCTCTGTTCCATTTGTTTATAGGAATGAATAGAAAATGTTACCATATTGGAAAGCTTGCTTTTTTCTTTAAAGTAAACTTTCTCTTCTGAGAAGCATTCCCTTAAGTGGACATAAACATTTTCTGATTCTGAAATAATCCTGCACATATACGATATACTTACACCATATACAATATAGCATATACAGGTATAATCATTATTTAATAGATATAATTTTATTACATGTTAAACATATTACATAGGCTATTACCAGCTGTTGCAAACTCAATTTTACTGGCTTAACAAAATACAAATTTCATTATTGTTCACGTAATAGTCCAAACGTGGGTGTTTTTGGTCTGGAGTGGCACTCCCCCAGGTGATAATTTAGGCATCTAGACTTCTTCAATGTTATGGCTCTGCTGTTCCTTGAGCTCCTCAGTCATTAGTATCCACCTGGATGAAGCAAAAGAGATGGCTTCTTAATTGTTTTGACCATCTTGGTTACTTCAAGTAACACACATCACTTCCAATATTATTCTATTGATCAGAACTGTCAAATGGCTCCCCCTGGGTGCAATAGTTTGTACAGTCTCTGGTTGGCAGCTACTTCCTAGGAACAGCTCTACACTATGGTAGGGGAATCATGAATTTTAATGGATTTTTAACCATTTTCTGCTATATTTCATGATCAAGCTTTCCTGTAGCATACTTCCCCATTGACCAGCTGTATTAGTGATACTAATGATTATAACAGTGTGCTGTTATAATTATGCATAACAGTCAGAAGAATATAATGGCTAATGCATGTCAATATCTTTGGCTGTGCTCAACCTCGGACCATTGGTCATGTTCAGGTTTACTTCAAATGTCTCTCTTTCTGAGGCCTAGACTAAGTAGCAACAGCACTTGGGCCACACTTTTCTCATGAGCATGGTTGAAAGAGGCCAAAGCAAAACACACATATCTAAATTTTTAGATATAGAACAGATTAGCTCTGCTCTAATTTCATTGGTCAAAGGAAGTATTATTATCTACATGGGAAATGTCATCTGGAATGCTTGTTTTCTCCATCTGTCTACTTAATAGCCACCTATTAAAGATTTACAAAATCTTGCCATTGTTTAAAGATTTGTTTACCTTCTGGACATCAAATATCCTTTTTCTGTTCCTTCCATCCATCTATCAATCCATCCATCCTTTCATAAATTATTTAATGCTTGCCTTCTATGTGTCAAGCATTAGTTTACACCATGAAGATATAGCATGAATAAGATCTTCAAAAGGTCTCCAATTTCATGAAGCTTTTATTTTATTTTTTATGTATGCATGTTTGTATGTATGTTTGTATGTATGTTTTTCCAGGACTACCAAGCAAGAATGGAGCTTATGTTTTAGTGGAGAAAATAGATGTGTGAGACAAAACATAAATATAATTTCAGATATTACTATATTATGAATAAATGGAAATAGGGAAATACAACTATATAGAGGAAGGAGCAACATTAAATAGTTGGTGAGGGAGAACCTTTCTAAATAATTGAGCTGAGAATAAAACAGCCATGTATTTATAATCAAATATGTCATTCTAATGAGGGTCACAATACCAAAAGAATCTGTTAAGCTTCTCCCTTTTGTTTTATTTCATTTTTCTCCCTGGCATCCATTTATCATGTTTAAGTTGTCAGGTTAATATAAAAAGGGCTAAGTAGAATAGACTAGGCTGATTGCCAGGGTCTACAATGTGCCCAGTTATTTTAAAGTTAGGTGGAATCACATTGTTTGGAGGGCCTTTATGTTTCTAACAAAGCTACAATTAAGGAAGTAAAGTTGAATAATGTTGCCCAATGCATTAGAGTACAAATTTAAAAGATCCAGAGAAAAATGAACAAGGATCCTCAGAAATATTTCTCCCTTTCCCTGGTTTTTCTGCTCTGCCTGTGTACTGCTTTGGGGATTGATTGGTTCGATCCTATGATATGACCCTCCAGGGAGTGGTCTGGCTGTGGAGGAGGGCTGGATCTGTCAACTAACATTCAAGGTGTTTTGCATTATTAAGAACTAGCCATGGATGTAATAAAGTGAGTATTTGAGATTTCCAACCTTAGCTTCATATTAATCTCTCATTGCTGCTATAAAAGTATGTGTATCACAAACTTAGTGGCTGAAAACAATACTTGTATTATCTAATAATTCTGTCTAACATGAGTCTCACTGAGCTAAAATCAAGGTGTCAGCATGTCTATATTTACTTTTAGAGGCTTTAGGGGAAACCCTTTGTCCATTTTTCCAGCTTCTTTAGCTGCATATACTTCTTGTGGAAATCAGTAAATGATAGCATTTCTGATTGGTTTATGACCCCCGTCCTCCATCTTTAAAGCCCAGCAGCGACTGGTCACATTCTCATGTCGCATCTTGCTCACTCTGCTTCCACTGTCCTCTCTCTCCAATAACAGCCAGGGAACAGGTTCCCTGTTGTAAAGATTCCTGTGATTAGACTGGACTCATCTGGACAATCCAGGCTAATCTCCCCATCTCAAAGTCCTTAACCATAATCACATCTGTTGAGTTCTCTTTGCTTTGTAATGTAGTCACAGGCTGCAGGTTTTAGGCTATGGACATTTTCGGGGGGTGCCATTGTTCTATCTTCCATAGCTTCTCTTTAAATTTATGGTTGCAGCTTCCTCTACGATGAGAGGCATCACCAGACAGAGCCATTCTGTAATGGGATTAACCTGATTTCTGGGAAAGGGCAAGAAGAACACTCATGTTTTCCTATCACTATGATACAACTTGGCTTTTGACAAAGAACTCCATACATCTGGGGGCTGAGTACACTGTGACACGTTACCAGAAAGCTCCAGCTTGTTTACTTTGGGTAACTGGAGTTTTAGTCACTCCTTGAGGATATTTTATGACAACCTGGAGAAATTGTTTTTATTATATTAGGAGGTGGAGGCTGTCTTTTTTCTCTCTCTTCCTCTCTGTTTATGTTTTAGAATTATCCCCTTCTGTCCTTTTGATGGATTTGAAATTGTTCCTGGGAGGAAATGCTGGTGATAATTCTAATTTCAGCTGCTCTTGCTCTGGGGACTTATTTGAGTCTTGTCTTTGATATTGTGCTTCTCTAATCATAATCCTGACTTTCTGAAATATGAGTGTCAGTAGAGAAAAAGCTTGCCAACTCCATCGCTCATTTATCATGGAGAGGATGCTTTTAAGGAAGGTCTTAAATGAAGGCATTGTACAAATGCCAAAAAAAAAAAAAATGTGCTATGTCTGGGGATTAGGAGAAGCTTCCCATTGTCTGACCTCAATTAGAAAAAGCAGAAATATTTCTAAGGATTGCTTCTGAGATGCCTGAAGTGGCTTACTGGATATTGGAGTTAACTCTCTCCTAAGCTGAAGATTTTTGCCTTTAGTGATCCAGTAACCTCATTCCTTTACTTCTTTTCAGAAACTCCTCATGAATTTTTGTAGGACACTCTCCTCAGGACCCATGGTTCGATTTAAACCTGTTTTTACTGGAAGTGAGGAGAAGTCATTATGTATCAAATAAATGGAAGGAATTTTAAAAGCTCTAAAAACACACAAACAAAATATTAAAATATTAGATTGAAATGAAGTGGGGCTTTCAATTTTTTTCATTATACTCCCAAAAGGAGCTTTATAAGGTATATTTTTCCTAGTCACCCTACCATAAAATTTTAATGCTACAGATATACAATATATCTGTTCATGTGCTGTATATATATATCTATGCTTTATACATGAAAAGAAAGAGATATTTTGCCCCTTTCCCAAGAACCAAATTTCATCCTGTTGGAGAAGATATTGCCTGCATTAGGAATGCATGATGTAAACTGAAGGGGCATATTTTACTTTATCTCCTCCTCAATTTCATATTATAGTTGCTTATTTTAAAAGTAAAGCCTCATTATCACAAGGAGATCATAATATATTACATATGCAAAAAAGAATATGTAAAGAATAGCCATTACCCACCTCCCTTTCCAAGTCATAGACAAATTTTTCAATCCATCAAGATACCTTTCTATACACTTACATATATATGCATAATAGACACTTACTTTACAAAAATATAATTTTGTAAATGTTGACCATTTTTTCTATGCCAATAGGCATATTATCACAACATTATTTTTATTGCAGAGTACTTTATTGTATAGTTATAAGGGTCTTGTTAATTTAGATATACAATATTCTTCTCAGATATTTATGTTGTTTCTAACATACTTTGAGAGAAACACTATGACATAGAGCATACCATATCTTTGGACATATCTTTTCAAATATGACTGAATATTGTCTTGAGATCCATGCCTGCAAGTACAATCTTCCAGGCAAGGACATTGAGCTTTTCAAAGAATTTGATACATGATGCTAAATTGCCCACCTAAACAGCTTGGCTTATTTTAAAGAACCATAATCATAGCAAAATTTGAATAGGCTTTGGTAAATTCAGTGGGATCTTTCCTATCAATAGTATATTGCATTTATATCCAGATGATTGGGCATATTTTTAGAGGGTATAATTGATCAATTGGAACAGAAACTCTGGCACAAGCAGGAGCTGGAAGGATATTTGTGATGTGCTCAGAATTTTACATGTGTAACTTGGCTCAGCAAAACTATAGGGGCTTGGGGAAACAAAGGAGCAGGGAAAATGGTTTTAATCCAAGTTGGTTTTTGTTTAATCCATTCTAATTTTTATTATTTTAAAATTGTCCACATATTCCATCCTAGCTTTTATAAATAAATTTGCTGTAGAAGTCAGAGATGGAAGAGATGCAGGCAACAAAGGACCTTTCCAAAACGTTTTTTTTTTTTTTTGGTGGCTTCTCATGAATTCATCAATTCAACAAATATTTATTAAGCAATTAGTCTATGACAGGCATTGCTGCAGGCCTGGAGCATGCAGCCATGCCTAAAAACAAGTCTCTACTATCGTGGAACTTATGTTCTCGTGGGAAGAGGCAGCGATATTACAGTAAACATAAGTAAATATGATGGCAGTTAGTGACAAGTGCTATGAAGATAAATAAGTAATTAGGGGGACGACAGACAGGGGGATGACCATTTTGAATAAGGTGGTCATGAGAAACCCTCAGTGATGAGGTGATATTTGACCTGAATTGAAAAGAAGTAATGAAGCAAGCCATGTACATCGCTGGGGGAAGCACATTCCAGACAGAGGGAAGAGTTAGTACAAGGTCTGAGATTACAGCATGCTTGGCAGTTAGGAATAGGAAGGAAGCCAGAGGTGGCTGGAACAGAGTGAACCTGGAAGAAAGGCACAAAAGATGAAGTTGGAAGGACGGGCAAGGGTTAGTCAACTCATGGCATTATAAGACCCACTAGGGATTCCATGTGCCTCATATTTTGAGGCCATTCATTCAACACATATTTTAAAGTTCCTGCTGTACTCCAGGCCCTTGGATAGACAGTGGGTATCTACAGGGGATAAAGACAGGCAGGGCTGGCATGGAGTAAGCATTCCAGGGGAGGAAACACAGAGGCATAGAGGCAGCTATAGTTTATTGTGATCATGCTATTATAGGTGAAATAGAGGCTTTAGCTGGAGCCCAAGAGTAACAATTCACCCAGATAGTTGCAATGTAAAAATCAGTATGTTTTTAATAAAATGATTCTTTTTTATTTTAGTAGCCTGCACATATCATTCTATATTTCTGTATTATATGTATCATGTTATGTTGACAGTAAATGTTAAATCATGTGCTCATCTGGATGGGGTCCTGGAATTAGGGGCTATATATTTTTTTTTTCATGTTTGCTTCAATTCATGGCAATGAAATCAAGAGGAAAAAGAAATCACTGAATCTGGCTTCCTGTCTCTCAAAAAGTTCTGGACCTAACTGGAACTTAGTTAAATGATTAGAATGTTAAGAAAAGCTCACTGAAAATCTGGAAGACAGAGTGGGGCAGGAGGGAGTGGGAGCTGCAATTTGGATCCACTGGTGCTTTTCCTACTTGTTTTGTCAGTTGTGAGTCTCACTTGCTGGTAAATAGTTAGAAATTATATGTGTTTTGTTTCCCCTTTAAATGGTAAATTCACTGGGGGAAAGAACAGTTTCTGCTATTGCTTTGTGTGGGCATATGACAAATGACACACAAATGAGGAAAAACAATTCTTCCCATTGGAATCTGTTCACAGAAATACATAGAAACATTCTAGAAATCCAGGGCATGTGGCTTCCTGATTGTTCTAAGGGCACTTACTGTATGTGTTCAATGTCTCAATTATCTCTATGAATTTAGGAATTTCTGTTATTGTTTTAAACGGCTTGCTGGGGTATGCCCTTGAAAGCTTTTATTTTCTGGTCTAAGTACTGTGTACTTAAGGGTGATTGTGGGAGAATTTTAGGACATGGGTTTGATTGCAAAGGATCCATATCTCCAAGGTAACACCAAAATTCCTATTGGCTGAGAACAATTTGTCTTCCCTGCCTGGGTTTTTGTGCTATTTGAAAAGCATTGTAAGGGCAAATTTGCTTGGAACATACAGAGTCGAAGTGGAAGAGGCTGCACTATTCCCAATTACCTCATGCACTTGTTCTGTATAGTTTGTACCTGCTGAGAAACCCAGGACACCACCCCAAACCTCGCTCCTGTTAAGATTAACTTCCTCTCATGTTAGAGCTTTCTACTTGTGCGTTTCCAGCATCACACTACTTTATAATTGTTTTGTCGGTACCTAAATTGCCAGCTTAGCTCGGGTGTACTTTGACAGCATCTTTTCTCTTACTTCAATAGTGACAAGCTGTTGCAGATTATCACATTATCATTTGTCCTTCCTATTTGGATAAGATGTCTGATGATGAGACAAGATCTCCCCACTTACCCACTTCATGGCAAAATATTTCTGAAATGAAATTAACAAAAGATGTTTAGAAGGAATGAACAGTGTAAAAGTCTGCATCTTTTTATGTGTAACTTTGCAAAAGATTCTAATTTTATTATCAAGCAGGCACTGTGCTTGGAGCTGGGGCTCCAGAAGTGAGAGAGACAAACACAGTCTCTCTATCTAAAGGAGAAGGACATTAAGCAAGCAGTAACACAAATAAACATGCACCTAGAGATGGTGGCAAGAAACAGGGGAGGGTTCCAAAGAAGATTATTCTTAGATTGATTTTCCAGAGAAGAGGTCCTTGAGTGAACATTAAACTAAGACTTAGAGGTTAAGTAGCAAGGGAGGCAGGGGAGTGAAGAGAAAGGTCTTCCAGCTGTAGGAAGCATTTGACAAAAGAGCCTGGTGTTGGGAAATCACTTTTTTCGTCTGAATCACTGAAAGAGAAGCCTCTGGCTGCAGGGAGTTATCAAAGGGGTGAGCATTGTGAGATGTGGCTGGAGAAAGAGAGGGAAGCCAGGTCATAGAAGGCTATGTGTACTGTAATAACTATGGGAGAACATTGGAGGGGTAAAGGAATGGGTTCGTGACATGGTCACAGCTAATTGATTACAGTATTTACAATTTTATATATGAAGGATCTTCATAGTGATCACAAAGCAGAACATTTCTTGATATATAGGAGGGAGAGAGAAGGAGAGAGAGACATACATGCATATATGCATGCATACACATGTGTTTGTGTATCCATATTCAAATTCAAATTCAAATTTGAGTTTGAAAATGTACTTTCAAATTAGTTTTAGAGTGATTTCTTTAAATTCCTGTTAATATTACTCAAATTGTCTATGTGTTGAAGTTTAATTTTTAGGTTAATATCCCATCCTGACTTTGAGTTAGATGTTTAAGGTATGACTTGGGGGTGGGAAAAGCCACACGGGGAATAATCTGTGGACTGTAATCTGAGAATATTGCAGACTGGGTGAACTGTAATGTCTCTCTCCTTTCTTATAGTTTAGACTCAGAATCCATGTCATCTTGATGGCATTTATTATAAAGAAAACAAACTTAGATCTAAAACTAAAACCAAAGAATAGCCTCTGAAGTTTTCATAACTATTTAAATAATAATAAATTCACAAATAGCCCATGACTCCAGCTAAGGCAAGGAAGACTAAGGTCTCCTTGGGGATGTTGCTTCTGTGTGGCCCACTGTGGTCCTGACTCTTCAGAGCCCTGTCTCTGAGATAACACTTTTCCCTGAAATTACTGTGGATTAAATAGAACCTCCAAATAATGTGAAAAAAAAGAGCAAAACTGATTTAAGGCCTTGAGTTCAAAAGTCAAGGATTAGATTTTTCCATTGTCCACTGCTACTTCTGCTTGTGTTGTGTTTTTAGTAACCCCTAAGAGCTCAGAACCAAAAAATACCAGTGTCTGGTCCCTGTGGTCAGTGAGATTCTAACATGGATCAAGCTACTCTGTCCTAGACGAAACCATTTTCCTCATCTGAATATAGAGAAAGGTAAACAGAACTTACATAAAAGACCAACTAAAGAGTATTGGGTCATTGGGACTAAATTAAAATTGTGCACAAACAAAAAAATCTTTTCTCTTTTCCCACCTAACTCTTCAAGAATGAAGGTACACTGCATGGGGATAATAGAACACCTGCAATATCTGAAGGTGAACTGCATAAATATAAAAAAAAAAAACATGCTCACTATCTGCATGTCCTCATAATGAGCCATCTCAGTTTTTAGAAATATTCTCTATTTTTTTAACAATCTAGTCACACTTTTCCTAAATTTGAGAAGTATAGAAAATAACTCACCAATGTAATTTTGTAAAACCTAAGGGATATATCTATGGCATGGTGGCTCACTCCTATAATCCCAGCACTGTGGGAGACCAAGGCAGGTGGATCACTTGAGGTCAGGAGTTCAAGACCAGCCTGGGCAACATGGTGAAACCCCATCTCTACTAAAAATACAACAATTAGCTGGGCATGGTGGTAGGTGCCTGTAGTCCCAGCTACTTGGGAGGCTGAGGCAGGAGAATTGCTTGTACCTTGTGGGGCAGAGGTTGCAGTGAGACAAGATCATACCACTGCATTCCAGACTGAGCGACAGAGCAACACTCCGTCTCAAAAAAAAAAAAAGTTTTAATAAAAATTGTTAATCTGTTGAATTTTCTATTGTCATGCATATGCTGTGATTTACTCCACTTTGTGATTTTTAGTTGCACCTTCAATTAAAACTCACTTAAGGGAAATCATTTTTAAAAAACTGATAAGAAAACTAAGATTATCAATACTAAAATGGTAATATCCCAAAAGTTCCAGTAACTACATATTTTTAAAACACATGTTGCTTTTTTTGTTCAAAGTAAATCCATTTCTATTACCTTCACATACATGGGCTATAAACCTAATGCAGAAGGAAACTGACATATTGGTCTCATAGTTCAATGAACATAGAATCTGTATTTATTGGCAAAATCACTCATTTTACAATTTCCCAGAGCTGGTAGATTCTTTGGTATTGGCAGCATTAATTTTTATAGCTCTGTGATAGATAAATGTGAAGTATGTGTAAAAGCATATGCTCTCCTATCTTCCAATGTAGTCAGAGATAATTCTCCATGTATAGCAATAATAATTGATAATGATACTTGATTCTACATTTTAAGCCCTTCCTATATCCCAGGCAGTATGCTAAATACTTCAGGTAGAATGTCTTTTTAAATCCTCACATGCATATATGAATAAGCATCATTATATCCATTTAACAGTTGAGCTCAACAAGGCTTCGTAAAGTTAGAGTTGACTTTCCCAAGGTTATACAACTACTAAATTGGGATTCAAATTCAGACTAATTTGACTTATGGAAGAGTATTGGTAGTGTTTTAAAAAACGGTAAAAAAATGCCCTTAACAATATATTTGTAAAACAAATATGCACCATCATATATAGAGGCAAATTAGTCTTTTTGACAGTATGGTGACTAGAGCCAGCTCACCCATGTTCACACAGTTTCTGCCACTTGGACAAGTAATTCAATTTCTCTATAACTATATTTTAATGTCTGTAAAACAGAGTTTATAATTGTACCTACCTCATAGGGATGTTGTAAGGATTACATGAAATAATCCCCCCAAAGCGCATTGTCTGATACAAATAAAGCATTTGATAAATAGTGGCTATTATTATGCATTATTATCATTATTACTATTATTACTGAAGTTACAGTTCCACTAAAGGAAATGTTAGCACACAACTTCAATGAAGTTGGATGAAATGTTTTATGGCTGTGTAATTCCATGCTGCTTCCTCTGTGATCTCAGGTACTTAAGAAGATCACAAACATTTCTGTCTTTTTATCACAACCAGGACAGACTTCCAAAGGATAATCCTCAGTAGACTGTATCTATGAAACGGCAGGGATTCAGCTTCTACAGAGTTGACTGCCCCAAGGACAGGAGAAATGTTCCAATCATTAATCGGATTTTTCTCCCAACTTACTTTTCTTTAAGATAATATCCCCCTGGGTTGAATCCAAATTAATTGTGCTTTTATTGGGTGCTTAGCATCATGCATTTTCCATGGACACTTTTGTGCTGTCACATTTCTTTCCCTTAAGACTTAGGAAATCAACTTGGTAACTTCCTTTCACTGTAGGTAGAAATTCTGCAAGTGATAGCTACAGTGAACTTGTAAAGAAAACTTGCTGATGGCTTCAAAATATTTGGGCAAAGAGAAAAAAGAGTTATCAACCACTGGTTTAATAGCTCAGCAATCCCTAAGTTTTAAATGTGCATATTGTTTTCCTTAGCTTGGACTTCTAGTGTTTGATTGACCACTGGGTGGAGGTGATTGGCATGCTGAGATAAAACCACTCATAGATCTCTCGGTTTGAGGAACTTACAGTAATATGTGTGTGTGTGTGTGTGCGTGTGTGTTTGCATATACAGTCATGCATTGCTTAACAATAAGGATGCTTTCTGAGAAAATGTGTCATTAGGCAATTTCGTTGTCATGGGAACATGATAGAGTGTACTTACCCAAACCCAGACGGCATAGCTTTGTACACACCTAGGCCATAAGGTAGAGCCTGTTGCTCCTAGGCTACAAACCTGTATAGCATGTCACAATATTGAGTACTGCAGGAAATGGTAACACAATGGTAAGTATCTGCATATCTAAACATATATAAACATAGAGAAGGTAGAGTAAAAATATGGTATTATAATCTTATGAGACCACAGTTGTATATGGGATCCATAGCTGACTGCACCCTTATTATGTGGCACATAAACTTTCATTAAAGAAATGAAAGTGGAGGAAAGAAAAAAAGAAAATTTGAAGGGATATATAAGAAAGAGATTTGAAAACTTTGAATCATTATACACTTATAGTTTATTATCCCATGAACAGTTATTTATAGTAATTATTGATTGATTGCCTATTGGGAGCAAGTTGCTGTGTACAGTTTGCTGGGACTTTTAAAAAGATAAATTAATTCTCCCTTCAGAAAGCTCATAGCCTTTGAGAGAGAAGCTGATAATCAAGTACAAGGTAAAAATGAGGAAGTTCACAAGAAAGAAAGAGATGAAGCCCAAAGTGAGGGGCAGAGGGTGGGGCAAGAAGAAGAAGAGAAGGAGGAGGAAGGGGAGGAGCTGGTGATGTTTGAGCTGGACCTGAAAGGATGGGAAGGGTCTTATTTAGGGTAGGATGGTACAAGAACAGGGGAAATGTCTCAGTAAAGTCTGAACATACACATATCTAATAAGTGTGTGGAACAGTGGTAGTTTGGTTTGGCCAGAGTGAAGGGCATATGAAGAAGCCAAGGGGAAAAAGGATGGAAACTATTTTGGGTTATGATCAGAGGTCTGGCATGCTATTAGAGGAAGAAAAATCATACTGGCTGTGGCATATTTTGCAGTAATTCTTTACTACTTCAGAGCAATCCCACATGGCATCACTTTCATACATAGGAAGGATGAGAGTTATGAAGGAGTTTTAGGATATTTTTATTCCCTATATTGCTAGTGATAGTCTTTCAAATGGTCTTGCTATATTAAGCTTTATAACTACACAGGAGGTTTTTTGCCAGAAAATGATTGTTTTAATCTCAAATTTGTGGTCTGGGATTATGCTTACAAAGTCATTAGACCTTAAGTGTTTTATATATTGCAAAATCTAACTTGTGATTTCCCTCTGCCCTGTCCCTTCATGCCTTCCCTTGACCTTTACTTAAAGTATAAGGGAACTGAAAGAGGAAAATTTTAATTTCTCAGTTAATTTTTCTAACCTTTCTTTTTGGCAAGTAAAATATTTAACCTGCCTCAATTTTTCCACATGGATAATGTTGAGTATTCCTTCACTGACCACTCTCACCACTCTCCTTTTATTTATTTTGCCATTATTACCACTCTTTATTAGTCTCATCATCCTGCTTCTTCAAGACTATTTGAGGAAATGACAAATTATAGGGGTGCTCATGACTCTTTAGTGTTATTACAAAATACCCCAAATTCTGAATGCCGATTCTAATACTGTCAAAGGTCTATAAGTCACTCAGCAGTGAACAAAGATTTACCAAGAATCTGTGATATTCTAGTCACTTTACCCTAATGATTTAGCTAAGATCAAGACAGACAAGGAACCATTATTGTCATGCAGATTATAGTCAAGTGGGGAAAAGGGAAATACCTAAACTGGCACCAATAAGCTCACATAAACCAATGGAGAGGAAAACAAGAGAAATATCCAACAGGGATAAGTTCTGATTGGATGTGCATAGAAGACTTCTTTGAAGAGGTAACATTTATGCTGAGATCTGAGTGACACAAAGAAGTCAGCATTGTATAGGAGATATAGAGGTTGAGAGGGAAAGCTTTCCCCCTTATACTCTGAAGGTTTCCTGAAAATCAACTAAAAAAAGGGAGATAAGAGAAAAGGCAAACAAACTTTATTTTAATGTGCATAGCACAGGGGAATCATGGAGGAATGATTACCTAATAACCTGATGGGGTACAGATGTTTATATAAATTTCTTCATAGGGGAAGGGGAAATGGAAGAAATGCAGCTATATGAGGGATAGCAAATAATTTTTAGTGGGGAAATGAATGGACTTGGAGAACATAAAGTGGCCTGGGATGAAGTCTGTTGGGCCCACAGAGCAGACAATGGCTGGTAAATGATTACCTTTGAGATACTGAATGGGACAGAAATAGAAGACAATGGCTTATGACAAAAGTCTGTTCAGGTGTGTTGACAGACTTCAGTCTTTCTTTTTGCAATATGATTTAAGTTAATGAAAACTCAGGGAAGGTACCAGAGAAAATTGTTTTCTTCTTTGGTAGGTCTGGGCTTTAGGCAGTAAGGAAACTTCAGATAACAACTCAATTCTGTGCTTTCAAAGAGAGAGGGGATTGAGAGAAAGGAGGAGTGAGGGGGGGAGGTGAGAGAGACCTCGAGACTGCTTCTTTAGGCCAGCATGTCACAGTGCTGTATTTTGGGCTATTGACTTCCATGCTTCAACAGGAACACAAGCATTCCTGGGAGCAGGAATAAACTCAGTGTTTTAGAGAAAGTAAAATATTAATAGGTATACATTTTGAGGCCCTTCCAAGTGGCAGGAATTCTGCTAATGGTTTTAAATGCACAGACTCATTGTCTCGTTTGATTTTCATAATCAGTCCTACAAATATCTCCTCCTTATAGATGAACAAACAGGTTAAGTAGTGGTTCAAGATCATGATAGGATTGGAACTGAGATCTCTCTGATTCCAGAGCACGTTCTCCCTATGTGTTCTCATGTCTTATGCTCTGCTGTTCACATCTATTAGGTTATGGAACCTAATATTTTAGCATAACCTCCCACTGAGATCATTCCTGCAGAATAGTTCCTGTCCCTGATAGATACATTGTCTCCAATTCTTTTCTTTATCCTACTAGACTTGTGTAAAGGATGGAATGGCAGGTGCAATCTGAGAGCCTGTAGTAGTAGAGCTGAGGAAATGTCTGCAGCACCACCACTGTTTCTGTTCTCTACAAGCAGGCTATGTCTAATGGACATCCCATGTCTAGAACAGGAGGAGAGTGATTTGGAAACAAGCTACTGCCCTGGAATGCAAATATCAAACTAGAACTTGTGATATACACTGTGAACAGAGGGCTGTGTCTTCTTGGGAATGCTGGCTGCCTGCCTGGATAGAATGCCACAAAAGGGTGTTACTGTGCTGAATTTGCCTTGGTACAGGTTTGGCCACAATCTACAAGCTCAGAAACTCCCTCTCATCAGATGTCTAGAGTAGACAAACTCAAAGAGATGGGTACATAGAACTAGAATCCCACTTTGCTCTTTTTCTAATAAGAAACTATATTTGTCCATTCTCACACCACTATAAAGAAATAACCTGAGACTGGGTAATTTATAAAGAAAAGAGGTTTAATTGACTCACAGTTCTGCATGGCTGGGGAGGCCTCAGGAAACTTACAGTCATGGTGGATGGCACCTCTTCACAGGGCAGCAGGAGAGAGAATGAGTGCCAACAGGGGAAATGCCAGATGCCTATGAAACCATCAGATCTCATGAGAACTCACTCACTATCATGAGAACAGCATGGGGGAAACTGCCCCCAATATTCAATTACTTCTCACTGGGCCCATCCCATAACACATGGGGATTATGGGAACTATAAGATGAGATTTGGGTGGGGACATAACCAAACCATATCATTCTGCCCCCTGGCCCCTCCCAAATCTCATGTCCTCACATTTCAATGCATAATCATGCCTTCCCAACAGTCCCCCAAAGTCTTAACTCATTCCAGCATTAACCCAAAAGGCCAAGTCCAAAGTCTTATCTGAGACAAGGCAAGTCCCTTCCACCTATGAGCCTGTAAAATCAAAGCAAGTTAGTTACTTCCAAGATACAATGGGATTACAGGCATTGGGTAAATATGCATGTTCCAAACAAGATGAATTAGTCAAAACAAAGGGGCTACAGGCCCCATGCAAGTCCAAAATCCAATAGGGTAGTCATTAAATCTTAAAGTTCCAAAATGATCTCCTTTGACCCCTTGTCTCACATCCAGGTCATGCTGATGCAAGAATTGGGCTCCCATGGCCTTGGGCAGCTCAGTCCCTATGGCTGTGGATGGTACAGCCCCACTCTGTGCTGCTTTCACAGGCTGGTGTTGAGTGTCTGTGGGTTTTCCAGGCTTTTCCAGGCACATGGTGCAAGCTGTTAGTGGATCTACCATTCTGGGGTCTGGAGGACGGTGGCCCTCTTCTCACAGCTCCATTAGGAAGTGCCACAGTGGGGACTCTGTATGGGGGCTCCCACCCCACATTTCCCTTCCACACTGCCATAGCAGAGGTTCTCCATGAGGACTCTGCTTCTTCAGCAAACTTCTGCCTAGACATACAAGCATTTCCATACATCCTTGGAAATCTAGGTGAAGATTCCCAAACCCCAACTCTCGACTTCTGTGCCCCCACAGGGCCCAGCACCACATGAAAGCTGCCTAAGTTTAGGACTTGCATCCTTTGAAGCAATGGCCGAGTTGTACCTTGGCCCCTTTTAGCCATGGCTGGAGCTGAAGCAGATGGGATGCAGGGCACCATATCCTGAGGTTTCACAGAGCAGGGGGGCCCTGGCTCCAGCCCATAAAACCCTTTTTTCCTCCTAGGCCTCTGGGCCTGTGATGGGAGGGGATGCTGTGAAGGCCTCTGACATGCCCTGGAGACATTTTCCCCATTATCTTGGTGATTAACATTTGGCTCCTTGTTACTTATGCAAATTTCTGCAGCTGCAACAGGCTTGAATTTCTCCATAGAAAATGGGTTTTTCTTTTCTGTTGCATTGTCAGGCTGCAGATTTTCCAAACTTTTATTCTCTACTTCCTCTTGAACGCTTTGCTGCTTAGAAATTTCTTCCACCACATACACTAAATCATCTCTCTCAAGTTCAAAGTTCCACAGATCTCCAGGGCAGGGGCAAAATGCCATCAGTCTCTTTGCTAAAGCATAGCAAGAATCACCTTTGCTCCAGTTCCCAAGAAGTTCCTCATCTCCAACTGAGACCACTTCAGCCTGCACTTCATTGTTCACATCACTATCAGCATTTGGGTCAAAACCATTCAACAAGTCTCTCTAGGAAGTTTCAAACTTTCCCACGTTTTCCTTTCTTCTTCCAAGCCCTCCAAACTGTTCCAACCTCTGCCTGTTACCCAGTTCCAAAGTGACTTCCACATTTTCAGCTATCTTTACAGAAGTGCCCCGCTATCCGTTACCAATTTACTGTATTAATCTGTTCTCACACTGCTATAAAGAACTGCCTGAGACTGGGTAATTTATAAAGAAAAGAGGTTTAATTGACTCACAGTTCTGTATGGCTGGGAGGCCTCAGGAAACTTACAATCATGGCAGAAGACACCTCTTCACAGGGGTGCAGGAGAGAGAATGAGTGCCAGCAGTGGAAATGTCAGACAATTATAAAACCATCAGATGTTGTGAGAACTCATTATCATGAGAACTGCATGGAGGAAACTACCCCCATGATTCAATTACTTCTCACCGGTTCCCTCCCATGACATTTGGGGATTATGGGAATTACAATTTAAGATGAGATTTGTGTGGGGACACAGTCAAATCATATTAGAAACATAGGCATAAAACTTTGGAAATATAAATTATTAAAAGCTTTCTCATCGAATCTGAACTTAGAAAATGAATGACTCATAAGAATTATGTATGTAGTGGCTTCAGGCTCTACTAGCATGCTGAGTCCATGTCCACAACAGAGATCTGACAGAGGACCAGATCCCCTAGGTACTGCTGTAAGGGGCCACCAGGCTTTGCTCCATGGTCTTAAGGTTTTCCATCCTTGTGGCTGGCGACCTCTACTCTGGTTGTTCTTCCTTTATATATATATTAATACCTTGTCTCTGATTTCAATCCAGATTTTTGACTAGAAAGAATGTAATCTTTTTCTATCTCCTCTCTGAATCATCCTGTGGTGATTTTATAATACTCAAAGGAAAGCTTACTTTCTTAATTTCTATATTCTAAAAGGATGCTTTCTGTATCCTCAGGGTATAGTCTATACCCTAGTTCTATGAAAATGATATTATTTTTTCAATGAGATACCCACATGCACAGGAAATTAATTTTGGATTTTTTTTTCAGTTATCTATTGCTGTGTAATAAACTAAACCAAAATACCATGGCTTAGAACAACAACAACATTATTATTTCTTTTTTTTTTTTTTTTTTGAGACAAAATTCTGTTCTTGTCACCCAGGCTGGAGTGCAATGCCGTGATCTAGGCTCACTGTAACTTCTGCCTCCATGGTTCAAACAATTCTCCTTCCTCAGCCTCCCGAGTAGCTGGGATTACAGGTGCCTGCCACCACGCTGGGCTAATTTTTGTATTTTTAGTAGAGACGGGGTTTCACTATGTTGGTCAGGCTGGTCTCGAACTTATGACCTTGTGATCCACCTGCCTCAGTCCCCCAAAGTGCTGGGATTGCAGGTGTGAGCCACCACGCCTGGCCCCAAAATTTTATTATTTCTTGTTGTTCTGTGAGTTGTTGGCTTATATGGGTGGTTCCTCTGCTTTATGTGACAATGGCTGGGGCCTCTTATTTTTCTGTACTCAGCTGGCAGTTGGGATGGGTTGGAACGTTGAAGAATGCTTCACTCACATGTCTGAGCAATCTTTCTCCTCTGTGTGGCCTCTTCTATGACTAGGTTGAACTTCTTCGTAACATGTTGGTCTAAGAGGTCTTTCACAGCAATTGGCTCTCAAGATAGAGGAAGTGAATCCTGCCAGTCCTCTTACATCTAAGACTTAGAAAATCACTTCTGACATACTCTGTAGGTCAAGGCAAGTCACAAGGTCAGCTCTTATTTCAGGAGAGGGAGATAGATCTTATCTATTGATAGACAGAATGTGTAAAAGCAGGGAAGGTGTTGAGGGTGGCTATCTTGAAAGACTGTCAAACGAAATTTGCCTTCCAGCCACAATATTTCCAATAGGCAAAATATTCTCACCCTGTTCCCCAAAAGTTTCATGACATGGCAATATCAGATTGAAATCAAGGTTTCATTATCTAAGTCACGCCCATGTGCAATGAGGCATCTTGGTGCAGTTTCTCAGGCACAGCTCCTAGGTTGCAATTCCTCATATGCAAAGGCTTTGAATTAAAAGTACAGTTTATCTGCAACCGCACAAACCCAATATACACTGGCAGGTCAGGGGCAGGTAAAGTGTGATGTACAGTCTCGTTCAAACAGTGGGGGCTAGAGGAAGGGGAGGAACATAGAAGTCACTGGTTCGCAGCAATTCAGAAGTTCAGTTAGACTCATGTCCAGTTCTCCCTACTCTGAGGGCAAAAAAGATTGTTGATAAGGGCTCAATTTTCCTCCCTGGTTTTGATTATCTGTGGTTCTTGATTTTGCTCTCTAAGCTCTTGAATCTACTCTCCAAATCCTCTTTTCTTTTCTGTAACAAATGACCTGTACCTGTAAGTGAGTAGTTTTCCTAGCTACTTCCAGCCTTTAAAAGTTTTGGGGCCCAAAGTGTTTTTTCATTTAAATTTTAAACTATCTCTCTCCTGTCTAAACAGTGTTGCCAAGTATTCTTATAATTTTTGTGGGCTTTCTATGAATGAGATCATACTACATTTCTTTAGATGAAAGACAGAACTACAAATTGCCTTGAGAAAGGCTTCTCTCTACTTAAGGCTATGGTCAGTGCATTGTGGCACAGTGTTTGTGAGATGCTTTAGAGCCCCAGGTTCAGTACCGTAAATCTTTCAGAGATGTCAACAGGGGCTCTTATAGTCAAGCCCTTCATTTGATTTTTACAAGTCCACATTTTACTGGCGGAGTTCTGAATTTGACCTTTGCTCTGAGGCTTGTTTTCATTTTGAAACCTTTTGCTGCTCAGAAAAGTCTTCATGGCAAACACTGCACTGAAGCTATTTCCTTTCATTTCTGCTTGAGAACTAAGCAGTTCTTTCCTTAGTGCTCTGTCTCCTGCAATCCTGTATCGTACATAGCTAAAACAGACCAACTCAGTTTCATCTTCTTCCAGAACTCTCCTTCGTTAGGTCCACAGTTTCATGAGGTACATTTCGTATATTCTGCATTACGACAGGCAACATCTTGCCAATTTTTCCCCAATATATAACACCATGCTCCCCTTTTCCAGCCTCCAATATCAATTTCCTTAACAGCTTTAGAGCTTACAGCTGGTCTCCTCACTATCCTTCAGGCCTCTGCTGTCACTGAGTACCAAAACCGGTGTACAAGTTTTAGATTTTTGTTATAGTAGCACCATACTTCTGATACCAGTTTTAGGTATGTATAACTGCATAATTTAGAGATGTAAAAAGCAATGATTATATTTGCTCAAAATTCTGTGGGTTAAAATTTCAACAGAACACTGTGGGGATGGCTTACCACTGAGCCAAAATGTCTGCTATCTCATCTAAGGTAGCTCAGGCAGATGTGGGGGCCACTGGGACAGCTTTACTGAAGTTGTATGGCTAGGGTTTCATTTTCATTATTGATTCCATTTCTTGGTTCTTTTCCTCATGGATAGCTTGAGCTTCCTTACAGCATGGTGATCTTCTGAGTGTTCAGATTTATGACTTAGTGGCTTGTTTTCTTTGGGAGAAAGTGGAAGCTGCCAGAATCAAGGGGAGAAGAAATAGACTCCACTTCTTACTGAATGAGAACATATGTAGGTATAGGGAGAAAAAGAATTTATAGATCAATTACTGGAGACTGTCAGCCAGATGTGTTCTGGCTTAGGATTTTCCAAACATTCTTGATCATGACCTATAAGAAATGTGTGTGGCTTAGGGAATTTCTATATGCTTAAATATTGTTTCAAGAAGCAAGCTTTAGCTCTTTGCCATGAAAGGTACTTATATTTTCTAATCTATTCTAATTTATTGTTTTAAAATGCTGGTTACAAACTCTAATTTTATTTTACAACTAGTGGATTGAAATGAACACTTCAAAGAACAGTAGTTCTGATTAAAGTCCCTTGTTGTATATATAGCAAAAGTGAGTGTAAATAAAAATATACTTCAAAGTAATTTTCCAATGTTCTGCATCCTGACTGAGGCAGAGAAGGGATTAGAATTATGTCTTCTAGTTTAAGCCAAGACCCTTTCAGTCCCACTTGACTTTTTGACCACACTGTTGAGCCAGTTCCATGCCTTACTTCATCTGGTTCCACCAAAATGTTCATCTGAGTTCTCTACTTTCACTGTCGCCAGATCCAGGACTGTAACACAGGTCCTACAACTTTGAACCCGATCCTTTTTGTACATGATTACACTTTCTTATTCCTACTATAAACAGACTAAGGCCATTTGCAACTTCCATTCCTTAACAAACATCTTAATTAAAAAAAAATAGTGGATAGTATTGTGGGGCTTGTGACTGTGAAAATAAAAATATCCTTCAGAGTCATGGAGTTGTGAGTTGTGAAAAGAGTTATTGTGAGCACAGTTCTGCTGAAAGTGGGAAATGTGTCTCTCACCTTCCAGAATCAGCCAGTTCCAGTATCACACAGTGTAGACATTATTTTCCTTCAATGGATTCACATTTTCCTGCTTGAATTACTTATTTAAATATAACTCTAAAACATGATAAGCAAAGTTATAGTGCTGCTATGGAAAGGACTGTTTAAAAGGATACTTTATGCCATATACAAAATAATGAATTGCATAGCTTTTTCCTTTATGGGTTTCTTTGTTTCAAAGGGTGTGGAATTAAATTTAAGTTTTGAGATTCTCTTAGATATTGTGGTTAGTAAGGAATTCATATTTGTTCATTAGTAATATATGGAATCTGGGCTGGATATCTCAAAGAGCCCTTCGTATTCTGGGATTCTGTGGCCACAGTCTTTCTAGGAAGGGACAAGGCTAACCTCTGTTGTATCTCTTTTTTTCACCTCTTGGGTCAAGAACACCTACAGATACTAAAGCATGGTTTTACATTACACTTTTTTTTTTTTAAATAAGGAAAAAAGTATTTCCTAAAGATAGGTTGACAAGGCACGAGGTGAATTTCCAAAATTAACTGTGAAAGGAAGATCATCTGGGCATGACTGAAAGCCATGTATAACCTTTGTGCTCACATAGCTCATTTCAAAAATGTCACTTTCTGCTTATTAAATGCTACTGTCATGATACTATTTTAAGCATTAAACTTGTGTTCTGGAGCTGAACAGGAATTATTGCTTCTATCTTTGGGCTTATTAGAAATAATTTAAAATTTATTCAGGAGTGATAAAAATCACCTTTTTATTATGGTTGAATTTGGTTAAATTGAAATTTGCAGTGACATTTTATTGTCTTTTATTAGCAATATTTTAGCATCTATGTATGTAACTCAAGACTATTTTTAAGTACCTTATAAAGAAGTGGCATTTTAAATAATTTTTTTTTTAATTTTTATGTTCCTAGAATGAGGTTAAGTTGGAATACATTATGGGACAATGTTATCTGAAATTTTGTACTTTTCTTATATAGATACACTTTTAAAACAGCACCCATGATAGTGGCAGTTGAAACACATTTTCATTGTTATATAAATTATTTACTCAATACTTGCACTAAGGTAAGACCAGATGATTCATGGAAAATGAAAAGAAAAATTAGTTTATTGGAAACAAATTTGTTTCCTCCTCTGACTTACCTCAAAGAACCATGATTTACCTCAAAGAACCTCTGATTTACCTCGAAGAACCATGAGATTACAAGGACGGATGTCAGGGAATGAAAAGCAGATTTTTTTTTTTTTTTAAAAAAAGAAGCCCCTGCCCCCATATTGAAAGAATGAATCTGTTAATTCATCCTGATCATCTATAATTTACTGAAGAGTCTATTCTCTAAACATCCTCACACCCTCATTTAATTTAATTTATTATATTTTGAGACAGTCTTGCTCTGTCACCCAGGCTGGAGTACAGTGGTGCCATCTTGGGTCACTGCAACTTCTGCCTCCTGGGTTCAAGCTATTCTCCTGCCTCAGCCTCTTGAGATACTAGGGATTATAAGTATGCATCACCACGCCTGGCTAATTTTTGTATTTTTAGTAGAGATGGGGTTTCACCATGTTGGCCAGGCTGGTCTCGAACTCCTGACCTCAAGTAATCCACCTGCCTCCGCCTCCCAAGGTGCTAGGATTACAGGTGTGAGCCATTGCACCCCACACTCACACCTTCATTTTAAAGTTGGATCAATAATAAGAAAAAGGACTGGAGGGGAAATTGCTTGAACTTTATGAATCTGCCTGCATTAGGCTCTCTTCACCAAGCAGGGAAGGGAAGAGGGAAGAAGCTTGCCTAGATAAAGAGGGATTCCCTGGGCAAGGCAGGCTAGAGACTAACTTCAGCTTGTGGGCTGAACAAGCAGAGCAGTGTGATGCAGGGAGTAAGTGTATCAAAACAAACAACAAACAGCAAACATCCAGAAAATGGGTCAGATTTAAGTAGTAAGCGCCTTCCACAAATTAGAAACTGGAGAGTCAGATCAAGAAGAGTAAGCAGGACAAGCCATGTGGTGGAAGGGTGCTCTTGGCCCATGTATGGGATAAGCATCGCCAGATGTAGCCAGAATGTGCTCTCTGTGACATAGTTGTAAAAGTTAAGGAGATAAGGGACAGGGAGCAGGAGAAACTTAAGCGGCTTGGAAAGAGTTGTTTAATTGTAAAATAACAAAGTTAGTTAATGTTTTCCAGTGCCAGAGGATGACATTAAAATGTTCATCGTTCATCTGTAAAGGTCTTTTACATTAGGACTTAATAAATATAATGTTGTCTTAGGTAGCTAAGCTCATTTTGCTGTAAGAAAATTAGAGAGTGGTTTAAATTAGAGAAATTTTCTCACAATTCTTGGGGCTAAACATTCAAAATCAAGATAGTAGCATGGTCGGTTTCTGATGAGGGCTCTCTACTTGGCTTGTAGACTGATTAGACTGATGCTTTCTCTCTGTTCTCATACGGCATGCACGTGCACGCACACACACGCGCGTGCACACACACACAGAGACATGAAGAGACAGAGAGAAGAGAGGGGAGAGAGAGAGAGAGAGAGAGAGAGAACTCTGCTGTCTCTTCTTATAATCAATCACATCATGAGGGTCCTACCCTCATGACCTCATCCAAGCCTAATTATCTCCCAAAGGATCTATCTCCAGATACCATCACTTTGGAAGTTAGGGCTTCAACAGATGAATTTTTTTGTGGAAGAATGGGGACCCAATTCAGTCAATAGCAACTGTCAACTCTGATAATCTCACAGGCACCATAAGAGCCATATGTTATATTTTGTTTCCCGTGTCATACAACATCTATACTTGGTTTGTCATTGAAATTGTTTGTAAATGGATTGTCCAGATTCCTTCTCAATTAGCAGTTGTTCTACTTAATTCTAAGTATGCTGCACTCTGCAATAGAAACTTCTGTTTCTTAAATCATTTCCTAGATATAGAGGGGCTTTATTTCATTTTTTCTGTTTCTTTTGGCAAACGAAATGGCATTTGCTCACAATTGGAGTAAATCCAGACATAGCTCTCTTCCATTCCAAAGGCCACCTTCTCATCTGTGTGGGAAAGAGAGAAGTTGTCACCAGTGTTGTTCATCAACCGTTGCTTCTCTGAATGCCGTGCCATGCCCAGATCTGCCACTGAAAGCCTCACTACCTGAGAATCCCACACTGTAGCCTCCCATAAATGCAGTGCTGCTACCTAGGCATAGGCTCAGCAGATGCTTAAGTTCTTACCCTGTTATTTCTCTCCATAATCTATGTTGGAGTATCAGACTTTAGTGAAGGGTCAAAGATAATGAAAGCAAATTATAATTTAAGAGGGTGAAAATGAAAATATAATTCTAAATATGATTATTTCTGTATGATGAAATTACCCATCTCAGGGACACACACTAATTTCTAGCCTTAGGTTAACCCTCCCTTCATAGAGCATCTCTCTCTTCAGTCCTCTGCCCTCAAAGAATTCCCTCAACCCCAGTCCATTCAATTCCTATAACTCAATATTTGTAGAAAATAGTTTCCCAGAGCCTGCACTTGGTCTACAGTCATTTCTTGCTGTTGAGGGTGGCAGGAAACAAGTTCCAGAAGAATAGTCTGGATGAGCTTTGGTTCTTCCAAGTCCTGACCAAAACTTTGTCAACCTTGTTCACTGATTTACAGTTTTACATTATTGGGGCTCAGACTTTTGTATATAATCTGATGACTTACTAAAATTATATGAAAATTAATGTACTCAGATTTCAAAACCAGTAAAATATATGCCAAGTTAGGTGGTACAATTATTGGTTGCTTTAGGTCCCTCCTAAAAAGATTGACTGCATAGTTTTCACCCCATTTTGTCTCTAGGCTTTTCACTTTGGGCATTAAAAGACTTTACTGCTACAGCCTCCCCCTGGAAAATAACATCTAGTTCTACCCAGTATGGGTTAATGGAAATTCTACACAGATTATGAACCTTCCCCTCAAAAAGCTGTTTGATTGTAGTGAGTAAAACCATCATCATAGGCACATTGGAACAAAATATTTGAAACAGGGGTGATCTAGAAAGGTGAAATACATAGTCACTGCTAGAATATTTGATTGGTTCCCTGTTGCTGAAGTCTCAGTTGATGGATGGAACAGCCATCTAGCTTATCCTTAAGCACTTTCAGCTCCTTTACCATGTTTTAGTAAAACTCTTGTATATAAATTAGGCCAGTTAAAAAAAAAAAAGGAAGACTCAGGTGTTTCCCGATTTGTGCCTTGAGACCCTTCTCTTTAGCTTGTTAGCTCCTCACAGTCTTACAACTCTAAGTTGTACTGTCAACTCACTATATGCTACTATCTTCTGTAAGCAACCACATTCTGCTACATTGCATAATAAAGATGATCACTGTAATCATATATCAACACAATGAGATAATGAGATAATAACAAGACTCAAGTACCTTCCTTGCATGCTAAACAACTGAATTTAGTCACAGGCATTTGCCAGCCTCTTCCGTGCTATTGTATGATGTCAGAAGTTTATGTTCTGTCAATAAAGGGTCTTCCAGCAGGCTGTGCAATACGTTGGTACACATATCTGTTGTGAGTTTCCAGAAGTTATTCTTGAAACTTACACATCATTCCCTGAGTTATTCTCTTTTAACACTCTTGAGGGCATTCTGATGTGTCAGTGGAACATATCTAATAAATTCATTCTGAGACAGCATTTGGAATATCATAAGAGATCTTAAGAACAAAAACAGACAAATACACCATAATCAACAATACCTGGAGATTTAAAGATTAACTTGTCTAGCCTCATAAGATTTTCACATCAATTTCCCCTGAAATATCAGACCCATCTGTATGGAAGCTATTTATTTGAACCAAGACAGATTTTAAGTCTAGCAGGCTGAGAAATTTTTATCCTAAATGCAAGCAAGATGTGTTCACCTATAAAAACCACATCAGTAAAACAGTGCAATCTGTATGGTATTTTTGACCAATAGTGCTAACAGAGACTTTAGGTTTTTTTTCCTCCTGCATTTCTTTCTCAATTCATGCAGGTTAATTTTCACAAAATTTATGAGTATTTTATCCAGTATGTTTCATCTGAAAGCTTCTCCTTAGGCATTCTAAAGGAAAGGGGTGAACAGTCCTGGTTTTAATGCATTTATCAGTGTTAGATTATTAATATCAGTTTAAAGATGACTATTATTCTGCCATCAGGTTTTCTAAATAAGGGAATGCTTGACTCTTTGGTTGATTTTTACTCTGAAACTCAAACTAAGAATGAAGCTGTCTACCCCTCTGGCCTAAAGTTTATTGTAGTAAACCCACATGCAAATCATTTTTGAAAACTTTCCTATTATACTCATCTATTCCACTACGTTTTTTCTTCTTTTAGCGTCAGCTAAACCAAGACCCCACAGCGATGAATATTCCAAGAAGATTCCTCCTCCCAAACCGAAGCGAAATCCGAACACTCAGCTGAGCACATCTTTCGATGAAACGTACATCAAAAAGCATGGGCCCCGGAGGACGTCGCTGCCGCGGGACTCCTCCTTGTCCCAGATGGGCAGCCCCGCGGGAGACCCCGAGGAAGAGGAGCCCGTGTACATCGAGATGGTGGGGAACATTCTCAGAGACTTCAGGAAGGAGGACGATGACCAGAGCGAGGCCGTCTACGAGGAAATGAAGTACCCTATCTTTGACGACTTGGGCCAAGACGCCAAATGTGACTTCGACCATCACAGCTGTTCTTCGCAGTGTGCTACTCCCACGGTGCCTGACTTGGACTTCGCCAAGGCCTCAGTGCCATGCCCCCCCAAGGGGCTGCTTTGCGACATCCCTCCGCCCTTCCCCAACCTGCTTTCTCACAGACCCCCGCTGCTGGTATTTCCCCCCGCCCCCGTGCATTGCTCCCCCAACTCCGACGAGTCCCCGCTTACCCCTCTGGAGGTCACGAAGCTTCCCGTGCTGGAAAACGTGTCTTACATGAAACAGCCAGCCGGGGCGTCGCCCTCCACGCTGCCGTCCCACGTCCCCGGCCATGCGAAACTGGAGAAAGAGCAGGCCGCGGCCCTGGGACCTGCCTCTGCCACCCCTGCGCTCTCCTCGTCGCCCCCACCCCCGTCTACGCTGTACCGAACCCAGTCTCCCCATGGCTACCCTAAAAGTCACTCCACCTCTCCCTCCCCCGTCAGCATGGGGAGGTCCCTGACTCCCCTGAGCCTCAAAAGGCCTCCCCCTTACGACGCTGTGCATTCGGGCAGCCTCTCAAGGAGCTCTCCTTCAGTGCCTCACTCGACCCCCAGACCCGTGTCGCAAGATGGGGCCAAGATGGTCAACGCCGCGGTGAACACCTACGGGGCAGCCCCGGGTGGCTCCCGGTCCCGGACACCCACGAGCCCGCTGGAGGAGCTGACCAGCCTCTTCTCCTCCGGCCGCAGCCTGCTGCGCAAGTCGTCCAGTGGCCGGCGCTCCAAAGAGCCTGCAGAGAGTAAGTGTGCAGGGCCTGCCTGAGCCCCAGAGCCCAGTGCCAGGCTTACAACCAGGGTGAAGCCCATTGTGTGCAGATAACGCACAGAGTACGGGGTCTTGAGGCCTTGGAGTTGAAATCTTAGCATGCAAACAAAATGTGTTAGTTCATTTTTGCCATGCTAAACCAAATAGTGTATCCTGAAAGTATTAAAAATGGCAGTCTGCAAAATATACTATTTCCTATTTAAAAGAAGAGTGATTTTGAAAAATAAGGTATAAAATCTAAATTCTTGCAATGGTCCTGGAAAGTTGAACAGTGAAAATAGGGACCACTATGGAATTTTAGGTATGTGCAGATAACGCACGGAGTACGTGGTCTTGGGGCCTTTGAGTTGCAATCTTAACGTGCAAAATGTGTTAATTCACTTTTGCCACACTAAGCCAAATAGTGTATCTTGAATGTAAGCTGAAAGAATTAAAAATGACAATCTGCACAATATAACATTTTTAAATAGGAAATGTTATATTCCTATTTAAAAGAAGAGTGTTTAAAAAAAAGTACAAAATCTAAGTTCTTACAATGGCCCTGGAAAGTCAAACAGTGAAAACAGAGACCACTATGGAATTTTTAGGTAAATACCTTGTTTTGGGGGCAGGGAGGTGGGGGGCGGAATTAAACATTCAAACATGCAATTGATAAATGTTAAAACTTGCCTTCATCTTATATTAAAACACTTCTTGAGGCCAGGCATGGTGGCTCGCGCCTGTAATCCCAGCACTTTGGGAGGCCGAGGCGGTCAGATCACGAGGCCAGGCGATCAAGACCATCCTGGTTAACACTGTGAAACCCCATCTCTACTAAAAATACAAAGAAAATTAGCCGGGTGTGGTGGCGGGCACCTTTAGTCCCAGCTACGCGGGAGGCTGAGGCAGGAGAATGGCGCGAACCCGGGAGGCAGAGCTTGTAGTGAGCCCAGATCATGCCACTGCTCTCCAGCCTGGGCGATAGAGCAAGACTCTGTCTCAAAAACAAAAAACAAACAAAAAAAAAACCTTCTTGAGCAAATTCCCATTAGAAAACCTGTGTTGGAAAGAAAGCAGTTTGATTAGAACTTAGAATCTTCTTTGACATACAAAATGATTCTGTCTGTATACTTCATGTTCTTGTATTTTTACCATTACTATAAATGAACATAGACCCATTATTTTCCTTTTAAAAGCCATGGTGATTTTACATCTTATTTCTATGATACTCTTCCTAGATCCATCAATATATAACTTACAGAAAAGTCACTAAGGTGGTGAACATTACTTTTACTACTGAATTTCAAAGACCAGGAAATTTATCTATCTGAATGACTAACACCTTTATGAGTATTAAATCAATTCACAAGTATATAGTAAAGTCAAAACAGACCCAGATTAGTTTTTTCTATGTCCATTTCATTAAATTACATTTCTTTCTCTTATTTAAAAATGCCGTAGGCACCTAAGCTGATAATTAATCACTTACATCTCAAGTAATCCCTCCATGTGATTTTTTATTTATCTATTCATACACTCATACTGAGAACTTTCCTTAAAGGAAAAGAAACTCTCAATACTTTTGATGATGAAAATGACAATGGCATTTTTTAGATAACTAATATTCCTTGGTAGTTACAAGCCACTAATTCTTTTTTTCCCTTTACCCAGAGACTTATGAAAATGTTAGCTACTTCAATAATTGCCCCCAAAACATTTTAATTACCTAAGTGAAAGGCAGACATTTCTAATATATTAGGCATGTCTGGAGTTATATGCTTGCATATGTACATACATACATAAAATTATTTTAAGAATTGAATTTAAAACTAGGAACAATCTATTTCTAGAGCAGTTGTCAACTAGGGCAATTTGTCCCCTGGGATATTTGGCAATATCTAGAGATGTTATTGGTTGTTACTACAGGGGGTGTTACTGACATCTATTGGGTAAAAGCCAGAGATGCTGCTTAACAGCATGTAATGCACAAGACTGCCACCTGATCCCACACAGACACAAAGAATGATCTGGTCTACAATGTCAATAGTGCCAAGGCTGGAAAACCCTGGTCTAGATAATTTACTAAAGTTTAAAGTTTCTTCCAGATAATTCATTGATTGATTTGGTTTTCACACAGATCAAATAAGGTATTTAGAATAAGAGAAAATATTTTTTAAACATTTTATTTAAAAATACATAATGGGTATTGTGAAATTAATGGAAGTTTCATCTTAGAATTGGTGAGACAATGGGATTTCCTCCCTACCTATCAGCTTCTTTGGAGGATCCTTAACAGCTCCAGCTGGCAGCTATGCCAATTAACTAGAAAAAAAAAGTATATGTAAAAGAAATGATTAACTAATGAAGCTATTTCAAGAAAAATCCATCTGTTAGAATCAGTCTACGTGTATATGTCACAGACTTTCTCATCCGACTCCAAAAACAAGCTTTGTGTACTTCTAAAACAAAGCTTGTACATGGAAGAGTGGTCAAGGCTCTTTATAGCTTTTAGGGAGCCAAGGATTGAATTATTTCACATGTGCTATTAACCATGCATCAACTCTGCAGAGAAAGGGCATGCCTCTGAGTTACATTAACCTCAATATTTTACTTTACGTAAATGGAAGGGAGGAAAAATGCAGGTAATACAAATGAATAATCAAAAAATCAAATGGACAAATCAAATTGCTGTTTATTTTTGACTCTCGAGGAAAGTAGAAAGACACCATTAGTTGCTCACAAAATCAAAAGGTCTCTCAGAATCTTTTCATAATGCAAAACATAGAACCAAAATTGTTAATTGGGAATTAACTAGTAATTTCTGTTGCAGTACACTCATGGATACAATTCTCCCCTTTACTCTTCCCAGACAGGTTTTGTGGACCTGTTGATACCTTAGGGACAGAATAAGTGATATGAAGTAGTATAACATTTATGACCCTGAGTCTCATTATTCTTTTTAAGTTTCAGGAATTTTCTACATTTCAGGAATAAAAGCAAAACTGATATCTCTATTTTCCAAGCCTCTGTTGGTTTAGTGGAGAAGTCAATTTTAAGTATTTACTAATATTTAATCTCAACAAATATAGTCTTTGTTTTAATTAAGGAAAACGATGTCAAATAAAATGTATACCTTAAACTCATTTTTAATAATCTGTAAAATGCACACCAAATGTATCAATTTCATGTTTTAAAGGTTTATAATTGTTGATGGGGATTGGTCAATAGAGAAGAAATAAAATAAGACAAAAGAGGTAGATTATAATTAAATTTCATTTTGTTTCACAATTTTGAAAATATGGCCTTCACATTCATTGTTATAGGAAGTGTTTTTTCCTGGTTGATGGGACATTGTTATGTTTATCTATGATTAAATTAGGACACCTGATAGTCTGTAGCTCTAGTACTTTTTTTAGTTGGTCATTATTAATATTTTTTAAAAATTTTGTGCAGAGAGGTGAATGACATGAGGCATGTAAGAAGTGATCAACTCATATGCTATTGCTAAAAATTTTTGTGTAAATGGTAAGCAGGTCAGGTACAAATATTTTTGTGATGAACTTTGGAGACTTAAATGAAAATAATTTACTACCTATCATTTTCATCTTTCTTTTGCATTTTTTGATATATTCATTATGATTTTGATTTGATTTTTTAGAAGATGTAGGTCACAAATGGGCCATTTCATTTTAATAAATCAGGTGCCATGAATCATAGAAATTAATAACCAAACCAAATTTTAAAAGTAGAAAACTTTATTTATTCCCTCAAACAAGAAATATTTTTTAAAAGAAATGTTTAACCCTCATATCAGTCCATTTTCACTCTGCTACAAAGAACTACTCGAGATTGGATGATTTATAAAGAAAAGTTTAATTGACTCACAGTTCCACATGGCTGGGGAGGCCTCAGAAAACTTACAATCATGATGGAAGGCGGAGGGGAAGCAAAGACCTTTTTCACATGGTGGCAGGAAAGAGAGAGCTCGCAAGAGCAGGGAAGATTGTCTTATAAAACAATTAGATCTTGTGAGAACTCACTATCACAAGAACAGCATGGGGAAAACCACCCCCATGATTCAATCACCTCCCACCTGGCCCCTCCCTTAACACGTGTGGATTATGGGGATAACAATTTGAGATGAGATTTGGTGGGGGACACAGAGCCAAACCATATCAGCCTGTATTCAACATAGATGAGCAAATGTACATTTCTATGAAAAAGTACAAGATCTACTGAAGAACATAATTAAAATTTACAATCTGAGGGAAAGAGTGAGATAGAGATGTTATAAATGGAGAAATGTAAATTAAAAATGTAAAGAAAAAGTAGAAGATGAAGCAGCAAAGGAAGAGACTAAGGAATAAACTAAGGCACTAAGATACAAAAGACATGCACGCCCGGGGCAGAAGGGCATGTGAACAGATTTGGGCACCAAGAAGAGAGGCGCACAGAAAGGGATTAGTCTTTACTGGAGATGTTTAAGAATGCTAACAGGACTTGATCCTGCCAGAACTTTTGGAATCTTCCTCATGGTATCCTCTGAGGTGTCTTCAGGTCTTTGGGTGTAGCTCAACTCCTAAATACCTTTGAAGAATTCCACAGTGCAAGAGCTTCCAAATCTAGCCCCTAACTCTCATCAGGTTGCTCCTTTCAGAAAGAGACAGGTAGAACAGGGCAGAAGGCATGGGGCATGGTGGAGCTCCAGAAGCAGGGATGAAAATGAAGGTGCAGACCCACTCAACTCCTGTCATTATTATTAAAAGAGAAATGATGTCTTGGCATTACAAAAAAAAAAAGCTATATCATACTCAACCGTATTCTACATTATTGGAGATTCGTAAGTTTTTCCTATTAAACCTCATCTTTTAGCCTTTAAAAAGTAGTAAATACTTTTTTTTTTAGGCGGATTCTTGCTCTGCAGCCCATGCTGGAGTGCAGTGGTGCAATCTCAGCTCACTGCAACCTCTGCCTCCCAGGTTCAAGAAATTCTCCTGCCTCAGTCTCCCGAGTAGCTGGGATTTAAGGCATGCACCACCACACCTGGCTAATATTTCATATTTTTAGTAGAGATGGCGTTTCACCATGTTGGCCAGGCTGATCTCGAACTCCTGACCTCAGGTTATCTGCCTGCCTCGGCTTCCCAAAGTGCTGGGATTATAGGTGTGAGCCACTGCACCCAGCCAGTATTTAATTCTTTTAGATGTCATAGTATATTTTTAAAATTATAGATATAAATGAGTCTTGTAGATCTGATGAAATAGAATTAGAAATCAGATATCATCTTTGCCTTTTCATTGACCTTCTTAGAAAAAAAAAAATCCACATAGAAACCACAGCTCCAAACACACAAAACAAACCCACAAAAACTGAAAAACACCTAACCCCTGCCTCACATGGACATACAGGCCCACATACCTCTCTCCTTTTTTGTGCTGTGTGAGGTCCAGTGATACCTAAAACATCAAGCGTTGACTATGAAGGAGCTGCTCCAACTAACTCTTACTAATTTAATTTTTAAAGAATTTGTAAATAAAAAATTCTGAAGTTTATTTTTAAACTGTGTAAATTAACAGAATTATTTTGGAAAAAGTATTTTTAAATATATTTCTACTTTTATATGCTGTTCCATTTGTAAGAAAAAAAGAAGGGTCTACTAATGTACGCTGGCTGTCTTGGTAACTCAGGGTCATTGTTGTGATAGTCACTGTATGCCTGCCACAGGCTAATGCAAAATGTTGAGCAAGTTGACCCGAACAGGGGAGGCCTCACACAAAGGTGGTATCATTGTTTCTGGTCATCCGTAATAGCAGTGACACAGTATTGATAGCTTATTATTCTGCTGAGATGTCTTCAGGGTCTATTTGAGATTGTAGACCTGAAGTGCCATCTACTATTATATCATTTAAATTCACTTAAATTCTTATTTCTGTTTCCTGTGGTTTTCCTACCTTCTCCCTTTCTTTCAGATAGTTTTATTGATGCATCTAGCTTCTCCCACCATCTCTGCCTCTCCTCTTCTCTTTTCACTCTTTTCCTAATTGTAATATCAAATCAAAAATCAGTTGTGGACCAAGAAACCAGATACCCAAACTTGTCTGAGAAGCAGCCTCTCAACTAATTAAAGTATGTGACCTGCAACATAGAGACTGTGTGACTTGTACTTCCAAAGGCCACTTTATCCACCAACTAGGTCTTGCCTAGAGTTCTGGATTTGTATCTGAGAGGTTAGGAACATCAACTTCCCAAAAAAATAAGAAATCCTGGAAAACATGGAATAAATGTTAGTTTTTTTTTTTTTAGGAGAATCCACACATTTTGTTTGGCCTATTTAATATACATTTTGAGGTTGGATGTGGTGGCTCACTCCTGTAATCCCAACACTTTGGGAGGCCAAGGTGGGAGGATTGCTTGAGGTCAGGATATCATGAACAGCCTGGGCAACATACTAAGACTATATCTCTACTAAAAGTAAAATATATATATATATATATATATATATTTAATAGCTGGGTGTGGTGTCACATGCCTGCGGTCCTAGGTCCTTGGGAGGCTAAAGCAGGAGGATCAGTTGAGTCTGGGAGTTTGAGTTTGCAGCGAACTATAATCACACCATTGCTCTCCAGACTGGGTAACAGAGCAAGACCCTGTCTTAAAAAATAGGAAAATAAATTACATTTCGTTTTCATTAAAACTTTGCAGGTGAAATAGTTAAGGACTTTATATTCCCTCTGTTTAAGCAGGTGCTGACAAAGAGTAGGACAAAACAGGTATTGAAAAACCAAAGGGAAGGTTGGAGGAGGGAGTCTATAGTCTTGGATCTCTCCTTTGCAATAGAGAATGAGAGAATCCTCAGCCTGTGACTGCCCACATGCAGGCATGTTGACTTTGGGCAGGACTCCTGGATGTACGGTAACTTGGAGCAACCTGACCGGAGTTAGGGGCTGGATTCGGAACCTCTTGTACTCTGGAATACAAAGGTATTTAGGAGTTGAGCTATACCCAGATACCTGAAGCCACCTCAGAGGATACCATGAGGAAGATTCCAAAAGTTCTGGCAGGATCCAGACCTGTTAATTTTCTTAAACATCTCAAATAAAGGTTAACCCCTTTTCGGGTCTCCTGTCCTGCTGTTTGTTGGTTGCTCCTCTGCCGAGAGTCCCACACAGTGACCTCCTGTGGCCTCAGACTGGCTTCTGCCTTAGCAAGGGTCCTTCCAGCAGCTCAGGAGGGAAATCAAGCCAGGACCTGTATAATGATGATTCTCCCAGGATGTGACCTTGGGGATGCGCTCAGCCTCCAGAGAAGTTTCTCGTGTAGTTCAAAGCATGGTAGGCAAGAGGTAGAAAGCTTAGGTGAGTGGTCCAAATGCCTGCATCATATTCACCTGGATGTTGTTAAAAATACAGATTGCTGGGCTTTATTATAGACCTATTTAATGAGAAACTTTAGGGGTTAGGCCTGGGATGTTGACTGTTTAATGATAATCCCTGGTGATATTTATGCCTTCAGTCAAACAATAACTTGGGGACATATGGTTAAATGTGAGCATCACCATTGACTTGTATTCAAGAAACTATTGCTTTCATCTAACAAGGTTAAAAGATAATTTATGTAAGCAAAGGAAGAGAGACAGGAGAAAGTAAAACAGACAACTCAAAATGAGTGACTGTTGTTTTCCTTTCCTTGACTAAGTTACTGATTAGTGGCAGCTTGCAACGAGGACAGATCAGGGTAACGTAGATTCAAAAGAGATAACAATTTCACTACCTGTGGATTCTCCCAGAGGCCTTGAGAGTTTAAGAATGGAATACATGGTGGGCGATCTGTGAATCGCATCTATCCTTGTCTTAGCATCTCCATCTTAGCTGTGCCGAGTGTGTGCCACTTCCTTCATCAGAATTCCTCAATATCTGAGTTTGAGAACCACTGATAAAAGCTGCTTCAGACAGGAGCTGGTGCTGCTGGTCCAGAAGGCGAGGAAGAAACCTAAGACTGGCTGGCAGCAGTCCTCACCTCAGAAGTCCATCCAGATGAGTCCAGGCTTTTGGAGGGGGAGGACTAGCCAGAGCATGGCGGGCCCTCCAGATGGAGCTGTGACTCAGAACAAAGGTGTGCTATCTCAGAGGACACTCTCTAGTCAGTGTGGGAGAGCAGAGAGAACAGTGTAACTCACAGGCAATAGGAGAGAATGGAAGTCTTTCTTATGGGGCACTGGGAGGATGGAATGAGAGCATTACTGGCAATCTGGGGCTCTAGCGTTGATGACTGGGCCAAGGAGCTGAGGAATTGGGGCTCATAATGCTAATGAGGAATAAGGTAGTAAGATTCTTACAAAGTGCCTTGGGCTCAAACAGGTTTGTCTCAGGAACAATAGCAAGACCAACTAAGCCTAGAGTGGGAACATCAAAGAAACTAGTGGTAAGGATGTGGAAGAAGGCAGCAGTGCCCAGCCCCTTCCTCGAGAACACTTCCATAATAATAGTGGCATATACTTAACCTTCATGCCATTTACTCTGTACCAGAACTTTCTAAAAATTTACAAGTATTCAGTCCTTGTAGCAGTACTCTGAGGCATGTGATATTGACCTTGCCGTTTTAAAGATGGAAGAAACTGAGGCACAACTCACGCAGTCACATGGGGAGTAAATCTGGGATTCGAACCCCGATTATTTGGCTCTAGAGTTTCTTCGATTTAATGATACCTTATCTATACTTGATCAATCTCTCCAAAATTCACCAATTTTCATCAAAAGTCTAAGGGCTCATGACGTTATTCTCAGGGATATCTGCTTAATGAAAGAAAGCCTAATTTGTAGACAAATGGCATGAACTACTTAATGATTGGCATCAATTTAGGAAGGGGGTGGGAAATCTTTTGGGCACCCTTCAAAACTCACTTTGGAATATCCCAGTCACTGTAAGGAACTCTGTACCCCAGGTTTCTGAGCTGCCCCTGAAGGCATGTGGTCTGCTGCCCAGTGGGCCTCAGAATCGCCTAAATGACCTAAGCAAAAAGATGTGAGTGCTCACCTTAGTGCCTCTAAGCATAACTTAAGGATGTATGTTCAGGTTTCTTTGCTAAAAAGATATGGGTACTCACCTCAATGCCTCTAAGCATAACTTAAGGGTGTATGTGCAGGTTTCTTTGGCCTGTCAGATACGCAGTACTGAGCTACCATCCTGGGATACAGGGCTTTTGTTTTCAGTGCTTGCATCTTGGCCATAATAACTATGCAGTAGTTTGGCCCATGGCTACTCCAAGGGGAAAAATAGTTGATTAATCAAAAACCCCAGCCAATGCACCAAAGCAATGAGCACCCTAGCAGCACTAATCTGAAAACTGACTGGGGTAAAACAGACAAAGCAGCGCAAGGGGCCCTATGCTTCTTAGCACCACCTCTTTACTCTTTACATTTGTGGTACTATGTACTTGACAGAATCAGACACTCATCCTTAAAGTTTTTTAAAAATACAATTCTTCAAGAACAAGCTGGCCTATTGTTATGTTTTTAAAGTGAAGGGATTTTTTTTCAGGATGAGGTTAAATAGAGTATAAGTAAAATTCCTTGATTTTGAAAATTCGTGTGACTCCTTGGTTAATTGGGACCATGACATTGTCTGTTTTTCTCATTTAGTTTATCCTAGAATTGCAATATAGAATCACTGAAGAAGACATAATTTCATAAATAATTGCTCACCTTTCTGGGGGTAGACCGCAGCTGTCCTTGATTGATGCAGGCAGATGTGTTTATCCCCCGTGTTTATATTCTCTGTCTGCTGAATCTTTAAGTGCAATTTCTTGTCACCAATTTAATCAGCAATTCTCTCCATTAAGAAGAACCCTACCTGCTTTAGATGTATAAAATGCAGAAACATTTTCAATTCAGAAATTAAGTTATACCAGTCTATTTATTTAAACCAAGATTCCCTCAGTAGTATTTAATTTTATATACATGAAAAATACTAGAACTGATTTTTCCCTCCTGTTCTGTTACTTGAAATAAACATTTAATTTCTGTTTTTTTAGAGACTATCATGTACTCTTGACACTTTGAGAACAATAAGTAATTAAATATTCAGTATAAGTGAGTTCCTACTGGCTACATCATGTTACCCTCAGTGTGTCCCACATTCTAATTAAATATGATCTTGAAGTCTAGCACAAGGCTGGATGTCACAAGAGGTGGTTTCCATTAACAAGCTTTGAGACCTTAGATAAGTCAGTTTGCCTCTTAGTGTCTTAGTTTTCTCACTTTTCAAATGAAAATATTAGATGCTAAAACTGAGTCCCTTCTGGCTTGGCTTCTTGTGTGGGGCTTCTGCAGATTACTGGCTGATCTGTAAATCTCCAAAGGGAGGACCCCCTTCCTCCTTCTGAGACTTTCCTTCTGATGTTGTTCTCCCTTGCTGAAAGGACTTCGCCAGAAACTTAATGAAAAAAATGTCAGCCTAATCCTTGACTCCCAACTCAGTCTACCAATTTCTCCATGGTGTTTTTCTTATGCTATTGTCTTTGACTACTTTTTTTCAAATTTTTGAATGATGTAAGACTTATTCCAATGCATTGTGAAGATTATTTCTATCTGATTCTCTCTATTGAAACAAAGGACCAGGGAAAACAAGCTACAAACCTTTTCATCATTTTACTTTTTGTAATACTTGATCCAATACAATCTTTCCCCAAGTTGGTACATGATAAGTATTTATTGAACTTGTTGAATTAATAGGCACACTTAAGAAGGCTATTGAACTTTAGGGAAAAAAGCCATATAAGAAATGTTTGACCATTAAGTGAAAAAACAAAAATCAGCTTCTATGTTTGACTTAGAATATTCCACATTAAAATCAATATAGTCATTCAGCAAAAAAGCAGCTATGCTGAATGCTGAATCATTGCTTCTACTCTTAAGTGGCATGTTTGAAAGAATGGCCATTCCATTCCAGGCAGATTTATTGGAGGGAAAGATATAAAGAATATGCCCATCAAGCATTTAAATTTGGACCATTTTGTAAGGTCAAATCATCATCGGTTTCGGTACAAATGAATGAGCTGTGAAAATTGATCTCTTTTCTATGTTTGTAGAAAGAAAGATACCTTTTTCAAAAAAAGAAAATAACATTTTAAAGAAGCAATTTCAATCTGCTTAACTTATGCATTATTGATCAAAAATTGTAAAGACAATAAAAACACATTCAATGGCCGGGTGCGGTGGCTGATGCCTGTAATCCCAGCACTTTGGAAGGCTGAGGAGGGCATATCACTTGAGGTCAGGAGTTTGAGACCAGCCTGGCCAACGTGGTGAAACCCTGTCTCTACTAAAAATACAAAAATTAGTTGGGTGTGGTGGTGGGTGCCTGCAATCCTAGGTACTCAGGAGGCTGAGGCAGGAGAATCACTTAAACCCGGGGGCAGAGGTCACAGTGAGCCGAGATCGTGCCACTGCACTCCAGCCTGGGTGACACAGTGAGACTCTGTCTAAAAAAAAATAATAAAATAAAATAAAAACATTCAAATAGGTCATTTAACATCTTTGTTGGAAAGACATTGCATAAATCCACAAAGCTATCATTATGTGACTCGCGGTCTTGAATATGTGTGTTCCCTGGTGAAAAAATGGATTTTAGTTATAAAATATTTGAAAAGCTTTTCTCAGTTTTTGATAAAATAATTTTTTTTGGAATTCAGTAAATGGATGACAATCCCAAATTTAATTAAATGTCTGTAGTGGTGCATGGTATTTCTTGGTAGAAGCAAACTCATTATTGTTGTTGCTGGTGGGAGCTAGGTTAATTAAAAGTTCCACTCCTAGCAGAATAACCAATCAACTGAAAAATCTGGGCTATTGCTATTTCCAAATGGAAGAAGTAAAAATATTAAGGAATCTAAGAGGGAAGTAAGGAGTATTAGTTACATGGATTGTAAAGCAGCGTGTAAAGCTGTAGCTGGCTAGAAAAGAACCCAGAACAGCTGAACTGAAAGGAAAAAATTCCAATGCAGAAGTCCGTAATATTCTTCTGATAATTGATAATGGAGGAAAAACTTTTCTATACATATTCTACTACTCAACTTTCAGTTATATTCAATAAAATAGAATTTTCCTATGTTTTGCTTTTCTTTTCGTAGATGGAACTGATATAATAAAGATAAGAAAGAATAAGGATGAAAAAACAATAGCTAGAAGCAGTCATAAAATAGAGATTGGGGTATTCATGTGTTGTCCAACGTTAGATCCAACCATAGTGCTATGGGTGGATAATTCTAATGCATCTTTTTGTTCCCATGTCACAACTAAGAAATCTAGATCCCCAAAAACTAGAAGGATGAAAAAGGATTTAGTTGTTAGTAGCCTGCAACAGAATGATCAGAGCTGAAATAAAGTACTGCTCTATTTAAGTTACACATTCTGGACATCCAAATTGTGTCTATATCTACAAACAACTTTCATTCTTTTGACCATTAGTTATTAACCACTTACCAATAATTAATGACAAGAGATATGTGTCAAACAAATGAAAGCTTTTTGTCAATGTTGAAATGGTCAAAGAGAAGTTTTAAACCTAAGAAATTAAAGCAGATTACCTCACAGTTGTTTTTCTTTGGCTAATTGATAATCTCACTTGTAGCCTGCAGAATTCATTTTGGCATCTGAACCAAGCTGTGTGTATGGCTCTTTAATATAAACCATAATCAAATTGCCCACTGATGTTTCATAAAACAGAAGCTTGATTCTATGTCCAGCCATAGTTCTCCATTTAGCTTCCATGGCCAATCCACTTAAGTGAATGTGCTGTACTTGCTGCCTCCATTTCTTCTCCCTCATTCCAGCCTTAATTTCCCACAAACTGGCTTCCTCTTCTACTCACCCCAGAGTTACATGAGGCTTCCTAATTGGGCTCTGGTTCTAGCATTTTTCCTCTCCTGATTCTTTTAAACCTTCATGAAACATCTGATATTGTTGATTATTCTATGTAAATAATTCCATATATTTTTTTGAGAGATGGGCTCTGGCTATGTTGCCCAGGCTAGAGTGCAGTGGTGATTCACAGGCATGTTCATAGTGCACTACAGCCTCCAACTTCTGGCCTCAAGCAATCCTCCTGCATCAGCCTCCCAAGTAGCTGGGGCCACACTCTTGCCTAACATGTTAAGATTTTTCTGTTTATTTCCATGCAATAGGATATCCTCATTAGTAATCATTTTAAAACTGTGTCCCTTCTGCTTCCTTTTTAAGGGAACTCTGCTCCTTCATTTTTATGAAAAAGTTCTTCTGACATATGACTGACAGTGTTGTAAATGTGTGTTTAAATATTTGCCTCCCCCACTAAATTATTAGGACACATACTGAGTCTTTTTTATTGCAGCAAATAGCACATTTTCTGGCATAAAGTGTATGCTCAGCATGTGTTCAACTATTTGAGTGAACAAATATGCATCCGACCTCCCCAATTAAATGGTAAGTTTTTGAGGGCAGGGACAGTTTATATTTTTTGTAAATTTCCATGGTCCCTGTGACTGAATTTTGCATAATCAGTTTATATTTGTAGATTTATTGATTTTTCTAAAGCTAATTTTTTTTAAAAAATAGCACCATCCAATAGAATTGCCATGATTAACCAATATTGATTTTAATCTGAGCTTTGTAGAGAATGCCAAGATCAACAGTAGTTAAGATATTTAGGAACCAAATGTTTCAAGGAATATCAATGGAGAATCCAGGTTTAGATTATTCTTATACATAATACTGAAAAGAGAAGTCAGTCCCATTACTGATTGGGGAAAGCAAGTAACAAGCAGCAAGATAAATGAATATCATGTTGTCGACAGCAAAATTATTAGCTAGATTGCATGGTATTGAATACAGTCCATTTGCAGGTTAATTTTCAGAAGATGAAAAATAAAGTAAGAATAAAAGTGTACCTTCATTTTCATATCTTTGTTTTAAAAAGTCGTCTGTTTAACCAGCTTAAAAAACAACCTCCTTATAGTGGAAGATAGAGTGGAAGGTTATGGTATTTGTATCTGTGAAAAACAAAACAAAACACAGGAGTCTAATGTCCTGGGGTTAAAAAAATAGATCTGCCGTCTAACAGCTGTTCTTTGTAAGAAGAATTATTTCCATAGGTTTTGGGGAAACAGGTGGTGTTGGTTATGTGAATAAGTCCTTTAGTGGTGATATTTGAGATTTTGGTGTGCCTATCACCTAAGCAGTATACATTGTACCCAATTTGTAGTCTTTTTATCACTCACCCCCCTCCCACCCTTTCTCCTGAGTCCCCAAAGTCCATTGTATCATTCTTATGCCTTTGCATCCTCATAGCTTAGCTCCCACTTATAAGTGAGAACATACAATGTTTGTTTTTCCAATCCTGAGTTATTTCACTTATGATAATGGTCTCTGATTCCATCTAAGTCACTGTGAATGCCATTATTTCATTCCTTTTTATGGCTAAATAGTATTCCAAGGAGAAATATATATATATATATATGTATCACAATTTCCTTATCCACTTGTTGATTGATAGACATTTGGGCCGGTTCCATATTTTTGTAATTGTGAATTGTGCTGCTATAAACATGTGTGCACAAGTATCTTTTTTGTATAATGACTTCTTTTCCTCTGGGTAGGTACCCAGTAGTGGGAATGCTGGATCAAATAACAGCCGTTCTTTTAGGAAAAGCCAAACTTTGGGAGTCTTAATTTTTAAATATTTACCTCATAGGATTGTTGTGACAATTTAAAGGAAATCATGCACAGGACAATACCTTGTAAATGTTCATTGCTATGCAACTATAAAGGGTGATTGTTTAACCTTTAGATACATGTAAAAAAATAAATATTTTAGTAAAAGATAAAGTAAGGTTCAAATGAAATAAATTTTCAGAGGTTCCATGTTGTTGTTTGCATAACTTGCTCTTCAGTTAAGTTTGGGTAAAGGATCTGACATCTTAAGTGAATCATTCTACGACCTGAGGTTAGGAGCATAAAGAATTGGAGAGAATGCAAGCCATTCTCTGTTCCCACAGGAGGCAGGATGTTTTAAGGCTGCTGAATGCTATCTAAGCCTTGACGCTGGAGGGCCTTCACATACGATGCAGTCCAGTACCCTTGCGCCATAAAGAATAACTCTGAGAACAAAGAGGCCATCTTTATTGTACAAAGGGCTGACTGAGCAGCATGACACCATGATTGTGAAAGATGATTTACCAGCAGAAGAAAAAGCTTCAATATCACTGGGTTGTTGATATATTTTTCAAATGTAATTTTTAAAAATGTCCTGGTTACAAACAATTTATCTTTTAAAATAAAAATTTTGCTTCCAAAAAGCTATAGGTATTAACCAAATCATTAAGTGGAAACCAAGAATAGTTGAAGTACTTAATATCAAAAATAATTAGTATGTGGATGGAAGACTGTTAAAAAATATGATTTGTGAAGTGTTGTTTCTAAGTACATTCAAGTAGAAGCAGCTCATTTTCTTTTAAAGTGATTATTTGAGATGAAAAAAATTAAGATTAGCATTTGAAAAATGGAATGTCAGAAAAAAAACACTCAAATGTTATTTTAAAACATGTGTGTAACCACAAATGCACAGAAGGAATGCTAACCTCCTAAATACAGATAAGCTAGCATAGAGAAGGCAATGCATGATAAGTGACTATCCATAATGTTTTTTATATGTGAAAGGCTATAGACACAAATGGCTTCATTGTCAATTTTCTCATTTTTCAAAATTAATGGCTTTCCTAGTAAAAGACTTTATCCAGATGCTAATTAAGCAGAGGTTTGTTTTGCATATCAATTTTTAATATTCACTCCTCACACTTAAATGAAACCTGCAGCATGAGGCTTCTCCAGTTAAAAACAGCCCTGACCTACTTCCACGTGAAATCAATGGAGGGCTTCAAGAGACTCATGAGTAGCTGACATTTAAGGAAGCCAGGAAGCTCATAATCTGTGTTGGTGTAAAATGTGTGTTTCCCTGGGCTTCAGCTTCCTTCCCCCACACCTCCTTCTCTCTCTCTCTCAGTCTCTTTCTCTTCCTCTCTCTCTCATTCTTCTAAGAATAGAGAAGACTGTGGAAGCTATTGAGCAAGATAAGTGAAGGCATACCCGAGTTCCCGAGTTATATGCCCAGGGGAATTGTGAGATGCTGTGTCAGCTGCACATGTAATGGTTTCCAGTTAACAGGAACCACTAGGTCTGGGACTGAGGAAGCGAAAGAAAGACCTAAAAAGCACTCACTTGCATTCAAATATATTCCATGAAAAAAATTATATTCACCAGAATATGATCTTCAGATACCTATGTGCTGAGGCCTATGAAAGTAAGAACATATGTTGTATGGCAAATCTTTTGAAGACTGGTGTGTTAAGAACCCAAACAGAAGGTCATGAATTAGGAAGAAGAATTAAAACCAGCCTGACAGAAGGGCAGTAGTCATCAGGGCATGGTAGAGCACACTGGGCCTCCATCAGGCCAGGGTCCTACTAAGAGCAGCAAGTTCCCTCTAAAGTGCAGCCACAGACCTTCATGGCTTGTGCCAATGTGAAACCCTGACCCTTGACCTTGGAGACTTTTTCCCTGTCAAATTCCAGCACACTAAGCTAAAGTGGGGCTAAGCCAGTAAAACTGATGGAAGAAGGTATCAGTAAAACTGATGGAAGAATTCAAAGTCCAGGATACTATTTTGCAATTAGTGTTGAAGTTGAGAAGATCTGTACTTTTAAAAAGCATCAATGTTTAAGATCTGTGTTACTGCTTCATAGTCATTTACACCAACCCTGCAACTCAAATCAATAACTACATAAACATTTTTATTATAAAATATATATGACATTTACAATTTCAACTATTTTTAAGTGTAGAGTTCAGTGGCAGTAAATGCAGTCATACTGTTGTGCAAATGTAACCACACAACTGGTTCACAGTGCCCACTGCCTAGACAGAGCCTATTTATCAAGACAGGGGAATTGCAACAGAGAAAGAATAATTAATGCAGAGCCAGCTGTGTAGGAGAACAGAGTTTTATTATTACTCAGATCAGTCTCTCCAAGCATTCAGGGATAGGGGTTTTTCAGGATAACTTGGTGGGTGGTGGGCAGCCAGTAAGTCAACAGTGCTGATTGGTTAGGTCGAAGATGAAATCATAGGGAGTTGAAATTGTCTTGTGCTGAGTAAGTTCCTGAGTGGAGGCCACAAGATCAAATGAGCCAGTTTATTGATCTGGGTGGTGCCAGCTGATCCATCAAGTTCAGGATCTGCAAAATATCTCAAGAAATGATCTAGGCTTTACAATAGTGATGTTATCCCCAAGAGCAATTTGGGAAGGGTCAGAATCTTGTAGCCTCCAGCTGCATAATTTCTAATCTTTTGGCTAATTTGTTAGTCCTACAAAGGCAGTCTAATCCCCAGGCAAAAAGGGGGTTTGTTTTGGAAAAGGGCTGTTATCATCTTTGTTTTCAACTATAAACTAAGTTCCTGCCAAAGTTAGTTCATCTTACACTCAGGAATGAATAAGGACAGCTTGAAGGTGAGAAGCAAGATGTAGTTGGTTAGGTCAGATCTCCTTCACTGTCTCAGTTACAGCTTTGCAGTAACAGTTTCACAACCATCAGTTTCACAATCATCACCACTCAAGAGCTTTCATTCTTCCCAACTAAAACTCCATCTCATTAAATAATAATTCCCAATCCCCTCTTCCCACTATTCTACTTTGTCTTGAATACTTCAACTATTCTAGGTAGCTGATGTAAGTGGAATTAGACAATATTTATCTTTCAGTTACTGGCTTATTTCACTTAGCATGTCCTCAATTTTCACCCGTGCATATTGCAGGATTTCATTACTTTTTTAAGGCGGAATAATATTCTGTTTTAGGGATATACCACATTGCATTTATTCATACATCCATTGAAGGATATTTGGGTTGTTTCCACCTCTTGGCTATTTTGAGTAATACAAAATATGTGATGGACATGAGTGGTGTATGATAATCTGTTTGAGATCTCACTTTCTATTCTTTAGAAATACCCAGAAGTAGAACTGCTGAATCATGTGGGTAGTAATTCTGTGTTTAAGTTTTTTTTTTTTTTTTTTGAGATGGAGTCTTGCTGTCCCCAGGCTGGAGAGCAGTGACGCGATCTTGGCTCACTGCAACCTCTACCTCCTGGGTTCAAGTGATTATCCTGCCTCAGTCTCCTGAGTAGCTGGGACTACAGGCATGTGCCACCACGACCAGCTAATTTTTGTATTTTTAGTAGAGACGGGGTTTCACCATGCTGGCCAGAATGGTCTCGATCTCTTGACCTTGGGTCTCGATCTCTTGACCTCGTGATCCATCCTCCCGGCCTCCCAAAATGCTGGGATTACGGGCGTGGACCACCAAACCCAGCCTCTGTTTAAGTTTTTGAGAAACCTACGTACTGTTTTCCATAGCAGCTGTTTATTTTTTTATTCCCACCAGCAATGCACAAAAGTTCTAATTTTTCTACATCCTTGCCAACATTTGTTCTTTTGTTTTGTTTTATTTTGTAAATACCAATCCTAATGTGTATGAAGTGATATTTCTTTTGGTTTTGATTTTCATTTCCCAGTGTTGAGCATCTTTTCACATGCTTATTGGCCATTTATATGCCTCCTTCAGATAAATATCTATCCAAGTCCTTTGCCTATTTATTCATTGGGTTACTTGATTTCTTTTTGTTGTTTAGTTGTAGAAGTTCTTTATATAATCTGTATATTAATCCCTTATCAGATATAATATGATTTGGAAATATTTTCTCCCATCCCATAGGTTGCCTTTTCACTCTGCTGATAGTGTCCTTTGATGCGCAAAAATTTTAAATTTCTCTACTTTGACTGTTGTTGCCTGTGCTTGTGTTGTTATATTCAAGAAGTTATTGTCAAATCCAAATGCAGTCTTGTTGTCTGAGTTATTGCCATGATTTTTTTGTCTCATGACCAAGAAAATTAAGGAGCATGGGCACCAAAGTTGAATTTGGAGCGAAAGTTTATTATGCAAAAGAGGAAAGCTCTCTGCAGTGAAGAGGGGGCCCAAAAGAGGGTTGCCAGCTATGGGACTCAGTCTGGGGTTTTTATGGACTGGAAGGGGAGGAATGTGCTGACTGGTCTATGGGCCATCTTGGAGGACCAATTGGAGGTAAATGTGAAGGCTTCGCCTGGGACCAATCAGGGGCTGAAGTGATGATTTACCCTATGTAAATGAAGACTTAGCTCACGGTCAATTACGGAGAGGTAGGCATATGTAAAATAGGTGAAAAGTGAGAGACAAAGACGTGAAGGGGAGAGAAATATGTCCAAAAAAGGGTGGGATTTGTTTATCTGGGTTCACAGACTGAGTGTTTCCATTCATGGAGGCAGGCTTTTTCTTATCTGGGGCCTGCAGTTTGACTTTGAGGCTGTTCTTTGTTTGAAAGAGTTTTACCAAGAAGCCATCCTAACTGCCTGCTTGACCAGTTTCTTTCTTTCTCCTCTCTCATAATGTCATGAATATTTTCCCCTGCATTTTTTTCTAGGAGTTTTATAGTTTTAGGTTTTACATTTAGGTCTTTGACACATTTTGGGTTAATTTTTATAGGTAGTGTAAGGTAAGAGTTCTACTCTATTCTTTTACATATGGATATTCAGTTTTCCAAACCTACTTTGTTGAAAAGATCATCCCAGTGAATGATCTTGGCAGTTGGTGAGAATCATTTGACCATATATATAGAAGTTTATTACTGGGCTATTTTATTCCATTGGTCTATTTGTCTGTCTTATGCCAGTGCTACACTGTTTTGGTTACTGTTTTATAGCAAGTTTTGAAATCGGGCCATGTGAGACCTCCAATTTTGTTCTTCTTTTTCAAGATTGTTTTAGCTATTTGAGGTCCTATGAGATTCCATATGAATTTTAGAATGGATGTTTTTATTTCTGCAAAAAAAAAAGTTATTGGGATTGTTTTTGGGGATTACAATGACTAGATACATTGCTTTGCTTAGAATTGACATCTTAAAAATATTAGGCTGAGGCGTCTTTCCATTTACTGAAATTTTTTTAGCAATGTTTAAAGTTTTCAGTGTATAAGTCTTTTACTTCCTTGGTTACGTTTATGCCTAAGTATTTTATTCTTTTTCATGGTATTAATATATAAACATTTAATCATGTTTATGCATCCATTCAGTCTTTCATTCGTTCAATAAATGTTTATAGAACACCTAGTCTGTGCCAGGCATTATTCTAGGTGCTAGCATCTTTATTTTGAAATTTCAGAAAATAAAATCAAGAATTCAAATTAGGATCAGAGATACATTAATAATGGAGTATTTTCTAAGTGAAGATGTGACAGTCAAGTATATTTTTAACAAAGTTGTAGGTAGTAAAGAAGACAGACAGATTCAGAACTGAGCATTTCATTTTACTTTTATTTTTATTTTGAGACAGAGTCTCACTCTGTCACCCCGCTGGAGTGCAGTAATGCGATCTCGGCTCACTGCAATCTCCTCCTTCAGGATTCTAAGTGATTCCAGAACTGAGCATTTTAGGAAGGGTGTTGTGTTTTCTTTCTTCTTTGCCTCCACATTGCTCCATTCTGGTTCTCCTGGCCCATGTCTCAATGATTTTTTTGGGTTCTGAACCTCACAAAGACCTGAGCATCCTGGCACCCATTCCAGTGAACTGGTTCTGGTGACACTCAGAAGATAGTTTTGTTTGTTTGAGGCTTAATCATAACCTTATCTGAAGAATATTGTATTGAAAATAGGCTCCTTCTTCATTCTTCTCCTATTCCTTCTCTTTTTCTTTCATTTGTCACTTTCGCTGATTAAGCTGATGAGCTTAATCCAAAACAATGGATATTGAAACCCTCTGAGACCTTCATTTTTTTACTTTGATTTTGCCACAAGGAAGTCTGTTACCAGATAATTTATGAAAAAAGATACAATAGCAATAAAATATATCAGTAACATCAGAAATAAGGAATAACATCTAAGACAAGTTCTATTTTCTTTCATTTAATTCACAAAAAATAAAAAGTAAACACCACGATTCCCAAGGTATTTTGTGAGTAAACAGTTCATACATGCATTTTGAATGTGTGTAGAAGTGAAAGAGTGTGAAGAAAAGAGGATGACAAGAGTTCATTCAAGGGAGCAGATGGCAGACACCTAACCTAAAAAAAGCTGAAAACATAGGAAACAAAATGAGGTGGAAATGGTATTGCCACATAAAATTCCCAAAAGAAGAAGTTTTGTACGTTTCCTTTTTTGGCTTTAATGTGAACGCCTGGAAAATAAGATTAGTGATTCCCTATTCTACATCCTTAAATCATGCGTTACAGCTGGGGCTCAATAACTATTTGCTGGGCCTTAGAAATAATCATATTTAACTCCCTGATATCACAGACAAACTGAAGTCCAAAGAGGTTCAATTACTTGGGCAAAACCATAGTATTATGAAGAAGCACGATCTGAAACAGAGCTCCAGTTCTCATATGTGCCCTGTAAATATTGCTAAGAGATCAATATTTAAATATATTTCTATGTGTTTTGCATATGGTTTTACTTGATCTTCTTAACTAACTCCATTTACAATGTCATTTTGGAGGAAAAAAATCAAATCTGGTTAATTGGCTTTCCCTAAACAATATCTCTCCTCCATATTTATATGTATATTTTTTTCCCCAGGAATACTACGACAAATTTCATATTGGCCACTAATGATTCCCAAACACTATTACTCTCTATAACCATATTTATTGAGAGAATCAGTAAATAAATCAGCAAAATGTACAGTACTGATACATTCAGTGCTATGGCCATCAGTTATAATATCCCTAAAATGTTTACTCTTTCTGCCTTACTTTTTACATGAAATTTTAATAGCTATGACATATTTATCTCTTCCAAATATGTATTAGTAACTGTGATTCCAGCAATACCAAGTTCTGCATTTACTTTGATAGAAATTAAATATTCTCATTAGCCTTTGTAATGGAGGAATTATTCCTCTTAGCATTTGGTGTTTGCTTCAGAAACATTCATGAATGTATTTTCAGAATTATATCTTTTAGGAAGAATGGAAACGATATTTTTCTCCCCATGCATTAATATTTTTAGTGCCTGAATGCCTCTGATTCTTTTAAAGATTGAGGCATTTTTCCATCTGCCTGTTAGAATGATTTGAGTCTTAATTAAAGTTGATTGCACCTGTGCATATATTCAGCTACCCACACACTCCCACCTAAGAGTGGAAAAGCTTGTCTTTCCTCCAAAAATTAAAAGTGGGAACTCTTATCTTTTTTAAAAAAATTTATAGTCATAGAAGACAGATAATACTGTGAAGTGTTAAATACAATGCCTTCTGGCTGTCTTAGATCAGTGACTTTTTAACCTCCTAATGATTGTTTGTCAGTTGATGTAAGAGTTGATTATCTTTCTTAATCTGCTGGTTTTCTTTTCATTTATAGAGCAGCCTAGCTGAAGTAGCTAAGTAAAAAATCAGAATTTAATAACAAAGTCTCATCCACCTACTCACTGGTTGGTTGTGGTTGTGCTTGTTCTTAGATTTGGCAGCCAAGTTTTTCCTTATTTATGAAGTTGGGGAATAATCATAATGTAAATAAATAAATAAATAAATAAATGATGGCAATCATCTTCAAACTTGGAGTAGTGAAACATTTTTCTTTACTACCTGTAACATGTTTTCTCCCAAATAATTCTAATAAATATAAAATAGATTAGCTCCTATTTATTTATTTACTTCTACTTTTCTTTTCTTTCTCTTGGGGCAAACAGGACAAATAAAATGCTTTCATTTTAAATTAGGGAAAACAGTGGAATCACAAGATCTAGCCAGTCTACAAAATTAATAACCAAAAATATGTTAAGTGTTGCTAAAAACTTTCCGTAATATAAAACAGTGTCTCTTAATCCTGGTTTTAATTGTGGCCTAGGCATGAATATTTTTTGAAAGATCCCATTTCTAATATGCAGTCAAGAACAGGAACATCTAATATAGAATTCATTCTGGTACTTAGTAGAATCCTAGTAGAAGATCATTGAGTCTAAATTCCTCATTTACAGTTAAGCAAATAGAGGAAAGTAATTTGCCCAAAGCCTCAGAGTTAATTAGGGCTAAGTATGAACTGGTACCCAGGGGCTCATAACCCCAAAGATGATTCTGTACAATGTTGTGGCTGTGCGGTGCTATGACTGGGACTCCCCAGATCAAAGTGTCCAGAGGTGTGAACTTTCTGCACTTGGTTTCCAAATTGCTGGTATAAATTTATGCGCTACATTATTAGTACCAATTTTATTTTCTCCAACAACATCTAGGCCATTTCTAATAAAATGTGGTAATAGCCCATGCAACAGGAACTTCGATTTTGTTCCACAAATGCCTAATTGTAATTTCCTATGAGTATTAACTCAGTGTTGAGGATACATAAAAATGTTCTACATTACATCTTCCCAACCTATAAAATGTCTATTCACAGAGTACTGCTTTGACTTTTCAGTCATTCTCTTTCTATCCTATTGTTCAAAGGGTTATTCTGACATCACCACTTAAAAAATACATGAAAACAGAAATGGTAGAGACATTGATAGAGTTTCACATTTTCTTTTCCTATAGAAGGAAAAGTTAATTTGAATTCCTTGCATCCAATAGATAATTGGTCTACTTTCTTGCCATGGCTTTAGTAATCAGAGATTCAAATTCCTCTTATAAAGCCAAATTCTCTTGAATATCTCATAAATGGGCCACTCAAATTATAGGCATGGTTTCTTTATTCTGTATATAACATTGTTGCTTCTCCTAGAGCTTGGCATCATTTCTTCTGTATTTCGGCTGTCTGATTGTTCACACTGCTGGCAGCACCTAAGGATATTTTGTATGTAAAACCACCCTTCTTCTGTTCTATTGTAAGGTATCATTAATTAGTTAGAAAATCTCCTTGAAACAGGTCAGTTTTGTAGTTTTAAGAATATTGGACTTCAGTAGGGGGACACTTCTCATCAAACATCATTTCTTGTCATGTATTAAGGCTCACATGAATCCTATTTCACTTTAAACTGAGAAAACAGTGTATATAATTTTACATCTCGGCCCTTTCATTTATTTTTTCCCCATAGAATTTAAGATCCAGAAGGCATTTCAGAGATGGTATGGCCTAAATCTCTTATTTGAGCGATGGGTACACAGAGGCAGAGAAAGTAAGAAAATGTACCCAGTGACACACAGATGATGGCAAAACCATTACCAGGGTCAGGTTTTCCAGGAGTTAAATCCAGAGATCTTTGTACTATGCCAGTCTATTCAGCATTACTATGATGGGGGCAGTGGAAAGGAGAACCAATCTAACATGACATATGTTTGAGTCCTGTGGCCTCCTTTCTTCAAGAACATTCTTTTTTAAGTTGTTAGCTTTATGTTAATTTGCTGCGTTGTGTCCTATTTAAGACTGACTCTAGCAGCAAGTCTTCCATAACTTTGGCACATGATTTTGGAATTTGTCAAAAGATAAAGACATCTTAAAACATCCTAAGTCAAAATTTGTACCTGACCCAGGTTATAAAGATTTTATAACCCTAAAATCCTGTTTGGTCAAGACTGTAGAATTCTATTTTTCCCTCTAGGAGATTTTTATCAGTTGTTTATCAAAAGAACCATGAAGAACTGAATTTAGAGGGAATAAAATGAACTGCCACACTGTCAGGTCTTAAATGGAAAAGGACTAAAAGCACACCATTGCCATTACAGGGGCCTTAGAGAACTGTGGGCATACATATTTAATGCGGTAAATTATAGGGAGACATTTGCATGTTTATGCACTATTTTGAAGTAAAAAGGGTTGTTGAACAATAAGGACACTTTCTATAATTATGTTCCATTTTTAATACGCAGAGAATTGACTCGGGGTTCAGAGTAGTTATTTAATGAATTCTCAATATAACCTTGTCTGGTATTTCTCTCACTAAATCTTGACATCAGATTAAGACCAGACAATGAGGTTGGTTAACAAAAAATGATTATCTTGTCATTGAACAGTTGGTAGATTTTGGAATCCCAATAAAATGATCTTCATCTGGTAGATAGCCACAAATTCTGTGGCATTGGATGCAAACACTAGTTGTTTATAAAAATATACACTATTAAATGTTTTATATTTCTGCATTTTTAAAACTAGGTCTGTACAATACGTTGAAAAGGGTATTTTAGAAGTTGATGGCATTCTGATGTTGAGATGGTGACATCTGGATGTCTGTTGATTTCACATGCCCAGAGATAAGGCAGCACTGATAATGAGCCTGTGACCTGGGATAATTATTCTCACATCTTCCTTCTGGTGCCTCTCATACACCTCTCTTGGGTGAATCTTCCTTTAAAACTGATGGCATCATCATATCCTGCTCCTTGAAAATAAATACAAACTCTGTAGCCTGCCACTTAAAACATTCAATTTGTTACTTCTTTTCTATGTAAATTCAGGTCTCATTCTTTCTAATACAAAGCCTGCCTTTCAGAAACAGGCTGAACTTATTACGGTCCCTGAACCATTATTTCTCTCCATCTTTCAATTTTTTAAAAAAAGTATTTGCTGTGCTATTTTGTCAGGCTGGACATTTGTGGGCTTTAACTTGCTTATTTTCTACGTGTCTCTACCACACAGTGACTTTCTCTACCACACAGTGACTTTCTGGAAAGGAGGATCTGTGATTTGGGTCACTTTTGCCTTATTCTTAGTTCTGAGCCACAACACCATACATGTGAATAAATGTGACTAGGGAAGGGAGGATGGTAGCATAGATGTGGCCCCATTCCCTAGTCCAAATGTCACCCTGGACTGTTCTCTCCCTCTATATTCCAGCCTTGTTCCTGCACCAACTTCTCTTTGTGTCTTCTCTTTTCATTCCTTCTGTCAGTGGGCCATTGTAATCACACTGGCCTGAAACCTCACCTTCTAAACTATGGCTGTTCCAATCTGCCCTATAGATCGCTGCCTTTACTTCTTGTCATATTCTTGCTCAAAATTCTTTAATTGACTCCCAGTCCCTGTAAGATATGTCATCTCTCCTACTAGATTGCAAACCTACTAAAATCAGAGAACAGCTGCTACATAATTTTAAATCTTTAAGTCTTCTGGAAAATTATAGGTATTATAATACTTGTAATCTGAATGAACAAACCGAGGATAGGATGGATCCAAGACAGTAAGCTATAGTCAACTCCAGTCCCAAGTGATGCCGTTCATACTCTTCTTACATGAGCCTACCTGATTATGAGGCCTTTTGTAAGAGCATAAATAGAGACCCTTACTTTTTGTCCTGCCTCTCTTGTTCACCATCCCTGCAAACAGCTTTCCTCTTGCCATTTCTTAGGCCTAGATGTGGACATAGCACATTCAGCATCAGCTTTTCGTAGGACAAACTCAAGGAAAGAAGACAGCCCAGGACCTGGAAGTCAGCTTGGGGCCAGAAATGCAGCGAGTTCTTAGGTCCAAGCTGCATATGGAGAAGTCTGTAAAAGAGGATAGAGGCTCTAGATGGGCACAGGCTCTTGGCTTCATGGACTCCTTGTCCCATGTTGAGAGGTAACAGGATGAGAATCAGAGTGAGAACCTCCAAAGTGCGGTGCTCAGGGCAGGGACACTGGTTGCCCAGAGCTAAGGGTGGTACTTTCTTTATTTAAATCTGCCCCAAATAAAAGATGTAAAACTCAATGATATTAAAGTGTTAATAGCATCATAATATTCGAGATTTGGAAAAGGTCCTTAAAGGTGCTTGAATGTGGCATGATATCCACACTTTAAAAATGAAGAAATGGGAATCCAGAAAGCATGTGGTAAACTGCAGTCAATACTGTATTTAAATTCAGATAAATTGGGAATCACACCTCAGCTTTATTGTTCACCAAGCAGGTGTTACTGGGTAAGTCATATAACCTCATTGTGCGTTGGTTTCTTCATCAGTAAAATGAAGATTATGTAGTTGCCTCATAGTTCTTAGAAGACATTCATTGTCCTCCATTCATTTCTTCAAATTTCTTCCTACCCCAAATGAAATCTAGAAAGTGGTAGAATTAGATTAAGATTTCATGTACGGTTGGTATGTTGGTCTGCTTAGGCTACTACATCAAACTGTGGACTGGGTGGGGTAAACAGATACTTATTTTCTCACAGTTCTGGAGCCCAACATCAAGATGTTGGCAGATTTGGTCTTTCTTGAGGCTTCTCTCCTTGGCTTGCAGATGGCCACCTTCTTGTTGGGTGCTCATGTGACCTTTACTCCCTGTGTATGCATACCTCGGTTCTCTCTTCTGGTAAGAACACCAGTCCTATGGGTTTCGAGCCCCACCCTTGTGCCCATATTCACCCTTCATTACCTTGTTAAAGGGCCTATGTCCAAATAGAGTCACATTGTGGGATTAGGACTTTAACATGTGAATTTTAAGGGGAGTCAAAATTCTGTCTTCATAACATTCCAGAGAGTTTAGAATAGTAGATAGAAGGAAATAGTAAATACATGTAAATAATTGAAAATTTCTGTTATACACCAGGGTTTAATTTTCTCCCAAAACTATGGGATAGTATAGAATGGGATAGATATTCTGAATTTCAGCCCCATCTCTGCCAGCAACAGGCTATCAGTAGGCCATACATTCATAGTTTTCAAAGTGCATTCTGTGTAATAATATATCTTTTGGAATTGTTCTTGAAATGGGGGGAAAGTCACCCTAAAGAATAAAATTAAGGAATCTCAACATTACATGAGCCTTCTAAACATGCACAATGCCTAATAATTCATTAAAGACTTGAAGAAATCTTAATAGCAAGGCTTTCTGTTTAACTGTTTAACCAAGCCTTTTCAAAAGTTATTTAACAATAGAACCATTTTGTTAAGAACATCTATACTCCATTGACAGTTGTAGAATATTTATGCCACGTAGAATTTGCCTTTAGCTTATATCAAAAGCTTAATTTATGGACTTCAAGGTTTCAGCAAGCTGGTTGAGTTTGGGATGCAGAAAGGAAGAGAATGGGGCAGGAAGCAAATTTTGAAAATGTGTGGTAGACAGAAATCAAATGTAGACTATGGGATCTACATTACTCTGTTATGGAAAGTCTGGAATCAACCATCAAAACCCCTAGTTTCCAGACACTTCCCTTCTCAGAGGAAAACTTATAAGACTAGAGCCTCAATTCCTCCTCTGTACTGCAACCAGAGTGATCTTTTACAAATCTTAATCATGTGTGTGTGTGTTTTCCATGTATCCCTACATAAACATTCAGCTGCTTTTCTTTGCTCTCAAACTGAGCAATGAAATTCTTTTCAGAAGGAGGCCCCGTATATCTGACCAGCTCTGTCTCTTCACCCTCAGTTAGTGCCTTTTATCCCTTTCTCTCTTCACTCCAGCTGCGCAGATCTTCCCCTCTTCCAACTTGCCATGGGCATTGCACAAATATTTCCCTCTGCCCGCAAAACTAATCTAATCCACCCTCACCCTCCCCTTTGCCATTTTTGAATCACTAATCAAGATTTCTCGACTTCCCTCCTTAAAAAAAATCATCTATTATATCTTTTCATTATATCTATCATCTCTTCTTGTAGCTCTTATCAGAGCTCTAATTCCATATGAGTTCATGTAATTATTTTCTCCCTACCTTACATTAGGAGTTCTATTCAGGCAGAGGTCATGGTGTTTTAGTTCACTGTTCTATTCTTCCAGATCACAGTGCCTGGCATTCAAAATGTCTAGACAGATACAGTAAAGGCATATACATTTTACCATTGGTTGAACATAATAAGTATATATATAGAGAGAGATATATATATGTATATATATGTGTGTGTGTGTATACACACACACACACACACACACACACACACACACACACTTTTCCTCACTTGTCTTTTATAAAAAATCAATCCAAAAAAATTTCAGAGTAAACTGCTGAAGCCAGTTTTAGAAAAGTCACATTCTTTGTTTTCTGTCTTGTTTCAATGTTACCAATAAATATATCTTAGTAACTGTGGTTTGGATAAACCACTACTGTGCAGGAGTACTGATCTAGTATGTGTCCCAGCTGAAAACTACTACAGGCTTCTTTATGACTGTCTATTGAAGTGTCTCAGGAGATGAGTTGTGTATAAGATGTACTACCTAGATTTCCATTTCCACATCTCATTATACCACTCTTCCTGTTTATATAGTCTTCACATTTTCTGAAAAGAAAATTCTGTTGTTTTTAATAACATAAGTAATCCTCCTTAAAATAACCCGAACAAAACAAAACAAAACAAAAAGAAAACAAAGTGAACCCTCTCTGGAAAGGCTGTTTGTTTAGATAGACTTGCATTCATGTCCTGGTTCCTCCTGTCACCCACCTCTGACTGGCATTGGGGAGCTTACACAACCGTTGAGACCCTTGGTGAGTTTTCCTTGGTGAGTGTTTTAGTTTGCTCAGGCTACCATAACAAAATACCATTGAGTGGGTGGTTTAAACAACAGACATTTCTTTCTTGCAGTTCTGGAGGCTGGGAAGTTCAAAGTCAAGGTGCCAAGACATTCAAGTACTGGTGAGGACTCTCTTCTAGGATTGGAGATGGCCACCTTCTTGCTGTATCCTCACATGGCAGACAGAGAAAGCACTGCTGTCCCTTCCTTTTCTTATAAAGGCACTAATCCCGTCATGGAGGCCCCCCCCTTACAATCTCATCTAAACCTAATTATCTACCAGAAGCCCCACCTTTGGACATCACACCCAATGTGTGTGATGACATCACACCCAATGTGTGTGATGACATCACATCTGGGTCTAGAGCTTCAACATATAAATTGGGGAGGGGGTGTGGCTCACATATTCAGTCCATAACAGTGAGTCTTCCCAGTCAACAGGACCCTAAGTTTTGCTTCACAGTGAAGCCTGGAAGGGCTAGGTAAGTGTATTAGTCAAGTTTCTCCAGAGGGACAGAACTAGTAGGATATTTGAACATATGAAAGGGAATTTATTTAGGAGAATTGACTCACACAATTACGAGGCGAAGTCTCACGATAGGCTGGCTGCAAGCTGAGGAGCAAAGAAACCAGTCGTGTCTCAGTCCAAGTCCAAAAGCTTCAAAAGTAGGGAAGCCTACAGTGCAGGCTTTAGTCTATGGCTGAAGGCCTGAGAGTCCCCAGAAATCCACTGGTGCAAGTCTCAGAGTCCAAAGGCCGAAGAACCTGAAGTCTGATATCCAAGGGCAGGAAGCACCCAGACCAGAGAAAGATGAAAGCCAGAAGACTCATCAAGCCGGCTTATCCCAGCTATTTCCACTTGCTTTATTCCACCTCTGCTGGCAGCTGATTGGATGGTGCCCACCCACATTGAGGGTGGGTCTTCCTCTCCCAGTCCACTGACTCAAATGTCAGTCCCCTCTGGCAACACCTCACAGACTTACCCAGAAACAATACTTTATGAGCTATCCAGACATCCTTCCATCCAATCAAATTGACACCTAAAATTAACCATCATATTAAAAACTGGAAATAACATTTGTAAGGAGTCTAGTGCAGCATCTGACCCATAGTAGCCACTTAATACGTGGTAGCTCTAATAACAGTGTTGATGCTGCTGCTGTTATAAGACATCATGTAGAAGAACTGCATTCCTGACTTTCCAATAGTAACTAGAAGACATTAACTTTTTTTAATAATAGGCAGGGAAAAACATTAAAAACAAATCATTAATGTTTTTAATAGCTCACTGTCTTCATTTATTATATAGTCCACTGTGATTTGATTGGGGGAAGGTAGTAGAAAGGAGAATTAAATTAAACTATATGTAGTTTAATTTAATTGAAGACTACAATAAAAAGAACGTAGACACTCTCCGAAATGTAAAGTGAAGGTGTATTTTAAAACAGAACTAATATTGTTGAAGCCTCATGAACTGTTTTGTTTTTTTCTGAAACTTTGGTGTCATAGAAGTATACAAGTTTAGACATAGGAAAATTCTTACAGTTTGTTTCAAATCCACGATTGTATCTGAGAAAACCAAGGCTCAGTAAGAGTTGTTTCCTCAGATTCCCAAAGATTTTATTGAACTGAGCTGAGAATGAACTACAGATCATCTCAACCCCAAGCCAGGATGTTTTATAGTTTTTGTATTTCTGGGAAAATATTTTAATTCATTCTTATTTGTTCCTAAGTATAGCTGATTTATATCTAAATTATGAATGTTAAGAACAGTTAATATTTTATTTATGAACATTTTAAAATAATCATTTTTTAAACTATTTCTTACAGATTTGGGGGTTTTGCTACTATTTTGAATGAAAAACTATTTGAAAATTTTGGTTGGCACTAGCCTCATTCAAATTAATACAAATAAAATATATGTAAGCTGTTCAAATGAATGATCATTCTAGAGATTCAACTACTTTTACACTTGACACATATTTACTAAAGCCAGAGGATTTAAAATATCTATTCAATACTCAATAAAGAGTATGAGTTTTATAAAGGCATTTTATTACAACTAGAGCTAACAAAAGCATCACATATTGGATTTTTGAACTGTATTTGTCAACCTAAT